>NC_000008.11:98214222-98839222 GCF_000001405.40 Homo sapiens | reverse complement strand
TTGTAAAAATTCGTCAGGCCTAGTGATGCACACCTGTAGTCCCAGCTACTCCGGAGGCTGAGGCAAGAGGATTACCTGAGCCTGGGAATTTGAGGCTGCAGTGAGCCGAAATCACACCACTGGACTCCAGCCTGGGTGACAGAGTGAGACCTTGTCTCAAACCGCCCCCCCCCAAAAATCAAACAAACAAAAAAGCCACAAGCGCACACACACACACACACACACACACACACAAAACAAACAAACAAAACAAAAACAAAGAAGAAGGTTAAATTATTATTTTGTGTGTTGGGGGAAAGGTCTTGAAGTAATAGCCAAGGAAGGTAAACGGCCTCGATGGTAGGGTGGGGGCGGGATTGCGGGGAGGGAGAGAAGGGTGAGTATGAGAAAATGGAATAACCTTGAGAGTTTGGTGAAGTTATTTGGAGAAGTTATTTGGGCAGGTTTTCAGGAAAACTTTAGGGAAAAAGACCGGTAAAGAGGATTTTTGGGAAGTTTTGCTGTGTTAATATGCATACAATTCCTCCCTCGGCACTTCTGTGAGATTTTTAGTAAAAATTTTCATCTTTCCAAACTTTTTGCAATTGAATTTGAGCTTACTTTGAATGTATCACATGCTCAGACTGGCCTTAGGGCAGCTGAGTTTACTGCAGCTTCTCTCTGTCTACTAAGCATCTACCTCTCCTCTTTTTTCGCTCCTGCTCTAGGCCTCATTGCCCTGTTTTCCAACAGCATTAACTGATGCCACCAGTACACATTTATCTAGGGGTATTCTTACTTCCCTAACTCTCCTCGCCTAGAAGTAAACAAGTCTTCTTTCTGCTTAGTTCAGTCAAGACACATTAGAAATTATTCATAGAGGCCACAGGCAGGAATAAAAAGAAATTGAAAGATCAAAAATATATAAAGAAAAATGATTAAAGCAAGAAACATTAGTTTATAGAGTTTAGGTTTCTTATATATTTTTTAACTAATTAATTTTGATGGAGTCTCATTTTGTCACCTAGGTTGGAGGGCAATGGCATGATCTTGGCCCACTGCAACCTCTGCCTCTAGGGTTCAAGCGATTCTTCTGCCTCAGTCTCTCGAGTAGCTCGTACTAAAGGTGTGCCCTACCACATCTGACTTTTTTTTTTTTTTTTTTTTTTGTATTTTTAGTAGAGACACGGTTTCACCCTGTTGACCAGGTTGGTCTCAAACTCCTAACCTCAAGTGATCCACCCACCTTGGCCTCCCAAAGTGCTGGGATTATAGGTGTGAGCCACCACACCAAGACTAATTTACTTATTTTTAGACAGGGTCTTGCTCTGTCACCCAGGCTGGAGTGGAGTGGTGCAATCATAGCTCACTGCAGCCTCAAACTCCTGGGCTCAAGTGATCCTTCCATGTCAGCTTCTCAAGTAGCTAGGACTACAGGTGTGTGCCACCATGCCCAGTTGACTTTTACATTTTTTTGGTAGAGATGGGGGTCTACACTATGTTGCCCAGGCTAGTCTTGAACTCCTGGCCTCAAGGGATCCTCCCGTCTGGGCCTCCCAAAGCTCTGGGATTACAGATGTGAGTCACCATACCTGGACAAGTTTCCTTATATCAATGTAACTAAAGACTCACTATGAAAGGGCTTCATCTTATGGAGTCTTTCAGATTCTTAGTGTTGGTTCTTTTCTCTTCCTTAGCTCTGTGGCTGTGTTTAGTGTCTTAGCCAATCATTGCTGTGTTTTGAGAGATCTTCAGCTTGTTCTGGAACTTAGGTTTGTACATAAAGGAAACGTTTTTTCTCCTTGTAACTACTGTATAAGGAGGGTGAATTTTATAAAATGAAAGCCATTTTTTTCTTTCTTTCTTTTTTTTTTTTTTTTGCTGAGCTCCAGCCTGTTATCAGCCTGAACTACAGCACTTTTCTGAATGATAGAACTTACTGATAGTTTATTACATACAGAATTGAATTGTTATTTTACTCTTTCATGAATATATACTCTATATCTTCAACTAAGCAGTTCTGAGAGGGCAAGGGCCATATTTTCTATATTTTCCCTTCATAGGTCTTAGTTATTGTGTTTATATAAAGTTAGTTTAGATCAATAGTTCTTAAAGTGTGATCCAGGTACCTCCGGGGGTATCTGAGACCATTTCAAGGGGTCCACAAGGTCAAAACTATTTAAAAACAAGGTTTAAATATTATTTGCCTTTTTCAGTCTCCTTCTTTCATGAGTGTATGATGGAGTTTTCCAGATGCCACATGGATATGTAATGATATCATTGATCTGATGCCTAATGAAATGTGTGCTTATGTATCTTGTGTTTTAAAATTTTCTCAGTTTTAATTTCTTAATATTGATAAATATAATCCACATAAACAAAAGCTCTTTAAGCTTCTCCATAGTTTTTAAAAGTGTAAAATGGTACCGAGACAGAAAAGTTTGAGATCTGCTGATGTAGATAATTATGTGTTGAACTGAAAGTGAAATCAATCTGATCTTATCTAAATCATTTTTCTGAGTTTATAGTGGGGCCTGGGATTCTTTGCTATTACTCTCTGTCTCAGTCAAGGTCCAATCTGATACAGAAACCACAAGAGATAGAGACCACAGTTATTTGAACAGGAAAAGTTTAATATAAAGAATTATTAACTATAACTGAGGACTGGAGTAACAAGGGATTGGCTAGTAAGAAGCAAAGACACCTCTAAAGAATATAGGTGCTATTGTTTGAATGTTTATTTTCCTCCAAAATTCATATGTTGAAATCCTAACCCTGAAGGTGGTGACTTTGGAGATGGGGACTTGGGAGGTGATTAAGTCATGAGGGCTACCCTCATTAATGGAATTTGTCCCTTACAAAAGAGGTCTGAGGAAGCTGTTTACCTCTTCTACCATGTGAAGACACGGGGAAAGATGGCTGTCTATGAATCAGGAAGTTGGCCCTCACCAGGCACTGAATCTGCCAGACCTTTGATCTTGGACCTCCCAGCCTCCAGAACTGTGAGAAATAAATTTCTCTTGTGGGTTTTTTTTTTTCTGTTGAGACAGAGTCTTACTCTGTTGCCCAGGCTGGAGTGCAATAGTGCGATCTCAGCTCACTGCAACCTCTGCCTCCTGGGTTCAAGTGATTCTCCTGCCTCAGCCTCCCAAGTAGCTGGAATTACAGGCGCCCACCACTGCGCCCGGCTAATTTTTGTATCTTAGGTAGAGACAGGGTTTCACCATGTTGGGCAGGCTGGTCTCGAACTCCTGACTTCAGGTGATCTGCCCACCTTGGCCTCCCAAAGTGCTGGGGTTACAGGCGTGAACCACCATGCCCAGCAAATTTCTCTTGTTTATAAGCCAACAGTTTATGATGTTTTGTTATAGCAGCCTGAACTGACTAAGACAACAGGAATAACAGCTACTCCTCCCTGGGGCTGAGCTAGAGCATCCAAGGAAGAGGCCCCCCAGGATTGAGATCCAGACCTTGTTGAAGAGGACACAGCTGTGTCTCACTGAATGGCAGAGAAGTTACTGTAGTGCCATGCTGACAGAACTTGCTGGAAATCTTCCTTCTGGAACTTTGCAGAAATCTTCCTCTTAGGTTTCTGGGAAAGCTGTTCATGGTGAGGTGTCTCAATGCGGGCACTCGGTAGCAAAATTGCCTGAGGGAGGAGTGGGGTGTGGTGGGAAGGAAACTGTTGGCCACTGGGTGCTGTTGCTGCTCTGCACTGCAGGAACCAAAGGCTGATGAAGGTACATGTGTTGCAGGACCTGGCTGGACAATGTTGAAGTTGCCCATTTAGTAGGACCCAGAAAAGCAGCCCTGGGTGCAGGAGCCTGCAGAGGGAACATATGCCCACCAGGAAGGAAACCTTTTTCTTTTGCAATGTCTCTCCAGTGCTGTCCACTGACAAAGTTTACCATCATGCCATCTGGTAAAGAAAAATTACTTAAAGGACCTAGCTCTATTTTAACAGAGCAGGCAATGAAGGATCAATCTAGAGTTGAGAAGAAACAAAATCACAAATGGCATACTCATTTTCTCTTATGAGAAAAGAAAAATAGCTCAGAGTAGTCTGAGCTATGTGAGGTATGCAAAATGACTCTCTTAGGCCCAGAGAGTCATGAGTATGGAACTTCAGTCATGCCTCTTCCAACCCATGCCCAGGGGCAACTGTGTAAAAGCATTTTGTTCCTGTCTAGCTGCCTCACCCACTATCTTTATGTTCCTGAACTTTGTGATACAAACAAAAAATGAATAGCCAATCAAGAGCTTATGTTATTTCAATGTAAATTCCTGGTAACAATTTAGGAATTGCCTCTTCTTTTTTCCTTACACCCCACTTGTAACTGCTATTCATCAGAAGGTCATTCTCAAGCTTTGGGCTGGAGTAAACTCTATACTTAATCATATTTTCTGAATCTCATCATTTAAGGTTGACAAAATATATAGTTTATGAATTACGGTGTCTCTTTAAATTCCTTATATCTTACCCCTGAAGGTGATGGCATCTGGAGGTGATTAAGTCATAAGGGCTACCCTCATGAATGGAATTAGTCCCTTACAAAAGAGGTCTGAGGAAGCTGTTTACCTCTTCTACCATGTGAAGACACGGGGGAAAATGGCTGTCTATGAATCAGGAAGTTGGCCTTCACCAGACACTGAATCTGCCAGGCCCTTGATCTTGGACCTCCTAGCCTCCTTATGTTTTCTTTGCTTGGAAATCCATTCATTTATCCAACAAACATGTATTAATTGATTATAACGTTCTGAGTACTTATGTGTAGCAGACATTGTAGTCTGTTGTCTAATTACAATTTCCCCATTTTTTCTACATAATCGGATTCCAATTTTGTTCTGTTGACCTAAAGGAAGAAGTGGAGACAAAATTAATATAAGTAGAGAGTTTATTTGGGTCAAGTTGGAAGATTGCAGCCTGGGAGCACAGATTCAAGTTGCCATGAATATGCACTCCAGTTAGCAGCAGTTATAAGTAGAATTTTAAAGGGAAAGAAGAGGCAGTTCCATTGCCAAGAATGTATATTAAAATAACATAAGCTATTGATTTGCTATACATTGTTCAACTATAAAGTGTGGCTTATGGTGTCTGGTGCTACATTATTAGGTACACTTATAGCTACTTGTGGCAATAGCAAGCAGTTTTAAGAGATGAATACATAGCTAAACAGGTGGTTGCAGGGGAGTAGAATGTGATTGCTGTCTCAATGGGCTTGATAATTTTTAAAGATTCACATCCCTCAGATAAAGGTTTTTTTTTTCTCAGTTCTTCTCTGCATGGTTCTCTTTGCCATAAACTTCAGGGAAGTCTAGTCCCAGCCTCAACTCTAAACCCACCTCCATGGGGTGAATCACAAATGGTCGTAACAGGTTTTGGTTATCCCCTTTTCTTTGTCAGAGATGGGGCTATAAACCAAAAATAAAATCTAACCCCCCTCAACTGACTAAATGGACCCGCTTTTGGCCAAGGGATTCCAAAGAAACCTGAAAAACTAGTTCAGGTTATGAAGGAAGTAGAGTTTAGGCACAACTGACCAGTGTTAACATTAAAATAGCAATCCTCAGATTGACAGAACAGACTCTTTATAGCAATAAGATACCAACTCCAAACTGCCTCTGGTCACATCACATGACAAATAACAGGCCCTAAAGGAAATCAAAGTATTTTTACCCCCAAATATATTTCTTTGAGATATTTTGGAATGGCCCTGCAAAGCTGTCTCTTGTGGGAAAAATTTACTTTCTCTAGAGAATCCTCTTCCCTTTCCATATCTTTTCCTGATCCAGGAGAGATTTAACTGGTAAATATCTGATAAGAGACATTTACCATCTATTCCCTTTGAAGTCAGCTACCTGGAGGCTCCATCTACATAACATGAACCTTGGCTCCCATAACCCCCCTTATTTTAACTACAAGACTTTCTTTCTGCTGATTTGAACTCTTTAG
This sequence comes from Homo sapiens, assembly GCF_000001405.40. NCBI lineage: Eukaryota > Metazoa > Chordata > Mammalia > Primates > Hominidae > Homo > Homo sapiens. The sequence continues at coordinate 98,833,290 of NC_000008.11, read as the reverse complement.
GCAAAACTTAACTCTTTCAACCAATTGTCAATCAGAAAATCTTTGGATCCTCCTATGACCTGGAACCCTCCCCCTGCACCCCCCAACTTTGAGAAGCCTTTCCAGGCCACACCAATATAAACTTTATGTATATTGATTTATGGTTTTGCCTGTAGTTTCTGTCTCTCTAAAGTGTGTAAAATCAAGCGTAACCCAACCACCTTGGGCACGTATTCTCAGGACCTCCTGAGGTCATTGTCCTTACATTTGGCTCAGAATAAACCTCTTCAAATATTTTACACAGTTTGGCATTTTTCATCAACATGTCTGTGACACATTTCTAGCCAATAGGACATGTAGGGAAGTCTGCAGAGGGGCTTCTGGAATAGACTTTTCCTACCATCTTATAAAAGTTGTATTCAGAAATAACTAATTATCTTCTGGTGCTGGGCATTGTCATGTCTCCATGTAAGGCCTGGAACATTGGTGGCCATATTTGTCCTCTGAGGGGAGGGAGATAGTTTGAGGAGACAACTAGGTCTGCTGTGCACAGCAGAGCAGTGAGAAATAGAAATTAAATCCTAGGCCCCGCAGCCAACTGAATGGACCCCCCCTTGGCCAAGGGGACCCCAGAGAAACCTTAAAAACTAAATTCCCAGCCATGACAGGATAGGCGGTCAGACATACCTCATTATACTTCTTCCCTTGCTAATTGCCTTTAGACTTTCTTTCCTGAGTTAAACAGGAACTATTCCTTTTGAAAGACTTGCTGGACTCCTTTTTTTGTGGTTTTGACAATACAACTGACCAGCATTCCTTTCTGGTAAGTGACCACCATGGATTGGTTGTGGCTGATTTACAGAGGATGCACACAGGATGCCTCTGTGTCTTCGGTTTCACCTTTTGAAGTATATAGCTTAATTTTAATGCATGTAAATGTTAAATCTCCACCCCAAAGTGAACATGGGACATATATAATATGCATGTTTGCTTATTGTGCATGTGAGTGTCTGCCTTTGTGAATATATATATAGATATCTATATATATATATATATTTTTTTTTTTTCACGAAAAGGAGGCACTATAACCTATTGAATATGTACACTTAGCCAATCCGTCTCATTCTTCCTTCTTTAAAATGCCTGCTTCCGGTTTCTGACAGAGGCTATGCTTCCCAGATTGTGGGATGGCCAGCCTGCAGGCTGCAACCTTTTACAACAAATAAAGCTCTCCACTCCAAATTTATGAACCTTGTGATTCTTAAATCAACAACAAGAAATGGAAGTAAATTGAAGAATTATTCAAACCTAGAAACACCTCCTTCTAGTCTTCTTGTTTTAAAAATCATTTTGAGTTGTTACTTGTAGCTAATAGTTATGCTAGACTCCTGACATGACAAATAGGAAGAAGATACTGTCCTTATTCCCAAGAGGTTCACAGTGTGGTCTGAGAAACAAGTTAAATAATAGTTTAAGATTGTTATGATAAAGGAGGACAGTGGTTAAATTCAAATGCAACATGCTAGTTTCAAACTAACTATAAAACTAAGTTAGAAAAGAGAAACAGATCAAGAGAAAATGTTTTGTAAAGTTACCTCTTGAAGGAAAACATTTCCAAATTTTCCTGCAAATAAAAACCTACACAATATATTTGATTAGTGATTTCTCTCTTCCCCAAACTGTTCCTTATTATAGCAGAAAAGATTAATTAACATTTGTTAATTGATATTATTTTTCCAACAAATATAAAAATGAGGCTGGCCATGGCGGCTCATACCTATAATCCCAGCACTATGGGAGGCTAAGGTGGGAGGATTGCTTGAGACCAGGAGTTCGAGACCAGTCTGGGTAACATAGTGAGACCTCTGTTTCTACAAAACTCAAAAGTAAACTTAGCTGGGCATGGTGGTGGATGCCTATAGTCCCGGCTACTTGGGAGGCTGAGGCAGGAGGATTCCTTGAGCCTAGGAGTTCAAGGTTGTAGTGGGCTTTGATTGTGTCACTACACTCCAGCCTAAGAGAAATACAAAGTTGTAGTTTCAATGAATAGCTGCAACTAGTATGACAAGGAAAAATTTTTACCTTAATATGTTTCTATCTTAATATTTTAAACATGGTGGTGTACGTATTCAGTTACAAAGAACGTATGCTTTTTGTTATTCAAAGGCACTGGATCTCAAATTGCAGATTTCTTTCCCATTTCTCTTAGAGCACTCAACTGAGAATTGTAATCAGCTGTTTGCTAGTATAATTAAAGTGTATATTTAATCTCGATTCCAAATGGAGCTGTTGGAAGCAGAAACAGATTACCTTACTTTCCTTTTTTTTTTTTTTTTTTTTTTGAGACAGAGTCTTGCTCTGTCGCCCAGGCTGGAGTGCAGTGGCACTATCTCGGCTCACTGCAAGCTTCGCCTCCCGGGTTCACGCCATTCTCCTGCCTCAGCCTCCCGAGTAGCTGGGAGTACAGGTGCCCACCACCACGCCTGGCTAATTTTTTGTATTTTTAGTAGAAATGGGGTTTCACCTTGTTAGCCAGGATGGTCTCGATCTCCTGACCTCGTGATCTGCCCGCCTCGGCCTCCCAAGGTGCTGGGATTACAGGCGTGAGCCACCGCGCCTGGCCGATTACCTTACTTTCACAGTTAAGTGAAGCTGGGTGACCCTTACCTGTATCTCAAATGTTCCTGCAGCTTTCCTTTGTTCATGAATGCTGCTGCCTCTTATTTGCAGTTTGAATGGTGACTTCTATGCTTTCTTCCTGGAATCTTCAGGTTGGTTTTCAACAGACAAAGTAAAACAGAAGCTTGAAGCATTTTTTTTTCTTCTTCTAAGTAATTCAGGAGAAAAACAATTCCTTTATTGAGTAACACACAACACACCAGGCACAGTCCTGCCTCTGGGCCTTAGCACTTATTGTTCCCTTGGCCTCACATTCTAACATTCCCTTGGCCTCACATTCATGCTATCTGCATGGCTCTGGCCTCCACTTCCTTAGTCACTCTCTCGTTGAGGCCTTCCTTTGCCATCCTACCTGAATTTCATCCCTTCCCCTCCACTTTATTTTTATTTACTTTTTATTTTTTTGAGGCAGAGTTTTGCTCTGTTGTCCAGGCTGGGGTGCAGTGGCGCAATCTTGGCTCACTGCAACCTCTGCCTCCCAGGTTCACGCATTCTCCTGCCTTGACCTCCTGAGTAGCTGGGACTACAGGTGCCCACCACCACACCCAGCTAATTTTTGTATTTTTTTAGTAGAGACGGGGTTTCACCATGTTGGCCAAGCTGGTCTCAAACTGCTGACCTCAAGTGATCCGCCCACCTTGGCCTCCCAAAGTGCTGGGATTATAGGCATGAGCCACCACGTCCGGCCTCTTCCCCTCCACTTTATATTCCCTTTTTCCATTTCACTTTTCTTCCTTACCAGTTTTCAATCTCTAACATGACCCATTAGGTACTTTTTTATCTTATTATGTTTCCCCAACCAGAATGTAAATCCCCTGAAGGCAGGGATTTTTGTCTATTTGTCTCTTTTCTTTACTGATGAATATCCAGCACCTAGAACAGTGCCTGGCATACTTAAGTGCTCAATAAATATTTGTTGACTGATCTACAGTGGAATAAGTTCCAGCTTTGGAGTCTTAAAGGCCTGGATTAGAACACAGACATTCTGTTTATCCTAGGGTAACTCCTTTCACACTTTTGAACCTCAGTTTTCTCACCTATAAAATGGAAATAACTACTTCACAAGGTTGTTTTCAGGGTTTAATGAGAAAATGGAGGCCTAGTGTCTGATCCTATTGGAGTCGTATGATAATTATTAGTCTTCTCCCTTTTCAAGTTGAGGAAAGACCTCAGAAATTTATTTTCTGATAGTATTCCTCCTACTTCCACAATTCTTTATGGGTGTATCAGTCAAGATCATAAGCCCTTTAGAAGGTGCAATCAAATTAGTGTCAATTGAAAAGAGTTTAATTTACAAAGCATCAGTTGAGGATTGAGGTTAGGGGAACATAGGACATAGAGAAGAAACCCAGGGAATAGCAGAGCAGCCATGATACTCAGGCCCAAAGGGTCAAGGGGAAGGAGGAATAATTAGGTAGAGTAGTTTGCCTTGCAAAGAGCCATGATTCTCTGGAACACAGCTAGCCCTAGGTCACCTCACAGGAAGGGAACCAGGGCATCCAATAGTCTGACCTCACCCTCCTTTCTCCCTCAGATGATCTCTTGCTGGGTCTATCATCAGACCCAACCATAAGCCAAGGGGCTTCTGATGTCAGCCATACATATTAGCTCTCAGAGCAGAGAGCAGATGGAAAAGGATGGAGAATGAATCTGCAGGACCAAAAGGATGCTATCCAGCCCAGTGCCCTTACGATTTATCAGGCACTTGCTATGCAAGGTATAGAGAATAAAGATATGGCTCAACTTTCAATCAACTCATAGTTGGGTTGGGATGACAGCCTAATAAACAGAACTTCAATATAGTGTGACAAGTTTCATACAAAAGCCAACACAGGGTACTACGGACATATATACAAGACAGTATCTCTATCACAACTTAAATGTGACAGATAGTGGGTGATGATGCTGGTGGTTTGACTGGGAAAGGCTCCCTGGAGATTGCTGTTGGTAAAACAATTCAGGGATCATTTATTTTCTTTCTTTCTTTCTCTCTTTCCTTCCTTCCTCCCTCCCTCCCTCTCTCTCTCTTTCTTTCTTTCTTTTCTTTCTTTTGAAACAGGGTCTCACTCTATTGCTCAGGCTGGAGTGCAGTGGCTTGATCATGGCTCACTGAAGCCTAGTAGTTGGGACTACAGGTGCATGCCACCATGCCCAGCTATTTCTTTTGTTTTTTTTTTTTTTTTTTTTTTTTTTTTGTAGAGATGGGTTTCACCATGTTTCCCAGGCTGGTCTCGAACTCATGGGCTCAAGCTATCTGCCTGCCTTGGATTCCCAAAGTGTTGGGGTTGAAGGTGTGAGCCACCTCGCCCAGCCTTCCTCAAGAGGTTTCTCTGATGAAACACAAAAAGATGGGAGTGAGCCTGGCATAGTGGCTCATGCCTGTAATCACAGCACTTTGGGTGGCTGAGGTGGGTGGATTGCCCGAGGTCACGAGTTCAAGACCAGCTTGGCCAACATAGTGAAACCCTGTCTCTACTAAAAACACGAAAAATTAGCTGGGCGTGGTGGCGGGTGCCTGTAATCCCAGCTATTAGGGAGGCTGAGGCAGGATAATCTCTTGAACCAGGGAGGCAGAGGTTGCAGTGACCTGAGATCACGGCATTGCACTCAAGCCTGGGCAACAAGAGTGAAAGAAAAAAAAAAAAAGCTGGGAGTATGGCATGGAAGTGAAGATGAGAGTTGGGGGGGTTAGAGTGGAGTAATTTCAAAGATTCTTCTCAGCTTTAACATTTTAAATATTTAGGTTTTAAAATTGTTGTTGTCCTGTTATTTCTGAACAGTCAGACTGTGGATCTTTAATAAATGCAAACAAGTATAAAATTTTGTAGCCGGGCATTGTAGTCCTAGCTACTTGGGAGGCAGAGGTGGGAAGATTGCTTGAGCCCGGGAGGTTGAGGCTGCAGTGAGGCATGATCACACCACTGCACTCCAGCCTGGGGAACAGTGAGAACCTGTCTCAAAAAAACAAAACAAAAAAAACCCTTTTTCTTGTTCTCAGAATTAGAGTTTCAAAAATGAATGGTCTTAAAATAACTAAATTTAGGAAAGAATATAATGGTTTGAAAATAGTGTAAGTTTATTACATAGTGAAACTTAAAATAATGCAAAAAGAGGACTAAACTAAACTTGTATTAGCTGCTAATAGTCAAGTTTAATTTGGGCAAATATTCACATTATTCAACATTCTCTTCAAATTGGTTTCCTTTATTTAACATTCTCTTCATATTTATTGTTCTAACCTCCAAGAAAATTCTATGTAACTCTACATCTTGACAATTTCTTTCTTTCTTTTTCTTTTTTGAGACAAGGTCTGCTCTGTCACCCAGGCTGGAGTGCAGTGGCGCGATCTCGGATCACTGCAACCTCTGCCTCCCGGGTTCAAGTGATTCTCTTGCCTCAGCCTCCCAAGCAGCTGGGAGTACAGGCGCATCACCAGGCCCGGCTAACTTTTGTATTTTTAGTAGAGACGAGGTTTCACCATGTTGGCCAGGCTGGTCTTGAACTCCTGAGCTCAAGTGATCCGCCCGCCTTGGCCTCCCAAAGTATTGGGATTACAGGCGTGAGCCACCGCGCCCGGCCCATCTTGACAATTTCTGACAAAAACAAGTAAACTCATGTAGCAGCTGTATATTGTTATGTGAAAGGTATATATGGAATTTAAGGTTAAAAGCAACCTCTGCCTCCCGGGTTCAAGTGATTCTCTTGCCTCAGCCTCCCAAGCAGCTGGGAGTACAGGCGCATCACCAGGCCCGGCTAACTTTTGTATTTTTAGTAGAGACGAGGTTTCACCATGTTGGCCAGGCTGGTCTTGAACTCCTGAGCTCAAGTGATCCGCCCGCCTTGGCCTCCCAAAGTATTGGGATTACAGGCGTGAGCCACCGCGCCCGGCCCATCTTGACAATTTCTGACAAAAACAAGTAAACTCATGTAGCAGCTGTATATTGTTATGTGAAAGGTATATATGGAATTTAAGGTTAAAAGTATACCCACAATATGGATGCATGCAGTGGTCAGATTACAATGGGATGAGGGCTGCTGGAATCAGGTTGGGGGAGAGGACCAAAGAGGGGAGGAAACAAACTTTTCTTGAGTATTCTTCCTGGCAGCATAATTTGTGACAGGCTTGCCAGGTTACCCAATGGGACAGCTGCAAGGGCCCAGTGCAACTGAATTTGGTGTACCGAGAGATCTCACTGTACGAATTATTTTCTCGGTAATTAGATGTAATTATTGTGAAATGTAGCGAGGAGCTTGTCCACAATAAAAATCAAACAAGAATTTCCAGAAGTATCCCTAGTACTGTGGCCTACACATGTCAAATGGCTGGGGGAAAACATAACCGATAATTATAAACAGAACTAGAGAGGGAAGCGTGGGCAGTGAGAAAGTAATACTTCAAACGGATTCACACGATGTTAGGATGTGTCGTTGGGAAAGCCAAAGAAATGAGTCAAATTGGATCAGGGCAAACCGTAGTGAGGGCAGGCTAGGGGCGGAGCTCTGGGCCAGCTCAGAGGGACTTGCCCTTCCCCAGCCTAGAGCGGCTCCGGCCTCGCCCCCTAGCTCTAGCGGAACCTTCTCCTTTTCCCGGTCACGGGGCTCTGGGGCCAGCCAGGCCTTCGTCCCCGGCCCCGCCCACCCGCCGCGGCACCGGCCCCGCCCGCCAACCCAGGCCGCGGCAGGCTCCGCCCCCCGCCGCGGTGCCCGGCTCCGTCCACCTTCTCTGGGCCGCCGCCGCAGGCTGGCGGCCGGCGCGGCCGGGGGCGGGGCGGGGCGGCCGGGGGCGGGGCGGGGCGGCCGGGGGCGGGGCGGGGCGGCCGGGGGCGGGGCGGGGCGGCCGGGGGCGGGGCGGGGCGGCCGGGGGCGGGGCGGGGCGGCCGGGGGCGGGGCGGGGCGGCCGGGGGCGGGGCGGGGCGGGAGGAGCCGCGCTCCTAAGCGGGAGGGAGATCCGCCGCGGAGTTACGGGAAAGTTGGTCCGAGTTCCCAGAGTTTCCCTCTGTGGTGCCCTAGGCTCGGCCGGCCGGTGCCCCGGCTCCTTTCCTCCTTTCGGCCTTCGCCGTCCACCAGGTCCCTCTCTCTGTCCCCGGCCGCCATGGAGCAGCCGCCGGCGCCTAAGAGGTAACGAATCGGGGAGCGGGAAGAAGGAGGGAAGCGGCGCCGGCGGCCGCGGGGCGGGGGTGGCTAGGCCAGGCCCTGCTGCGAGCCTCTCCCCGCCCGCCGGGCCCCGAGCCGGGCGCGCTGAGGTCGGGAGGCGGGTCCGAGTGTCCCGCCGCGTCTGTCCACGGGCGAGGGGACCTGAGGGGAGCGGGAGCCGGAGCCTCCCCTGCGGCCGGCAGGCCTGGCGCGTGGAAAGTCGGGTGGGCAGCGCCGGGCTCCCTGCGGCCTGACCTCCCGGGGCGGGAGGAATTAAATATTAATAGCTACACAGTCTGTAAAACATTGTGGATGTGCTGCTCTGACAGGTGTTCTTCCCCCTTCCCCCTCAAGTTCAAAAGTATTTATGGATGCAAGACAGTGGGAAGTTTAAATTAGAACCCCCTCCCCCAATATAGTTTTGCGTGTAAAAATAGTGCTGCTTTGGTATGGTATTTACTGTTATTAATAGTTTATATTTAATCTTTGACACCTGTGTTGGAAATGTATGCATACAAGAGTGGGATGTGTTTGAGCTAATATTTGCAATGATCTTAGGAAGCCAAATCTAGGTTGTCCATTGACAGAAGTTCATAATATGTATTCCTCTCTCCCCAAGAATGAATTAACGAATTGTTTGATGTTGCTAAAATATTTAACCTCAGTCTTTCATTTTTAACTTATAAAATAAGGATAGTAATCTCTCAGATAGTGCTGTTGTGAAGATTAAAGAGTTCGTATGCTTTGACAGCTAGAGATCTTTAGATGAAAGGTGTGTTCAAGAACATGGGATAATTGAAAAGTTAGGAACTTTGGGAGCTATTGTGAATTGTGTGACTAGACATGTGAGCCTTGAAGCCTGGAAGCCATCTGTTCAGGTGAAAAAAAGGGGGGGTCGTGAAGGAGTTTCCAAAAGGGACCTGCTGTCAGAGCACTTGAGCAAGTCAATTGATAGATTCTTTTCTAGCATTTTGTAAGTTACCTGCATTCTACTCATTGGGCACCGTTTTAATACAATATAAGAGAATTGGGCACTTTTTTCTTTTCTGGAAGAACTGGAAGGAGCACCTCTGAGAAAACACAGTAGTCCAGTTTGAACAACTCTGAATTGAAGTGCAGCTCTCTATTGATTAGCTGTACTGTAAGTTATCAGAGTTTCATTATAGGTGTAAGAGAATCCTTGCCCTTGTGGAGACATTAGAGAACCTGGAGGAGTCAGGGGCAGGTGTAGGCAGCAATTCTGTGGTGATTTATACTTTTCAAAGTGGTGGTTGCACTTTTAACAGACTTATTTTTAGCTTATTCAGAGTCTTATTTTGAAGTAGTGAACAAAAATGCCGCAAAAGCATTTTTGAAGGCGAAAGATATGTGACAGCAATCCCTGATATTTGAATGTCTCAACATTTTTTATAGAATTTTCATATTCATAATATTTAATCCTCACAGCAACCCTATGGAGTAGATTGGATTATAGGCATTAATCCTAATTTATAGATGAGGATGTTGAGAGAGTTTGCCACATGGAAGGCTATGACAGGAATTACTGGCAGTTTTGCCCCTATTGATTATTATCTCCTAATAATGAAATATAGCTACTCGTTTTGAGGTCATCCTGTTTGCCAGGAAATTTAAGTATACATTATTTAAATCCTAAGAAATAGTAATCCTGGCTCTGCTACTTATTATGCTAGTTCTAAGTTTAATTTCTTCATCTGTGAAATGTATTGTGGGGATTAAATGAGGTGATATGTAAAGCACTTGGGACAGAGCGAGACCCTGTCTCAAAAAAACAAAAACAAAACAAAAACAACAAAAGATAATGGGGACTAATTTAATAAATATTTATGTATCACGACTGAGCTTAAGAAATAAAATTTGACAAATATATTTGAAGCCCCTATGTGTTCAACAGTGTTAGTTGTTAACTTATGTTTTCCTTATTATATGAGGCTCAAAGACGTTAAATAACTTGGTCAAGTGGAGAAAGTGCCAGAATTCTGCATCTGATTGGCTACAAAGGCTGTGCACCCTCTTGTTGTATACAGTGATGGCTCTTTTTGAAACTCTCTTTCTTATCATTCCATGATGTAGTGGTCCTCTTTTTCTGTAATCTCCTGGTCTCTGTTGCTTATTCTGCTCTTAATCCTTATAAAAGTGCCATTTTGCTTTTCTGCCTTGAATAACACTTCCTTAGTGCTGACTTTTACATGGCCTTATCGATGTCGTTGATGTTCAAGTATGACTAGAAGCTGCTGCTCAGTTGGCATTTTTTATTTTTTCAGGTAGGTCTTACTCTTTCATTATCCCATCTAGTTTGTCACTATAGCCTATCAAATTTTCTATTAAAAAGTTGGTGGATTAATTTTTTCTGTTTTCTTTCTCAAGAGTACTACCCCATAAAACCCATTCCATGGTTTTATGACCCTCACTTTTGAATTGCAGCAGTACCTTCTAGCTGGACGCTTTAGTCCAGTGGTTTTCAAAACTATTTTGTTTTGTTTTGAGATGGAGGGGTACAATCTCGGCTCACTGCAACCTCTGGCATCCTGATTCAAGCGATTCTCGTCCCTCAGCCTCCTGAGAGGCTGGGATTACAGGCGGGCGCCACCACGCCCAGCTCATTTTTGTGTTTTAGTAGAGACAACGTTTCGCCATGTTGGCCAGGCTGGTCTCCAACTCCAGACCTCAGATGATCCACCTGCCTCGGCCACCTAAAGTGCTGGGATTACAGGCATGAACCACCGTGCCTGGCCCCCGTTGTTCTTTATTTATGTTATAGGCTGTGGGTACTCCCAGCTTTACCTTTATTCACATTTTTCCTTTAGAAAAGTTTGTGTTACTTTTTGCCTGAAGAATAATCTATGTTTTATTCTTCCATCAAAGCCTACCTCATCAAGTATGTTTTCTGAGTACTTTCTAGCCTGAGATATTTCACTGAATTCCTAATGTGATATACATTTGATTATATACCATCTTTTTATTCTATTTTATTACAAAATTTTAGATATCCAGAAGATAATGAGGGCCTACTGCGATGGTGCACGCCTTGTAATCTCAGCACTTTGTGGGGCTGAGGTGGGAGGATTGCTTGAGCCCAGCAGTGGGAGGTTTCAGTGAGCTATGATTGTGCCACTGCACTCTATCCTGGATGACAAAGTGAGACCCTGTCTCAAAGAAACAAAAATAAAAATAAAAACAAAACAAAAAGAAAAAAGAACAGAGCCTAATTTAATAGATACTTAGGTATTACCATCCAGTTTAAGAAATATTAATAAAAATATTACCAATACATTTGAAGCCACCATGTGTATTTCTTCTCAATTACACTCCCTTCCCATCCCCCAAAAGGTAATCACTGACATGAATTGGATATTTGTCCTTCCCATACATGCCTTTATATTTTTAGTATGTTACATATATATGTGTGTGTGTATGTGTGTGTGTGTATGTATGTGTGTGTATATATATATGTATGTATGTACACATATCAACACATAATGTTAGGCATGGGTATTAGGCCTGGCCTTGTCACTGACTTTGAAATTTGCTTCTTTGGGCATCTTCTTCTCCTCTGGGAGTTGGAGATTCCAGTGTGTAGCCCAGTTCAAGAATCATGACTCAGAGACCTAGATGATTTTTAAGGCACCTCTCACCCTCATATTCATTGATTTGGTCTCCTTAACAAGGTTTGTGTTAAACATAGGCAATAGATGTGGTCACCCATGTCACCAACTTGAGGTACCAGAGTAGTTTTTAGATTCCTTAGATTTCGTTAACATACTTGTCACTGAGGTCTTCAGAAGTCCTTTTTTTTCTTTTTAACTTTTTTTTTTTTTTTGAGATTGGGTCTTACTCTATCGCCCTGGCTGGAGTGCAGTGGCACAATCATGGCTCACTGCAGCCTTGACCTCCCTGTGCTCAGGTGATCCTCTCACCTCAGCCTCCCTGATTAGCTGGGACCACAAGCACGCACCACCATACCTAATTTTTTTTTTTTTTAATTTGTAGAGATGAGGTCTTGCCATGTTGCCCAAGCTGGCCAAAGTCGTTATTAAAAGGATTTCCCTCTGGGAAGGGAAATTCATTAAATCATAGATCCCCAACCATTTTGGCACCAGGGACCAGTCTCGTGGGAAACAATTTTTGCACAGATGGTTTGGTTGGGGGCGAAATGGTTTCAGGATGAAACTTCCACCTCAGATCATCAGGCAATAGTTAGATTATCATAAGGAGCGTGCAACCTAGATTCCTTGCATGCACAGCACAATAGGGTTCGCACTCCTATGAGAATCTAATGCTACTGATGATCTGACAGGAGCTGGAGCCCAGAGCAAGGGCGGTAATGCTCGCGTATAGCTCACCTCCTGCTGTGTTGCCTGGTTCCTAACAGGCCATGGACCAGTACTGGTCCACTGTATTGTGCTGTAAAGGAGTTGGGGACTCCTTTATTAAATGATCATTAATTAGCATTTTGGTTAGATGGAATTTGTTGGATTTATTTTATTATTTTATTATTTTTTTTGAGGTGGAATCTTGCTCTGTTGCCCAGGCTGGAGTGCAGTGGCACAATCTCGGCTCACTGCGAGCTCCGCCTCCCAGGTTCACGCCATTATCCTGCCTCACCCTCCTGAGTAGCTGGGACTGCAGGCGCCTGCCACCACACCAGGTTAACTTTTTTGTATTTTTAGTAGAGATGGGGTTTTACCGTGTTAGCCAGGATGGTCTCGATCTCATGACCTCGTGATCCACCCGCCTTGGCCTCCCAAAGTGCTGGGATTACAGGCTTGAGTTACCGCGCAGCCGAATTTATTGGATTTTTTATAGGGGAACTGCTAGCTGAGAGAAAAATGACCACATAATAGTCCAGCTTTGATAGGTAGAAAGGTAAATGACCAGAAAACATGGGCTCTTCACCAGGTGGAACCTTCATAGAAGGGAGGTGGGTCTCTATGATAGACAGGTGGGCAGCATGAAAATATATTTAATACTTGTCAAAGAGAGGACAGAATATCACTGCTGGAGTGAGACACTTTACCAGATAGGCTTGTTCCTCAAATAGGTTATAGTGTTAGTAGTTATTTAAAATGTGTAATTCGTTGATTAAGGTATGGTTGGAGGGCAGGTTAGCATTGAACAATGAAAACACTAAAAGGATAGTAAAAGAATAAGCTATTGAAGCATACTTACTCTCAAGACAGGTGAGTTCTTTAATTTAAGCTATAGTTGGATTCTGTGGCAATTTTTTATTATTATTTTTAATAGTGTGAAAGGGTAGTTTGGGGGAAATAAAATTGAAGGTTGAAGTCATATGTTAGGGGTCCTTCACGCAAATGGAAAGCTAGAAAACACTAATTTCATAAGGGCAAATGAGTGTTTGGATGGATTACCCATCAGAAAACAGATTATTATGGAAAGAAAAAGCAAAGGGATCGGGTTGAGAATATAGAGGAGTTAAGCAGAAAGTACTCATGAATTCTTCAGCATGAAGAGCCCACATCAACTTGTAGCATCTGTAGCCCGGATCTCAGGCCAGGAATTAGGAATGGAGAGAGATAGCAGATAACTCTCAGCGCTTATGAATGGAAGTGGGTGAGAGAAAGCAACACACCAGTTAAGTAGATAGTAGGAATATCACAAAGATATTATTGCAGGGAGAAGAGGGGTGGATGTCATTTTATGTGTATATTTCTAATTTATGTTTCCTTGGAATGTTGGAAAGTAAAATTGTGTGTATATCAGAGAGATTGACTAAATAGAGAGCTGGAGTTGTCTTTGAGAAGATGAACTCTAAGAACTCTTAAAAAAACCCCAGCAGACTCAGAGGAAGGCCCTAGGGAAAATTTCCAATTCTAGAGGTAGGCAAGTGGACAAAATATTCAAAGTAGTTAGTCCAAGGGGAAAAGAACCAACCAAACAGGAGCATCTCTGAATTAACAACTTGGTCCCTAAAGCATCTGCTGTCTTCCCTTTGGCTTTTCTTGGTTAATTTAGGGTGGCATTAACTTGATTAGGATTGCTTTAGGCCGTGCTGATGGGAATAGTCAGTTGGCTCTTCCTTCTTGGAGAGAGGGAGTGCGACAATAAAATTTGCAATACTTCCGGTAAACAAACTTCTGTTGCATGTCAACTAGAGAAACTCAGTCTTTAGTTGACTCTAGGAACACTTCAGGCCATCATATATTACTGGCTTTCAACATTTAAAAAAAAAAATTCATTGATACTGAGACTCAGTACAGACCCACACATTTACATAAATGGGAGGTAGAGGTGGGACAATTGCTTGAGCTCAGGAGATTGAGGCTGCAATGAGCCATGATTGTGTGGATGCATTCCATCCTGGGCAACAGAGCAAGACCCTGTCTCAAAAACGTTCATTGGGCTGGGCACGGTGGCTCACGCCTGTAATCCCAGCACTTTGGGAGGCTGAGGTGGGCAGATCATGAGGTCAGGAGATCGAGACCATCCTGGCTAACATGGTGAAACCCTGTCTCTACTAAACAAAATACAAAAAATTAGCCGGGCATGGTGGCGGGCATCTGTAGTCCCAGCTACTTGGGAGGCTGAGGCAGGAGAATCGTGTGAACTTGGGAGGCGGAGCTTGCAGTGAGCCGAGATTGCGCCACCGAACTCCAGCCTGGGCGACAGAGACTCCGTCTCAAAAAAACAACAAAAAAAATTCATTGTTTGCATACATACCGTGAATATCGACATGAAGATTACCTTGAATTTCTGAAAGTACATCATAGGAGTATATCTTGAAAAATGACTCATAGCAAAATGAGAATTACAAAGTGTTAACATTAATGATAATTAGTTTAGGTAGTATTATTTTGAGTTCTGAATTAGTTTATAGATTTATATAATACCAGACATCTTAGTATAGAGGTGAATTGAGTAAATTTTTCAGATGTTTCTGCTATCTTGATACACACACACACACACACACACACACACACACACATTTATAATTTATAATTGGCAGCTAATTTTCTTGACTCTGTTTATGGAACCAAGCCACATAGTCTCCTGTTCTCTGTTGTGTTGCTCTGTTCTTTCTGAAAACTGGCTTTCTTTACTTACTGATCACTACTCATGGCAAAATTGGCATTCGGCCTTTACTTCATTCATTTCCTCATTTATTCATACATTCAGTAATTATTAATTGTTTTCCACATTCCAGATGCTCATTGGTGAATGAAACAGGTGGGTTCTTTGCCCTCATATAACATACACTCTTGTTGTAGCTTGAGCTATGAAAGATATAAGTAGTGTGTAGAGAAAGATGGTGAAACCTGCTTAATAGGGCAGTTGGCAGAGGCTTCTCTGAGAAGGTGATATTTAAGTTGTAACCTGACATTGAGAAGTTATCCATGTGAGTAGCAAGGGAAAAGTATTCCAGGCAGGGGGGAAAGCTATGAGAAGGCCTGGAGGTGGGAAAGAGCTTAATGTGTGGGAGGAATTGAAATGACACCAGTGTGCCTGGATTGGAGAAGAGGACAGTGGCTAGAGATGAGCTCAGAGAGATGGGCACGGATTCAATGATGCCGGCCATGGAAAGGAATTTGGATTTAAGTCAGAGCTCTGTGTGCTGTCATTAAAGGTTTTTAAGCAGTTTATGTTTTTAAAACATCCTTTTGGCTGCTTTGGGTAGAGTAGATTGTAGAGGGTTAAGAATAAAAGAGAAACAAGTTAGGAAACTATTTGAATAGTTTGTGATTTGAGATGGTAGAGTCAGTGGAGATAGAAGTTGAGAGATTTGCGATATTTTGGAGTTATAAATGAAGGACTTGCTGATAGACTAGATGTGGGGAATGAGGGGAAAAAAAGAATCAATCCTGGCTCCTATGTTTTGAATTGAAACAACTTGGGGAATGAGGAAAGACCGGGAGAACAGGTTTGGATATCTATAGTCTCTTTCTTGGAATTTCATAATCCCAAGAAAGTGAATCTGATTGGCCTAAAATGTGATATTAAGTGGTTCCTTTAGAAGAGGAAGTGGGTAGGGAGGAAATGATGCACACTGATTTCTATTTTTTTTTTTTTTTTGAGATGGAGTCTTGCTCTGTCGCCCAGGCTGGAATGCAATGGTGCAATCTTGGCTCACTGCAACCTCCGCCTTATAGGTTCAAGCAATTCTCCTGCCTCAGCCTCCCAAGCCGCTGGGACTACGGGCGTGTGCCACCACACCCAGCTAATTTTTGTATTTTTAGTAGAGATGGGGTTTCACCATATTGGCCTGTCTGGTCTCGAACTACTGACCTCAGGTGATCCACCCACCTCGGCTTCCCAAAGTGCTGGGATTAAAGGCATGAGCCGCCATGCCCGGCCTGATTTCTATTTTTATCCTATTGTTTTCACTCAGTTAGAGTAGAGAATGGAAAACATATCTAGCCGTTTTTAGGTGTTGACATGTTCAGGTGTGCTGGTAACCTGCTATTTTAAAAAAAATCTTTTTATTGCAAAATAAAACATTAGTACAGAACACATGTATGGCTTGGTGAATTATTATAAGGCAGATACCTTTGTAATCACCCCTCAGGTTGAGAAATAGATCACAGTGGCCTTTCCCTATAAGTAATCATTTTCCTGACTTGTGTAGTAATAACCCAAATGTGCATTGCTAGATACTGTAGGTTAGTCTTGATGATTAAGAAATAGTAAGTTTTGGCCAGACACGGTGGCTCACACCTGTAATCCCAGCACTGTGGGAGGCCGAGGTGGGTAGATCACCTGAGGTCAGGAGATCAAGACCAGCCTGACCAACATGGCAAAACCCCATCTCTACTAAAAATACAAAAATTAGCTAGGCATGGTGGCAGGCACCTGTAATCCCAGCTACTCGGGAGGCTGAGGCAGGAGAATCCCTTGAACCCAGGAGGTGGAGGTTGCAGTGAGCTGAGATTGCACCATTGCACTCTAGCCTGGGCAACAAGAGGGAAACACTGTCTCTAGGTTGTGTTTTGTTTGTTTGTTTGTTTGTTTGTTTTTTGAGACAGGATCTTGCCCTGTCACTGAGGCTGGAGTGCAGTAGTGCAATCTCAGCTCACTACAGCCTGACCCTCCTGGGCTCAAGGGATCCTCCTGCCTCAGCCTTCTGAGGAGCTGGGACTATAGGCATTGGCCACCATGCCCAGGTAATTTGTGTATTTGTAGACATGGGGTCTTGCCATGTTGCTTAGGCTGGTCTTGAACTCCTGGGCTCAAGTGGTCTTGCCTTGGCCTCCCCAAGTGTTGGGATTATAGGCATGAGCTACAGCACCCAGCCCAAAAAGCAGTTTTGATATGAGTTGTCACTTTTAATCTTTAGTTTAGTCCTCCATCCTTTTCCTTTTCCTGTTGGAGAACCCAGGTTGTTTGTACTAGTTTCCCAGAGTTGGATTTTGCTGATTGCTTAATATAGGTCAGTTCAACATGTTCCTTTGTCTTCTGTATTTTCTGCAAACGTGCAGCTGGATCCAGAGATGGAGCAGACTCAAGTTCGATCCCTTAGGCATTGTGATATATATATATATATAGATGGGGTTTGGCAAGACCATGGGAATATCATAATGTCTAATTGTCTTTCTTTTTTGTGATGTTAGCGGCTGTGGATGGTTAGTGGGTGTTGCAATATAATGAAATTCTAAATACATCATTTTGCTTTCATTTATTAATTGGAATGTTTTTATAAAAAGTAACTTCCCCTCATCTTCTGTTTAGTTACCCAGTGGTACTGTTGATAAAGGAAAGACAGGATAAATGTTTGATTCTTTCCTTTTATTTACAAGTTTTCAAGATAACGAATTAGTTCCCTGTCTTTCTCCAAAGGTGGCCATTTTTTTTTCTTTTAAATGCCATTATGAGAAGATGGATTTAAACATACTTGATGGATTTAATCCATTGGAATCACTTTCACTGAAGCGCAAATTGTCTCACCTTTGGTTAGTGGGAGTCTCTTCAGGAGATAACATGACCCTAGTGGTTTTTGATAGTTTCCTTGTTGTCTGCTGTGATATTTGGGGCCCATCTTGTATACTTCTTGTCCTAGATCTGGAATCATCCATTTCTCCAAAAAGCCGTGGTTTCTCTTAGTAAGAAATGATATTTCAAGATCCTAACCTGGAGACTAATATCCTAATAACTAATATCCTGTTATTTTTAATAGCATTTTATTCATAGATAGGATAACTGATTTTTTCTTTCAAACTATGGATATTCTGCCAAAAGTGATGACACTGGTGGTTTTGAGCTCTTTTCTCTGGATAGTCTCTCCACTACACATTTATTTTCTAAGTTTGAGTCAGAAATTGGGCATATATAAATTCAAATTACGTGATATAGACTATTCAGAGCAGACTTTTATCTTTATGTTCTTCCTATTTGCTCTGGTTGCTCTTTGACCCACTATAATCCTAATACCCAGTCTTACTTTTTTCTCACCACTAAATATTTCAGATGACCTAGTGTCATTTTAAATGAAAAAGATAGAAAATAAAATAATCCAAGACAAATAACACCACTGTTGATAAGAGCAGATTTTAGGCTGGGTGCAGTAGCTCATGCACTAATCCCAGCACCTGGGAGGCCGAGGCAGGCAGATTGCTTTAGTCTAGGAGTTCAAGACCAGCCTGGGCAACATGGCAAAACCTGGTTTCTACAAAAAAATACAAAAATTAGCTGGGCATGGTGGTGCACACCTGTGGTCACAGCCAGGAGGCTGAGGTGGGAGCATCACCTGAGCCTGGGACGTTGAGGTTCCAGTGAGCGATGATCATGCCACCGCACCCCAGCCTGGGCTACAGAGTGAGACCCTGTCTCAAACTAAAGTAAACTAAAAATAAAAAAAATTTGCCAGGTGTGGTGTTTCACGCTTGTAGTCCCATCTACATGGGAGGCTGATGTGGAAGGATTGCCTGAGCCTGGGGGGTTGTGGCTGCAGCAGGCTGTGATTGTACCACTGCACTCCAGCTTGGGTGACCTGGTGAGACCCTGTCTCTACAACAAACAAAAAATTAGCTGGGCGTGGTGGCGCATGCCTTTGTCCCAGTGACTTGGGAGGCTGAGGTTGGAGGATTGCTTGAGCCTAGGAGGTTGTGCTGCAGTGACTTGTAATTATACCACTTCATTCCAGCTTGGACTGCGCTTGGGTGACAAAAAAAAAAAAAAAAAATGCTGGGCGCGGTGGCTCACGGCTGTAATCCCAGAACTTTGGGAGGTTGAGGCAGGTGGATCACCTGAGGTCAGGAGTTCGAGACCAGCCTGACCAACATGGTGAAACCCTGTCTCTACTAAAAATACAAAAAAAATTAGCCAGGTATGGTGGCAGATACCTGTAGTCCCAGCTACTCGGGAGGCTGAGGCAGAATTGCTTCAACCCAGGAGGTGGAGGTTGCAGTGAACTGAGATCATGCCACTGCACTCCTGCCTGGGCGACAGAGTGAGACTCCGTCTCAAAAAGAAGAAAAAAATCAATTAAAGATTCAGTTGCCTTTTTTAGTTCTCAAATCTAGGTATGGTTATTTCAGAATACTTACAACGAACTGGATTAAAATGTATGAGCCTTATAGGTGTCCATATTTCTAATAAAATTATTTTTAATTTTTATTTTACTAGAACATGAATATGTTAGGGAATTTTCAAATTTATTTTAATAGGACGTGAATATGTTAGAGCATTTTCAAATTTGTCTATATTTTCTGAATTTGTGATTTTTGAGTAATTAGTAATTAAGAAAGCGAATGTAATAACATGTCTTAGGGATAGGGAGTATGTTGCAGTGTTTGTTAATTTTGTATAGGTTTGTTACAAGAAATGTAAAGAAATCATATCACTTTCCAGTTTATGATAAGTGGAGAAAATTCTTAGATAATAAAAATTAGAGTCCAAGGGTGAAGGAAGAAGAGAAAATTTCAGCTTCTTTTAAAACTCCTTGCCAGAAAATTATAATTTTAGAGTACTTTTGGGCAAAGAGCCCAACTTAAGAGGAAATGGTATGATAGAGTTGAAAAACAAGACTTTCATATAATTAAAAAAGCTCTTCTGTCTATTGCAGAGCATTTATTTTCTTAGGTGGTTTCAGGTCTTTATGGTGCCAATAATTAATTAAACCCCCATAAATTTAATACTGTTTTATAAAAGTAAATACACTATGAGATCATCAGATTACATCTATTTTGCTATCAAAACAATGATAGAAAGTGAAGCAATTAAGAGCTGGTGCTTTAGAGTCCGATAGATGTTGGCTCTAATCTCAGCTCTGCCATTTACTGAAATGCAGTGGTGGGCAAGTTATTTAGCTTTTCTGTCTGAATTTACTCGTAAAATGGAAGTTATATACTACCTTCTCCTTGAGTTTTGTGAAGATTAAATGAAATATTGATTGTAAAGCATTTGTCTCTGAAGACAGCTTCCAAACTGTTTAAAAAGTGTGTCTGACGTCGTCAGCATCTTTTGAAGAAACACATCACTTTCTTTTTTTTTTTTTTATTGTGCTTTAAGTTCTAGGGTACATGTGCACAACGTGCAGGTTTGTTACATATGTATACATGTGCCATGTTGGTATGCTGCACCCATTAACTTGTCATTTACATTAGGTATATCTCCTAATGCTATCCCTCCTCACTCCCCCCACCCTACAACAGGCCCTGGTGTGTGATGTTCCCCACCCAGTGTCCAAGTGTTCTCATTGTTCAATTCCCACCTATGAGTGAGAACATGCGGTGTTTGCTTTTCTGTCCTTGTGATAGTTTGCTCAGAATGGTGTTTTCCAGCTTCATCCATGTCCCTACAAAGGACATAAACTCACCCTTTTTTATGGCTGCATAGTATTCCATGGTGTATATGTGCCACATTTTCTTAATCCAGTCTGTCATTGATGGACATCTGGGTTGGTTCCAAGTCTTCGCTATTGTGAATTGTGCCACAGTAAACATATGTGTGCATGTCTTTATAGCAGCATGATTTATAAACCTTTGGGTATATACCCAGTAATGGGATGGCTGGGTCAAATGGTACTTCTAGTTCTAGATCCTTGAGGAATTGCCACACAGTCTTCCACAATGGTTGAACTAGTTTATAGTCCCACCAACAGTGTAAAAGTTTTCTTATTTCTCCACTTCCTCTCCAGCACCTGTTGTTTCCTGACTTTTTAATGATTGCCATTCAAACTGGTGTGAGATGGTATCACATTGTGGTTTTGATTTGCATTTCTCTGATGGCCAGTGATGGTGAACATTTTTTCATGAGAAACACATAACTTTCTAAGAGTATAAAAAGACGATGTTCACTTCTAGTTCTAGTTGAATTTTTTAAGAAAAATCAACTTTATTACTTCAGAGCTAAACATTTGCTAAATATTTATAAAATGTTGAGCTTTTAAAAGGCAAAAGGGAGCAGGATTGAAAAAAAAAATGGCCAGGCATGGTGGCTCACCCCTGTAATCCCACCACTTTGGTAGGTTGAGGTGGCCAGATCACTTGAGATCAGAAGTTCGAGAACAGCCTGGCCAACATGGTGAAACCCTGTCTCTACTACAAATACAAAAATTAGCTGGGTATGGTGTCCCATACCTATAATCCCAGCTACTTGGGAGGCTGAGGCAGGAGAATTGCTTGAACTTGGGAGGCGGAGGCTGCAGTGCCACTGCACTCCAGCCTGGGTGACAGACCAAGACTTCGTCTCAAAAAACAACAACAAAACCTTTCATTTTACTAGTTTGAGGTAAAAATGTACTTCCTGTAGTTGATGTAGAAAAGATGTTTTATTTTGTGGATTCAAGATCAGACTCCTCAATGTATAATTTAGAAAATGCTTGTTATTTAACGCTAACTTTGAGACTTTTTGACATCGTTTAATAATGTTACATTGAAGGACTAAAGGATGAAAACCTTTCATGTGTTTTAAAGATGTATTTTTTTTTTTTTTTAACAGTATTCAAGATGAAACTGCTAGGGTACAAGAGGTTTTTTTTTTTTTTCTTTTTTCTTTTCTTAAATGGAACACTTAATGAATTTGCATATCATCCTTGTGTAAGAACCATGATAATCTTCTCGGCATCATTAGTAGGACTTAATTTTAAATGAGATTTCACATATGAGATGAAGGATCATGCCTAGCACATAGCAGTAACACTTATGACTCATTAAGTAGCTACTATTAGTAGTGATACAGCTACCAGCAGTGTGGTCATTAAAACCTATGCTCTAGTGGATAGGGAAATCTGCCAGAAGAGAAAAAGAGATTGACAGTTACAGAGCTGAAATCAGGTAGAAGGCACTTTATGAAAAAGAAATCTCTGTTCTCAGGGGTGGAAGTTTTTTCTCTTCTGCTGGGTTAGCACTCTTGCCAGTGCCTCTTCTCCATGATTAGTTTCCTAAAAGATCTAGAGGGCAGATACCAATTGTATTAGTCTGTTTTGTGTTGCTAGTATAAAGGAATGCCTGAGACTGGGTAATTAATGAAGAAAGATTTACTTGGCCCATGGTTCTGCAGGTTGTACAAGCATGGCAGCAGCATCAGCTTAGTTTCTGGTGACACTTCAGGAAGATTTTATTCATGGCAGAAGGCATGGGGGAGCAGGTGTGTCACATGGGAAGAGAGAGGGACCAAGAGAGAAGAGGAGGTGCCAGGCTCTTTAAACAGCCAGCTTTCTTGTGAATTAATAGAGTGAGAACTCACTCATCGCCAGGGACAACACCAAGCCATTCATGAAGGATCCTCCCCCATGACCCAAACACTTCCTACTAGGCCCCACCTCCATCATTGGGAATCACATTTCAACATGAGATTTGGAGGGGACAAACATGCAAACTATATCACCAATTATTTTTGACTAGAGAGCTAGATCTGATTGTACAGAAAGCTTTCCTCTGTGTCTCTCTTTAAAAGCTTTTCTCCAAAACAAATAACCCAAATAAAAAGTGGGCAAGGAACTTAGAGATTTCTCCAAAGAAAATGTATACATTGGCCAATAAGCACATGAAAAGATGCTTGACATCACTAGTAATCAGGGAAATGCAATGGAAACTACAATGAGATGCCACCTCATAGTCTTTAGGATGACTATTATTAAAAAAAAAAACAGCAGAAAATCACAGGTGTTGGTGAGGATGTGGAGCAATTGGAGCCCTTGTGCATTGCTGGTAGGAGAGTGAAATAGTGCACCCACTGTGGGAAACAGTGTAGCAATTCCTCAAGAAATTATAAACATAGAATTACCCTGTGACTCAGTAATTCCACTTCTGGGTATATACCTGATATGCTTTGGATCTGTATCCCTGCCCAAATCTCATGTCAAATTGTAATCTCCAGTGTTGGAGGTGGGACCTGGTGGGAGGTGATTGGATCATGAGAGCAGTTTCTCATGAATGGTTTAGCACCATCCCACAGTGCTGGTCTTGTGATAGGGTTCTCACGAGATCTGGTTGTTTCTAAGTGTGTAGCACCTCCCCATCTCTCTCTCTTCCTCCTGCTCTGGCCACGTGGCCATGTGAAGTGCTACTCCCCCTTTGCCTTCCACCATGGTTGGAAGCTTCCTGAGGCTTCCCCAAAAGCAGAGCAGAAGCTGCTATGCTTCCTGTATAGCCTGCAGAACCATGAGCCAATTAAACCTCTTTTCTTTATGCATTACCGAGTCTCAGGTATTTCTTTATAGCAGCGCCAGAACGGATTAATGCAATACCCAAAAGAATTGAAAGCAGGGTCTCAAGATATTTGTGTGCCTATATTCATAGCAGCATTATGTACAACAGCCCAAAGGTGGAAGCAACTCACGTGTCCACCAGCGGATGAATGGATAAACAAAATGTGGTATATATATATACAATGGAATATTATTCAGCCTTAAAAAGGGATAAAATTCTGATACATGTTACAACATGGATGAACCTTGAAAACATTATGCTAACTGAAGCAAAGTACACACAAAAGGACAAATTTGTATGATTCCACTAGAATAGTCAAAGTCATAGAAACAGAAAGTAGAATAGTGGTTACACGGGACTATGGGGAAGTGGAAAATGGAAAGTTATTTAATGGGTATAGAATTTTGGTTGGAGATGATAAAAAACTTTTTCTACACTTATAAGACTTCTGACACCAAATACATGGGGTTTTCTCCCTACAGCTCTCAGTTCTCTGTCCTAGCATTTAATTCAATTTTGATACTATCTCCCTGGAGTGAGTGTCAGACACCACAGGTTAAGGACTGAGTTGTATAAGACTTCCACCACTTCAGATGCCAGTTGCAAGCCCCAGGCCTCTGGTACTTCTGACTTGGCTACAAATCAAGTTCAGTCATTGGCTACAATGATTCATTGAATGCAGGGAAACACTTTACTTACTATTACCAGTTTATTATAAAGGATATACAGATGAAAAGGCACATAGGGTGAGGTCTGGAAGGGTCCCCAGTGCAGGAGCTTATGTCTCCATGGAGTTGGGGTGCATCACTCTTTCAGCACGTGGATGTGTTCATCGATCCAGAAGAAATTCTCTGAGTCCCATCATTTAGGGTTTTTATGGAGGCTTCACCCTGTAGGCATGATTGATTAAATTATTGGTCATTGGTGATTAGGTCAGTCTCTAGTCCTTCTCCCCTCCCTGGAGGTGGGGCTGAAAGTTCTGACTATGTAATCACATGATTGATTTCTTGGGTGACCAGCTTCCCTACCCACTCCCCTGCAGCTTTGTAGGGGCCTACCAAGAGTCATCTCTTTAGCATAAGCTCAAATATGTTTGAAAGGGACTTATTATGAATAGCAAAAGATAATTCTTCCACCCTTATCATTCGGGAAATTCCAAAGGTTTTAGGGGCAGTGTGCCAGGAATTTCTTACTAGATCACCATATTATAGATGATGAAAAAGTTTGGGAAATGGATAACAGTAATTGTTGCACAAGAGCTGAATGTATGGATCACTGAATTGTACATGTTAAAATAGTAAACTTTATGTTGTGTATATTCTGCCACAATAATAAAAAAAAGCCTTTAGCCAATCATAAACAGCTCTCTCCTTTCTTCTGAACTTTTCCTGAGTCTCTTCAAAACTGAAGAGACATCCTTAGCAGAAGTTACAACCTGTCCACAAACTTGCAAACTGCTGTTCCAAGGTTGGAAACAGAGAAAATAAAGAAAGAGGACCAAATATAGTCCCTTCATTTTTTCTGCCGTAAGGCCTTTTATGACTGACTGAGCTGTTTCATGTGTTTTGGTGTTTGCAGACTTTTCAGAAACAGCTCCAGTCCTCTCACTTCACACTTTCTTTCCTGTCCTGCCCTCATGTTTTCATATAATTTAACACAGATGCTTTCTGCTACTTCTTAGAGAAGATTGAAATACAGTGGCTGTTAGGAAGAGGTGCTGCCTTATGTACTTTCATCTTAATTTCATTTGATTATTGTTCTACATAATTTTTGCTTCTGTCACACGACAATTTTTTCTCTTCTTCCTTTTATCTGACCTTTGAACATGTCCCTTTTCATAGCTCTTAGGACTTTATTCCTGTAATCACACTTTTGCCCCCCAGTTTAAAAATCTGTTTCTACGAGTGTATTCTGTTTCAGCCTTCCAACATGGTCAGGCCTTGTTTATTAATGAAACTACTCTAGGTTGCAAATTAGTTATTGTTTTGGCAAGACCAGAAACTTTTTCTCTGTTCTTAACATTCCTCATATCTGTTTCTTGAAGTTTTCTCTGGCATTTTGATTCTCCTGTTGCCTCTGTTTCTCTGCCTGCTTTATGTTCGGTTATGAACTGATCTTCACAGTGCATAATTGACAGTGACTTTGCATTTTCTATCTTTTCCTCCTTTATTTATTTATTTTGCATAGTTATTTCCTTGGTGAGTTTATCTACTCTAATGGCTTCAATTTGATTGAAATGACCCACAAATACTTTTGAGACTTGGAATTTTTGTACTCAGTCTTATTCACTATTTCCAGTCTCCTAAATAACATTTGATTACTGGTCGGGTACAGTGGCTCACACCTGTAATCCCAGTACTTTGGGAGCCAGAGGTGGCTGGATCTCTTGAGGCCAGGAGTTTGAGACCAGCCTGGCCAACATGGCGAAACCCCATCCCTACTAAAAATACAAAAAATTAACCGAGCATGGTAGTGTGCTTCTGTAATCCCAGCTCCTCGGGAGGCTGGGGCACAAGAATTGTTTGGACTCAGGAGGCAGATGTTGCAGTGAGCCAAGATCATGCCATTGCACTCCAGCCTGGGCAACAGAATGAGACTCTGTCTCCAAAACAAAACAGAAACCCCCAAAACCAAAAACCCAAATATTTGATTACTGTCTCCTTAAAGGCATTATGTTCAGAACTGAATCCTCACCTTCTACCTAATCCTTTTTTTTTTTTTTTTTTTGAGACGGAGTCTCGCTTGTCGCCCAGGCTGGAGTGCAGTGGCACGATCTTGGCTCACTGCAAGCTCTACCTCCTGGGTTTGCGGCATTTTCCTGCCTCAGCCTCCCAAGTGGCTGGGACTACAGGTGCCCGCCACCACGCCTGGCTAAATTTTTGTATTTCTAGTAGAGACGGGGTTTCGCTGTGTTAGCCAGGATGGTTTCGATCTCCTGACCTTGTGATCCGCCTGCCTTGGCCTCCCAAAGTGTTGGGATTACAGGCGTGAGCCACCGTGCTCAGCCCACCTAATCTTACCGTGTTCAGCCCACCTAATCTTTACTAATTGGCGTTGTCACTTTTTCCAGTTCACATTTGGTGTGTGATTCTTTCCTCTGCTTGGTTTCCTATATTATTTACTGTTACTTAGGTCTCTTAAGACTCAAGGTAGAGAAGTACATAGATTATCTTCAGTAATAGAAGTTTATTGTGAGGATACTTGGGAAATGTGCATGGGGTAGCATGCTCCCTCTGAGCTCCAGTGTTTTCTAATACTGGGTTGTTTAACAGGCTCCATTAACACAGGGACTAACAGCTTAGAGTCACTTGGAATAATGACTTGAGCTCCAGTGACTTTTGTCTTTGTTCAGTTAGCATGTATACTTTGCTGAAATCTAAGATTAATTGGGTCATTTTGCAACCATAAAATTTGGAATATCCCCATTGGCCATTTCAGCCCTGGTAGGGATGCTTTTGGCCTTTGCATCGACTTCTAGCCATATATGTGTATTTTTTATTGCTGTGGTAGCAAAACTGATTTAAGTTGAAGCAGGTCATGGTTAGCCATAAGCGTTTATATAGGAAGATATATTTTTTTTTTCCCATAAAGGCATGTTTTAAGTCACAGACATTTTGAGGTTCCTTTAGGTCTCCAGGAGTTAGCAAATTTGTTTTCATTTGTTTATTCATTTATTTATTAGATATGTTATTTAAACAGTAGTGTGTGAGGTTCTGTGGTAGGTATTTAATGGAAATAGGCTAGATAAGACATGATCCATATCTTTATGGAATTCATATTCTAGCTCTAGTGATATTCTCATACAGTACATAATAATGAAAGGAATAATGAATCACTGTACTAAGTACTACAATGAGGCAGGTGCCAAGTGCTGTGGGACCATAGTAGACAGTGGGACTAGTTCTTTGTGTATGTGTGTGTGCTTGTGTGGATGGGTGGGGACAGTGGTAGAAGTGAGGAGGTGATTTCTTTAAACTTCCCAGAGAAAATTTTTGATTGTGTCTTTAAGGAGGTGGTTAATTTTGACAGGCAGAGAGAAGGGGAAGATCATGTTGTAAGAGAAAATGGTGATATAGAGGTAGGGCCTGTATTATCTCATCATGAAGAGATAGCTGCTAGTCCCTTCTCAAATCAGTTATGAAGGTCTCCTGCATTATCTTCATTCATTCATTTTCCAACACAAAATTTGAATGCCTTTCCCATTCCTGTGTTCTACTGTCTATTTCTTATGTAACATACAAGTGACTGCACACTATCTGCTTTTTATATTACAGTTATTATTATTATTATTATTATTATTTTTTGGAGATGGAGTTTTGCTCTTGTCGCCCAGGCTAGAGTGCAGTGGCATGATCTTGGCTCACTGCAACTCTGCCTCCTGGGTTCAAGCAATTCTCCTGCCTTAGCCTCCCGAGTAGCTGGGATTACAGGCACCCGCCACCATGCCTGGCTAATTTTTGTATTTTTAGTGGAGACGGGGTTTCACCATTTTGGCCAGGCTGGAACTCCTGACCTCAAGTGATCTGCCCGCCTCGGCCTCCCAAAGTGCTGGGATTACAGGCGTGAGCCACCGCGCCCGGCCTATATTACAGTTATTGTGGGAGTTTTAAAATGTTATGTGAGAATTCAGGACCTTTAAGAAGTAGTTCACTCTGGCTAGGCTGTAGGAAACAGAAATGAGATGACTGAGAAGGTCTTAGGTTCCGCAGTTAGTTATGAGTTTTGTCTTGCATGTAGTGAGAAATGATTCTGCTTTTGAAATATCTCTTGAATTATTTCCCATCATTCTCGCTATTTTTAGCTCAGATCTTTATCACCAGATTTTTGCAAGAAACAAAACTACCCCCTAGTTTTGCACATTTCCAGTTCTCTTATAAAATTTGGCTTATAGGACATTTAGAAGATTAGGAAGAAGTCCCTGGAGGAAGAGTATCTTGGTTCATCTTATACAGTCAGCAGTGTTCCGCCATTAGCATAACCACCATAATTTAGCACTTCAGAATTTTATTCTCTGATTCTCTCATACCACATTTTCCTAATAACATAAATGAAATTGCTATTGACCTAGACCAACTATTATGTAATATGGCATAGTGATTTGGAATTTAGGAAGCATAAAAGAAGCTAAAAGTTCATCTGTTTAATATTTCTTGAGTGCATACATTGTATAGCACTGGGAGAAGAGAAACTACTGAATCCTGTGCTCTAGAGGCTCATAGGTTAATGGTTGTAATAGTGTATTTCAAAGTGGAGATAACTAGTTGAGTTGAAGATAAGAAATTCTTGGGAAGACTTCCAAAAGGATATCTACCTTAAAAAAGGTGACTATTGTGTTATACTTGATAGTAACTGATGGAACTGATAGAGTCCACTTTGGTGTTTACTAGCATCCTAATAATGAGAGACACTATATTGTATCTGGGACAGGGTTTATTTGGTTTGATTCTGTTTTGCCATTTATTACTCAAGTGACTGAGGAAGTCATTTAAGTCTTAACGTTTTCTTATCTAAAAACTGAGAATATCGTAGTAACTACCAAAAAGATTGTTATAGGGATTAAATAAGAAAATGCTTGTTTGGCCAGGTGTGGTGGCTCACGCCTGTAATCCCAGCACTTTGGGAGGCCGAGGTGGGCGGATCACTTGAGGCCAGGAGTTCAAGACTAGCCTGACCAAAATGTTGAAACCCCATCTCTACTAAAAATACAAAAATTAGCCAGGCGTGGTGGTGTACACCTGTAATCCCAGCTACTTGGGAGGCTGAGTTGGGAGGATTGCTTGAACCTGGGAGGCGGAGGTTGCAGAGAGCCAAGATTGCACCACTGCACTCCAGCCTAGGCAACAGAGTGAGACTCTGTCTCAAAAAAAAAAGAAAGAAAATGCTTGTTAAGTGTCAGCACAATGCCAAAAAAAGAACCTAATAAATGTCAGCTACCTTTATTATTATGTTTCATTTAGCTTTTATTCATCTATCTTTCCCACTAGATTGGGAGCCTCTTGGTTATCAAGGGCTACAACTTAATTTTCTTTGGATTACCCTAGCAGGTAACTTATTGTCTACAAATTCAGTAAGTGTGTATTGAATGAATATAATGGACTAATTTTTTAAAACTGATTTTATAATTTTTTGTACCCGTTTTAAAGATTCATTTTAGAAGTATTAGTTTCCTAAAGATAGTAAGGTTATGTTATTGCTCAGCAG
Source organism: Homo sapiens (assembly GCF_000001405.40). NCBI lineage: Eukaryota > Metazoa > Chordata > Mammalia > Primates > Hominidae > Homo > Homo sapiens. The sequence goes on along the minus strand of NC_000008.11, from coordinate 98,803,678 downwards.
CAGAATTCACTCACAGGGATAAGACTGATTAACAGGTTATTGTTTTTACTATTTCTTTTCTTTTTTTTTCTTTTTTTTTTTTTTTGAAACAGAGTCTCACTCTGTTGCCCAGGCTGGAGTGCAGTGGCGCGATCTTGGCTCACTGCAAGCTCCGCCTCCTGGGTTCATGTCATTCTCCTACCTTAGCCTCCCGAGTAGCTGGGACTACAGGCGTCCCCTACCATGCCCGGCTAATTTTTTGTATTTTTAGTAGAGACGGGGTTTCACCATGTTAGCTAGGATGCTGGTCTCCATCTCCTGACCTCGTGATCTGCCTGCTTTGGCCTCCCAAAGTGCTGGGATTACAGGCGTGAGCCACCATGCCTGGCCTGTTTTTACTATTTCTGATTGCCGTGGCCAGTTTATTCATTCAAAGTATAGAAGAGGCCTTTCTTTTTTCAGTGTATAAGATGATTTTATTGAATGCATTTCATGAAGTAATTATTGAATCAGGCAAATAAATTTTAATTTTGTTATGTGAGATACAATTTTAAAGGTTTTCCCCCAATAACAGAAAAAACTGAATGTTTATTTGAGAAACCGTATGAAACAAAAGCGTAGAGAGAATCATACCCCAAGGGAAACCCTGTTGTCTGGAATTCTAAAACCTTTACCTGCAACAAGTATGTATTGTTCTTATTATGTTCCAGGTACAGTTTTTTGTGCTGGGGATAAAGCAGTGAATGAAACAAAGTCTGTCAGTATTTGGCAGAAATACACACATATGCAAACACGCACATACACACACAGATGCTCACATTTAAAAAATGGTTCAATTCTGTACATATTATTTTGTAACCTGCCTTTTTTTCTCTTAGAAGTATATTGTGAATTCTTTTTATATCAATGAGTTTTCTGCAACATGATTTTTAGTGGCTACTTGGTATCTCATGGAATGAGTGTTCTATAACTAATTAATATTTTATGTTTGGACATTTAATTTCCTTCTAAATTTTGTTATAAATAATTTACAATTAATACTGTTTTTTGTGTCTAATTATTTCTAAGAACAATTTAATTAGATTTAATACCTATTGTTTACTCTTTAAAAATCTTTTTATTAGGGAGAACTTTAAACATAGTTTAGCAAAGTTGAGAAAGTGAACCTATATGTATTCATCACCCAGTTTCAACAATTATTAATTCCTTGGCCAATCTTACATAATATATTCCCCTATATATACTGCATCCTTTATTATTTTGAAGTTAATCTTAGATATGTTCTTAACTTGTAGCATGCATCTCTAAATGATAAGAATATTAAATAATTTATCACCATATTAGCATTATCTGTGGTATAATTTGAAATGTAACTTATTCTTGAAATTATAAAAAATTAGGAAGAATTTGGAGAAAATGGAGACTATTCTATACAGAATCTTCACCTCCCCTCAAGATTTAGAAAACTTTGTATTGAGAGCTAGGAAAAATTTTGACAGAATTATTTTTTCCTTTTTTATTTTTTTAAGAGACAGGGTCTTGCTCTGTAGTCCAGGCTGGAGTGCAGTGGCACAGTCATAGCTCACTATAACCTCATACTCCTGGGCTCAAGGGATTCTCCTGCCTCAGCCTCCTCAATAGCTAGGACTACAGGCACCCATTACTATGCCTGGCTAATTTTAAAATGTTTTGTAGAGACAGGATCTTGCTACATTGCCCAGGCTAGTTTTGAATTCCTGGCCTCAAGCAGTCATTTCACCTCGACCTTCCAAAGTGCTGGAATTGCAGGTATGAGCCACTGTTTCTGGCTGGAAATTCTTACATTGAACAGGAAACAACAAAAATGAGATACAACAAGCTTACTGTTTTGAAGTGCTAGAGAATTTGGATGTCACTGAAAAAAAAAAGGCATATCCTAATGTGTCTGGAATTGGTGGGTTCTTGGTCTCACTGACTTAAGAATGAAGCTGTGGACCCTTGTGGTGAGTGTTACAGTTCTTAAAGATGGTGTGTCCGGAGTTTGTTCCCTCTGATGTTCGGACACGTTTGGAGTTTCTTCCTTCTGGTGGGTTCGTGGTCTTGCTGGCTTCAGGAGTGAAGCTACAGACCGTTGCGGTGACTGTTACAGCTCTTAAAGCAGTGTGTCTGGAGTTGTTCATTCCTCCCGGTGGGTTCATGGTCTCGCTGGCCTCAGGAGTGAAGCTGCAGACCTTCGAGGTGAGTGTTACAGCTCATAAAGGCAGTGCAGACCCAAAGAGTGAGCAGCAATAACATTTATTGCAAAGAGCGAAAGAACAAAGCTTCCACAGTGTGGAAGGGGACCGAGCGGGTTACCACTGCTGGCTTGGGCAGCTTGCTTTTATTCCCTTATCTGACCCCACCCACATCCTGCTGATTGGCCCATTTCACAGAGAACTGATTGGTCCATTTTATAGAGAGCTGATTGGTCTGTTTTGATAGGGTGCTGATTGGTGCGTTTACAATCCCTGAGCTAGACAGAGTGCTAATTGGTGTATTTACAATCCTCTAGCTAGACACAGAGTGCTGGTTGGTGTGTTTACAAACCTTGAGCTAGACACAGAGTGCTGATTGGTGCATATACAATCCTTTGGCTAGATATAAAAGTTCTCCAAGTCCCCACCCAACACAGGAACCCAGCTGGCTTCGCCTAGTGAATCCCATGCCAGGGCCACGGGTGGAGCTGCCTGCCAGTCCCGCACTGTGCGCCTGCACTCCTCAGCCCTTGGGCGGTTTATGGGACCGGACGCCGTGGAGCAGGGGCCAGCGCCTGTTGGGGAGGCTCCGGCTGCACGGGAGCCCACCTTGGTGGGGGGGGCTCTGGCATGGGGGGCTGCAGGTCCTGAGCCCTGCCCTGTGGGGAGGTGGCTGAGGCCTGGCAAGAATTCGAGCTCAGCGCGGGAGGGCCGGCAGTGCTGGGGTACCCGGTGCCCCTTCCGCAGCTGCTGGCCCGGGTGCTAAGCCCTTCACTGCCCAGGGCTGGCGGCATCAGCTGGCCACTCTGAGTGCGGGGCCCATCAAGCCCACACCCACCCGGAACTCGTGCTGGCCCATGAGTGCTGCGCGCAGTCCTGGTTCCTGCCCACGCTTCTCCCTCCACACCTTCCCGCAAGCAGAGGGAGCCGGCTCCGGCCTTGGCCAGCCCAGAGAGGGGCTCCCACAGTGCAGCGGCAGGCTGAAGGGCTCCTCAAGCGTGGCCAGAGTGGACACCGAGGCCGAGGAGGTGCTGAGAGTGAGTGAGGGCTGCTAGCACGTTGTTACCTCTCAATCCCCCCTCTAAACAGGACACCCCAACTGCTGTTGGGAATTTGGCCGATGACCGCTCTAACTACTTCCTGCTGGATAGGGGCTTTGAAGGGGCCCTGCAGTTGTAGTGTCCTCCAGAGGGGAGCTCTCTAGGCCATTGAAAGTGCCAGCAGGTCGGTCCAGGGGTCCTCGGTAGAAGTTGTTAGTTGAACTCATTTGAGGTTCCATTTGTAAGACCATCTGTAGCTTGGTGGCCTCAATTCTAGAGGAAACAAAACAAGGAGGTTAAAAATATAGGGTCCAAAGGCGAGTAGCGGCAAGATGGCTGCCACGGGACCTAGAAAGGGGAGAAGCCATGTTGCCCAACTCCAGAGGTTGGTATAAGAATTTGAAAGGCGTCTGATTTCAGAAGCCTTTTCCTGTAAACGCTGGGTGGCATCTTGTACTATCCCTGGCTGATTAGTGTAAAAACAACACTCTTCCCCTAGGAAGGTGCAGAGTCCTCCTTTCTCAGCAGTGAGGAGGTCTAGGCCTCGGCAGTTTTGGAGAGTCACTGCTGCTAAAGAGTCTATTTGGGATTGTAGAGTAAGGATAGATTTCATTATTTCTTGAAAACTGTCTGAAAAATCCTTTGAGAGTGTGTGGTAGTAGGATAATGAAGTAGATAAACTGGCTCTTCCGGTTCCTGTAGCAGTAGCCATTCCTAACCCTATTAAGTAGGGGTATTAGTTGTATGGCTCTGTGCTGATGGACTTGAGCTTTGAGGGGTACTGATAGGGTCTGATTTCCTGGGGCAATGTTAATGTTGGAACTTGGAAAGACTAAGGTGCAGGTGCCGGTCCAGTTAGTGGGGAGGCAGATATAGGTAGACATTCCACATAAGAAGAATATACCTTGGCTGGGTAGACAGAACCTTACCCTGGCTTTTAAAGGAATAGGGTACACTGCTTTTTTCTTTACTAATTCTATCTCCCTTTCTTTTTGACTTCTTTGTTGTCTCTCTCTTTCTCTGTGACTCCCTCTTTTTCTCTCTGTCTCTTCCCCTGTGTCTCTCTGACTTTGTCTCTTTCTCTCTTTCCTTTCTGCTTGTCTTTCCCTGCCTCTGCCAGCAGCTTATGCTGCTGTTCTTCCCTCTCCTTCCCCTTTTGATGGCTTTGGCAATGTAAGACTGCCGTCACTTTGGGTTTTTGCACTGCATGTAATACTAATGTTTAAAAATGATTGCTTTTATCTTTGATTCAGTATATTTCCATTGCCAGTATAATAGGAGATTATGCTCTTGCCTAAACTTAATGAGATAGTCAAATGATAGATGTCTTAAGTCTGTTTGTGCTGCTGTAACAAAATGCCATAGACTGGGTAATTTATAAAGAAGAGAAATTTATTTACTCATGGTTCTAAAGACTGGGAAGTCCAAGATCAAGCTGCCAGCAGGTTTGGTTGTCCAATAAGGGCTGCTCTCTGCCTCCAAGATAGTGTCTTGTTGCTATATCCTCTGGTGGTGAGGAATGCTGTGTTTTCACATTGTGAAAGGACAGGGGTGAAATCTCTTTCATTAGGGTCTTAATCCCATTCACGAGGTGAGGAGCCCTCATGACCTAATTACCTCTTAAAGGCCTGATTTTTTTTAAAGGGTCTTGCTCTGTTGCCTAGGTTGGAGTGTGGTGGCATGATCATAGCTCACTATAACCTCAAACTTCTGAAAGTACCCCACCTTTTAATACATGACATTGACCGTTTAGATTCAGCACCTGAATTTTGGAGGGGACATATCCAAAACATAGCAATAGGAAAACCAGATTGCATTTGCTAGTTGCTTATTTTAAAAAGATGATTCTAGAGTATGTCTGCCTAAGCATATAAGAAATCCTCTGTTTTAACTTCCAGGAGAGGTACTTTGTGGGTAACTTGTTCTCCACAAAATTCCCAAGCAACTAGAAGAGTACATGCTCTAAAGCCACTCAGTCAAGAATAACGTTTTTGGGGGCCTTTGATTAAAAACATTACCTTTATGATGATATTCTGAGGTGTTAAAATTCACAATATGTCAAAGACAGATGAAACTCTGTACATTATATTGTGTTTGCCAAGTCAGGAAAATAGAAAATTGTGTTGTATGTGTATTTTATATTGACATAGAAATATAGAAATATAGAAAATTCTCGTGTTTACTGGATTCATTTGGGGGATCTTTGACTTATTTGTTTAAAGTGAGCCAGATTATGAGCTGCCTTGAAGCAAACTTTTTACTCCTGGAGAATAATGTAGCCATTAGATTACTTGTTTGGTTTAATATTAATGAGATTTGTTAGTATAGTGCTGCCTCTATTGCTGTATCATGTGGATGGCTTCATCTTGAGCTTAGCCATGAAGGTGAAGTCTCTTTGATTTCTAAGGCACAATTGTCAATTTTTAAAAAAGATTGCTTCTCTTTCTATAGGAATATGCTCTTTAATCGTTCACAAAATGTTTCTACTTTATTCCTCTCCCTGCTCATTAGTTCCCCTCCCTCTTTTAAAATTTCTTTCTCTGCTCGGTCTATTTCATCAACCATTCTTTTGCTAATATCTTTAACTCCCTTATATCATTGTTGTTCTGTGGCATCTGCCTGGAAAATGCTAACTCTGGACAAATTCTACTGTCAGAGTTCTGAGCAGCATTGAAGAAAATACACAAACTCTAAGATTGCCAGCTTGTCAATTTCTACTAGAAAAACTGGCTGAAGTTTTAAAAGATAGGATCATTAATATTTTTATATAATAAAGTTCATGTTCTCTAAGTGTGCAGTTTGATGAGTTTTGACAAAGTGTGTATAATCCTGTAACTCACCCAAATCAAGATTTAGAACATTTCTACCACCTCAAAAAGTTGTGTTGTGTTCCTTTGCAGTCAGTTATCTTACTTTCTCTCAGTTTTGGCATGCACCTTTCAAAGTGATGTGTAATGACATACCAGAAAGGCTTCTGGGATTTTGATTCTTATTGCCTTGATCTAAGCTCAAACTGGGGAGGATTGAGTTTAAAAATATTGTCTTCCAATCCTTGCACATGATATACTTGTCCTAAGGGAGAGAGAGAGAAGGAAAAGCCATCTGCTGATGGGGGAAGGATAGGAATATTTTTCATTCTGACTCCAGGCAAAAAATCATGTTTCTGATGGGCAAGTAGAAGCAAAAGCTGTCTGCCCTTCAGGTGGGCCAAGAAACCACCCACTAGCAGCAAATGCTGATATAGAAGCTGCAATAAGTTATCAGAAGATCTAGTTAAGGTAATCGATGAGTGTAGCTGCTGTAAACAACAGAGTTTCAATGTAGATGAAACAGCTTTCTACTGGAAGATGGTGTCATCTAGGACTGTCATAGCTAGGGAAAAGATGTCAGTGGCTGGCTTCAAAACTTCAAAGTACAGGCTGACTTTCTTGTTAGGGACTGGTGAGGTTGGTGACTTTAAGTTGAAGCCAGTGCTCACTATCAGTCCAGAAATCCGAGGCCTGACTTTTTAATAATTGTCATTCTGACTGGTACAAATGGTATATTATTGTGGTTTTGATTTGCATTTCTCTTATGATTAGTCATGTTGAGCATTTTTTCATATGTTTGGCTACTTGTATGTCTTCTTTTGATGAAAGTTTGTTCATGTCTTTTGCCGATTTTTAAAATGGGATTATTTGCTTTTTACTTTTTGATTTAAGTTTCTTACAGATTCTAGATATTAGACCTTTGACGGCTGCATAGTTTGCAAATATTTTCTCCTATTCTGTAGATTGTCTGTTTACTCTGTTGAGAGTTTCTTTTGCTGCACAAAAGCAGCTCTTTAGGTTAATTAGGTCCCACTTGTCAGTTTTTTGGTTGCAATTGCTTTTAGTCATAAATTCTTTCCCAAGGCTGATGTCCAGAATGGTGTTTCCTCTTTTTTCTTCTGGGATTCCTACAGTTTGAGGTCTTCTGTTTAAATCTTTAATCTATCTTGAGTTAGGGGTCCAGTTTCATTCTTTTGCGTATGGCTAGTCAGCTATCCCAGCACCATTTATTGAATTAAGGAGTCCTTTCCCTATTGCTTTTGTCAATTTTGTTGAAGATCAGATGGCTGTAGGTGTGCAGCTTTATTTCTGGGTTCTCTTTTCAGTTCCATTGGTCTATGTGTCTGTTTTGGTACCAGTACCATGATTTTTTGGTTAAAGTAGCCTTATAGTATAGTTTGAAGTTGGGTAATGTGATATCTCTGACTTTGTCCTTTTTACTTACAGTTGCCTTGGCTGTTCAGGCCCTTTTTTGGTTCCATATGAATTTTAGAATAGTTTTTTTCTAGTTTTGTCCAAAATGATGTTGGTAGCTTGATAGGAATAGTGTTGAATCTGTGTATTCCTTTGGGCTGTGTGGCCATTTTAATGATGTTGATTTTTCCACTTCATGAACATGAAATGTTTTTTATTTTTAATGATATTGATTTTTCCACTTCATGAACATGAAATGTTTTTCCATTTGTTTGTGTCATCTCTGATTTCTTTCAGCAGTGTTTTATAGTTCTCCTTGTAGAGATCCTTCATCCCCTTGGTTAGATGTATTCCTAGGTATTGTATTGTATTGTATTGTATTGTATTGTATTGTATTGTATTGTATTGTATTGTATTGTATTGTATTTTGTGGCCATTGTAAATGGGATCGTGTTCTTGACTTGGCTCTCAGCTGGAACGTTACTGGTGTATAGAAATGCTACTGGTTTTTGTTCATTTTGTATCCTGAAACGTTACTCAAGTAGTTTATCAGTTCCAGGAGCCTTTGGTGGAGCCTTTCAGGTTTTCTAGGTATAGAACCATATTTTCCGTGAAGAGATATTGTTTGCCTTCTCCTTTTTCTATTTGGATGCCTTTTATTTCTTTCTTTTGCCTTATTGTTCTGGCAAGGACTTCCAGTACTGTGTTCAATAGGGGTGCTAAGAGTGGGCATCCTTGTCTTATTCCAGTTCTCAAGGGGAATGCTTCCATTTTTTGCTTATTCAGTATGATGTTGGCTGTGGAGTTGTCATAGATGGCTCTTACTGTTTTGAGGTATGTTCCTTTGATGTCTAGTTTGTTCAAGAGGTTTTTTTTTTTTTTTTTTATCATGAAGGGATGTTGGATTTTATTGAAAGCTTTTTCCATGTCTGTTGGGATGGTCATATGACTTTTATTTTAAATTCTGTTTATGTGGTGGATCACATTTATTGATTTGCATATGTTGAACCAACCTTGCATCCCAGGAATGAAACTTACTTGACCACAGTGAATTAAGTTTTTGATGTGCTGCTGGATTTGGTGTACTAGTATGTATATATATATATATATATATATATATTTTTTTTTTTTTTTTTTTTTTTTTGCGACGGAGTTTTGCTCTTGTCTGGCTCTTGTTGCGCAGGCTGGAGTGCAATGGCGCGATCTCGTCTCACAGCAACCCCTGCCTCCCGGGTTCAAGCCATTCTCCTGCCTCAAGCCTCTGGAGTAGCTGGGATTACAGGCATGCACCACCACGCCTGGCTAACTTGGGTTTTTTAGTAGAGCCGGGGTTTCTCCATGTTGGTCAGGCTGGTCTCGAACTCCCAACCTCAGGTGACCCACCTGCCTTAGGCTCCCAAAGTGCTGGGATTACAGGCGTGAGCCACTGTGCCGAGCCTTGGTTTACTAGTTATTTTACTGAGGATTTTTGTGTCTTATGTTCATCAGGGATATTGGTTTGTAGTTTTCTTTTTTCTTTGTGTCTTTGCCAGGTTTTCGTATCAGGGTGATGCATCCTTCGAATGAGTTGCAGTGAGTTCCTCCTTGATTTTTGGAATAGTTTCAGAAGGATTGATACCAGCCCTTCTTTGTACATCTGATAGAATTCGGCTGTAAATCCATGTGGTCCAGGGATTTTTTTGGTTGATAAGTTTTTAATTATTGATTCAATTTCAGAATTCAATACTGATGTCTGCTCAGGGTTTCTATTTCTTCCTGATTCAATCTTGGGAGATTGTGGGTTTCCAAGAATTTATCCATTTTCTCTAGGTTTTCTAGTTTGCGTAAATAGGAGTGTTCATAATTGTCCCTAAGGAACTTTTGTATTTTTGTGGCATTGGTTGCTTGTCACCTTTGTCATTTTGATTGTGCTTATTTGGATCTTCTCTCTCTTTTTTCTTTTGTTAATCTAGCTTGCAGTCTGTCGGTCTTGTTTTTCCTCTTAGAAAACCAACTTTTTGTTTCATCGATCCTTTGTATTTTTGGTCTTAATTTGATTTAGTTCTTTGCTTTTATTTCTTCTGCTGTCTTTATGGTTAGTTTGTTCTTTTGTTTCTAGTTCCTCTAGATATAATAGATTGTTGATTTGAGATTTTTCTGATTTTTTGAGGTAGGTGTTTAGTGTTGTAAACTTTCCTGTTTATACTTTTTTGCTGCTTCCCAGAGATTTTGATACTCTGTTTTCATTTATTTCAAAGAACTTTTTGATTTCTGCTTTAATTTAATTGTTTACCCAAAAGTCATTCAGGAGTAAGTTGTTTAATTTCCATGTAATTATGTGGTTCTGAGAGATCTTCATGGTATTGATTTTTATTTTTATTACACTGTGGTCTGAGAGTATGGTTGGTATGATTTTGTTTTTTTTTTGAATTAATTGAGACATGTTTTATGGCCGAGCATGTGGTTGATCTCGTAGTATCTTCCATGTGCAGACGAGAACAGTGTATCTTCAGTGGTTGATGGATGAAGTAGTCTGCAGATGTCTGTTAGGTCCAATTCATCATGTGTTGAATTTAAGTCCAGAATTTCTTTGTTAGTTTTCTGCCTCAGTGGTCAGGCTAATGCATTAGTCAGTGGGCTGTTGAAGTCTCCCATTATTATGTATGGTTGTTTAAGTCTTTTCCTAGGTCTAGAAGTATTTGTTTGCTTGTTTGTTTTGAGACTGTCTCACTCTGATTGCCCAGACTGGAGTGCAGTGGTACAATTTCGGCTCCAACCTCCCAGATTCAGGTGATTCTCCCATCTCAGCTTCCTGAGTAGCTGGGGCTGCAGGCTTGTGCCGCCACATCTGGCTAATTTTTTGTATTTTTTGTAGAGATGGGGTTTCTCCATTTTTTTATTAAAATTTTTTTTTAATTTCCATAAGTTATTGGGGAACAGGTGGTGTTTGGTTACAGGAGTAAGTTCTTCAGTGGTGATTTGTGAGATTTTGTTGCACCCATCACCTGAGCAGTATACACTGTACCCAATTTGTCGTCTTTTATCCCTTATCCGCTTCCCACCCTTTCCCCCTGAGTCTCCAAAGTCCATTGTGTCATTCTTATGCCTTTGCGTCCTCATAGCTTAGCTCCCACATATCAGTGAGAACATATGATGTTTGGTTTTCTATTCCAGAGTTACTTCACTTAGAATAATAGTCTCCAATCTCCTCTAGGTTGCTGTGAATGCCATTAATTCATTCCTTTTTATGGCTGAGTAGTATTCCATCATATATATACATACACACACACATACACATATATGTACACACATATGTAATACACACACACACACACACACACACACACATACAGTCTCTTTATCCAGTTGTTGATTGATGGGCATTTAGGTTGGTTCCACATTTTTGCAATTGCGAACTGTGCTGCTATAAACTTGCGTGCAAGTGTCTTTTTCTTATAATGACTTCTTTTCCTCTGGGTAGATACCCAGGAGTGGGATTGCTGGAGCAAATGGTAGTTTTACTTTTAGTTCTTTTTTTTCTTTGAGACGGAGTTTTACTGTTGTTGCCCAGGCTGGAGTGCAATGGTGCAATCTCAGCTCACCGCAACATCCACTTCCTGGGTTAAAGTGATTTCTCCTGCCTCAGTCTTCCAAGTAGCTGGGATTACAGGCATGCGCCACCATGCCCAGCTAATTTTGTATTTTTTTTTAGTAGGGGCGGGGTTTCTCCATGTTGGTCAGCCTGGTCTCGAACTCCCAACCTCAGGTGATCTGCCCACCTCGGCCTCCCAAAGTGTCGGGATCACAGGCGTGAGCCACTGCTCCCAGCCCTACTTTTAGTTCTTTAAGGAATCTCCACACTGTTTTCCATAGTGGTTGTACTAGTTACATTCCCACTAGCAGTGCAGAAGTGTTCCCTGTTCACTCCATCCCCGACAACATCAATTATTTTTTGATTATGGCCATTGTTGCAGAAGTAAGGTGGAATCGCATTTTGGTTTTGATTTGCATTTCTTGATCTATTAGTGATGTTGAGCATTTTTTCCTATGTTTGTTGGCCATTCGTATATCTTCTTTTGAGAATTGTCTATTCATGTCCTTAGCCCACTTTTTGATGGGATTGTTTGTTTTTTCTTAATTTGTTTGTGTTTGTTTTAGATTCTGGATATTAGTCCTTTGTCAGATGTATAGATTGTGAAGATTTTCTCCCACTCTATGGGTTGTCTGTTTACTCTGCTGACCGTTCTTTTGTCGTGCAAAAGCTCTTTAGTTTAAGTCCCAGCTATTTATCTTTGTTTTTATTGCATTTGCTTTTGGGTTCTTGGTCATGAAATCATTGACTAAGCCAATGTCTAGAAGAGTTTTTCCAATGTTATCTTCCAGAATTTTTATAGTTTCAGGTCTTAGATTTAAGTCCCTGATCCATCTTGAGCTGATTTTTTATAAGGTGAGAGATGAGGATCCAGTTTCATTCTCCTACATGTGGCTTGTCAGTTGTCCTAGCACCATTTGTTGAATAGGGTGACCTTTCCCCACTTTGTTTTTGTTTGCTTTGTCGAATATCAGTTGGCTGTAAGTATTTGGGCTTATTTCTGGGTTCTTTCTGTTCCATTGGTCCATGTGCCTATTTTTATACCAGTACCATGCTGTTTTGGTGACTGTGGCCTTAGAGTATAGTTTGAAATCAGGTAATGCGATGCCTCCAGATTTGTTCTTTTTGCTTAGTCTTGCTTTGGCTATGTGGGCTCTTTTTTGGTTCCATATGAGTTTTAGGATTGTTTTTTCTAATTCTGTGAAGAATGATGGTGGTATTTTGATGGGAATTGCATTGAATTTGTAGATTGCTTTTGGCAGTATGGTCATTATCACAATATTGATTCTACCCATCAATGAGCATGGGATGTGTTTCCATTTGTTTGTGTCATCTATGATTTCTTTCAGCAGTGTTTTGTAGTTTTCATTGTAGAGGTCTTTTACCTCCTTGGTTAGGTGTATTCCTAAGTATTTTATTTATTTTTGCAGCTATTGTAAGAGGAGTTAAGTTCTTGATTTGATTCTCAGCTTGGTCGCTGTTGGTGTATAGAAGAGATACTGATTGTGTACATTAATGTTGTATCTGGAAACTTTGCTGAATTCTTTTATCAGTTCTAGGAGCTTTCTGTGGGAGTCTTTAGGGTTTTCTAGGTAAACAATCATATCATCAGCAAACAGCAACAGCTTGACTTCCTCTTAACCGATTTGAATGCCTTTTTTTTTTTTTTGAGACGGAGTCTCACCCTGTCCCCCAGGCTGGAGTGCAATGGCGCGATCTCAGCTCACTGCAACCTCTGCCTCTGGGGTTCAAGTGATTCTCCTGCCTCAGCCTCCCAAGTAGCTGGGATTACAGGCGCCTGCCACCATGCCCAACTAAGTTTTTGTATTTTTAGTAGAGACGGGGTTTCACTATGTTGGCCAGGCTGATCTCGAACTCCTGACCTCGTGATCCACCTGCCTCAGCCTCCCAAAGTGCTGGGGTTACAGGCGTGAGCCACCACACCCGGCTTAGATGCCCTTTATTTCTTTCTCTTGTCTAAGTGGTCTGTCTAGGACTTCCAGTACTATGTTGAAGAGGAGTGGTGAGAGTGGGCATCCTTGTCTTGTTCCAGTTCTCAGAGGGAGTGCTTTCAGCTTTTTCCTATTCAGTATTACATTGGCTGTGGGTTTGTCATAGATGTCTTTTATTACATTGAGGTATGTCCCTTGTATGCTGATTTTGCTGAGTTTTAATCATAGAGGGATGTTGGAGTTTGTTGAATGCTTTTCTGCATCTGTTGAGACGATCATGTGATTTTCGTGTTCGATTCTGTTTACGTGGTGTATCATCACATTGTGTATGTTAAACCATCACTGCATCCCTGGTATGAAACCCACTTGATCATGGTGGATTATCTTTTTGATATGTTGTCGGATTTGGTTAGCTAGTATTTTGTTAAGGATTTTAACTTATATGTTAATCAGGGATATTGGTCTGTAGTTTTCTTTTTTGGTTACATCCTTTCCTGGTTTTGGTATTAGGGTGATACTGGCTTCATAGAATGATTTCGGGAGGGTTCCTTCTTTTTCTGTCTTGTGGTATAGTTTCAGTAGGATTGGCACCAATTCTTCTTTGAATGTCTGGTAGACTTCTGCTTCTGCTGTGAATCTCTCTAGTCCTGGACTTTTTTTTTTTTTTTTTTTGAGATGAAGTCTCCTTCTTGTCCCCCAGTCTGGAGTGCAATGGCGCGATTTCGCCTCATTGCAACCTCTGCCTCCCGGGTTCAAGCAATTCTCCTGCCTCAGCCTCCCGAGTAGCTGGGACTACAGCTGCTTACCACCACGCCCAGCTACTTTTTTCTATTTTAAGTAGAGACAGGGTTTCACCATGTTGGGCAGGCTGGTCTTGAACTCCTGATCTCAGGTGATCCACCTGCCTCGGCCTCCCAGGTGCCTTGTTTGTAATTTTTAAATTATCATTTCAATCTTGCTGCTTGCTGTCGATCTGTTCAGGGTATCTAATTCTTCCTGATTTAAGCCAGGAAGGTTTTATCTTTCCAGGAATTTATCTATCTCCTCTAGGTTTTCTAGTTTATGCACATAAAGGGGTTCATAGTAGCCTTGAATGATCTTTTGTATTTCCTTGGTATCAGTTGTAATATCTCCCTTTTCGGTTCTAATTGAGCTTATTTGGATTTTCTTTCTTCTTTTCTTGGTAATCTTGTTAATGTTCTATTAATTTTATTTTATCTTTTCAAAGAACCAGCTTTTTGTTTCATTTATCTTTTGTATTTTTTTTGTTTCAATTTAATTTATTTCTGCTCTGATCTTGGTTATTTCCTTTCTTATACTGGGTTTGGGTTTGGTTTGTTCTTGGTTCTCTAGGTCCTTGAGGTGTGGCCTTAGATTGTCTGTGCTCTTTCAGACTTTTTGATGTAGGCATTTAGGGTTATAAACTTTCCTCTAAGCACTGCCTTGCTGTATCCCAGAGGTTTTGATAGGTTGGGTCACTATTGTTGTTCAGTTCGAAGAATTTTTAAATTTCCATCTTGATTTCATTTTTGACCCAATGATCATTTAAAAGCAGGTTATTTAATTTCCATGTATTTGCATGATTTTGAAGTTTCCTTTTAGAGTTGATTTTCCATTTTATTCCACTGTGGTCTGAGAGAGTACTTGATATTATTTCAGTTTTCTTAAATTTATTGAGGCTCGTTTTGTGGCCTCTCATATGGTCTATCTTGGAGAAAGTTCCATGTGCTGTTGAATAGAATGTATATTCTGCAGTTGTTGAGTAGAATGTTCTGTATAATCTGTTAAGTCCATTTGTTCCAGGGTATAGTTTAAATCCATTGTTTCTTTGTTGACTTTCTGTGTTGATGACCTGTCTAGTGCTGTCAGTGGAGTGTTGATGTCCCCCACTATTATAGTTGCTGTCTCATTTCTTAAGTCTATTAGTAATTGTTTTATAAATTTGGGAGCTCCAGTGTTAGGTGCATATATATTTAGGATTGTGATATTTTCCTGTTGGACAAGGCCTTTTATGACTCTCTTTGTCTTTTTTAATGGCTGTTGCTTTAAAGTTTGTTTTGTCTGGTATAAGAATAGCTATTCCTACTCGCTTTTGGTGTCCATTTGCATGGAATGTCTTTTTCCACCCCTTTAGCTTAAGTTTATGTGAGTCCTTATGTGTTAGGTGTGTTTCTTGAAGGCAGCAGATGGTTGGTGAATTCTTATCCGTTCTGCAATTATATATGTATTTTTTTTTTTGTTTGTTTGTTTGTTTGTTTTTTCTGAGATGGAGTCTTACTCCATCACCCAGGCTGGAGTGCAGTGGTATAATCAGGGCTCACTGCAACTTCCGCCTCCTGGGTTCAAGCAGTTCTCCTGTCTCAGCCTCCTGAGTAGCTGGGATTACAGGCGCGCACCACCACGCCCGGCTAATTTTTGTATTTTTAGTAGAAACAGGGTTTCACCATGTTGTCCAGGCTGGTCTCGAACTCCTGGCCTTGTGATCTGCCTGCCTCGGCCTCCCAGTATTGAGATTACCCCCGTGAGCCACCATGCCCGGCCAGTTCTGTATCTTTTAAGTGGAATGTTTAGGCTATTTACATTCAACGTTGGTATTGAGATGTGAGGTATCATTCCATTCATTATGCGATTTGTTGCCTGTATACCTTGGTTTTCTTGTTTTGTTTTGTTTTTTAAATTGTATTTTTGTTTTGTAGGTCCTGTGAGATTTATGCTTTAAAGGGGTTCTGTTTTGATGTGTTTTCTGGCTTTGTTTCAAGATTTAGAGCTCCTTTTAGCAGTTTTTGTAATGCTGGCTTGGTAGTGGCAAATTCTCTCAGCATTTGTTTGTCTGAAAAAGACTGTATCTTTCCGACATTTATGTAGCTTAGTTTCGCTGGGTGCAAAATTCTTGGCTGATAATTGTTTTGTTTGAGGAGGCTGAAGACAGGGCTGCAATCCCTTCTAGCTTGTAAAGTTTTTGCTGAGAAATCTGCTGCTAATCTGATAGGTTTTCCTTTAAAGGTTACCTGGTGCTTTTTCCTCATGGCTCTTAAGACTCTTTTCTTTGTCTTAACTTTAGATAATTTGATGACAGTGTGTCTAGGCGATGATCTTTTTGTGATGAATTCCCCAGGTGTTCTTTGAGCTTCTTGTATTTGGATGTCTGGGTCTCTATCAAGGCTGGGAAGTTTTCCTCAATTATTCCCCCAAATATATTTTCCAGACTTTTAGATTTATCTTCTTTCTCAGGAATGCTGATTATTCTTAGGTTTGGTCGTTTAACATAATCCCAGACTTCTTGGAGGCTTTGTCCATATTTTCTTATTCTTTTTCCTTTGTCTTTGTTGGATTGGGTTAATTCAAAAACCTTGTCTTTGAGCTCTCAAGTTCGTTCTTCTGCTTGTTTGATTCTATTGCTGAGACTCTCCAGAGCATTTTGCATTTCTGTAAATGTGTCCATTGTTTCCTGAAGTTTTTTTATTTATGCTATCTATTTCATTAAATATCTCTTCCTTCAGTTCTTGTTTTTTTTTTTTTTTTTTTTTTTTTTTGAGGTGGAGTCTCGCTCTGTTGCCAGATTGGAGTGCAGTGGTGCGACCTCAGCTCACTGCAACCTCCAGCTCCTGGGTTCAAGTGATTCTTCTGCCTCAGCCTCCCGAGTAGCTGGGACTACAGGCATGCACCACCACACCAAGCTAATTTTTGTATTTTTAGTAGAGACGGGGTTTCACCATGTTGGCCAGGAAGGTCTCGATCTCCTGACCTCTTGATCTGCCCGTCTTGGCCTCTCAAAGTGCTGGGATTACAGGCGTGAGCCACCGCACCACATTGACCTTGGACGGCCTGGTGAGTATATGCCTTGGTGATGTTCATTTTGTATGTTATCTCACAAGTGTTGTCTGGATTTGTATATTATCTCACAGTTGTTGTCTGGATTTGTTGTATCTGGATGTCTACTACTCTAGCAAGATTAGGGAAATTTTTTTGAGTTAGTTCCTCAAATATATTTTCCAGGTTGTTTGCTTTTTCTCTTTCTGTATCATGAATGCTAATAATTTATAGGTTTGATCGCTTTACATAATCCTGTATTTCTTAAAGACTTTGTTCAATTTTAAAAGTTCATTTTCCTCTATTTTTGTTGACTGGGTTAGTTCAAAAGATCAGCTTTCATTCCTTTCTTCTTTTTTCCTTTTGTTCATCTGTTTTGCAGTGATGTGATCATGGCTCACTGCAGCCTTGAACTCCCAGGCTCAGGTGATCCTTTCACCCCAGCCTCCCAAGTAGCTAGAACGATAGGTGCAAACCATCATGCCCAGCTAATTTTTAAATTTCTTTGGAAAGACACGGTCTCTTTATGTTTTCCAGGATGGTCTCAAGCTACTTGGCTCAAATGGTCTTCCTACGTCAGCCTCCTCAAGTGTTGGGATTATAGGCATGAGCCACCATGCCTGGCCTGAAATTCTTTCTTTTGCTTGGTCCAGTCTATTGATAAAGCTTTCAGTTATATTTTGAAATTTCTTAAGTAAACCTTTTTCATTTCCAGAAGCTCTGATTGATTTCTTTTAAAAATCTTTACCTCTTATTTCCTGGATTTCCTTTGAAGTTTTTTAGTATTGATTTTCAATCTTGTCTTGGATCTCTGAGCTTCCTTGCAACCCATGCTTTGAGTTCTTTGTCATTTCTGAGTGTCCTTGTTGGTTGGGGACCATTGCTGGAGAGCTAGTGTGATCCTTCTGTGGTGGCACTACATTCAGATTTTTTCATGGTGCCAGTATTCTTGTACTGGTTTCTTCCCATCTGGAGACACTGGCACTGCTAATTTGTGTAATTATTTTCGTACTGGTAGGATTTTTTCTTTCTTGTCTTACAATGTTGTTTTTTTCTTCTTTCCCTTTCCCCTACTCCTTAGGGGTTGTGAGTGGAAATAATGCTGTGTAGAGTCTTTTGGCTTTGTTTTTATAGTCCTATGCACTTCAGTTGGCAGGTTTTATATTGGGCTGTGTAGTTTGGCCTATAAGCTTATGGGTAAGAGCCAGGTGTTGCCAGTGTGACTGGGTATATATTTGATCCTTGTTTACTGGGAGCAGCTCTCCGTTGCCTCAGGCAGTGGGCTGATTTGTGGAGTGTACAGTAGTCTGAGTTTCCTGCTCAGCCCTGAGGGGGCAGAGGGAAAGATATGCAGGGCTGGACTGGGCAGGCTCACCGCCAGACCCTCCAGTGGCAAGCACAAGTGTCAGCGCATAGGGAGAATCCAGTGGGTAGTCACCAAGCACCCAGAGGTGTACCTGGGTATGAAGCTGGGAGACCTCCTTGGCCCTAAGTTCTCTGCACAGGGATGGGTGGCAGCTTAAACTCCTAATCCTGAAGAGTAGGTGCTCCAGATGGCTGGACATCTGCCTGGATATGAAGTGGAAAGGGTCCCCCTGCCACCCCACCACCACTAAGATTTCTGCGGAGGAGGGTTGGGGTGATGTAGGCTGCTGAACCAGGCAAGCAGGTGCTCTGAATGCCTGGAGTTATGCCTGGGCATGAAGCAGGGAGGGCCTGCCTGTACCCAGATCTCTTCATAGGAAGAGTGGCATGGCCCAATATGCCAATTTGGGCAAATAGGTACTTTGAATATCTGGAGATCTTCTTGGGCAATGGAGTGGAAGGGCCTTGCTGCACCATAATCTATGTATAGAAGGATGGAGCAGTTCAGGCTGCTGATCCAGGTGAGTGGGTGCTCTGAATGCCTGGGAGATCTGTCTGAGTGTGAAGCAGAGAGGGCCTCCCTACACTAGGATCTCTGCACAGGAAGGGTGAGGCAAGTCAGGCTGCTGATTCAGGTGAGCAGATGCTCTGAATGCCTGGAGATTTGCCTGGGCATGGAGCAGAGAGGGCCCCCCTGCACAGAATCTCTGCACAGGAAAAGTGGGGCAACTCAATCTGCTAGTCCATGTGAGCAGGTGCATTAGATGCCTGGGTATCTGTCTCCATGTGGAGTGGAGAGGGCCCCACTGTACCACAATCTATGCACACACAGGAAGGGTAAGGCAACTCAGACTGCGGTTGCAGGTGAGGGGGTGCTCTGAATAGCTCTAGATCTGCCTGCATGTGGAGCAGAGAGGCCTCCACTGTGCCATGATCTATATCCATGAAGGGTGAGGTGGTTCAGCCTGCTTGTCCAGGCAAACAGTTGCTCCAAATGCCTGGATTTTTGCCAGGGAGTAGAGCAGAGAGGGCCCTGCTGCACCACAGGGGAACAGGCTGTGGCAACCAATCATGGCACATGCAGACCAGTTCCAGGTTGCTAAGCTGGATCTGGCTTGAAGTCTGGTTGTCCAGGAGAAACAATAGCTGTAGCAGCTCTTCTCTCATCCTTGACCTGCAGTGGAGGAGAGCACAATCCCAGCACCTACTGCTGAGGCACTAACTACAGTGTGGCTGTGAAGACCTCTGTCCTGCTCCAGAGCCAGAAGCCTATGTGGCCATGCTACTGGGTTGCCAAAGAATGGTTGACTTGCATGCACCCACATTTAAAATAGTGTCCTGCTCTCCATCCTGGGTCTGGGAAATGCCAGTAGCTTTTCCGAGTGTCTGTCCCTCACAGCATCTCCAAATCAGCTTGTCCCCAAGTTAGATCCAGGGCTTAGAAGAAACAAAGTGCTCTTTCTTGACCTGGGTTGCTCAGATCTCCAGTGGAAAAGTGAGTCACAGAGGGAGGCTTTCTGACTGTCTTGCATACTTGGGCTTCCCTCACTTTTATCAATTGGATGCCATAATAGGGGCTGTTTGTGTTTGTGTGTCTTCCTTGGATCTGAGGTGTCTGTCACGATTCCAGTGGATTCCTGTTTTCCTTTGTGAATTAAAGCTCTCAGAGTTGGCCTTTGTACACTATCTTGCTATTTCCAAGTGAATGAGGCCCACTAAAAGCCTCTAATCTGCCATCTTGGAAATAAAAAAGGATTTAGAATATTCCATAATCTTAATTGAGAAAGCAGTGGCAGGGTTTGAGAGGATTGATTCCAATTTTGAAAGTTCTACTTGTGAGTAAGATGCATCAAACAGCATCACATGCTATAGAGAAATCTTTTGGGAAGGAAGAATTAATTGATGTGGCAAACTTCATTGTTGTCTTATTTTAAGAAATTTCCACAGCTAACCCAACCTTTTGCAACCACCACCCTGATCAGGCAGAAGCTATCAACATAGAGGCAAGATTCTCCACCAGCAAAAAGATTTTGACTCGTTGTAGGCTCAGATGATCATTGGCATTTTTAGCAATAAAGTGTTTAAAATCTTTTTTATTTTTAATTTTTATGGGTACATAGTAGGTGTATATATTGGGTACATGAGATATTTTGATACAGGCATATAATGCATAACAATCATCAGGGCATAGTGGGTATCCTTCACCTCAAACATTATTTTTATATTAAGGTATGTACGTTGTTTTTTCAGACATAATGCTATTGTACACATAATAGACTACAGTATAGTGTAAACATTTATATATCCTGGGAAAACAAACATTTTTGTGTTATTTGCTTTATTGTGGTATTTGCTTTATTGTTGCGGTATGGAACTGAACCTGCAGTATCTCTGAGATATGCCTATATGTCTTTCCTGTGACTACTTTTAGTATTCTTTCTCACTGATGTTCAGCAATTTGATCATAATATATTTTGGTTCTCTCTCTCTCTCTCTCTCTCCCTCTCCTTCTTTCTCTCTTTGTGTGTTTTATCTTTTCAAATTTGTTGAATTTGATGCATCTGTGTGGGTTTATGGTTTACATAAAATTTGGAAAATGTTTCTCCTTATTTCCCTCCTTCCTTTCCTTACTTTTCTTTCCTTACTTCCCATCCCATTTGTTTCTTTTTCATGTGGGACTCAGGCTTTTTGTTTCTTCCTTTATTTAAATAACACTTTTTCCTTTTCAAATGATTTCATCTTTTGTGCTGCACTGTCTAATCTCCTTTTAATCTTATTCAACAAAATTTATATTTCAGATTTTTTTTTTTTTTTAGCAGATAAAGGCTTGTTTTATTTTAATGATTGATCTGTATAATCACCAAGACCACTATGTACAGACAAGAGAAGGGGAGCTTTATTTCCTCGTCTCTTCCTCCTTGGACAAAGTCTTGATGCTCTCTTCCTTCTTGGCCTGGAGGCGCTCTTCATGGTACTTGCATGCTTCCTTGGTCTTAGACCAGCAGGCCTCTGCCTGGTCAGCCAGGAGCATCTTGTGGGTCTGTGTGCCTTCAGCAGGTGGATGTGTTCCATGAGAATCCACCTGTTTTTGAACACACTCCCCTTTACCTTCAGGTACAGGCTGTGATACATGTGGCGATCAGTCTTTTTAGATTCACAGTATCTTTGAGCAGCTGATGCAGAATTCCTATTCTCCTCACCCAGGTTACCTTCTCTGGCATTTGAGTATTGGCTGTACCCTTTTTGTTTACCTATGACCATGTACCTGCCCTTCTGGCAGGCCAAGGTGCTTTTTTGGCAGTGAGCCCAGGAACGGACAGTCGCAGGCTTATGGATAATCAGCCCATCTTTGATCAGCTTCTGGATCTGCTGACAGGAGTTGGCATGGCCAATTTCATTGGTCTCATTGGTGTCCAGCCAGATCTTCTTTTTGCCACAGCGGAGGACACTAGAGGCAAGCCTCTTCTGAAGCATTGAAAATACTCACAGCGTCTGCTGCAGCAACGAAAGCAAATATTTTATTTTTTATCTCTTAAATTTCCATTTATCTTTCCCCCTACCTTCCATTTCCTTTAACATCTGTGAGTATGTGAAAGTATATTCATAAGAGGTTTTCTTAAGATTTTTATCAATTTCACCACCTCGTTTCTGGGTCTGTTTTATTGGCTAATTTTTCTCTTTATGAGTTATAGTTCCTGATTACTCATAGGTTTAATAATTTTTTTTTTTATTTTTTTGACATTGTTAATTTTACATTTGTGAATGTTGAATTTTGCTTTGCTTAAGAAGTTACAGACTCGTTCTGGTAGGCAGTTAAGCAAGTTGTCTTGTGGTTTGGCTTGATGCTTTTGAGGTTAGTTTTTAAGCTCCTCTAGGGAGAATCTGGAATATCCTTTATCTTTTGGTAATATAATCTCCTTTCTAAAATAATGCTGTTCTGAGTTCTTTTCTGAATGACCTTTGTATTCGTGGAGTTCTTTCAACTCTGGATAGTGGGAAAGATTCCCTGCCTTGTGATATTTTGTGATAAATTGCCTTGTCTGGGAATTTTGCTTTTTATTCCTCCCTGGTCATTTTTTTTCGCCTTAAGAAACTGGTTTTGCTGGGCTTTGAGGAGTGTTTTGTAAGCATGCACAGATTGGCATTTCATGGAAACCTCTAGATAGATTGCTGAACCTTTTCCCTGCATAGCTCCCTTCTCCCGATACTCTGTAATGGAATTTCCATTTGCCTTGATTCCTCACCAAACTCTAAGCTCTATTTCTTCAACTCAGCAAAATTACTTGGTTCTCTTTGAGTTCTTCTTTTCCTGTGCTACAGTCTGACATAGTCTCTAGATCTAAAGCCTGGGCGATGGCAGGGCTCATCTTATTTCTTCTCCTTCTCTTGGGGACCTCAGTATATCCAGTTCTGGAATGCCTGATAGCCAGCATCTGAAAATAGTTTCTTACATTTTGTTGAGTTTTGTAGCTATTTGCAGCTGACAGATAATTCTGCTTCCTGTCATAAACCTGGTGGCTAGAAGTGGAAGTTCTACAATGGATACTTAAACTTTCAAGCTGCTTGCACTTTTGGTAGCTTTTGATGTAGCCAAATATTACCTTCTTGTGCTTCATGACCTCATTTCTTAAATATTGGTGTTTCCTTGATATGTGTTTTGTGTTTGACTCTTATTTTTTCTTAGACATTTTCTTGATGATTTTGTCTCTTCTGAAAGCTTTAAGCAATGTGCTGATGACACCAAAAATTATATTTCTAGTTCAAATCTCTCCTGAGATTTGTAAATCCAGTTGCTTACCGGAAATCTACTTTTAGATGACTAGAATTGAGCCCATCTTGTTCCCCTCCAGACTGTTTTTTTTTTCCCCTGTGTTTCTTACCTTAGTAAATGGCATTACCATCCACTCATTTGCAAAAATAAAATAATGACATTTTTTATATGGCAAAAAATCAAATAGACTGCAAAACTAAAAGCTTATAAGTGAAGTCAAAATCCAAATGAAAATGTTTATAATCTCGAAAAAAGGGCTAGTTTCCTTTGTATACACATAAGAAAAGGACCGAAAACCCAGTGGAAAAATGAGCAAAGAACAAGTAGGTGATTTAGCTTCTTAATCATATGAAAAGATGGTCAACTTCACTCATAATAATACAAGTTAAGTCTACACTGAGCTAATAAGTTTTCATCACAGATTGGCTAAAATCCAAATAATTTCATTAAATACCCTATTGATGGAACTGTGGGAAAGAAGGGCTCTCATATATTACTTGTTGGAGAATAAATTAGTACAAACTCTATGGAGGACAACTTGCTGAAATCAGTGTATATGTATATATATTTATATAACATATAATTATAATAGGTAAAATATACCATAATGTAATCAATAATTTTAATAATTACCATATAGTTATGACAATAGTGATCTTATGTTATACTACATTATTAAAATTATATTATTACATGATTATATACTTATTTGTCAGCATATCTACTTTTATATTTATGTGTGTGTGAATGTGTCTGTATTCTCAGTTTCATTTCTGGGAATTTATTCCACATATATACTAGCACATGACTTATTCATTCATTGACTTATATATAAGTTTATATATATTCATTCATTCATTCATTCATTCATTCATTCATTGACTTATATATAAGGTTACTCAGTGCAGCATTGTTTATCATATCAAAAGAGAACCTGGATGTCCATAAGCAAAAGACTGGGCAAGTAAGATATGCTATATCTCTGTAATTGAATAGGATGCAGCTGTAAAAAAGAACATTGATGCTTTATTCAGGTTGAGAATCCCTTATCTGAGATGCTTGGGACCATAAATGTTTCAGATTTCTGAATTTTGTTTTGTTTTGTTTTTTGGAGTATTTGCATATACATAATGAGATATTTTGGGGCTGGGACCCAAGGCCAAACATGAAATTTTTGTATCTACCTTATACACATAGCCTGTAGGTAATGTTATACAATATTTTAAGTAATTTTCTGCATGAAACAAAGTTTGCATACATTGAACCATCAGAAAGGAAAGGTGTCACTATCTCAGCCACCCATGTGGACAGTCTGTGGAGTTGTTTGGCATCACCTTCATTTCTGACTCTGAATTTACATGCTACTGATAAGCAATCATTTTCTTATACTTGCTCATGCATAAGTACTTAACTGCAAAAAATATGGCATAACATTAATACAGTGGAAAAAAAATATGTTCAGGGTAATGAAGCAGCACAGTGGCATTACCAGAATACCTCTATCAGCTTTTAAACAACAGGAACAACAAACAACGGCAGGCTTTTAGTTTTCACCTATGATGCTGATTTTTGATTGAAAGGTTACTATTATACACTGTGTGGTTTTTTTTTTAGTTGAGAAGAAACATCAGAAGCAGCTGAGGGGCCAGGAAATAGGTCTGCTAGGGATAAGGAAACATTCTGCTGGATGGCTTTTTTATTTTATTTTATTTTATTTTATTATTATTATACTTTAAGTTTTAGGGTACATGTGCACAATGTGCAGGTTTGTTACATATGTATACATGTGCCATGTTGGTGTGCTGCACCCATTAACTCGTCATTTAGCATTAGGTATATCTCCTAATGCTATCCCTGCCCGCTCCACCCACCCCACAACCGTCCCCGGTGTGCGATGTTCCCCTTCCTGTGTCCATGTGTTCTCATCGTTCAATTCCCACCTATGAGTGAGAACATGCGGTGTTTGGTTTTTTGTCCTTGTGATAGTTTGCTCAGAATGATGGTTTCCAGCTTCATCCATGTCCCTACAAAGGACATGAACTCATCATTTTTTATGGCTGCATAGTATTCCATGGTGTATATGTACCACATTTTCTTAATCCAGTCTATCATTGTTGGACATTTGGGTTGGTTCCAAGTCTTTGCTATTGTGAATAGTGCCGCAATAAACATACGTGTGCATGTGTCTTTATAGCAGCATGATTTATAATCCTTTGGGTATATACCCAGTAATGGGATGGCTGGGTCAAACGGTATTTCTAGTTCTAGATCCCTGAGGAATCGCCACACTGTCTTCCACAATGGTTGAACTAGTTTACAGTCCCACCAACAGTGTAAAAGTGTTCCTATTTCTCCACATCCTCTCCAGCACCTGTTGTTTCCTGACTTTTTAATGATTGCCATTCTAACTGGTGTGAGATGGTATCTCATTGTGGTTTTGATTTGCATTTCTCTGATGGTCAGTGATGATGAGCATGTTTTCATGTGTCTTTTGGCTGCATAAATGTCTTCTTTTGAGAAGTGTGTGTTCATATCCTTTGCCCACTTTTTGATGGGGTTGTTTGTTTTTTTCTTGTAAATTTGTTTGAGTTCATCGTAGATTCTGGATATTAGCCCTTTGTCAGATGAGTAGATTGCAAAAATTTTCTCCCATTCTGTAGGTTGCCTGTTCACTCTGATGGTAGTTTCTTTTGCTGTGCAGAAGCTCTTTAGTTTAATTAGATCCCATTTGTCAATTTTGGCTTTCGTTGCCATTGCTTTTAGTGTTTTAGACATGAAGTCCTTACCCATGCCTATGTCCTGAATGGTATTGCCTAGGTTTTCTTCTAGGGTTTTTCTGGTTTTAGGTCTAACATGTAAATCTTTAATCCATCTTGAATTAATTTTTGTATAAGGTGTAAGGAAGGGATCCAGTTTCAGCTTTCTACATATGGCTAGCCAGTTTTCCCAGCACCATTTATTAAATAGGGAATCCTTTCCCCATTGCTTGGATGGCTTTTTAAAATGTTTCCTCGAGAATCGTCTGCCTCATTAACAGTGGCTTTTGTCTTAGAAGTCTCTCTTTGATGTTATAAAGTGACGTGATTTCCTATTCTGTTAAGAATGCACTCTAGTCCTAAAATAAGCCCATCACACCATGTTGTCTTCCGGCACTTTTTCTGCAATGTTAACATCATCTTCATTGTCATTACTACTACCATAACCTTGATTCAGAACCATTTCTGCTATTTCTTTTTTCTTTTTTTGAGATAGGGTCTAACTCTGCCACCCAGGCTGGAGTGCAGTGGCGTGATCTCGGCTCACTGCAACCTCCATCTCCCAGGCTCAGTCTCCCAAGTAGCTGGGACCACAGGCATGTGCCATCATGCCCACCAAACGTTTTGTATTTTTTAATAGAGACAGGGTTCCGCCGTTTGCCCGGGCTGGTCTCGAACTCCTGAGCTCAAAGGATACGCCTACCTCGGCCTCCCAAAGTGCTGGAATACAGGCGTGAGCCACCGTGCCCAGCCCATTTCTGCTATTTTACCATTGGTCAATGAATGAGCAACTGGAGACTCATTATCAATGTTAAAAACTTATTTGATATCCATTTCTTCCAACTTACTGACAGACTCTGAAGGTATTTTTTTGTATATGTAAGGAAGTCAAACACCTTTTTATTTTTATTTATTTATTTTTAAAATTTTTAATTAATTTTTTTTTTTTGAGACGGAGTCTTGCTCTGTCGCCCAGGCTGGAGTGCAGCGGCGCGATCTCGGCTCACGGCAAGCTCCGCCTCCTGGGTTCACGCCATTCTCCTGCCTCAGCCTCGCAAGTAGCTGGGACTACAGGTACCCGCCACCATGCCTGGCTTATTTTTCGTATTTTTAGTAGAGACGGGGTTTCACCGTGTTAGCCAGGATGGTCTCGGTCTCCTGACCTCGTGATCCACCGCCTCGGCCTTCCAAAGTGCTGGGATTACAGGCGTGAGCCACCGCTCCTGGCCTATTTTTTTTTTTTTTTATCTTGACATACAGAATCCTTCAAAGTCATTGCCTTGTTCATCATCGTTACTGAACATAGTTGCAAGCTAGAGATTGTGCCAGGTATGCACAACTGTGTCTTTAGATACTGTGTTCCAGTCATCGACAATAGCATATACAGCATTCTAAATGCTGAACTGCTTTTGAAAACCTTCCACGCTCATATTTCTGTTCACTGCTGCAAGTAGGCTGTTCAAGAAAGTGTTTTTATTTTTATTCTTTATTGATCTGAGGATACCCTGCTCACTTGCTGAATTAATGAAGTCACATTTGGGGAAAAGTACATGGAATAAACATTATATTTAATGAGATTTTTCAGCTGGAGGATGAGCAGAACAGTTGTCAAGGAATAACAAAATCTTGTAGCCATCATCCAGTCCAGCTTCCCTGCAGCAAACCTGAACCACTGCTACAAAATGTTTGTGAAACCAATCAGAAAAGATGTCCCTAGTGACCCATGCCTTTTTGTTAGTCTAATAATGAACCCAATCTTTCCCACACAGCAGGTTTACACTTAGTGTGCCTTCTGCATTAGCACCTCCCAGGACAGTTACTCTGTCCATGGCATTCTTATCCTGTAGGGGCTGTAGTCAGAGTCTTTCTGGGGAACTAACACTAAACTGTGATGTTTCATCAGCATTATAGACTTGTTCTGGTGTCAGATTTTCATCAGTGATGGCCTTGGCAGACTTGTCAATGAATTTTTCTGCTTCTTCATGATCAGCAGTTGCTTTATTCACCACAAATCTTTGAAAAATTAATGTGTCTTTTCTTAAATTTCTGCAATCAGCCTG
Organism: Homo sapiens; assembly: GCF_000001405.40. Lineage (NCBI taxonomy): Eukaryota > Metazoa > Chordata > Mammalia > Primates > Hominidae > Homo > Homo sapiens. Next base: position 98,775,938 of record NC_000008.11, on the reverse strand, counting down.
TTGAATATTCATAGTTCCCTTCAATTTTCAGTTCATCATGATATATCTTTGCTTGTTTCATGAGCACCATACCATTAAGTAGTATGTTTTCTCTGCCGTGCTGACAGATTTACTCTTTCAGTACACATTTGAGATCTTCATTTGGTTTTCTGCAATTAAGAAAAATTTTTCATTAACTTCTGTTCATTGACACTTCAGCATAGAACTTCAACAATTTATCCTTCTGTTTCTTCAGGTTGTATATGGTGGTCATTCCAACACCATGCTCTTTTGTAAGACATTTCCCATACTGCTTTCCAGTTTATCCAGCAGCTTGACTTTTTGGCTAGAGATAAGCATAAATGCTTCCTCTTTTTCTGTCACTTACTCAGATTTTCAACATTGTCTTTATCCAACAAAGCAGAGAATAAGCAAAAAAACCCACAGTGAGTAATGCACAGTCTTGGCTCCGTGTGGGGCATCGTGGGGAACCTATCATTGGTGCGTCTGGCGTGTACCTGTGCCATTTTATTACCCTTCTTTGGATGTGCTTGGGTGGGAGAATCTGTGCATGCATGGAAAAGATATGTCAGAGCTGAAGGGGGCTGGGGAGGATCTTTTTTCCTTAAATTGTGTTATGTGCTTACAGTTTGACTGTGACTCATTACATGAGGTCAGGTGTGGCATTTTCCATTGTGGGTATCATGTTGGTGCTCAAAAAATTTCAGATCTTGGAGCATTTTGGATTTCAGATTTTTGGATTATGGATGATTAACCTGTATGGAAAGATCTCTAACATAGTTTTGTCAAGAGAAAACAGTAGACAACATGACAATATTTATACAGAAGGGTGTGTATATGCTTCTTATATATTCAAAGGGGAGGAATTAAGAATATGTATTCATATTTATATAAAGGTTTCACAAAAAACTAATAAAAGTGATTATTTTTGGAGGTGTTGCTGGGCACATGAGGAACAGGGCTTGAAAGGAGAATGTTTACTATGTATGTTTTTATATTGTTTGAGTCTTCTGAATATATTAAAATAAAATTAAAAACTTGGTAAAATTTTAAAAATTAAAAATTTTGTAAAAGGTCTTTAAAGAAAATATTTTCTTTCTTCTTTCTTTTTTAAATCAGTAAACTAAAAAAGCTGAGTGAAGACAGTTTGACTAAGCAGCCTGAAGAAGTTTTTGATGTATTAGAGAAGCTTGGAGAAGGGTAAGTACAAAAAGTATGAAAGCATGTAAATAATTTCAGAACAATTTAAAAAATATTATATGATGTTAATCTTTCAACTAGAGTATATTCGTATGAATTGAATAGTATTTAATAGTAATTAAACTTGGCAGGTGATACTGAATTTTAAAGATTAGTTTGTGCTAAATCTGGTAATAGTGTTTTTTCAGAGAAAGTAGGCCATATATATATATAAGGGAAAAGCAAGAAATGTGCTGTGAAATGATGTTTAAGAGTTTTGTTAGTTCATCCCTTACGGCATTCTTATTAATACGTTTGAAGGTTTTGACTTTGTTAGGCAAGTGACCATAAGGCCATCCTTTTAGATCTTGAGGCTCATTTTATTTTGGAAAAGGTAAGTAGTCTTTGTCTTGATATGACAAGAATATCTTAGTGAGGGAAACAGTTTATATAGGCAGAAGAATAGTTGACATGATTTCAAAATAACAGTAGAGAAACGTGCCGGTTTGAGCAGAGAGAAAGGTAGGGAGCATTTAATGGAATGGCAAAGTATAGGAGAATTTCCAAAATAATAAAGGTACAAAACAGAATTAAAAGAAGCTTATAGATCAGCAAGAACAAGGACAAGGAAATAGAGAAAATGAAAAGGTAAAATAATAAGCTAGGCCGGTCGCGGTGGCTCACGCCTGTAATTCCAGCACTTTGGGAGGCTGAGGTGGGTGGATCACTTGAGGTCGGAAGTTCAAGACCAGCTTGACCAACATGGAGAAACCCCATGTCTACTAAAAATACTAAATTAGCTGGGCGTGGTAGCGGGTGCCTGTAATCCCAGCTATTCGGGAAGCTGAGGCAGGAGAATCGCTTGAACCCGGAAGGTGAAGGTTGTGGTGAGCTGAGATCACGCCATTGCACTCTAGCCTGGACAACACAAGCGAAGCTCCGTCTCAAAAAATAAATAAATAAATAAATAAATAAATAAAAAATAAAAATAAGCTGAACATGATGGAAGGAATAAAATCAAGTGTACTTTTCAGTAAATGTTAATTTTCCCATTAAAAGACAAACTGTTAGAGTAAATGAACATGCGAAATCTACCTATATTCTGTTTATAGGAGATGCAAGTAAAACAAATAATGGAAATATAAGGCTATTTATTTATTATTAATAGAGATGGGATCTTGCTATGTTACCCAGGCTGGTCTTCAACTCCTGGCCTCAAGTGATCCTCCTTCCTTGGCCTCCCAAATTGTTAGGATTATAGGTGTGGGCCACTGTGCATAGCCTATAAGGATATTTCTTATAAAAATATTATAGATAAACATACAAATAAAAAAACAGAAAGTAATAGTAGCAATATTTATATTAGATACATTAAAGTTTAAAAGGTTTCAACTAAATAAAGAGATATATTAGGTAGCAATATCAAGGACAATTTATAACAAAACATGTCAGACAACATGGCAGCTAAATTTATGACAGAAAAGCTATTAGTGATGTCAGAGGCATCTAATAAAAGTATAATTGCATGGGAGATTTCAATGTATCTCTTTTAGAATTGGACAGATATAATAGAAAAAAGAGAAAGGACATAGAGGGATTAAACATTATGATGAATACACTTGATTTTATAGAAATGTAAATATATATAAAGTAAAAATATATAAAGTACCTGTATGTCTATATAACTATGCATATATATTCTTGCAGACCTGCTTTTCTGGTGTATGTTCAAAGGACCATTGATAAAAGAAAAGTTACAAATTCTAAAAAATAAGAGATTTTTACAGGTCACATTTTCTGATTGTATTAAGCTGTTCTTGTGTTGTTATAAGAAAAATACCTTAGGCTGGGTAATTTATAAAGAAAAATTTAATTGGCTCACGGTTCTGCAGACACTGCAAAAAGCACGGTGCCGGCATCCGCTTCTGGTGAGGGCTTCAGGAAGGTTATAGTCATGGAAGAAGGCAAAGGGGGAGCAGATGTCTCACATGGTGAGAGCAGGAGCAAGATAGGGCAGGGGAGGTGCCACGCAGTTTTATTTTTTTTTATTTTAAAATTTTTTTGAGACAGAGTTTCACTCTCGTCATCCAGCCTGGAGTGCAATGGCGTGATCGTGGCTCACTGCATCCTTCTCCCGGGTTCAAGGGATTCTGTTGCCTCAACCTCCCGAGTAGCTGGGATTACAGGTGCCTGCCACCACGCCCAGCTAATTTTCATATTTTTAGTAGAGATGAGGTTTCACAATGTTGGCCAGGCTGGTCTTGAACTCCTGACCTCAGGTGATCTTCCCACCTCGGCCTCCCAAAGTGTTGGGATGACAGGCACGAGCCACTGCACCCGGCCTGCCACACCGCTTTAAATAAGCACATCCTGTGAAAACTCACCATCTCAAGGACAGCACCAAGCCATGAGGAAACTGCCCCTGTGACCCAAACGTCTCCTAACAGGTTCCATCTCCAACATTAGGGATTACATTTCAAAATGAGATTTGGAGAAGACAAATATGCAAACCATATCACTGATTATACTCACTAAATTAGAAATAAGTAATTATAATATGACAAAATCCACACCAACTAGAAATTAGGAAACATAATCTGAAGTAACCCATTGATTGAAGAGGATATTATAAATTATAAAACAATGAAAAGGAGAACACATTGTGCCAGTATCTATGGAATATAGCAAAACTAATTAAAAGTTTTAGTTCTAAATTCTTTCATTAGACTAACAAAGAAAGGCAAAAAATAAACTTAGTGCTTACTTAAAGAACTTAGAAAAATTATGAAACATACCAAAAGAAACTGAAGATTGAATTAAAGAAAAAGCTGAAATTAATGAGATAGAAAAAAAATTAGAAATGATAAATATGGGCCAGGTGCAGTGGCTTACACGCTGTAATCCCAGCATTTTGGGAGGCCGAGGTGGGTGGATCACTTGAGGTCAGGAGTTCGAGACCAGCTTGACCAATATGGTGAAACCATATTGTCATTTAGTAGAGTAGCCATCTCTACTAAAAATACAAAAATTAGCCGGGCGTGGTGGCATGTGCCTGTAATCCCAGCTACTTGGAAGGCTGAGACAGGAGAATTGCTTGAACCCAGGAGGCGGAGGTTGCAGTGAGCCGAGATTGTGCCATTGCACTCTGGCCTGGGTGACACAGCATGACTCTGTCTCAAAAAAAAAAAGATACGTATATGTTTGTATATATAAAAGCTTTTGAAGAGATCAGTAAAATAATTAAACCTCTTACAATGTTGACTAAAGAAAATAGAAAATACAGAAGATTTGGAATAAGAAGGAAGATATAGCCAGTGATAGAGAAATGATTAAATAACTGTTAATTATAAAGGTACCAACTCATAGCATATTATTTACAATAGCCAAAATGTGGAAACAACTCAAATGTCCATCTGCTATCCCAGGTGAATAAACAAAACGTGATATGTCTGTACAGTGACCTTTTAGCCATAAAAAGTAGTGAAGTACTGGTACATTTTACAGTGTAGTTGGACCTACAAAATATTATGCTAAGTGAAGGAAGAAGCCAGATATAAAAGGTCACATATTGTATGATTTCATTTATATGAAGTATCTAGAATAGATAAATCTGTAGAGACAGAAAGCAGATTCTATATATTTTGGAACTACATACAGATAATGGTTGTACAGCATTGTGAATGCACTAAATGCCATTGAATCATACACTTTAAAACAGTGAATTTTATGTTGTGTGTATTTCACCTCCTCCCCTCCAGAAAGGTTCCACTGTATTAAACACTGTTTTATACAGTGTTTAAAGGACAGTTAATTATAGTTTTTTTTTAAATGAAGCTAGTGTAACTTTAATATCAAGACCTAAATGTACAATAAAAGAAAACTGTAATTCAGCCTTGCTTTGTTACTCATTATGGTAACTGTTCCCACTTTGTCTCAGGTGAATAGCTGTTGCCACTTCTCTTGTGCTGGGATCCTGTTATCTATTAAACTCAAGGAGCCAGTTTCACTGTTGGCATATTTGTCATCTTTCCCCTGCACTAATAGAGCTTTGGTCGATGCTGGTATCCTCTGGACCCTTTTTGTCAACATAGTTAGGGAGTATGTGAGCATGGCACTTATAATATATATCCATTCTAGTATCCCATTTCCTTGAGCCTTTGATATGCTTCCTTTGGTGTGTACTGAGGCTCACTTAGCATCTCACTTAATATGGGCCACTTTTGAGTCCAGGTTTCAGTTAACTGGCTGAGCAACTGTTAGGGACACCCCCAACTGTTTGAGCTAACATGCTGAGTCTGGAATTTCTGGTCTTGCATCCATATCAGTACATTTCTTCCTCTCTGGAAATCTTAGAATTTGTTCTCACACATATTCTTTAGGGTTCTGATAAAAATTGGCAAAATCTTGCAACTTTTTTAGTGTGAATAGTAGCTGCTTGGGTTAAATTTTATACTTGTCTCCCTGGTGTCTATGGGAGTTGAGTATAACTTTGGGTCTGGAAGCAATAAGTGGTGGTGGAGTGGTCTGGAGGACCACTGCATGCTGCTGAAAAGTGACTGCCTCAGGAGGTAGATAGAGTCTTCAGGCATTGTAAGGTTAATTTTCTCAGACAGGAGGGCAGAGTTGCTTTTGGTATCAAGGGAGGCTTGATAGGATTTGGGGATTCAAGGTACTCAGATTAATGAGAATCTATCTAAATGTCCTAATACCAGTTCTCTAGGTACTTCTCTTTATTGTTAGATACCTTAACTTTAACATAACAGACCTGGTGCTGATGTGAATTCAACTTGAAATGTAATTCAACTTCCAGTAAGACTATACCTAGAGTTTGTTTTTCAGAAATCTCAACCCTGTTTCTGTAAGAATTAAGAAATTCAGAAGTTTTCTGGTTCTCTCAGTCTTGAGCTGGACATTTAAGCCTTTAGCTTGCTGTGTTTGTTCTATAACTTTTCCAGTGCAGGCAGAGGCAGCAGCCCATTCTATAGTCCTTATACTTTATTTTCACCATACATTGTATTGATACAGCTACTTGGTCTTTTAAAGCTTTGCTTAGACTCCAGGCAACTAAGGGTGATAATTTAAATAACTGTTTGCCACTGAATGCCATAGACCATCAGTATACTATTTGTTACTTGTATTGAAGTCATTACTGTCTACACATCTGTATTAGTCTGTTTTCACACTGTTGGTAAAGACATACCTGGGACTGGGCAATTTACGAAAGAAAGAGGTTTAATTGACTTATAGTTCCACGTGGGTAGGGAGGCCTCACAATCATGGTGGAAGGCAAGGAAGATCAGGTCACATCGTACATGGATGGCAGCGGGCAAAGAGAGAGCTTGTGCAGACAAACTCCCATTTTTAAAACCATCAGATCTTGTGAGACCCATTCACTATCATGAGAACAGCATGGGAAAGACCTGCCCCCATGATTCAGTCATCTCCCACTGAGTCCCTACCACAACAGGTGGGAATTATGGGAGCTACAAGATGAGATTCGGGTGGGACATAGCCAAACCATATCAACATCTAAGAAAGAACTAATTCAAGATTCTCATCTTTAAGATTCTTTCCCTTGGAAACACTTCTTCTACCAAAAACTATATTGCTATCAAGGAAAAGATAAGCTACTGTATGTACTCTATAGATATGAAGAATTTAGTAATGAAGTTAGGAGCTCAAATGAATTGTGGAGGGGCCAGGGATGCAAAGTTCATGAAAACTGTTGCCAAAGGTTGAAGGTCGAAGTCAGCATTGAAGATCTCAGCCTGAAGCACTGAAGTGGGTGTTTCTCAAAAGCTCTCTGGGAATCTGCTGGAATCCTGCAGTCTTGAGAAACTCCCACCAACTACCTCAGTCTGCAGCAGTGGTGGCTGTTGGAAGCTCAGCAGGAAGCTGCTGTGCACTTCATATCTGTCAGTCCATCTGCTACAACTGTATCTGGAGAAAAATGGTTTCTCCTTTCGTCATTCACACATACGTGTTTTTCTCACTGGCAGACTTTTAATGAGGAACCATTCAGGGAAGGGGATTCTGGGAAGTGGGGATTGCAGCTTCTCTTTCGTAGTGCTGAGGAGTCCTTAGAAAGGAGTGATGGTGTTGCCTAATTGACAGTAGATGATCTAGCACTGAATTCTATGTTAGCTTTTGAGGGAATATACACACATACACACATATGGCTTTCAAGGGGAGATACACACACATACATTCCCCCACACCCAGCCCAATGTGACTTTGGGTACCAAACCAAATTAAATGACTTCAGAGAGCCCAAAGAAACAGAGGAGAGGATAAAATGTATTTTATTGAAGTAGCCGCGTTATCACTTATTTGTCTCTTTTTCACTTATTTTAAAAGATTATAAATTTGGAAGGGCTTCTGCATAGATTTCTAATATTAGGAAACATTCGATGTTTTCCATTGGCTTGCTCTTGTTTCTCTTCTGTAGAAAAATATGGTGAGAAAAACCTGATTTTTGGGGTGGGAATGTGTTTGAATTCTGGCCCTACTGGTCTGTTTCTCATCTTTTAATGACGATAATAGTGTTTTTCCTTATGATTGTGAGGGTTGAATTTCATAATGCATGTAAAACACCTAGCATAGGACCTGGTTTATAGTAAGAACTCAGTACATAGTAGTGTTTAACCTCGTTTTTAAGTTCATACTAAGGTACAAATGGCTTCTTCCTTCTTTGTTTTTGCTTTTTAAAACACGTGAATATTCAGTTGGCAAAGTTTCAGGAGTTGTAGCAGAGACAGGTTTTGGGCAAGTGACTATTAGACCCTGTTCCTCATTTTATTTACCTGTGAGTTTGTAGTTTTTCTCTTGAGGAAAAGGTAATGAAAGGAACTTTTTAAAAAGAGACCTTGGATCTGTAAATCAGGTAGAAGCAGATGGCTGCAGATTCCTTGCTTCTCTAACTTTGATGTTAATATGGTCCCCAGCTGAGGGTTTTAACTGTTAAGGTACTCTGAACAGAAGTGTGACTTTTTGATATTCTGGGGGTCATTTTCCTTGAGATCAGCCTTTTCTCCTAATTTGAGGCTTTGGCTATTTTTAATCTACATTTCATTCTTTTAATTTCCATTTATATCTTCTTAATGCTGCATTTGTTTGAGTTGACCAAACGCAAGTCTGTTTCTTTCATTCATAAGAAAAATAGCTACTCATTATATGTTAACTTGACTATTTTAAGTCTGTAGTTGAAGCAATAAAGCTAAGATATAATTCATTACCTTTTAAAATTGTTACTTGTTTACTTTGATTTTTTAATCATTTAAATAGTGTTTTAAACTAGAAAAGACTATCCACAGAAAACTCATAGTAGACTTTTAATCTTATAGTTACGATGTTTGATAGGAAAAAAATAATGTCTTGGTTTCTTTTAGGTCTTATGGAAGTGTATTTAAAGCAATACACAAGGAATCCGGTCAAGTTGTCGCAATTAAACAAGTACCTGTTGAATCAGATCTTCAGGAAATAATCAAAGAAATTTCCATAATGCAGCAATGTGACAGGTATGAAGAGATTTTATTTCTTTGCTTACCCTTGTTTTGACGAGTTTTGCTAATAAAATATAACAAAATTTATTCTTTGATCATCTGTTTAGTTTTCATTTCTTTTTCTTTTCTTTTTTTTGAGACAGGGTTTTGCCGTTGTTGCCCAGGCTGGAGTGCAATGGCGCCATCTCGGCTCACCACAACCTCCGCTTTCTGGGTTCAAGCGATTCTCCTGCCTCAGCCCCCTGAGTATCTGGGATTACAGTCATGTGCCACCATGCCTGGCTAATTTTGTATTTTTAGTAGAGATGGGTTTCTCCATGTTGGTCAGGCTGATCTCGAACTCCTGACCTCAGGTGATCCACCCGCCTTGGCCTCCCAAAGTGCTGGGATTACAGGCGTGAGCTACCATGCCTGGCCTAGTTTTCATTTCTGACTTCCCATTGGAAGTGAGATTAATCCTTTAAGGCAGATGAGGATGGCTTTGTCAAGTGTCTTTAGGACTTACAGCTCTTTGCAGCTTTTCTGCTTAAAAGCAGAAATGAGGCTGGATGTGGTAGATCACGCCTGTAATCTCAACCCTTAGAGAGGCCAGAGCATCGAGGGTAAAGGAGCCCAGGAGTTCAAGGCCAGTCTGAGCAACATAGTGAGACCCTTTCTCTACCAAAAAAGAAAAAATTATCCAGGTGGTAGCTTGGACTTGTAGTTCTAGCTACTTGGGAAGCTGAGGCGGGAGGATTGTTTGAGCCCAGGAGTTCAGGGCCACAGTTAGCTATGATTGCAGCACTGCACTATAGCCTGGACTTTTTTAGGACAAATTTATGGATGAGAATGAGTTTTTGATGTTAAAGGGGTCATTTAACAGTCTGTATTATGTAATCACTTTTACTAATTAAGAAGTCATGTTTTATGTAAATCTAATTCATTCAACATTCACTGAGCATCCCCAGTTGACCCGGTACTGTGCCAGGATCTAAGAATGCCAAAAGAACTAAGATACTTTTTTCTTTTTGAGGGGTCAGTAGTGTAGTTGGGAAGACAAATATATAAATAAATAGCTGTAATATAGCACACTCATTGTAGTGACTGGTGCATGGGGTAATGTGAAAAGAAGAAGGCAGGGCATCTTCCTCAGCCAGTGGAGCCAGGAAATCTGGAATGCTGACGAAGAGTTAATTGGGTGAAGAAATGGAGTGATAAGGGAGAGTCAAGGGGATGACAGGTAGAAAGGTAAAAACAACTCATTGGGGTGTGCTCATCTGACAAGATTTAGAATTATTGGAATGGAAAGTATGGGACAGAGAACAGAATGAAATGAGGTTGGATAGTTAAATGGAGCTGATGGTGAGAAGCATCTTATGCAATGTGAAGTAGCCTAGGCTTTATTCTATAAGGGATTCAGAGTATATAAATTATGACTATGTTTAGCCTAAAGTTACTTAACCACAGAGGGATTTATTATTCTCCCTTAACAAAAAGTCTGCTAGTACAGCAGCAACAAAGGAACAGCCATGTCTCAGTCTTCTTTTCTTGTACTCTCTCATCGTTAGCATGTGCTTTGTCCTCATGCTTATTATCTCATGGCTACAACAGGGCTGCTACAGCCCCAGCTTTATGTCTACATTCCAGGCAGGAGGAAGAAAAGAAGAAGCAGGGAAGGGGCTTTCCCAGAAACCTTCAACTTCAGTCTTATTTGTAAAAATTGTCTCGTGTGACTTAGAGCTGGTGACACAGGGTAGTCTGGGCACATTGTCTCCCCTTATCAATTCAGGGCCCTGTAATTAGAGATTTATGGAAAGCTTTCACTCCTAACAATACATAGGATCTATAGATTGTAAGCTTTTTGGCTAATGAAGTGATTGCATAATCCTAGAGGAACTTTGCTGCTTGGATCTGTTCAATTTTGCTTTTCTTTAGAATATGCTGTATATTTAAATTATGTTACATATTTCCCATAGCATGTGAAATTCAAGTGGTTATAGGAAAAAAAAAGATACATTCCTCAACTGTGGTTCCCACAATTTGATATAGAATAAGAGATGAGATAGCATAGTGCTCGGCCACCAGGTATGCTTTATACTTGCCTGATGCGAGTATTATTTTGTTATTATGGTTAAAAATAGTTCAAGGATTAGCATTGTACTTTGAGTGTTGTCTAGGAAAGTCAGGGTCTCAAATATTACTATTACATATCTCTTCCCTCAAATCTTGTTCAGATTTCTGCAACAGCATCTTATTTGTTCACTTTGTTTGCCTCCTCCAACCCATTATCTTCCTTGAAGCTAGAGCGTTCTTTCCAAAATGCAAATGTAATCAAGCATTCCCTGTTTAAAACCCATGGTTCCCCATTGCCTCGAGAAATCCAGTCTCCTAAGAGTGGCATACAAGGTCCTTCATGTTCCATCTAGTGCTTACACCTCCAGTCTCTTACCTGAGTTTCTCTTTTAAGTGCCTGTTTACTTGTATTCTCTATCATCTAAGTCTTAAGTTCCTTGAGTTCGGGGATTGTATTTTACTCAGTGTCCTTGGATCCTGCCACATAATGGTTACTCAGATACTAATGAGTACTTCTATTTAATAATTTCTGTTTGGGCAACTCAACTAGACTATCCAGAGGGAATTACACATTTAACATTCTAAAACCAGTTTTAAACATTCCAGACAAGCCTTTCAAATTCCTGTGTATCAAAGGCATCATCATCTACTTAGTCTTTTAGCAAGGCTGAGAATCATCTTTATTCCTTTTTATGATACTTCAGATGATACTGAGTCTTGTAGATTTTCCTTCTGAAATGTCATCACTATCTTTATTCTTCTCTTCATTCCTTAAGGAAAGGAACCATATATTTTTCTTTATTAGCACCTGTTCAGCGCCTAGCAGTATACTTTTTGATGAATGAATGAAAGGGTGTGGTATGTATGAGGAGTACAAGGAAGAGCATTACAGATTGAGGGAACCCCAGGGAAATCAGGTACTTATTCTTGTTATGCACTTTAAGCTTTTAAAGGGAAAGAAAAGTAAAGAATACAATGAGAAGGAAATGTTATAGAATTCTAGAACTTTTGTACCACTTTATAGCAGAATGCCTTGCACATAGTAGGTACTTCTCAAATATTTGTTGAATGAAATAAATGCTGAGGCAAATATTGATGAAAAATGGTTTCTGCCTTTTAAGATTTTACTGTCAAATTCATATTGTAAGTATGAAGTTGCGAAGGATCAAAAAATTAGTTGGTTAAAAGATCCTAAAATGCTAAAAGATAGGACTAGTAAAAAATAAATTAGGGCCGGGCATGGTGGCTCACGCCTGTAATCTCAGCACTTTGGGAGGCGGAGGTGGGTGGATCATCTGAGGTCAGGAGTTCAACACCAGCCTGGCCAACATGGCAAAACTCCATTTCTACTAAATAGATATAAAAATTAGCTGGACGTGGTGGCAGGTGACTGTAATTCTAACTACTTGGGAGGCTGAGGCAGGAGAATCACTTTAACCTGGAAGGCGGAAGGTGCAGTGAGCTGAGATTGTACCACTGAACTCCAGCCTGGGTGACAGAGTGAGACTCTGTCTCAAAAAGAAAAAAAAAAGAAAAAGAAAAACAATTAGGAAATGACAGGGAGAAACTTAGATTTTAGCTACCAATAACTAGTATTAATGTAAATGTGTTATTAAGAAATTAGCATAAAAATGATTGGAAGAAAACAGTATGAATTGAAAAATTCCCAAATAATACACTGAAATTTTGATAGGGAAAATGAGATATGCATTTCTGAAATTTAACTATTTTCTTAATACATTCAGCTATTTGTGAATTTGGTAAATTGTCTTGTTTTCTATACTCTATAAAAGGACCAGAGGTGGTGTTTTAATCTTTTTTTGTTCATTTTAAGTGAATATTTAATAATGGGCTGAATACTACATGTTAGCATAAATATCTCAGGGAGCCCATCTGCTTTGTTTATTGCTGAATGTGCAGTGCCTAGTTCAGTACCAGGTACAGAGTATACATTTAATGAGTATTTATTAAATGGATAAATCATAGAATATTAGTGCTAGATTCAACTTCTGTGGGTCAGCTAGTTTAGTGTTTTCAAATCATACCCTGCTCTAAGAAGGTACTTCTAGGGGCATTTTCTTCACTGAAGAATTGAGTAGAATGAGAACCTCATTATTGCTTTTATCTTTTTTATATATGGGACTCTTTTGAAATTTTTATTTGAGGAAAAGTCTTCTAGTGCTAAAGCATATTTAAAAACAATTTTGCAGATACAGAAAATGAGACCTAGAGCTTTTACATGAATTGCCCAAAATCACACTGCTAGTTAGTGACTGAGATGCAATAAGAACCCACATTTACCCTACTTCAGGGCCAGTGTTGAAGAAAGCAATGCCTGTAAAAAGATTCCAACAGTTCAAAGTGAAGCACTCTCAAGGCATTCCTAGGAGTAGAGGCAACAGCTGGTTAGCAATACTATGTGGCAGGTAATATGTACACAAGGTAATCACAACTGACATAGTCCCTACCCTCCTGGTGCTTATATGCAGAGAAGGAACTTTTCATATCTAAACAAAGATAAATATGTTGTTATGAATCAGGGCACACACTTATCCCCTTTTTACCTGTTCAACTAGTATGTATTGAGTACCACCTACTCCTAAGTGTAGGCCTGATGTGCTCTCACAAGAGATACAACAAAGAATGGGTCTCGGCCGGGTGCCATGGCTCACGCCTGTAATCCCAGCACTTTGGGAGGCTGAGGCGGGTGGATCACAAGGTCAGAAGTTTGAGACCAGCCTGGCAAACATGGTGAAACCCCGTCTCTACTAAAAATACAAAAATTAGCTGAGCGTGGTGGCAGGCACCTGTAATCCCAGCTACTGGGGAGGCTGAGGCAGGAGAATCACTTGAACCCGAGAGGTAGAGGTTGCAGTGAGCCAAGACTGTGCCATTGCACTCCAGTCTGGGTGACAGAGTGAGACTCCATCTCAAAAACAAAACAAAACAAAAAAAAGAAACAAAAAAGAATGGGTTTGAGGCTTTAGAGAGACTTTCACTCAGCTGGAAGAAACAGACGAATGGGTAGGCTGTTTCAGTACACAGTGTGGTAACAGCTGTGATGGGATAGATATGGGGAAGTATGTGGGTTGGAAGAGATATCTAACACCTCATGTTTGGAGGTTCAGGGAAAGTTTTCCCAGGGAGGTCATACCTCAGCTGAGTCCTGATTGATGAGTTAGATTTGCTGGGCAAAGAGAAGAGATAACTCTTATGGTGAAATAGAGCATTTTCAGCTGGCCTGTTCAGGGTGTCACTGAGCACCCCTTGGCTTCTACCAGAGTATTCTACATTCTTACCTGTTCTATTTCCTCATGTTTCTAGATAAGATTCCATTTGAACACTGTTTCTGAGGCAAATAAATAAATAAATAAATAAATAAAAAATCAAAAGTTTCAAAATCACCATGTTGGAGGATTATTGATGAACTTTGGCAATTTGTATCAGCAATTTGAACTTTGGCAATTTGTATATTCAGTTTTGGGTGGGCCAAGAAATAAATTGCTGTGTGATTGAGATTTATGCTGGAAACAGCTCAGTTTTAATAGAATATCCACATTGCCTTTGTAAAAACACTGTATTACCATACTAAGTTATAGAACACTACTAAGATTATAGTAAGATGTTGATGAAAATGATGTAATTAAAAATAGCCATTTCTTTAGTATTTTAATTATCACATGCTCATATTAGGAAGACTTTTAAAAAGTATACCTTTAGCTATATATGGTTTTCTTCAATTAGAATGAAATTCAAGTTACTATTTAAAAAGTCACCTTTTGATTGTATGTGGTGGCTCATGCCTATAATCCTTGCACTTTGGGAGGCCGAGGTGGGCAGATTGCTTGAACTCAGGAGTTCAAGACCAGCCTGAACAACATGGCAAAACTCTCTCTCTAAAAAAAATACAAAAATTCACCAGGCATGGTGGCACGTGCCTGTAGTCCCAGCTACTTGGGAGGCTGAGGTTGGGAGGATTGCTTGAGCCCAGGAAGCAGAGGTTACAATGACCTGAGATCATGCCACTGCACTCCAGCCTGGGTGATAGAGCCAGACCCTGTCTCAAAAAAAAAAAAAAAGAAAAAGTCACCTTTCAAGCAGTATTTTCAAATAGTATTCCATTTTCTTTATTTAATTATATGATGTTGTTGATGGACACTTAGATTGATTCCATATTTTGGGTGTTATGAATAGAACATTTGGATTTTTATAAGAAGCTTAAACGTAATGATTCAGTCCGTATAATTTGTATCATGCATAGTGTTTAAGTAAGGTACAATTAGATAGGAGTATGTAGTCCTTTTTCCATTTTTCCCCTTTGGTTTTTCTCATTTTTTTTTAATACTCTTTCTATTTTGAGTTGTGATACTAGAGGAGGACCATTAGGATAAAGAGTGTAGGGAGCTGTAAAGTGAAGATGGAAATGGAAAGGATGTGATCATTAGGTATGAGATGAGAGGAAGCCCAGAAGCCCCCCACCCCCTCAAAAAAAAGAAAACGAGAACAAGATACGTCATTTTATTGGATTGAAGGCGTTAAATAGGGGAAGGAAAAAATTAATGAGACAGGAGGATGAAATGGAGAGAAGATGCATAAGAGAAAGGCATAGAATGTGGCTCATGATTGGCATGCTAGTTATTAAGGCATCATATTTCACCTCTGCTTCCTGGTGTAGTCTGTAATTTCCTTTGTGTTTTCCTGGTTCTTCCACCCAGTGAAATTTTCAAAGACATAGCTGCTTACTCCTCTTTAAAAGAGACAAAACTAGCCAGGCACAGTGGCTCACGCCTGTAATTCCAGTGCTTTGGGAGGCCAAAGCAGGAGGGTCACTTGAAGCCAGGAATTTGAGAGCAGCCTGGATAACGTAGTGAGACCCTGTCTGTACAAAAAATAAAAAAAATTAGTCCGGGTGTGTGCATGTTTATAGTTGCGGTTACTTGGGAAGCTGAGGTGGAAGGATCACTTGAGCCCAAGAGTTTGAAGCTACAGTGAGCTATGATTGTGCCACTGCACTCTAGCGTGGGTGACAGAGTGATACCCTGTCTCTTAAAAAATAAAAATAAAAAATGTAACAAAACTACAGTTAGCCCTCTGTATCCTGCTTGTTCTGCATCCACAGATTCAGCTAACTGCATGTTGGAAATATTGGGAGAAAAAAAGCAATAGAAAAAAACAATAAAAAAAAAAACCAATGCAGTATAACAATTATTTGGATAGCATTTACATTGTATTAGGTGTAATAAGTAATCTAGACATGATTTAAAGTATACTGGAGGATGTATGTAGTTATATGCAAATACTGTGCCATTTAATATAAGGAACTTGTGCATTCATGGATTTTGGTATCTGTGGGGTTCCTGGAACCAGTTCGCCATGGATATTGAGGGATGACTGTGTATAGAATTGCTGGGTTCTGATACAACCTGCAAGTCCATATACTGGCTTAGTCAAAATTCTTAGGCATATGGCTGAATTAAAACTTTCTGCATTGCTTAAAATTTATATACAGGTATACCTTACTCTGTTGTACTTCTTCACTTTGCAGATGCTGCATTTTTTTTTTTTAATTGAAGGTTTGTGGCAACTGTACTGAGCAAATCAAGTCCGTCAGCACCATTTTTCCAATAGTTTGTGCTTGCTTCATGTCTCTATGTCATGTTTTGGTAATCCTTCCCATATTTCAGACGTTTTCATTATTATTATATCTGTTATGGTGATCTGTGATCAGTGATCTTTGATGTTACTGTTGTAATTGTTTTGAGGTGCCACGAACTGCACCTTTGTAAGATGGTGAACTAAATTGATAAATGTCGTGTGTGTTCTGACTGTCCCACTGCTAGGCCGTGGGCCCCATCTCCCTTCCTTTCCTCAGGCTTTCCTATTCCTTGAGACACAATATTGAAATTAGGCCAATTAGTAATTCTACAATGGTCCGTAAGGGTTCAAGTGAAAGGGAGAGTCACACAACTCTCACTTTAAATAAAAAAGCTAGAAATGATTTAGCTTAGTGAGGAAGACAGGTTGAAAGCCGAAATAAGCTGAAAGCTAGGGTTCTTGTGCCAAACAGCTAGCCAAGCTTGAATGCAAAGGACAGGTTGTTGAAGGAAATTAGAAGTGCTACTCCAGTGAGCACATGAGTGGTAAGAAAGTGGAAGAGCCTCATTGCTGATATGGAGACAGTTTGAGTGGTCTGGATAGAAGTTCAAACCAGCCACAGCATTCTCTTAAGCCAAAGCCTAATCTCGAGCAATGCCCTTACTGTCTTCAATTCTATGAAGGTTGAGAGACGTGAGGAAGCAACAAAAGTTTGAAGCTAGCAGAGGTTGGTTCATGAGGCTTAAACAAAGAAGCTGTCTCCATAACATAAAAGTGCAAGATGAAGCAGCAAGTGCTGAAATAGAAGCTGCAGCAAGTTATCCAGAAGATGTAGCTGAGATAATTGATGAAGGTGGCTACATTAAGCAACAGATTTTCAATGTAGACGAAACAGCCTTCTACTGGAAGGAGATGCCATCTAGGACTTTCCTAGCTAGAGAGAAGTCACTGCTTAGCTTCAAAGGACAGGCTGACTCTCTTGTTAGGGGCTGATGCCTCTCATGACTTTAAGTTGAAGCCAGTGTTCATTGCCCATTCCAAAAATCTTAGGACCCTCAAGAATTTTGCAAAATCTCCTCTGTTTATGTGGCAAATCACATTTATTCATTTGTGTATATTGAACCAACCTTACATCCCAGCAATAAAGCCTACTTGATCGTGGTGGATTAGTTTTTTGATGTACTGCTGCATTTGGTCTGCAGGTCTTTTATTGAGAATTTTTGCATTTATGTCCATCAGAGATATTGGTCTGAAGTTTTCTTTTTCATTTTGTCTCTGCCACATTTTGGTATCAGAATGATGCTGGCCTCGTAGAATGAGTTAGGGAGGAGTCTCTCTTCCTCAGCTTTCTTGCAATAGTTTCAGTAGGATTGGTACCAGCTCATCTTTATACGTTTAGCAAAATTCAGCTATGAATCTGCCTGATCCAAGGTTTCTTTCTGGAAAACAAAAATTTGTGTGACTCACTGTATTGTGATATTTGCTTTATCCAGGTGGTCTGGAATCAAACCTGCAATATCTTATAGATTTGCCTGTATATAACACTAGAGTGTTACAGTGTTTTGAGTGAAACTCTCTCCCCTTCTTCCCTAACCTTTAATAATCAACATGCTGGTTTAAAAACAGATGTTAGAACATCTAAATAATTGTAGTTAGTTAACTTGCTGGCTAGAATGAACAACATCATGTTTGATCCTTGACAATCCTGCTCAGGATAATGTTTAAATGCTAGTTTGATTGTATTATTTCCTTATATAAATTTCTTCAGGGGTTCCCCATTGCCTGGACTGCCCTTTCTTCTTTGTCACTAGTCTAATGTTTTTCCATTTTTCTCCCTAGCTTCTGCTAGTAGGCTTGTTCAGTGAATATTTGTTGTTTGAATTACTTAAAAAAAAAGATAAATAAATGTGAATTTGAATGCATATCTGTGTTAATGGAAATAGACTTGAGTTTAGAAGTCTCAGGTCTTGAACTGTCTGAGCCTATTGGTAGGCTTTTTTTTTTTTTTTTTTCTTTGAGATGGAGTCTCGCCCTGTTGCCCAGGCTGGAATGCAATGGCGCGACCTCGGCTCACTGCAACCTCTGCCTCCCGGGTTCAAGAGATTCTCCTGCCTCAGCCTCCTGAGTAGCTGGGATTACAGGTGCATGCCACCAGGCCCGGCTAATTTTTTATATCTTTAGTAGAGACAGGGTTTCACCATGTTGGTCAGGCTGGTCTCGAACTCCTGACCTGGTGAAACCCCATCTCTACTAAATACAAAAATTAGCCGGGCATGGTGGCGGGTGCCTGTAATCCCAGCTACTCAGGAGGCTGAGGCAGGCGAATCGCTTGAACCCGGGAGGCAGAGGTTGCAGTGAGCCGAGATCGCGCCAATGCACTCTAGCCTGGGCGACAGAGCGAGACTCTGTCTCAAAAAAAAAAAGTATGCTTTATTATTACTCACATATCATGAGGCCAACAGATCAAGAGACTATTGCTATGGAAAAGATATATTGTTATATATACAGCTCACAAGAGAAGGAGGCGTGCTGTGTCACAGGGGCTCCACGGGGAAGTACCAGAGTCAGTTAGGAGGCAGAGAAAGAGGGGGGAAGAAGTGGACAAGAATGTTTGTGTGGTTTCCCTGGGAAGGGACAGGTGAGATAGGGTAAACAGGTTTAGGATTGGCTACTTTGAGTATTTTGAGTGGGTTCTGGGGCATAGGGCTTTCTCTGGTTGTCTGGTACCTGGCCCTGGGGCAATTTGGGCAGGTGAAAAGTTGACCCTAGAGTGTAACCATAGAGGTGGTTGGAGGTTTGGGCTTTAGATAGGTTGGTGTGCATATGAAAGACATCCTTCCATGGGAGTTAGTTTGCTGTCTCTAGGAATTAGCTTACCCTGAGAGGGGCAGTCGCTTCAGTTTTAGCAAGGTCCCAGATACCAAAGCATCAAGAATACAGAAAATAAAAAGATATGCTTACTATAATCTCTGCATGGACTAACATTACTTTTTAATTGGTCTCTCTGTATTCACATTTGCTTCCCTACAATCTAGCTTTCATTCAGCAACCACAGAAACTTTACATCATGTTATTCGTCTGCTTAAAATTCTTCACTGATTTTTTTTTCTGTATTTCAAATAAAGCCCAGTCTCTTTACCTTGGTTTTGAGGCCCTTCATGGTCAGGCTTCTGCCTACATATGCAACTCCATTATGTTCTACTGTATCCTTTACTCACTTTATCCTGGGCCCGCTAATCTTTCAGTTCTTTGACCGTGATTTGTTCTGTCTTTCAGGGCCTTTGCAGGGCAGTTCTTAGTGCTTAGTTATCTGGCTAACTTCTCGTTAAGTTTTGCATCTTAGCTTAAATATTATTCCCTTGGAGAGTCCTAAATTAGGTCCTGTCTTAGTTTTTTGTGTGATTTATTTATTCGTTGGTTCTTTTCTTTCTTTCTTTATTTTTTAATTTTAATTTTTCTTTTTTTTTTTGAGGCGGAGCCTCACTCTTCTGCCAGGCAGGAGTGCAGTGGCACGATCTCGTCTCTCTGCAACCTCTGCCTCCCGGGTTCAAGCGATTCTCCTGCCCCAGCCTCCTGAGTAGCTGGGATTATAGGCCCCTGCCACCACGCCCAGCTAATTTTTTTTGTATTTTTAGTAGAGACAGGGTTTCACCATGTTGGCCAGGATGGTCTCGATCTCTTGACCTCATGATTCGCCTGCCTCGGCCTCCCAAAGTGCTGGGATTACAGGCATGAGCCACCGTGCCCGGCCTGCTTCTTTAGTTTGTATATAGGAGAAGAGAGCTACTGAGGATAAAATGGAAAGCGAGACAGATTGGTACCTATCTTTATGGAGCTTCTGTTCTTCTGGGGGAGGCAGATAAAAGTCAATGACAAAGTCCTTGCAGGATGTAATAAGTGCTTTACAGTATAAAAGGTGCTGACTTAGAAAGTGTCAGAGGATGGCCACTGTATACATATGAACTCTGGAGTTTAAGCATTTCTTTCTTTTCCAATCTGTGGATTTTGTAATTCACAGCAGTTCAGTGGAGAAAGGACATTTTATTGTTAAAGCTCACTTATCTGCTTTCAAAGGTTTTTCACATACTCCAGTGCCTTCCAAGTCTCAGAGGCTACCATGGAATATGAATGCATTCCATTCCTTCATATGAACTAGGAGCAATTTTATTTGCAGAAATGGTGAATACAAAATAAAGTCACAGCCAGTTTATCTTATAGCACCCTTTCTTCTTTTCTTGCCATGGTTAGTAATCATATTTATTTGTGAGTTTACTTCCTTAATTCCTGTATATTCATGCTAGTGTATTCGGTATGAGGGTCCAAATTGTGAATGTGTGTTTCACTAGTGCATACTGAACATCTGGTGAAATGCCTGGCCCGAGTAGAGGGTCAGTGAATGCATGTGGCTGTTTAGTTCTAGTTGCTTAAATACTTTGCTGGGTTAAAGTTAGTGAGGCCATGTTTTATGTTATAGAGGTGTTGGACTTGGATCCATCTACTTACGTGGGTGTTAGATGGGCCATGAATTATTTTTTTGAAGAGAATTTTACGTTTTGCCAAAGTTTTCTCTTGACTTACTCTTATGGAGAGATAGGGCTGTGTTTTCAGGTGGCTGCCCAGGTTAGAATTCCTAATTTTCATGAGTTGTCACTTCTACCCTTAGCATTGCTGATTAGTGTGTATGGCAAGAAAAATGTACATTTTTTTGTATGCTTTTCAGTGAACATAATCGTCAATTCATTGTTACTTAACACTTTTCAAAATTTTGAATGAGAACATTCATATTTAAAGAATTTTTTTTTGGCGGGCATGGTGGTTCACACCTATAGTCTCAGCACTTTTGGAAGCTGAGGCAGGCAGAACACATGAGGCCAGGAGTTCAAGACAAGCCTGGTCAACATGGCAAAACCCCATCTCTACCAAAACTACAAAAATTAGCTGGGCGTGGTGACACAGGCCTGTAATCCCAGCTACTTGGGAGGTTGAGGCACGAGAATCACTCGAACCCAGGAGGCAGACATTGCTGTGAGCCGACATGGTGCCACTGCACTCCAGCCTAGGTGGCAGAATGAGATTCTGCTTCAGAAAAAAAAAGAGAGAGAGAGAGAGTTTTTTTTTTTTCCCCTGAAGGATATACAGTCTATTCACTGGTAGAGTGAAGCTTAACTCTGGGTCTATGTCAGAGTCACCGGTAGAGCTTTTAAAAACCTACTGAATCAGAACCTCAAAGGAGTGTGGGCTTGGGTCACAGGTGGCTCTCATGCACAGCCAGGTGTAGGAACGCTACTCCCTATAAAAGTTTCCACATAGGCGCCATACCTTAAAGGAGTACATGTAAAGAATTTTTTTTTTTGTTTCTCATATGTTGCAGTTCTAAGTCTGTATTTAGTTTCATTTGTTTGTAAACAAGCACTTTTCTTAAATGGTTCAGTGAACATTTATGAACTCCAAATACATACTTTCAATTCCCAAGACCTAGCAAAGCTGAGTGTGTCTGGAAATTTAAGGTATGAGATGGAGAGTAATCAGAGATACGGGTAACAAGGTAGACTCTGAAATAACTTGTATGCGATATGAAGCAGTTAAGAGCTTTTCCTTTGGGTAATGGAGAGCTGTTAGAGTATTTTTGTTTAACTAGGAGAGCAGTATGATCAGCTTGTTTTACTTTTGTTTTAAAGTAAGGTACCTTGTCAACTGTATGTAGCATAGACTAGAACAGGGGAGAAAACTAAGACAAGGAGACCAGTGGGGAGCAAGTCTGTGCAAGAGGTAACGGAGTAGCAGTGGGGATAAAACAGGTTTGAATTCAGGCCCTTCAGCTCCAACCACTCTGTTCTACCTTTGACTTCAAGACATAGTTATTTTTTTTTGTATTTATTGCCTTTGTTTTTAATATAAAATTTAATTATAATGGGAAAATTTTAAACTTTTGTTTTTTAGATGACTGATGTTTTTATTATTTATTTATTTATTTATTTTTAACTTTTATTTTAAGTTCAGAGGTACATGTGCAGGTTTGTTACATGGGTAAACTTGTGTCATGGGGGTTTGTTGTGCAGATTATTTTATCACCCAGGTATTAAGCCTAGTACCCATTAGTTATTTTTCCTGATCCTCTCCCTCCTTCCACCTTCCACCTTCTGATAGGCCCCAGTGTGTGTTGTTCACTCTGTGTGTCCATGTGTCCTCATCATTTAGCTCCCAGTTATAAGTGAGAACATGCAGTATTTGGTTTTCTGTTCCTGTGTTAGTTTGCTAAGGACAATAGCCTCCAGCTCCATCCATGTCTCTGCAAAGGACATGACTTTGTTCTTTTTTGTGGCTGCATAGTATTCCATTGTGTATATGTACCACATTTTCATTATCCAGTCTATCATTGATGGGCATTTAGGTTGATGCCATGTCTTTGCTATTATGAAGAGTGCTAGTTACAAAGAACATAAGCATGCATGTGTCTTTATAATAGAACAATTTATATTCCTTTGGGTATATATCCAGTAATGAGATTGCTAGGTTGAATGGTATTTCTGTCTCTAGGTCTCTAGGTCTTTGAGGAATTGCCACACTATCTTCCACAATGGTTGAACTAATTTACACTCCCACCAACAGTATATAAGCATTCCTTTTTCTTCACAACCTTGCCAGCATCTGTTTTTTTTTTTTTGACTTTTTAATAATAGTCATTCTGACTGGTGTAACATGGTATCTCATTGTGGTTTTGATTTGCATTTCTGTAATGATCAGTGATGTTGAACTTTTTTTCATATTCTTGCTGGCCACATGTAGGTCTTCTTTTGAAAAGTATCTGTTCATGTCCTTTGCCCATTTTTTAATGGGGTTGTTTGTTTTTTTTTTCTTGTAGATCTGTTTAAGTTCCTTATAGCTGCTGGATATTAGACCTTTATTGGATGCATAGTTTGTTCAAAAATGTTCTTTCATTTTGTAAGTTATCTATTTACTCTCTTGATAGTTTCTTTTGCTGTACAGAAGCTCTTTGATTTTACTAGATCCCATTTGCCAATTTTTGCTTTTGTTGTGATTGCTTTGGGTGTCTTTGTCGTGAAATCTTTGCCTATGTCCTGGATGGTATTGCCTAGGTTGTCTTCCAGGGTTTTTATATTTTTGGGTTTTACATTTAGGCCTTTAATCCATCTTGAGTTAAATTTTTGAACATGATAATAAGGGAGGGGTCCAGTTTCAATCTTCCGCATATGGCTAGCTGGTTATCCCAGCACCATTTATTGAATGGGGAATCCTTTTTCCTTTCCATTGCCTGTTATTGTCAGGTTTGTCAAAGATCATATAGTTGTAGTTGTGTGGTCTTATTTCTGAGTTCTTTATTCTGTTTCATTTGTCTGTATGTCTTTTTTTGTATCATAACCATGCTGTTTTGGTTACTGTAGCCCTGTAGTGTATTTTGAAGTCGGGTAGTGTGATGCCACCAGCTTTGTTCTTTTTGCTTAGGATTGCCTTGGCTATTCGGGCTCTTTTTTGGTTCCATATGAATTTCAAAATAGTTTTTTCTAGTTCTGTGCCGAATCTCAAATAGTAGTTTTAGTAAGAATAGCATTGAATCTATAAATTACTTTGGGCAGTATGGCCATTTTAATGATGTGTGTTTGTGTGTGTGTGTTTATATATTATTTTTTTATTTTTTATTATTATTTTTTTGAGATGGAGTCTTGCTCTGTTGCCCAGGCTGGAGTGCAGTGACACAATCTCAGCTCACTGCAACCTCCGCCTCCTGAGTTCAAGTGATTTTCCTGCCTCACCCTCCTAAGTAACTGGGATTACAGGCATGCGCCACCATGCCCAGCTAATTTTGTATTTGTAGTAGAGATGGGGGTTTCACCGTGTTGGCCAGGCTGATCTGAAACTCCTGACCTCAAGTGATCCTCTCAAAGTGCTGGGTTTACAGGCGTGAGCCACAGTGCCCAGCCTCATTTTAATGATATTGATTATTTCTATCCCTGAGCATGGAATGTTTTCCCATTTCTTTATGTCATCTCTGATTTCTTTGAGCAGTGTTTTGTAGTTCTCTTTGTGGAGATCTTTCACCTCCCTAGTTTGCTGTCTTCCTATGTAGTTTATTCTTTTTGTGGCAGTTGTGAATGGGAGTTAGTTCCCGATTTGGCTCTCGGCTTGACTGTTGTTGGTATATAGGAATGCTAGGGATTTTTGCACATTGCTTTTGTATCCTGAGACTTTGCTGAAGTTGCTTATCAGCCTGAGAAGCTTTTGGGCTGAGGCTATGGGGTTTTCTAGATACAGGATCATGTCATCTGCAAACAGGGGTAGTTTGACTTCCTCTCTTCCTATTTGGATGACCTTTATTTCTTTCTCTTGCCTGATTGCCCTTGCCAGGACTTCCAATACTATGTTAAACAGGAATGGTGAGAGAGTCCATCCTTGTCTTAATGCCGCTTTTCAAGGGGAATGCTTCCAGCTTATGCCCATTCAGTATGATTGTTGGCTGTGGGTTTTTCATATATGGCTCTTATTATTTTGAGGTATGTTCCTTCAATACCTAGTTTGTTGAGAGTTTTTAACATGAATGGATGTCTGATTTTATCGAAAGCCTTTTCTGTATCTATTGAGATAATCATGTGGTTTTTGTCTTTAGTTCTGTTTATATGATGAATCACATTTATTGATTTGTATATGTTGAACCAATCTTGCATCCCAAAGAGAAAGCCTACTTGACTGTGGTGAGTTAGGTTTTTTATGTGCCACTGGATTTGGTTTGCTAATGTTTTGTTGACGACTTTTGCATCAATGTTCATCAAGGATATTGGCCTAAAGTTTTCTTTTTTTGTTGTATCTCTGCCAGGTTTTGGTATCAGAATGATGCTGGCTTCATAGGATGAGTTAGGGAGCATTTCCTTCTCCTCAATTTTTTGAAATAGTTTCAGCAGGGATGGTACCAGCTCTTCTTTGTACATCTGCTAGAATTTGGCCCTAAGTCCATCTGGTCCTGGGTGGTTTTTTTTTTTGGATGGTAGGCTGTTTATTACTGCCTCAGTGTTAGAGCATAGCTAAAATTTTAAAGGCTGTACTGAGAAGTCTTCCCTGACAGTCTTCTCTTAACCTCCACAATTGATAGAGTCTCTACGTGTTCTTTTATTGTACTTTCAATTTTTTTTTTTTTTGCTTATTTGTTTTTCTGTCATATTTATCTTACATTTGTGCCCAGCAAAATGGCTACTGTTTTTGATTGTAGCTATTACTAGATAGAAGTATTTATTTGAACAAGTTGTCCTCTTACATGCCATACTTGGTTTTTCCCTTTCTATTTGTGTACCTTTATTCATGGTCTTTCTCTTTTCTAGAATTTTCTTATCCCTCTTCTCCATCTACATTTTGGAGTTTAAACTTTTCTTTCAAAATCTCATTCAAATCCCACTCCCTTCCACAAAGTTCTCTTTGGATGATTCCAATGTTATTTCCTCATTTGAGCTCTTGTAGCATTAAAGTTGTGTCCTATTTAGTTTCTGCTGTCTTGTATTTTCTATCTCTATGCATTTTTTGAATATGATATTCTGCCTCTTTGAGATAGGTTAGATTTCTCATACATCACTATATGTAGTTTATCCATAATATACATTATTGCTGATGGTCATTTGTCCCTTTCTAAATCTTCCTGAAGACAGCTTGGCTATAAACATAGTTTATTCTGCTCTGGAAGACGTAAGACCTCAGTTTAGAAATTAAATTGCTAATATTTTAATTCTATAAATTTAAGCAGAAAAATTTATAATTTTTTTTCTCTAGAATTTTCAAAAGCCAGAATGAAAGAAAATTTAAAATAACTTTTTGGCCTCATGGAAATATAGATTATTTTCGAGTTGATTAATATTTGACTGAATGCAAAATCCTTTAGAAGACATATTTAAAATGCTTTAGTTAAAGGGAAAAATTTTCATTTGTTCCTCATGTTAAGTAGTAAGTTCTTTGCCAAAATGAAGTCTTATTTTCTTCAGAATCACTCAAAACATTTGGGCCTCTTCTGGTTTGTAATCCTGTTAAATTTCGTCCATGAAGTAAAGCCTAATTATGCATAGTTGGTGAACTCCAGATATTGAGAATTTGATGTGCAATAGAAATTTACTTATTTAACTTATTGGAACAGTATGAAATGTTGAAAATACTTTGTATTGGGATTAAGAAAAAAATTTCTTTGGGAATTAACTAAATTTAATTGTTTATGTATTTTCCTTTAGCCCATATGTTGTAAAGTACTATGGCAGTTATTTTAAGAATACAGACCTCTGGATTGTTATGGAGTACTGTGGCGCTGGCTCTGTCTCAGACATAATTAGATTACGAAACAAGACAGTAAGTATTTTAAAATTGTTTTGCTAATATCATTTCTAAAGATTGATATTTTAGAATCTGACTAGTTGGTATTTTGTTACACAGAAAATAATAGCATGAAAAAAGAAAAGGTTTTAAGTGGTGTAAAGATATCTAGTAGGAGGTGTGAGAACCAGCCACATATCTTTCTGTAACAAATTTAGGAATTACATGATTGTTTAATTTATTTATTAGGATAATTTTTGGTGTGTCACAGAGAAACTACCATGGTACTTCTCTTCTTCATTTGGAATCAGCGTGTGTGTGTGTTGTTTAATAATGTGAGTTTCATAAATTATGGCTAGAATTTTATTTAAAGTTTATAATATTCATGGTATTTACGTATCTTAAATTTTATGTATTATAATTTATGGCTGGAATATTTGAAGAAATTATATACTTCTGAATTAAAAAAAAACATTTTTGTATTTATTTTCCCAAATATTGTCAGGATGTGTGAAAGTGATAGAAATATATATATTTCTATAAATTTAGCTTAGTGAAATGTATTGTTTAATAAAAGCTTTTTATGGTTATGTTTTAACTCTAACTAGAAGTGCTATTTACAAAATTGTTTACTTTAAGCTAGTAATACATCTAGTTTATTTGGACAATTTGTATGGACCAAAGTGACCTTTTTTTCTTGAATAGGAAGAGTAATCAGTGAAATAATTTGTAATTCTGTAGCAGTAACATTATTATATGTTGTCAGCCATGTTTCAGTAAAATACATTCAGAAAAAATACTTCAGTCAATTTGTAGTTAACCAGAATCATTTTAAAGTTTGATTTGGGAAGTACACTGTAAGTTTATTTTACTAATTTTTTTTCCCTGTTAGAGAAAAGAAAGTAAATAGGATTTCTTTTAAGGGAAGTGAAACAGAAGTTGAAATAATCCCTGTTTTGACAGAGTAGATTAAGTGATCTGTGACATTCTGCTAATGATATATTTTAGAATTTCTATGGTGCTTAACTAGCATTTATGTAAATCAGATGATTCTTGAGTGGCAGAAAAATGCTTCAGTGGAAAGTAATTATATCCCAGTTAGAGAATTGTTTTAAACTCATTTCAGGGCTAAACTCAGTGCATTTGGTATTTAAAGTTATCAGGTAGGAATATGAAGTAGTGTGTGAAATGGAAAATTTTAAACATCTCTATTTTCTTAGTTTTAAGTGTTAATGTTACAATTTTGAGTAGATATGAAGTATTTGATCCAAGAAGTTTAATGCTTGTTGCCAATAATTACAACTGTGAAGACATACTATAGTTCTTAAAGATAGGTATGGATCAGATCATTATCTTCAGAAAACTCTTTGTCAGTTATCAAAGGAAAGATTTTATCCATTCATATTCTTTGTTATAAGACACAGTCCACTGAGCATGTTGGGGAGTTGTACACTTGGAATAACATAGTTGTTACGCTCACACAACAGGTACCCTGGGTTCTGGGATGGCATGGTAAGAGTCTAATTTCCATATATGAAAAGGAACCCAGAGCTGCACAAGAGATTGATCAGGAGCTGTAGGTATATTGTTTCTGAGTGTTGCCTTGATGACAGCTCCTATTAAGTCTCAAGAATATTTGTATCTTTCTTTTCTAGTGCAAGGACATTTTTCTTCATTTATTTATTATCCAAAAAGAGTACCATTATTGTTAAGGTTAATAATATAAAGATACGTAACATCCTATTTAAAAAATATCTGGATGTTGTAGGCCTTTGTTCACTAGAGTGTTAACTCTTGATTGTCTGAATTTCAGAAGCATGACTATTACTGACTGACTGGCTTTCAAAAATTTGACGAGTCTAACAGTCGTCTTTGATTAAACAGGTGTAAAACTCACTCTAGTAATTGTTTTCATGGTCATGAAACAATCTTTTCCTAAGAATATGGCAATTTGTTTTTAAGAGCTTGTATGGTCTGTTGTTTTTTTTGTGATCTGCTTTGTTTCTTTAAATTCTGTATACATTTTAAATAGCACATGGAATTCTTGTTATTTTATATTGTTATTCTTATTTTGTATTGCAAATGTTTATATTTACTCATATATTTATGCTTTTTATTGTTCTTTATTTCTTTCTGTGTTTCTCAGTTGTCTGAAGAATATCTGTTAGTATTTCCTTATGTGTGGTGGGTATGATGATAATGTCTTTTTTTTTTTTTTTTTTGGTGAAAATGTTGTTATTTTACTTCATGTTTTCTTTTTTCCTTTTTCTGAGACAGGTTCTCGCTCTTTTGCCCAGGCTAGAATGCAGTGGTGTGATCACAGTTCACTGCAACCTTGAATTCCTGGGCTCAAGCGATCCTCCAGCCTTAGCCTCCTGAGTAACTAGGACTTCAGGAGCATGCCATCATGCCTGGCTAATTAAAACAATTTTATTTTGTAGAGATGGGGTCTGGCTATATTGCCCAGGCTGGTCTTCAACTCCTGGTCTCAAGCAATTCTCCTGCCTTGGCTTCCCATAGTGCTGGGATTACTGATGTGAGCCACCATGTCTGACCCTCACTTCACTTCTGAACAGTATATTTGCTGGGTAAAGAATTCTAGGTTAGTGATTCCTTTTAGCCTTTTAAAGATATTATCCAGAAATCTTGTATTTTATATCCAAGAACATAATTTATTTTTATTTTTTATTTTTATTTTTGAGACAGGGTCTTGCTCTGTCACTCAGGCTGTAGTGCAGTGGTGTGATCATGGCTCACTATAGCCCCGGCCTCCTGGGCTCAAGTGATCTTCCCACTTCAGCCTCCTGAGTAGCTGGAACCACAGTCGTGTGGTACCATGCCTGGCTAATTTTTTTGATTTTTTGAAGAGATAGGGTCTCACTTCGCTGCCTAGGCTCATATCCTAGAACATATTAATTATAGTCTAATTCTGTCTGCTAATCTTTTAAATGTTAATCTCCTGTGGGTCTCTTTCTATTTTATATTGTTTCTCTTGTTTTTTATTGTTTTTGTCTGTGCCTTGTGATCTTTGATAGAGTGCTAGACATTGCGTAAAACGTGATAGAGGTTATTTGAACTTCTGAATGTTGACGTATTTTACTTAAGGTTTTTGTTTCTATCTGGTGGCTAGAACTAGCAATCCTGGATCACTTAATTCAATTGGGGTTAGAGATAATTTGAATCTGGGCTTCAGTACAGTTATGTGCTACATAATGATGTTTCTATCAATGATGGACTGCATGTAGAATTGTGGTCCCATAAGATTATAGTATCGTATTTTTACTGTACTTTTTCTATGTTTAGATGTGTTTAGATACACGAATACTTACCATTGTGTTGCTGCTGCCTACAGCATTCTGTACGGTAACATGCTACACAGGTTTGTAGCCTAGGAGCAATAGGCTATACCATCTAGGTTTGTGTAAACACACTCTGTGATGTTCACACAATGATGAAGTTGCCTAATGATGTCTTTCAGAATGTATCCATGTTGTCAGGTGACACATGACTGTACTTTTGAGGGTTGATCCTCCTTTACATCTAGGATATGGTCCTTTGGCATTATAGGGCTTCTCAGTTTCTCGGTAGGTTTTGATTTCCAGTCTTTGACCTTCTCATCTTGTAAGTCAGTCAAAAGGTCTGCTCTGCTTATTAGCCTCTTGGCCTCTGTTCCATAATTGATAGATGCCTCTTGGGGAAAAGCAGCCCTTATTGCTAGGCTTACCTCTTCTTTTTTCTTTTTTTAATATTTTGTTTTCAGACAAAATACACTGCTCGTGTGTCTTCATTAGCCTTAACATAGACTTTTAAATGTATTTTCTCCAGACATTTTAGTTCTTTAAGCAGGAGAGTGGTCTGAATTATCTAGTTTATCACTACCAGAAGTGGAACTCTTTCAAATAGTACAAGTTTTGTTATTAGCAGTTCTGTTCTGCTATGAGCAAACATATGCAAAGCTACCCCCAAAGGCTAAGGGAGCTGAGAGCTGAAGAAAGACACTGACAAATCCAGTTTCTTATAAAAAAACATTTATTACAGACTAACAAACAGAAATAATGTTTTGGGTGGCCAAGAGGTGGTGTATTCCCACATCCACCCTCCCGAAAATATCCTTTATATAGCAAGCTTTTTTGGTAAAACATATGCAGCTGGTTACACCTCAGACTTTGTTGCTACTCATGACCACTGGAGAGGTTAGATAAACATCTTTATGAGGGGTTGTCTATGCTACAGGCATTGTTTAAAGACCTTGCTGCTGGAGCCAAACTCCTGTCATTATGGTGGTTTTGCTTTGAAATGGTGTCACTCTTATCTTGCAATAGGCTGGCTTTTTACCTACATCTTTAATCTAGCTGGAGTTTATTTCTGTATATGATAGGAGATAGGGGTATACAGCACTTTTTTTTTTTTCTGTGTGGAAATCTAATTGTCCTAACACAATTTTCTATCCCTTTTTAACTGGCTTATAAGCCTGTCCTACTAAAGTTATGTATATATTTGTCTCTATATTTGGTCTGTCTGTTCTAGCAGAGATTTATTTGCCTGCTTCTGCAACAGAAATATGTTTTTTTTAATTATTATTATACTTTAAGTTTTAGGGTACATGTGCACAATGTGCAGGTTAGTTACATATGTATACATGTGCCATGCTGGTGTGCTGTACCCATTAACTCGTCATTTAGCATTAGGTATATCTCCTAATGCTATCCCTCCCCCCACCCCCCACCCCACAACAGTCCCCAGAGTGCGATGTTCCCCTTCCTGTGTCCATGTGTTCTCATTGTTCAGTTCCCACCTATGAGTGAGAATATGCAGCGTTTGGTTTTTTGGTTCTTGTGATACTTTACTGAGAATGATGATTTCCAATTTCATCCATGTCCCTACAAAGGACATGAACTCATTATTTTTTGTGGCTGCATAGTATTCCATGGTATATATGTGCCACATTTTCTTAATCCAGTCTATCATTGTTGGACATTTGGGTTGGTTCCAAGTCTTTGCTACTGTGAATAGTGCTGCAATAAAGATACGTGTGCATGTGTCTTTATAGCAGCATGATTTATAGTCCTTTGGGTATATACCCAGTAATGAGATGGCTGGGTCAAATGGTATTTCTAGTTCTAGATCCCTGAGGAATCGCCACACTGCCTTCCACAATGGTTGAACTAGTTTACATTCCCATCAACAGTGTAAAAGTGTTCCTATTTCTCCACATCCTCTCCAGCACCTGTTGTTTCCTGACTTTTTAATGATTGCCATTCTAACTGGTGTGAGATGGTATCTCATTGTGGTTTTGATTTGCATTTCTCTGATGGCCAGTGATGGTGAGCATTTTCTCATGTGTTTTTTGGCTGCATAAATGTCTTCTTTTGAGAAGTGTCTGTTCATGTCCTTCGCCCACTTTTGATGGGGTTGTTTTTTTCTTGTAAATTTGTTTGAGTTCATTGTAGATTCTGGATATTAGCCCTTTGTCAGATGAGTAGGTTGCGAAAATTTTCTCCCATTTTGTAGGTTGCCTGTTCACTCTGATGGTAGTTTCTTTTGCTGTGCAGAAGTTCTTTAGTTTAATTAGATCCCATTTGTCAATTTTGGCTTTTGTTGCCATTGCTTTTGGTGTTTTAGACATGAAGTCCTTGCCCATGCCTATGTCCTGAATGGTAATGCCTAGGTTTTCTTCTAGGGTTGTTATGGTTTTAGGTCTAACGTTTAAGTCTTTAATCCATCTTGAATTAATTTTTGTATAAAGTGTAAGGAAGGGATCCAGTTTCAGCTTTCTACATGTCGCTAGCCAGTTTTCCCAGCACCATTTATTAAATAGGGAATCCTTTCCCCATTGCTTGTTTTTCTCAGGTTTGTCAAAGATCAGATAGTTGTAGATATGAAGCATTATTTCTGAGGGCTCTGTTCTGTTCCATTGATCTATATCTCTGTTTTGGTACCAGTACCATGCTGTTTTGGTTACTGTAGCCTTGTAGTATAGTTTGAAGTCAGGTAGTATGATGCCTCCAGCTTTGTTCTTTTGGCTTAGGATTGACTTGGCGATGCGGGCTCTTTTTTTTTTTTTTCCATATGAACTTTAAAGTACTTTTGTCCAATTCTGTGAAGAAAGTCATTGGTAGCTTGATGGGGATGGCATTGAATCTATAAAATACCTTGGGCAGTATGGCCATTTTCACGATATTGATTCTTCCTACCCATGAGCATGGAATGTTCTTCCATTTCTTTGTATCCTCTTTTATTTCATTGAGCAGTGGTTTGTAGTTCTCCTTGAAGAGGTCCTTCACGTCCCTTGTAAGTTGGATTCCTAGGTATTTTATTCTCTTTGAAGCAATTGTGAATGGGAATTCACTCATGATTTGGCTCTCTGTTTGTCTGTTATTGGTGTATAAGAATGCTTGTGATTTTTGTACATTGATTTTGTATCCTGAGACTTTGCTGAAGTTGCTTATCAGCTTAAGGAGATTTTGGGCTAAGACAATGGGGTTTTCTAGATATCCAATCATGTCATCTGCAAACAGGGACAATTTGCCTTCCTCTTTTCCTAATTGAATACCCTTGATTTCCTTCTCCTGCCTAATTGCCCTGGCCAGAACTTCCAACA
Source organism: Homo sapiens (assembly GCF_000001405.40). Taxonomy (NCBI): domain Eukaryota; kingdom Metazoa; phylum Chordata; class Mammalia; order Primates; family Hominidae; genus Homo; species Homo sapiens. Next base: position 98,742,710 of record NC_000008.11, on the reverse strand, counting down.
CTGTGTTGAATAGGAGTGGTGAGAGGGCATCCCTGTCTTGTGCCAGTTTTCAAAGGGAATGCTTCCAGTTTTTGCCCATTCAGTATGATATTGGCTGTGGGTTTGTCATAGATAGCTCTTATTATTTTGAGATATGTCCCATCGATACATAATTTATTGAGAGTTTTTAGCATGAAGCGTTGTTGAATTTTGTCAAAGGCCTTTTCTGCATCTATTGAGATAATCATATGGTTTTTGTCGTTGGTTCTGTTTACGTGATGGATTACGTTTATTGATTTGCGTATGTTGAACCAGCCTTGCATCCCAGGGATGAATCCCACTTGGTCATGGTGGATAAGCTTTTTGATGTGCTGCTGGATTCGTTTTGCCAGTATTTTATTGAGCATTTTTGCATCAACGTTCATCAAGGATATTGGTCTAAAATTCTCTTTTTTGGTTGTGTTTCTGCCCGGCTTTGGTATCAGGATGATGCTGGCCTCATAAAATGAGTTTGGGAGAATTCCCTCTTTTTCTATTGATTGGAATAGTTTCAGAAGGAATGGTACCAGTTCCTCCTTGTACCTCTGGTAGAATTCGGCTGTGAATCCATCTGGTCCTGGACTCTTTTTGGTTGGTAAGCTATTGATTATTGCCACAATTTCAGAGCCTGTTATTGTTCTATTCAGAGATTCAACTTCTTCCTGGTTTAGTCTTGGGAGGGTGTATGTGTCGAGGAATTTATCCATTTCTTCTAGATTTTCTAGTTTATTTGCGTAGAGGTGTTTGTAGTATTCTCTGATGGTAGTTTGTATTTCTGTGGGATCGGTCGTGATATCCCCTTTATCATTTTTTATTGCTTCTATTTGATTCTTCTCTCTTTTCTTCATTAGTCTTGCTAGCAGTCTATCAATTTTGATGATCCTTTCAAAAAACCAGCTCCTGGATTCATTAGTCTTTTGTGTCTCTATTTCCTTCAGTTCTGGTTCGATTTTAGTTATTTCTTGCCTTCTGCTAGCTTTTGAATGTGTTTGCTCTTGCTTTTCTAGTTCTTTTAATTGTGATGTTAGGGTGTCAATTTTGGATCTTTCCTGCTTTCTCTTGTGGGCATTTAGTGCTATAAATTTCCCTCTACACACTGCTTTGAATGTGTCCCAGCGATTCTGGTATGTTGTGTCTTTGTTCTCATTGGTTTTAAAGACCATCTTTATTTCTGCCTTCGTTTCATTATGTACCCAGTAGTCATTCAGGAGCAGGTTGTTCAGTTTCCATGTAGTTGAGTGGTTTTGAGTGAGTGTCTTAATCCTGAGTTCTAGTTTGATTGTACTGTGGTCTGAGAGACAGTTTGTTATAATTTCTGATCTTTTACATTTGCTGAGGAGAGCTTTACTTCCAACTATGTGGTCAATTTTGGAACAGGTGTGGTGTGGTGCTGAAAAAAATGTATATTCTGTTGATTTGGGGTGGAGAGTTCTGTAGATGTCTATTAGGTCCACTTGGTACACAGCTGAGTTCAATTCCTGGATATCCTTGTTAACTTTCTGTCTGGTTGATCTGTCTAATGTTGACAGTGGGGTGTTAAAGTCTCCCATTATTATTGTGTGGGAGTCTAAGTCTCTATGTAGGTCAGTCAGGACTTGCTTTATGAATCTGGGTGCTCCTGTATTGGGTGCATATATGTTTAGGATAGTTAGCTCTTCTTGTTGAATTGATCCCTCTACCATTATGTAATGGCCTTCTTTGTCTCTTTTGATCTTTGTTGGTTTAAAGTCTGTTTTATCAGAGACTAGGATTGCAACCCCTGCCTTTTTTTGTTTTCCATTTGCTTGGTAGATCTTCCTCCATCCTTTTATTTTGAGCCTTTGTGTGTCTCTGCTTGTGAGATGGGTTTCCTGAATACAGCACACTGATGGGTCTTGACTCTTTATCCAATTTGCCAGTCTGTATCTTTTAATTGGAGCATTTAGTCCATTTACATTTAAAGTTAATATTGTTATATGTGAATTTGATCCTGTCATTATGATGTTAGCTGGTTATTTTGCTCATTAGTTGATACCGTTTCTTCCTAGCCTCGATGGTCTTTACAATTTGGCATGATTTTGCAGTGGCTGGTACCGGTTGTTCCTTTCCATGTTTATTGCTTCCTTCAGGAGCTCTTTTAGGGCACGCCTGGTGGTGACAAAATCTCTCAGCCTTTGCTTGTCTGTTAAGTATTTTATTTCTCCTTCACTTATGAAGCTTAGTTTGGCTGGATATGAAATTCTGGTTTAAAAATTCTTTTCTTTAATAATCTTGAATATTGGCCCCCACTGTCTTCTGGCTTGTAGAGTTTCTGCTGAGAGATCAGCTGTTAGTCTGATGGGCTTCCCTTTGTGGGTAACCCGACCTTTCTCTCTGGCTGCCCTTAACATTTTTTCCTTCATTTTAACTTTGGTGAATCTGACAATTATGTGTCTTGGAGTTGCTCTTCTCGAGGAGTATCTTTGTGGCGTTCTCTGTATTTCCTGAATCTGAATGTTGGCCTGCCTTGCTAGATTGGGGAAGTTCTCCTGGATAATATCCTGCAGAGTGTTTTCCAACTTGGTTCCATTCTCCCCGTCACTTTCAGGTACACCAGTGAGACGAAGATCTGGTCTTTTCACATAGTCCCATATTTCTTGGAGGCTTTGTTCATTTCTTTTTGTTCTTTTTCTCTAAACTTCCCTTCTCGCTTCATTTCATTTATTTCGTCTTCCATCACTGATACCCTTTCTTCCAGTTGATCGCATCGGCTCCTGAGGCTTCTGCATTCTTCACGTAGTTCTCGAGCCTTGGCTTTCAGCTCCATCAGCTCCTTTAAGCACTTCTCTGTATTGGTTATTCTAGTTATACATTCGTCTAAATTTTTTTCAAAGTTTTCAACTTCTTTGCCTTTGGTTTGAATTTCCTCCTGTAGCTTGGAGTAGTTTGATTGTCTGAAGCCTTCTTCTCTCAACTCGTCAAAGTCATTCTCCGTCCAGCTTTGTTCCGTTGCTGGTGAGGAGCTGCGTTCCTTTGGAGGAGGAGAGGCACTCTGCTTTTTAGAGTTTCCAGTTTTTCTGCTCTGTTTTTTCCCCATCTTTGTGGTTTTATCTACTTTTGGTCTTTGATGATGGTGATGTACAGATGGGTTTTTGGTGTGGATGTCCTTTCTGTTTGTTAGTTTTCCTTCTAACAGACAGGACCCTCAGCTGCAGGTGTGTTGGAGTTTGCTAGAGGTCCACTACAGACTCTGTTTGCCTGGGTACCAGCAGCGGTGGCTGCAGAACAGCGGATTTTCATGAACCGCGAATGCTGCTGTCTGATCGTTCCTCTGGAAGTTTTGTCTCAGAGGAGTACCCGGCCGTGTGAGGTGTCAGTCTGCCCCTACTTGGGGGTGCCTCCCAGTTAGGCTGCTCCAGGGTCAGGGGTCAGGGACCCACTTGAGGAGGCAGTCTGCCCGTTCTCAGATCTCCAGCTGCGTGCTGGGAGAACCACTGCTGTCTTCAAAGCTGTTCAGACAGGGACATTTAAGTCTGCAGAGGTTACTGCTGTCTTTTTGTTTGTCTGTGCCCTGCCCCCAGAGGTGGAGCCTACAGAGGCAGGCAGGCCTCCTTGAGCTGTGGTGGGCTCCACCCAGTTGGAGCTTCCCGGCTGCTTTGTTTACCTAAGCAAGCTTGGGCAATGGCGGGCGCCCCTCCCCCAGCCTCGCCGCTGCCTTGCAGTTTGATCTCAGACTGCTGTGCTAGCAATCAGTGAGACTCCTTGGGCGTAGGACCCTCCGAGCCAGGTGTGGGATATAATCTCCTGGTGAACCGTTTTTTAAGCGCGTCGGAAAAGCGCAGTATTCGGGTGGGAGTGACCCGATTTTCCAGGTGCCCTCTGTCACCCCTTTCTTTGACTAGGAAAGGGAACTCCCTGAACCCCTTGCGCTTCCCGAGTGAGGCAATGCCTCGCCCTGCTTAGGCTCGCACACGGTGCGCTGCACCCACTGTCCTGCGCCCACTGTCTGGCACTCTCTAGTGAGATGAACCTGGTACCTCAGATGGAAATGCAGAAATCACCCGTCTTCTGCGTCGCTCACGCTGGGAGCTGTAGACCAGAGCTGTTCCTATTCAGCCATCTTGGCTCCCGGATCCAGAAATATGTTCTTAATTATATGGTGGCGTGCTTGATGTTTGGGATGCAATTCCCTTGTCTTTGTTTTCCTTGATCTCTCTTATAAGTTTTATTTATTTATTTATTTTATTTTTTATTTTATTTTGAGTCGGAGTTTCGTTCTTGTTCCCCAGGCTGGAGTGCAATGGCGTGATCTTGGCTCACTGCAACTTCCGCCTCCCAGATTCAAGTGATTCTTGTGCCTCATCCTCCCTAGTAGCTGGGATTATAAGCACCCACTATCACACCCAGCTAATTTTTATATTTTTAGTAGAGATAGGGTTTCGCCACGTTGGCCAGGCTGGTCTGGAACTCCTGACGTGGGGTGATCCACCCGGTCATCTAAAGTGTTGAGATTAGAGGCATGAGCCACCGTGTCTGGCCTCACATAAGTTTTAGAATAAGTTGTCAAGCTCCACAAAAAGTCTTGCTGGGTTTGTGATTGGAATTACATTTAACTCATAATTTGTGTTAACTAATATTTTCCAATGCATGATCATAGAATATCTTTGTGTTCAGTTCTTCTTTTTTGTATTTAAATGCATTTTTAAATCCTCTTGAAAATCATTCGGCCGGGTGCGGTGGCTCACGCCTGTAATCCTGGCACTTCTGGAGGCCAAGGCAGGTGGATCACCTGAGGTCAGGAGTTTGAGACCAGCCTGGCCAACACGGCAAAACTCTGTCTCTACTAAAAATACAAAAAAATTAGCTGGGTGTGCTGGCAGGTGCCTATAATCCCAGCTACTCTGGAGGCTGAGGCAGGAGAATCTCTTGAACCTGCGGGGCAGAGGTTGCAATGAGCTGAGATTGCGCCACTGCAGTCTAGCCTAGGCGAAAGAGTGAAACTCCATCTAAAAAAAAAAGAAAAAGAAAATTATATACGTTTTAAATTTGATTTGCTTCTAGGAGCTTTGTCATTTTTACTGCTAATGTGAATGATCTTTTGTTGCTGTTATATTTTCTAGTCGGCTAATGCTAGTATCTAAGAATGCTGTATCTCATATATTTTTGTTATTCACCATAGCAGTTTTTACCGTTGTTACTCCTCTGACCCTGTTCCTTGATTTTACTAATTAGTCATTTGCTTATTTATTTTCTATTCATGTACCTTTTTTGTAATCCAGTTAATAATCCTGTGTGACATTTTGTATTATTCTTGCCTAGTACCCCATTTATTTCTCTTAATCTCTTTTTAGGAGTTTTATCTTGTCCTTGAAACTCATGCTTTATGTTTGGGGCCTTTTCCTTGGAGTGAGTATCTCAGATACTGGTTTACTCATTTGCTTGCATCTCTTTTTACTCTTGTTCATTTGGGTATGTCAGGTAGAGCCCTTGAATTGACTTTTCTTATTATTATATTCACTTAAATGAATTCATGTATGATCTGTGGATGTAAAACTTTATTGACAGCTTTAACCTTTATAAATCTAAAAAAAGATATAAAAACATGATTACTGAAATTGTTTTGTGCTTATCTTTAAATTGTTAATAAAAACTATAAAATATAGGTTGAGAACAAGGTTGGATTGGTGCTCAAGTGGACCCAGATGGATGTTGTTGTGACAGCATAATCCTGTTCTGATGTGAGACCTTAACTTTATAATTCATTTGATTATGTATATACTACATATATTAACCACATTAATAGTAAGCTTTCTCAGAGTAATGGACAGTTTAGATTACATTATTAGAAACTTTCTGGATATTGTCTATGTATAATTTGCATATTCTATTTGTACATATTTATATATAGTGAGCTTCATTTATTATAGAGAAGAAACAAAATTATGTGATGATTTAGGGAGTTGACAATAGATTCTAAATTTTTAATTTGTTTTAAGAGTAGTAAGTCTTGGAGAACCACCTAAGTAACATATTTATTTTGTGTGTGGAATTGTGCTTGTCTTTGAAAGAAATCTTATTAGGGGTAAAGCGTTCTTGATTCTGAATTATTGACTATTGTCTATTTTTGAACAAATATTTCCTTGAAAATTGAAAATAAAAGGCACAGGAAAGAGCAAGTCCAATTAAGTTACATGTCTTTTAAATAAAACATTTAAGTTCAAATTTTTTAGCCTGATGTATAAACAGAGTTTATGTATTACCTCCTTTCTTCCTGTACAGTTTCATACCTTGTCACTGTTTTATCAGGTACTTTCCAGTTCAGTGTTACAATGAGAACTGGCTCCTAGAATAAGAACTGGCTTCATATTTTGGTGATTATATGTATGCCCTTGCCTCATCCTCTGCACTTCTTTTAGTGTTATCCCTACCCCCAGTCTTTGCCTAGTGTATTTGCATCCATGAAGGCCCAGCTGAAAATGTTACCTCTTATTTGAAAATTTGCTTATTTTCTCAGGTAGTTTGTTGTCTATTTAGTAATTCATTGATTAATTAATTGGGTGTTTATTGCATATTCACTCTTACATAAAGAAAGCACAATAAATGCTATTTTTACTGTGATGATGATGTTTATTTTGACTATTAGGTAGGCTATCTTTTCATATTTGTATTGGCTGTTTCATGTTCTTTTTGTGCCTGTTCTTTGCTGTTTGTTGTTTCTGTTGGCCTTTTTTTTATGTTTTATTGCTTGACAGTTTGCTAATAGTTATATGAGTACTTCACATATTTTAAAAGTCATAAAACAAATTATCTGATTGTCAGCATAGATATTAAAGAAGGACCTTCAAAATCTGATCTATACTTTTCCTTTGGGAAACATGTAGGAAAAGATGAAGGCATAGAATTAAGTTGTGGGTTAATTAGACATATTCCAGTGATTGTAACTGAGTCTGAGTTGTAAAGGGTAGAGATTTTGTCTATTTAAGTGCTGATTCTTACTCAACATGGGCCAGATCACAGAGTTGGCACTTGAGCTGGTAACGAATTGTGGTAATTAATGGTAGTGGTACTAGAATTAGGAAAAAGGTAAAACTCCTGTATTCTAATGGGTGATAAAAGTTTCTCTGACTCTTCTGGTTACATTATGAGTAAAAATCACTGTAAGATTAGTATTCATTGAGTCCTTTTGGTTTTTAAGTATTTGGGGCTCTATAAAATAGTATATGTGACTTAAATTTCTGATTTTTGTGATCAGACTCACAAACACAGCTCAAGTCCTCGTATCATTCACATTCAGTAACTGATTTTTTCACAGTATTTTAAACTATCTTTTAAGTTTGATGAAACTTCTTTGTAGATAACCCAGTCATGGTATCCTATATATGGGAGTTACATTTAATTAGTCAGCTTTTAGTGTTTGGGAGAAGAGTAGTTGCAGTTGCCCAGGAGTTTTAATATATTAATCTTGAAATATTCCAAGTGCCTAGAATAGCTTTTGGCACCTACAAGCCTTTGATAAATGTTGAGCTGAAACAGCCAATTTTTTGGCTTCTTGTCCTGTGAATATAAAATTACCCTACCTCTTTATTCAGTGTTATATTTTTGTGGATAAGTTATAATTTGCATGGCTACTATTCGGTATTAATAATGTGGATTGCTGAACAAATATGGTCATATACCAAAGACAAGCCATAAAAAGTATGCTTACTAGTAACCTTGGCATGTGTGAAATACCAGAATGTTTCATTAGTTCCCTGATTTTTACAAAAGTTATATATGTGTCTGTTTAATTTTTTGCTTAATTTTAAAAATGTGTATCTTGATAATTTTAACCATAGGCCTTCTGTGACTCATGAAAAAGCTTTTTGTTGTTGTTTGTGTAAGGTAATATGAGCTTTTTTTTTTTGAGGAGTCAAGTGTTTTCAAGTTTTAAAAGAATAAAAACTTTAGTATATTTGTGGTAGTAAGTTTTGAAGGTTTCCCATGAAGAAATTTTTTAAAAACCAATTTATATTATATTAAATGCCGTTAAACATCTCGAAACATTTATGCATTTCAAACATATACTGCAGAGTAGAAATGCATAACTCTGTGAAATTGAAGCTCTTAAAAGATAGGTTAGATTTTTGATTAGAGGCTTTCCAAATGATCTTTACATAATTGTAAAGCTATGTCTTGACATATGGAAGAAATAGAGTCTATATTTTGGATGTTTATTGTATACTTAAAAACATTCTAAGAAAATGCCTAAGGTTATTCTTTCCCATTTAGGCCCATTTTTTGATTTGACTACTTGTTTTCATTCAACCTAGTATAGGAGAAACGGCATGAACCCAGGCTTTCAGCAATATGGGTTTTAGTTTTGGTTCTTCTACAGACTAGTCTTGTGGTCTGTAGCAAATCATTCAACTGACAAGGACTTCAGTGTCCTCATCTGTTAAGTAATAAGTAACATTTGCCTAGTGCTTTACATTTTACTTGTCAGTTGATATGGTTTAGCTCTACGTTCCCACCCAAATCTCATGTTGAATTGTAATCCCCAGTGTTCGGGGAGGGACCTGGTGGGAGGTGATTGGATCATGGAGGTGGATTGGAGGTGATTGGATCATGGGTGCAGATTTCCCCCGGCTGTTCTTGTGATAGTGAGTTCTCATGAGAGTGTGTAGCACTTCCCCCTTCATCCTCTCTCCCGCTGTGCCATGAGAATTCGGTGTTTGCTTCCCCTTTGCCCTTCCGTCATGATTGTGAGTCTCCATGGCCTCCCCAGCCATGCCTCCTGTACAGCCTGTGGAACTGTGAGTCAATCAAATCTCTTTTCTTCTAAATTACCCAGTCTCAGGTAGTTCTTTATAGCAGTGTGAGAGTGGATGAATACAGCAGTTTTATTTACATTTTGGTTGAATGGAAAGGTTCAAAACACATTTATTGATTTAGGCCCAGTGCTGTTCACTAGAAGTACAAATAACTAATAAATGTTGCTGTCTTGCATTCTTCACACACTAGATGAGGTAATAGGTATGTAAAAAGCCAAATTCTGTTTTGCAAAGAGTTAGAGTTCTTTAGGAGGAAAAAAGGAGATGCACATAGCCTAACAATTTAGAAAAAGTTTCATTGGTGAGAGAATCCGTTAGCACAGTGGTCCTCGACCTTTTTGGCACCAGGGACTGGTTTCATGGAAGACAATTTTTCTACGGATGGGGGTGATAGTTTCAGGATGAAACTGTTCCACTTCAGATCATCAGGTATTAGATTCTCATAAGGAGTGCATAACCTAGATTCCTTGCATGTGCAGTTCACAATAGGGTTTATTCTCCTATGAGAATCTAATGCTGCTGCTGATCTGACAGGAGGAGGTGGAGCTCAGGCAGTAATGCTTGCCCACCCGCCACTCACCTGCTGCTATGTGGCCCAGTTCCCAACGGGCCATGGACCAGTACCCAGGGGTTGGGGACTCCTGCTTTAGCAGATTCTTGAAAGAATAGGAGTTATTGAATATAAGCTTCAAAAGGGCAGGTGTTTTTCTTTTTTCGTTCACTGTTTTATCTTTAGCTCCTAGGATGGGTGCTCAGTAAATATTGAGAGAGTGAATGAATAAATGAGTAAGTCAGAGAAGAGAGGGCAAAGAACATCTTGGAAGAGGAAACAATGATATGCTCAAATTTTATTTCTGTCTCTAAATATCCAGTGTTGTACCCCTAGGTTACCCAAAGAAGAATGTTCCCAGCATGTGGTCTAAATGGATTTACTTTTCTCACAATTAATTACTCAAAATCATTGCCACATTTTAGGTTGATGGCTCTATGTTAGGATCATGTTGTTATATAATTTTCTGTTTCTGGGAGTTTTTTCTTTTTTTGTTATTTTGAAAAAAGCAATGTATGCATCTTTTATCCCTTTGGTAATATCTTTGAGCTTCTTACTCAGTGTATTTATTTCCTGAAATGTATGTGATTCTTCTTTGAGATTTCTTTGGAGCTTCCTGATTTCTTGTTCTAATGTGGACTTATTGCTTTGAGGTCTGTTTTATAGCCGTATCCTTAGAATTTCTTTTCACTTGACTCTTGGGTTAGTGCCACCATTAAAAAAAGGATATTTCCTGTTTTCTTGGTTTTTACCTTTGTTTTGTATTCTTCCTAAACTGTCTTCTTCATGATACAAGAATAAGGGGTCAATTATTATTTGAGCCTTTGCATATCTGAAAATGTCTTTATTTTGCTTTTATGCTTGGTTGATAGCCTACGTAGAATTTTACAGTGAAAATAATTTTCTCTCAGAGCTTTGAGACTTTCCTCCATTTATCTTCTAACATCTAGTGTTGCTAATGGCTGTCAGAGTCTTACTTATTTGTAGGTTTTTTCCCCCTCTGGAAATTTCTGGAGTTTTCTTTTTATCTTGACGTTTCTGATATTTCACAAGAATGTGCCTAGATGTGAGTCCATTTTATTAGTTATGCTCAGCATTCAGTAGTTCCTTTTAATATATAAACAATTGTCTGTCTTCAGCTTTGGAAAATTTCTATTTTCTTTATTGAAAGGTTGAATCTCCTGAATTTGTTTTTCCTCTTAGATTATCCGTCTCTTTTTGTCTTTTTGCCTTTTGGAGGAGGCGGGGTGCTTTATTTTGCTTTATTTTCTGACTTTTCTAACTGAACTTTTTATTTTAGCAGTTATATTTTAATTACAAGAACTCTTTTGATTATTCCTTTTTCATAACATATTGATGCTGACATGGATAGAAAAGCTTTTGAAATTGCTTTAAGAATAATACGTTTTTTAAATAAATGCTATTGTCTGTTTCCTGAATCATTTCTGTTTCTTCTAGGGTTATGGATTTCCTTGTTTTATTTATTCTGGTCTTGCCCTTGGGACTGGAAGGCTGCTCAGGTCTCACCGTAAGCACTGGGACAATGCCTTTTGACTGACAGGCATAATATTAGGGTGAATGGGTTGGGAGCTAGCTTTTAAGGGAAAGGGCCTACAACAGGTTTTTATTGAATTTTTTTTTTTTTTTTTTTTGAGACGGAGTCTCACTCTGTCGCCCAGGCTGGAGTGCAGTGGCGCCATCTCGGCTTACTGCAAGCTCTGCCTCCCGGGTTCACACCATTCTCCTGCCTCAGCCTCCCGAGTAGCTGGGACTACAGGCTACTGCCACCACGCCTGGCTAATTTTTTGGTATTGTTTTTAGTAGAGACGGAGTTTCATCATGTTAGCCAGGATGGTCTTGATCTCCTGACCTCGTGATCCTCCCACCTCGGCCTCCCAAAGTGCTAGGATTGCAGGCGTGAGCCACTGCGCCCGGCCCCCTGAATTTCTTTAGAGAGGAACCCTTTCCCCTTTTTTTTGATCTGGGGATAAATGCCAGAATTCATGTAATCTGCATGTACATGGGAGCAGGGGCAGACTGGGGTCAAGGAGCCAACTCTTGTTCCATTTTCTTCTTTACAGCTTCCGTGAAAAAGTGAACTCCCTTTCCCTCTTGCTCTCCCTACCCTATGGTTCTAAGCTTGGAGTCCTTCTGGGGTTTACTTGGTAGATCACTTCTTTGTCTGCTCTTGGTTATGACCTTCTCCATAGAAATGCTTCCAAATTTATTGTACTCACTTGTGCCTTATATATACTCTATATGCTATCATACTCTTAGGAATTTAAATTAGTACAACTACTTCAAAGAGTAATTTGATAATCTCCTGTCGTTGAATATGTATGTACTCTAGGCTCTATCCAGTGGTTTTCCTCCTCCTTCTGTACTTTTGAGAAATCTTGGCACAATTGTATAGTGGGGCCTGTGCAAGAGTGTTGTCACAACAGAAAACTATTAATAGAAGCATATTTAAATGTCGATCAGCGTTAGTCCCTGGGTTAAAGGATGGTTGTAGTTCCCTCAGTCTTCACACTTTGTAGCTCTTTCGTGAAGCCAAACTCTGGGAGTAGTATTCTGATTCAAGAGTACCCAGCATCCAGCTGTATAGATGAGAATTACATTAAAATACCACACAGGTGTTTTTTTTTTTTTTTTTTTTTTTGAGACGGAGTCTTGCCCTGTTGTTCAGGCTGGAGTGCAGTGGCACTATCTTGGCCCACTGCAACCTCTGCTTCCCATGTTCAAGCAGTTCTCGTGCCTCAGCCTCCCGGGTAGCTGGGATTACAGGCATGCACCACTATGCCTGGCTAATTTTCTATTTTTAGTAGAGATGGGGTTTCACCATGTGGCCAGGCTGGTCTTGAACTCCTGACCTCAGGTGATCCACCCACCTCGGCCTCGCAAAGTGCTGGGATTACAGATATGAGCCACCACACCTGGCCTTTATGTCTTAAAAGTTGTATAAACATTCAGTTTGATATATAAGAGACATTTTCACTATATACCTTTATCAGGATGAGATCTATTTCTGTAATATTGGGTGGGTGTGAGGGAACACAAAATAATGGAGAAGAAATTCCAGACTGAAGATAGCAACTCTTAAATGATTTGTATATTTTCTTGAAGGCTGGTGGTGGACTTGTTTTATATTGAAAATAATTGAGAAAGTCCAGTTTTCTTTAGTTACCAGTGTAAGGGCACATTAAGACTATTCTGCTTGGTAAATTCTCACTGTTACAGTTTTAGAACAATGGTTCTCAACTCCAGTGACAGACATTTGGTAGATAAAATAACAACAGAAATATGTATTACTTTTATGTGCCAGGTACTTTTCTAAATACATTATGTATATTATGGCATTTAATCCTCATGAGGATTGGAGAACTCTATGAGGTAAGAACTATTAATGACCCATTTTCCAGATGAGAAATGGAAACATATGGAGGTTAAGTAGTGATATGGAAAGAAAGGATTGGAATTATAGCTGAAGACTAGAATTGAGCTGAGAACATGAAATGTGGAGCCAGACTGCCAGGATTTGAATCCTGGCTCTGCTACATACTACCTCTCTGAACTTGGGCAAGTTTTTAAACTTCTCTGTGACTTAATTTCTTCATCTGATATATGGGACAAGATATGAGTTGTTATAAAGATTACATGTATTTAAAGAATAACACCTGGCACATAAGTGGCCCTATATATATTTGCTTTTGACATTGTCATCCTTATCCTATCATCTCACTTAGGTAGATAAAAGTGTCTTTGCATTTTGGACATGATCATCTACCAGATGTATTTGGGTAGAAGAATGCAGAGAACTATAGAACCAAGGATAGAATCTTAGTATTCACCATTGGTACTTTGGTACTTTGAATTATTGTTGTTAATGAAGAAAGTATACATTCCATAACATAGACCTCACATTTTTAGGTACAGTGTTAGTTTCTTTAATAGAATCAAACGGTGGTGGCTGGGCGAGGTGGCTCACACCTGTAATCCCAGCACTTTGGGAGGCTGAGGCGGGGAGATCACTTGGGCTCAGGAGTTTGAGACCAACCTGGCTGACATAGAGAAACCCCGTCTCTACTAAAAATACAAAAATTGGCCTGGTGTGTTGGCATGCGCCTGTAATCCTAGCTGCCGGGAGACTGAGGCATGAGAATCACTTGAACCCAGGAGGCAGAGGTTGCAGTGAGCCTAGATCTCGCCACTGCACTCCAGCATGGGTGACAGAGTGAGACTCCACCTCAATAAACATATAAATACATAAATAACCAAATAACCAAATAAATAAAAGAGTCAAGCAGTGGCTATTCAAAATATACTAGCATATTTTATCCAAGTGCCCTTAGAATCAATACCTTGCATGTAATAGCCTTTATGGTAAACATTTGGTTTGTTATATTTTAAAAATATGTATATGTTCTGCCTTGATGTTAAGTGCTTCTTCAAACTTTTTTTTCTTGGTAAGGGCATATCAAGTTTGCATTATTGATTATTAAGATTAATTTGGAGTTTAAAAGCTTGATATGTCATTGTTAATAGTAGACATCTTTTTGATATGTGTGGATTTCTGTTCAATAAAGTGCTCTTTGGGGTTTATATTTACCTTTGTGTTATTAGATTAATTCATGTTTGACTTTCCTAATCACTTTGTTGCATGTTCCTCCTTTGTGTAATAGATACTGGTTCATACTGGATTTACAACTCCATATATATTGAGTGCTTTTCTGTTGTCTTCTGATCTCTTTTTCAGGAATCTTTTCATGTGGGAAAGGATTTTAAAATGTGTACCCACTGACCATTTTCACAGTAGAGTATCAGTTCTCTTTCTCTGCAGATCAAGGGATTATAAGCAGCTTGTATATATATATATTTACATATGGTGTAAGTAGTGAAAGCTTTCATTTTGAATCACTAGTTGTGGGGCTTTGTGATAGATTATTAATCTTTTTTTTCCTTGCCAGACATGTGCAATCCAGATTTCATGAAAGACAACCTCTCTCTGCCCTCTCGAATAATGGTTAAAATATTCTAGTTATTTTTCCTAATGTATGTACTTTGTGTTGAACAGAAGATTTGTGTTTTTCTGGACAAATTCCATAACTTTTTTTATTGTTTATAACCTTGGATATTTTATATTTTCAAGTCTCTTCTTTAGGGGGGTGGAATGAAATAGATTTGTGAGGGTAGAAGGGAGTTAACTGAACAGCTGTGCTGTTTTTCCCAGAGTATTTTCCTCATCCAGGATACCTGGGAGCCCCAATTTAATGTGTGTATTCTTTATCCTAGGAGAGGAGGAGGGGGCAGGGAGAAATTTTGGTTGTTAAGAAGTTGGAATATGAAGCTTGATGAATGATCAGATAAAATCTTACATGTAAGCTTAAGTATTACTTTTGAGATTTAAGTATTTCAGAAATTGCTACATATTCACCAAGTTTCTCGAAACCATTGATTTTTCTGTAAAGGGTTTTGGTAACTATTGTGTGAGTTGATTATGCCATAAAAATGAATGGAAACTGAAACATCTGAGAGTTCCGTAAAATGAGAAATCAAATGCAAATGAATACAATGACAAACTAGCTAGGGGAGGTGCTAGTAGGAAAATGAAGGCAGCAGGAGACTTTAAAAAAATGACTGTGCATGTTCCTTTTAAAAAATATGTTTATTCTACTTTTCTTTCCGCCAATTATTGTATCCCTTTTTTTGATGGGCCAGAAAGTAGAAAATAGATCAGACATCTAAAGCTGTTATACATCTGGAATAACCTCTAGCATTTCTGGAGTTAGTCAGTGGTTTGTGCTTTACACAAACCTCTTTTCCAAGAACTTCTCCTGTTTGGTATTTACTTCAAGTTTACTGAATCAGTTTCAACTTTTGGTTATAAGTTACAGAAAACCCAGCCTAAGCCAGCTCAAGCCAAAGAGGGAATTTATTTGTTCACATAACCCTTGCTCATTGCAAAGTTAGTTTGTGCATGGCTTGATTCAGGGTGAGAGGAATTACTTGAATTCATGTTTTTGTTCTGATACCTCTTTCTTGGCCTCACTCACACAAGCTCTTCCCTCAGTTACAAGATGTCTGCCAGCAGTTCCCTGGGTTATATCTTTCTAGTTGAAATCCAGCAGAAAAGAGTGATAATCTTGTGCCTCTGCGTGGGTCATGTGCCCTTCTCTGAGCAAATCATTGTGGCCATTACAATGTGATTTAGTAATTGACTTAGACCTAGGTCATATGTTCAATCTGGAGCTAGGGTAGACTTGACTACCAGAAATACATGGTCTGAGAATGGAGAAGTAGTGATTTCCTAGAGGGAAATCAGAATATGTTTAGCAGGAGAAGAGCAAATGAGTGCTAGACTGGCAAAAAATAATAGATGTTTCTATATATTTACTAAACTTCAAAACACACCAGGAATAAAGGACAATAATTTAAAAACTCTAAAATAGCTCACAAAATGAATCTTAAACTGTGGAAGATACATCTGGTGACATTGAGTCAAAGCTTTTGGGTCCCATCTCTTTTTTCCTTCTGTCACAGTAAGGGACAGTAAGGTTGATGTTTCTCAAGGAGCCTGTTCCTGCTAGGTCAGCAGTAAATGTTTGCTAAAGGATTTTCCTGGAAAGTACTCAGTGGAAAGACCCATGGTTCTCTTTAGTCCAGGATGGCTTGATCCTGGTGTTATTTCTGGTGTCCCTGGCCCGTTCTTACAAGGATTTTCTGACTCTGAGTGGGTACTAATGATCAGTGCTGTACTAGAATCTTAGGAGAATGAGTTCTTTTGTGTAGAAAGTGATACTTTTTGCTCCTTATTTCGGGTGTCCCATGGAGTGAGTATGAGTTCTGAGTGTACTTCACACTTGCCTCTTAAAGTTCTAAGCCACAACATTAACAGGATATGCATTGTGGGATTAGACCATTAAAATTTTCATGGCAGTCATGTGCTGCCACATTGTAATCTCTGATTAAATACAGCATACACATCACGCTTCATTACATCTTTTCTAAATCTTTTGATTGAATTATAAACACTTTATGATTTTTCCACATTATAATATATAGTCCCCTACATAGACTATCCCTTCTACCTTAACTAAGTAAATTAAGTTTACAAAGGTATTTCCTTGGCTTCCCTTATTGGTAAGTTGCCCAGTTTTCACCTTTGTTATTCTTCTTGGCATTTCTCCCAGTTCTACTTCCCTTTCGTCAGTCAGGCCCACCTTCATACACTTTATTTTTGTATTGTACATTCCTCTGCAGGCAGACTGCCTGTCATTGCCAGATCTGTAGTGAGCCCTTCTTCCCTGTCAGAAGCCTGACCCCATAGCACGCTGTAACAGTGGTTATTTGGAGTGATGTGGTTTAGTGGAAAGCCCTTTGGATGTGGAGCAGGAAGACCAAGCTTCAGTGCTTGGGTTGTTACTTATTAGCTCTGTGACCCTGGGTACATTGTGTAACTCCTCTCAGCTTCAGTTTCCTAATCCTGAAATTGATCTAATATCATATTACTTGCTTTACCTACATCAGTGTTTTCTTGTGGGAAAAAAACATGGTAAGTGTCAGAGGACTCTGTAACCTGTAAAGTTCTATACAAATGTAAATTGCCACTTTTTACTGTTAAGGTAAAAACTTTAAAAAGTGGTATTTAGTTTTAAATCACAAGTGATTTAAGAATTGTATGATGTTTGTTGAAATAGTGGATATTCTTCAGCATTAGAAAAAACATATGAAAAGATCATTGTGTCTTATCTTACTTTTGTTTAATCTTAGGAAATCAAGAAATATATATAAGTTAATATTCCAGGAAATGGAAAGTTAGTTCCTTGGATGGCAAATTTCTAATTTTAACAGTATTATATGGAGATCTTCTAAAATTGCGTTGCATAATTATCTGTACTTTTAACTAGAGTGTACTTTTAACTGCTTCATTCCTTTTAATTATATAAATTATAGAGAAAAACATAACACGAGCACATTGTAAAAATTTCAAATAATACAAAAGGGTACAAAAGAGGAAGTTAATGTCTTCACATCTACCCTTCAATTTTACTTCCTTGAGGTTGTGTCAGTTAATTTCTTGTGGATTCTTTCACCACATATGTATGTATATCTTGTTTTACACAAGGGATTAATACCATATGTGATGTTTTATACCTTACCGTTTTTCATTTTCAACTTCTGATATATTTTAGATACCTTCCCATACCAGTACATATAGGTCTTATGTGTGTGTAACAGAATGTATTTTTTTCAGTCTCCTGGATGAAAGTGACTTCTAACTTTTTAATGTTTTATTGCTACACTCAAAGCTGCAGGGAACTTTTGTACATAGGTATTGGCATATTTGTGTTGTGGTCATTGGATGTATTAATGAAATGGAATTACTGAGTCAAAGGACATGTTCATTTTTTATAACAATTTTTTGGGAGAACTGAGAGGATGCTAACTAAGCAATATATGATTCTTTAGTGCTAAGGCACTTTCAGTTGTGGGAAAAGACTCTAGATAGTCTTTAAGACCTACGTAAATTAGGAAAGATGGATTTTGCTTTTGGCACCTTTTGGCTTCTCTGCATGGTCTGACTCTTCTTCGTCTTCTGAATAATTTTGCTTAAGGTGTTCACTATTAATTCTACCACACAAGTCTCTCTTAGGATTCTAAGCAAGGTTATAGACCTGTTACTATTACTCCTACTACTACTACTGTTATTTTTACGAATTATTTTATTATTAAATTCTCCACTTCTGTTTTCCTCCTTTTAGTCTTTGTCTGAGAGCCTGCTGTCAGAGTTTTCTTCCTAAAAGTTCAGATATGATCATGTCATCTTTCCACTTAAAAATATGTGGGTGTGTAAAACAGTTTGGCCCTAATCTGACTTCCCATTTTGCACTATTTTACCATACACACTATGTTCAAACACAAAGAACTATTCATTGGTAATGCACTTTATGTATTTTTATGCTCAGTGCCTTTGCACATGCCTTATGTATCTTTCCCTCTTTGGTCACCTGATAAACTTTGTTCACTCTTTTAGAGTCAGCTCAAAAGTCATCTCTGTGAAGCCCTTCCTGAGTGGTAGAATGGTAAGGTAGATGGTCGAGGCTGGCAGGAATTGTATCATTCAAGGCCTTAAATGTTGTATTAGATGGTTTGGATTTTAAGAGTACTGGTTCTTATGCATAATCAGCTTTAAGAACTGCTGTCCTGGAGTGCTCCTATTGCTAATCCTGTTGTTGCAGGCATCGCTTAGTATTGTAATTAATTGTTCCTATTCCCTTCCCACAAAATTCTGAGTGTCATGAAGACAGTGATCATGTAACAGACTTTCAGTAAATCCTTGTTAGTGCCTACCTTCTACAGTTCTGTTTGGGTGTTAAATGAAATGAAACCTGTGGAGTGGCTGACTAGTAAGAACTCAATAAATGCAAGCTGTTATTGTTATCACCATTGTTAACACTGGATAGATTAATCCTGACTCGAGGAATATAGGGTGATTTCTTGAAAGAGGCAAAGTTTGATCCAGGCCTTAAAAGACTGTGTAAGGATTACATTGGTGAGTTTCGATCAATTTTTAAGACCTTATGCAAGTGCCTATGAAAGTAAAACTTAAATGAAGTACCTGTACTTATCTATTTATGGCATTTGAAAAGGGGGGCGTATGTCTAATTTTTTGTATCCTTACTATCTAATAGGTATTAAATGTAGAATTAATGCGTCATTTTATATGCATAAGTAATTATGTCCAAAAGGTGTTTAGCTAACATTGCGAAAGACTTATTAGAAAATTAAAATTCTTAATTTTGTGTGAACTTAAAACCTCACTTGAATTCATTTTTACTGATCTAAAAACATTAAGGCAGTATATGTATTTTAAAACCATTTGTGCATGTGCCCTTGAGACAAGTTGGTGGGTGTATTTTTATCAAAACCATATACACAGTGACATATTAAATGTATCATATTATTATACTAATCATGTGACTAAAGAAACAAAAGTAACCAGAGGACTAAAGCCTATCAAAACCATCTTTTTGTTTTCGTACAATGAAATTCTTCTTAAATTTGCCAGTGAATTCATACCAATTGAAACCAGATGTAGACTTCCATCTTTTAACGTATTAGCTCAGCTATAAATGTCTTACTTTTATCCCTGATTGCTGAGTATTTCATTCATGGTTTATTATCTCTCTACCACCCTTCTTTAAAAAAATACAGCAAAACAGACTATAAAATGTGATTCAGAGGATTTAAAAATGACATCGCACCATTTGTATAGTGACCTAAATGAAATGAAATCTGTAATGTATTGAGGATAACCTAATTAAATCCACAAATGAAGTATTCTGTTGATAAAATATTTTGTATTCCAATCAATGGTGTCCACAATTTTTTTTTTGTTTGTTTTAAGGGATTCTTAACAGATACCACTGAAGGAAGTGCTAGCTGTGATTTGAGAATGGATCTAACGCTTTTCCATCTTGGAGCTGAATTCTTACATTACCTTCTTCTATATGAAGCAGATCCTCTCTCATGTGTTTTCTCCCTCTTGGTGTTTTCAGTATAAATCTGACCATTTTGAAATAGTTGGGTATGGACCTATCCAGCCTCATGAAAAGTCTTACAGATATGAGAAAGGTACTGCTTTAAATTTTATGTCACAATGGAAAGAAGTAGTTCTCTTTGTTGCCAAATAAAAATCTAGCTACTTTTGGTAATTGGCTGTGCTTATATGTGAATGAAATTTGTTAAAACAGCTAGAGATTATTTGAAAACAAAACTCCATCTATCTAGGAAAATGACTGTCAACTTCTTTATTTTTTAATAACAAAAAGGTTAACATATGTCCAAATGACATGAAATGAGCATGATATAAACATCTAGATCAGAACCTGCTGTATGGTGTCCACTAAGTATACGTTCTTATTTCCTTCCACTCTCCTCCTTTTCCATTAGTGACACACAATACTTGTAGAGTACCTTAAACCTTGATACAGATATTTCTCTTGTCCAAAGTTCATTTGGCACCATTGATATTTAAAAGAGACCAAGTAAACATTTATCTTCCAAATTTGCTAAGATTTGTCTCCGTTTTGGTACAAGGCTGAAATTTGGACTATCGCTTTTTGTCATTTTTCTTATTGTAGTGGAAGGAAGAAAACTGGGCCTTACTTGGTTTCTGAGTGCCATTTTATAATTGTTATATTTCTATTCTTTAGTTCATTATTTGAGTTACTCTATTAGTAGTCTTTCCTTTCTCTGGATAGTGAGCTACTTTTTTTATTTAAAGCTTGATTTTAATGCCACTTCCTCTATCTGTTCCTAATTAATTGCACTCCTTTTTGGTTATGTTTCACTTTGAAAGAGCTTTTTATGATCATTTATGAGTCTCTAAGTCTGTATTTCCTGCTAGATTGGAGCCCCATGAGGTTAGGTTAGAGATTTAAAAAAAAATTAAATCTAGAGTAGGTGCTCAATAAATAATTTTTCAGTGGATCAATGTTTCCTAGTGCTTCTTGGAAAATACTTCTGAATTCTTATGTCACTTTTACACTCTGGTTTACATTCTGGTTATATATGTGCTGTTATTCACAGCAATATTGTAACCCCTGGGGTAATTTTATATTTGGTACTTTATTGTTTTAATTTGCCTTTCTTTGATAATTAGAGCAGTTTAGTAGTTTCCATGTATGTTAATTAGCTCTTTTTTTTAGTTTTGTGAATTTTATATTCATTTCTTAGGCCTGTTTATTTATTGAGATTTTATTGTTTTTCTGAAGGTTTTATATGAGCTCTATGTTCTAAATAAATAATTATATATATTAATATCTTGCTATGACTATTTTTTTCTTTTTAAAAATTTATTTAGTTTTTTTTAGAGACGAGGCCTCACTATGTTGCCCAGCCTGGACTTGAACGAACTCCTGGGCTCATGTGATCCTCCCACCTCAGTCTGCTGGGTAGCTGAGACTATAGGCCTGTGCCACCATAACTGGCTATTTTTCTGAGTTTTCTAAGGTTATGTAGAACCTTGTATGTATTCTAAGCTTATGTATTTTAAGTTTTTGTGTAGACAAAACTAATAAGTTCTCATAATTCTTTCTTTGCTTTTTTTGATTAGAAACTATCTTTCCTGCTTAGTGATTTGAAACTTACTTTGGTTTTCTTCTAAGTATTTTTAAAATGTTTAAATCTTTGATTTATATATTTGTTTTAGCAGAATTAAGCATCTGTTTTCAATAAAATGCTCATAAAGCCACCCATTAATGTACTCAGGGTGAAAGGAATCAAAAAAATTATTGGCCAGGTGAGTGTGCTTACTTCTACAATTCATTAACAGGTATATTTGTTTTGTTTGGCTGGCATACCATTGAAAATAATTTAAATTTGAATGCTGAGCTGGGGCAGGTACTCTGTCTGATATTCAGGGATGATTTTTTTTTACTGCCTATTTATGGCTGGTATCTGTTCTTACTGTTGTTTACCACTGGTAGCTGTTTTGATTGGTTGGTATTGTGGTTGGCAACTGTTCTAATTAGACATTTGCTTTAATGACTGTCAGATATTTTGAATATCACACTTAGAACAAGTCTCAAAACCCCCAGTTTTTCTTTTTTTTTTTTTTTTTTTGAGACGGAGTCTCGCTCTGTCACCCAGGCTGGAGTGCAGTGGTGTGATCTATGCTCACTACAAGCTCCACCTCCCGGGTTCATGCCATTCTCCTGCCTCAGCCTCCCGAGCAGCCGGGACTACTGGTGCCTGCCACCACACCTGGCTAATTTTTTTGTACTTTTGGTAGAGACGGGGTTTCACTGTGTTAGCCAGGATGGTCTCGATCTCCTGACCTTGTGATCCACCTGCCTCGGCCTTCCAAA
Source organism: Homo sapiens (assembly GCF_000001405.40). Taxonomy (NCBI): domain Eukaryota; kingdom Metazoa; phylum Chordata; class Mammalia; order Primates; family Hominidae; genus Homo; species Homo sapiens. The sequence continues at coordinate 98,720,505 of NC_000008.11, read as the reverse complement.
GTGCTGGGATTACAGGCGTGAGCCACCGTGCCTGGCCCCAGTTTTTCTTATATTAGACTAATTCATATATTTATGTTTGTGACATCTGGCAGTGGTGGGATGGAAGTAATATTGATTGTTGAAGAAATGTGAGGTTTGCTACTTAGTAGTTGTATGACATTCGGTAGTCCATTTAATTTCTCTGAATTCGTTTCCTCGTCTGTTAAAAGGAATAATAATAAGTGTTTCTGCTTACTTACTTAAGTAGAGAAATCACATAAAATACTTTTTATAAACTGTAAATAAATATAAAAATTTAAGACAACAGTATGCCTTTACGTTCTAGAAAATATTTCTCCACCTGTTTATTGTTGTTTAAAGTGATTTTATTGAGGGATAGGAACCTTTCATTTCATAATTGAATTTAAAAGTCTTAAAGTACAGATACTGCTTATAAGCCTTAATACTAAATTGGGTTGTTAAAATAAATTTAAATTAAGCTCTATTCATGTACTTGTATGAATGACTGGATATTGCATCATTTTTTGATTAAGGAGGATATGAAGCGAATGGGAAGACATTGACTCTCTGAAGTAGTGGGAGGGATTTGTTACCAAAGGGAAGCATAATGAAAGAGAGGCTGTATAAACTTCAGATCTGCACTCTCCACCTTTAACAGTTCAGAGCCAAATTCAGGTTATGCCCTCAGATATTCTTGTCTGCTCATTAGGACTGGGATTATCAGTTTCCCTGTCCGTGTATATCCAGCACCTTGAAGAGTATCAGCGCTGTGGTAGAGCCAGTCAAGAATATATTTACTAAATGAACACATAGATTGATGCCCAAATGAGTGAGAATTTTATTTAGTGAAGATTGCCTCTACATGAAGATACTTTGATAACATAGAATCATAGAGTTGGAATGACCCTTTCAAGTCATTGAGCAAAGCCAGACAGTTCATGAATTAGTATAATATCCCTGGAAAATCCTCCTTTAGACTTGCTGTGGATTTGTCCAGTGGCTTTATAGCATTAAAATCAGACAGATCCTAAGACCCTGAAGTACAGTCAGTTTATTTAATTCTGAACATTCTTTAGTAGAGCAGTGATATATAGGGTACAGGAGCAGAGATAACAAATCAGAGTTAATAGAAAATTAGTGACTTATTGGTTGGAAATAGAATGTTAAGAGATAAAAATTGAAGTCTAGGTAACTAAAAAGGTCTGTACTGAAGTAACTAAATAAGACACAATTTTATGGGCTGATGCTGCCTTTATTAACACCCCAAGCTTTTTAGTCTTTATACAAAGAGTGGAGGATGAGGACAGACGAGAAAAGCTAGGTGCACATGACAGCACCACCACCTTGCCCACCGTCTGTAGTGGTCCATTATGGTGGCCCTAAACACACTCCTACCTCCCACTCCCCCACATTTGGCTGCACACCACTAACTTAGAAAGATTGGGAACATCAGATGAAGGTGTCTCCTTTCTTTTTGTATCGACAAGTCTGTACCCATTCATTCATTATTTATCAAGTGCTATCTGTACGCCAGGCATAGTTCCAAGCATTGTGGATACATCAGTGAACAAAGTGTTCACAAAACATTCTTGTGGACCCTTTCTAGTGCAGTACTGTCCAAAAGAAACACAAGCCACATGTAATTTTAAATTTTTGAGTAGCCACATTAAAAAAAGTGAAATTAACTTTCATAATGTATCACACATATTAATAAATAACAATATTATATAATATGAAATACCATATTTAATACTTACTATATTAAACATTAACATTTTATATGTTCAACATTAATATATTAATATCATAACATAATATGTAAATATTTAGTGGGTAATCAGTATGTGAATTTTTAACAAAATAGCTTGCATTCTTTTTGTACTAAGCCTTGATCTTTGGTGTATATTTTACATTTATAGCATAACTGAAATTAGAATACCCACGTTTCAAATGTTTAGGAGCCATGTGTGGTTAGTGGTTACTCTGTTGGATGGTGCAGCTTTAGAGTATGGTGCTTGCTTTCTCTGCGCTGTCAAGTCAGACCATCTAGTCTGAAGGAGAGAATAAATTCCTGGAAGTACCGGAATTTTCAGATAATCCAGACTGCTTACCTATGGCCAGGAAAGCCTTACATGATCTGGTCCTTGCCTGTCTCTCAGATCTCATCTAGAGCTAGTCTTCTGGTGCATTAAACTTCAGCCTTCTTTATTCAACTCAAATATGGTGAGCTTTTTCTTGAATCAAGGCATTTCCCCCCCTCAGTTTTATTTTTATTGTGCCAAGATACACATAAACAAAATTTGCCATCTTAGCCATTTTTAAGTGTGCAGTTCAGTGGCATTAAATACATTTATAAAGTTGTGTAAGCATCCCCATTATCCATCCCCCTAACTCTTTTCATCTTGTAAGACTGAAACTCTGTACCCATTAAGCACTAACTGTCCATTGTGTGCTACCTCGGCCCCTGGCAACCACTGTTCTACTGTCTATCTAGATGTGTGATTTTGGTAACTCTGAGTATTTCATATAAGCAGGATCATACATTAGTTGCCTTTTTTTGTGACCGACTTACTTCATTTAGCATAATGTACTCAAGGTTCAGCCATGTTGTAGCATATTGCAGAATTGCCTTCCCTTTTAAGGCTGAATAAAATTCCATTGTATGTTTCTACCACATTTTACTTATTCATTTGTCTGTCGAATGACATTTGGGTTGCTTCCACTTTTTAGCCATTGTGAATAATGCTACTATGAACATGGGTGTACGTTCATCGTGAGGTGAAACTTGTTCAAAAACACCTCTTTGAGACCCTGCATTTAATTCTTTTGAGTATTTACCCAAAAGTGGAATTGCTGGGTCAAAAGGTAATTTTATGTTTAACTTTTAAAGGAATCTTCATACTATTTTCCACAGAGGCTGTACCATTTTACATTCCCATTAGCTATACACAAAGTTTCCAATTTCTCTACTTCTTTGCCAACATTTGTTCTTTTCTGTCTTTTGATAATAGCCGTCATAATGGGTGTGAAGTGGTATCTCATTATGTTTTTGATTTATATTTGTCTTATGATTGGTGATGTTGAGGATCTTTCCACGTGCCTCTTGGCCATTTGTATACCTTTGGAGAAATGTCCATACGAGTCCTTTACCCATTTTTGAATTTGATTTTTTTATTGTTAAGTTTTAGGAGTTCTCTATATATTCTGTATATTAATGTCTTATCAGATACGTAATTTTTAAATGTTTTCTCCCATTCTGTGGGTTGTCTTTTTACTCTGTTGATATTGTCTTGGGATGCACAGGTTTTTTTTTTTAATTTTCATGAAGTCCAATTTGTCTGTTTTATTCTTGTGTTCTCTGTGCCTTTTTGGTCGTATCTGAGAAATCATTACCAAATCTGGTATCATGAGGTTTTTGCCCTGTTTTATTTTTTCCCAAGAGTGGTATAGTTTTAGGTCTTATGTTTAGGTCTTTGATTCATTTTCAATTAATTTTTGTATATGGTGCTAGGTAAGGATTCTACTTATTCTTTAGCACACGGATATCCAGTTGTGCCAGCACTGTTTCTTGAAAATACTGTTCATTTCCTATTGAATGTTCTTGACACTCTTGTTGAAAATAATTTGATTATATATACAAGGGTTATTTCTGGGTTTTCTACTCTGTTCCTCCCATCTATCTGTCTGTGTTTATGCCAATATCACATTGTTTTGATTACTATAGCTTTGTAATAAGTTTTGAAATCAGGAACTATGAGAATTTTAGCTTTGTTCTTCTATTTTCAGTGTTGTTTTGGGGCCCCTTGAGATTTCATACAAATTTTAGGATAAGTTTTTCTATTTCTGCAATAAACATCATTGGGATTTTGATAGGGATTACATTGAATCTGTAGGTTGCTTTGGGTAGCATGGGCATCTTAAAAACATTAAATTTTCTTATCTATGAAGATATGATAGGTTTTTATTTATTAATGTCCTAAAATTTTTTTTCAGCAGTGTTTTGTAGTTTTCATTGTACAGATATTTCACCTCCTTGGTGAAATTAATTCCTAAGTATTTTATTCTTTAAAATAAAGAAATTCTATTTCTATTGTAAATAGAATTTTTTTTGTAGTTTCCTTTTCAGATTGCTCATTGGTAATGTATAAAAATATATCTGATTTTCTTGGGTTGATTTTGTATACTGCTACTTTGTTGAATTTATTTATTAGTTCTTTTTTTATTATACTTTAAGTTTTAGGGTACATGTGCACAACATGCAGGTTAGTTACATATGTATACATGTGCCATGTTAGTGTACTGCACCCATTAACTCATCATTTAATGTCAAGTATATCTCCTAATGCTATCGCTCCCCACTCCCCACACCCCACAACAGGCCCCGGTGTGTGATGTTCCCCTTCCTGTGTCCATGTGTTCTCATTGTTCAATTTCCACCTATGAGTGAGAACATGCGGTGTTTGTTTTTTTTTGTCCTTGCAATAGTTTGCTGAGAATGATGGTTTCCAGCTTCATCCATGTCCCTACAAAGAACATGAACTCATCATTTTTTATGGCTGCATAGTATTCCATGGTGTATATGCGCCACATTTTCTTAATCCAGTCTATCATTGTTGGACATTTGGGTTGGTTCCAAGTCTTTGCTATTGTGAATAGTGCCACAGTAAACATACGTGTGCATGTGTCTTTATAGCAGTATGTTTTATAATCCTTTGGGTATATACCCAGTAATGGGATGGCTGGGTCAAATGGTATTTCTAGTTCTAGATCCCTGAGGAATCGCCACACCGACTTCCACAATGGTTGAACTAGTTTACAGTCCCATCAACAGTGTAAAAGTGTTCCTATTTCTCCACATCCTCTCCAGCGCTTGTTGTTTCCTGACTTTTTAATGATTGCCATTCTAACTGGTGTGAGATGGTATCTCATTGTGGTTTTGATTTGCATTTCTCTGATGGTCAGTGATGATGAGCATGTTTTCATGGGTCTTTTGGCTGCATAAGTGTCTTCTTTTGAGAAGTGTCTGTTCATATCCTTTGCCCACTTTTTGATGGGGTTGTTTTTTTTTTCTTGTAAATTTGTTTGAGTTCATTGTAGATTCTGGATATTAGCCCTTTGTCAGATGAGTAGATTGCAAAAATTTTCTCCCATTCTGTAGGTTGCCTGTTCACTCTGATGGTAGTTTCTTCTGCTGTGCAGAAGCTCTTTAGTTTAATTAGATCCCATTTGTCAATTTTGGCTTTCGTTGCCATTGCTTTTGGTGTTTTAGACATGAAGTCCTTACCCATGCCTATGTCCTGAATGGTATTGCCTAGGTTTTCTTCTAGGGTTTTTCTGGTTTTAGGTCTAACATGTAAGTCTTTAATCCATCTTGAATTAATTTTTGTATAAGGTGTAAGGAAGGGATCCAGTTTCAGCTTTCTTCATATGGCTGGCCAGTTTTCCCAGCACCATTTATTAAATAGGGAATCCTTTCCCCATTTGTTGTTTTTGTCAGGTTTGTCAAAGATCAGGTAGTTGTAGATATGCGGCATTATTTCTGAGGGCTCTGTTCTGTTCCATTGGTCTGTTTCTCTGTTTTGGTACCAGTACCATGCTGTTTTGGTTACTATAGCCTTGTAGTGTATTTGAAGTCAGGTAGTGTGATGCCTCCAGCTTTGTTCCTTTGGCTTAGGATTGACTTGGCAGTGCGGGCTCTTTTTGGGTTCCATATGAACTTTAAAATAGTTTTTTCCAATTCTGTGAAGAAAGTCATTGGTAGCTTGATGGGGATGGCATTGAATCTATAAATTACCTTGGACAGTATGGCCATTTTCACGATATTGATTCTTCCTACCCATGAGCATGGAATGTTCTTGCATTTGTTTGTATCCTCTTTTATTTCATTGAGCAGTGGTTTATAGTTCTCCTTAAAGAGGTCCTTCATGTCCCTTGTAAGTTGGATTCCTAGGCATTTTATTCTCTTTGAAGCAATTGTGAATGGTAGTTCACTCATGATTTGTCTCTCTGTTTGTCTGTTATTGGTGTATAAAAATGCTTATGATTTTTGCACATTGACTTTGTATCCTGAGACTTTGCTGAAGTTGCCTGTTGGCTTAAGGAGATTTTGGGCTGAGACAATATGGGGTTTTCTAGATATCCAATCATGTCATCTGCAGACAGGGGCAATTTGACTTCCTCTTTTCCTAATTGAATACCCTTAATTTCCTTCTCCTGCCTAATTGCCCTGACCAGAACTTTCAACACTATGTTGAATAGGAGCGGTGAGAGAGGGCATCCCTGTCTTGTGCCAGTTTTCAAAGGGAATGCTTCCAGTTTTTGCCCATTCAGTATGATACTGGCTGTGGGTTTGTCATAGATAGCTCCTATTATTTTGAGATACATCCCATCAATACCTAATTTATTGAGAGTTTGTAGCATGTAGGTTGTTGAATTTTGTCAAAGGCCTTTTCTGCATCTATTGAGATAATCATGTGGTTTTTGTCTTTGGTTCTGTTTATATGCTGGATTATGTTTATTCATTTGCGTATGTTGAACCAGCCTTGCATCCCAGGGATGAATCCAACTTGATCATGGTGGATAAGCTTTTTGATGTGCTGCTGGATTCGGTTTGTCAGTATTTTATTGAGGATTTTTGCATCGATGTTCATCAGGGATATTGGTCTAAAATTCTCTTTTTTTTTTGTTGTGTCTCTGCCAGGCTTTGGTATCAGGATGATGCTGGCCTCATAAAATGAGTTAGGGAGGATTCCCTCTTTTTCTATTGATTGGAATAGTTTCAGAAGGAATGATACCAGCTCCTCCTTGTACCTCTGGTAGAATTCAGCTGTGAATCCTTTTGGTCCTGGAGTTTTTTTGGTTGGTAAGCTATTAATTATTGCCTCAATTTCAGAGCCTGTTATTGTTCTATTCAGAGATTCAACTTCTTCCTGGTTTAGTCTTGGGAGGGTGTATGTGTCAAGGAATTTATCCATTTCTTCTAGATTTTCTAGTTTATTTGCGTAGAGGTGTTTATAGTATTCTCTGATGGTAGTCTGTATTTCTATGGGATCGGTGGTGATATCACCTTTATCATTTTTTTATTGCTTCTATTTGATTCTTCTCTCTTTTCTATTAGTCTTGCTAGCGGTCTATTTTGTTGCTCTTTTCAAAAAACCAGTTCCTAGATTCATTAATTTTTTGAAGGGTTTTTTGTGTCTCTATCTCCTTCAGTTCTGCTCTGATCTTAGTTATTTCTTGCCTTCTGCTAGCTTTTGAATGTGTTTGCTCTTGCTTTTCTAGTTCTTTTAATTGTGATGTTAGGGTGTCAATTTTAGATCTTTCCTGCTTTCTCTTTTGGGTATTTAGTGCTATAAATTTCCCTCTACACACTGCTTTGAATGTGTCCCGGAGATTCTGGTATGTTGTGTCTTTGTTCTTGTTGGTTTCAAAGAACATCTTTATTTCTGCCTTCATTTCGTTATGTACCCAGTAGTCATTTAGGAGCAGGTTGTTCAGTTTCCATGTAGTTGAGCGGTTTTGAGTGAGTTTCTTAATCCTGAGTTCTAGTTTGATTGCACTGTAGTCTGAGAGACAGTTTGTTATAATTTCTGTTCTTTTACATTTGCTGAGGAGTGCTTTACTTCCAACTATGTGGTCAATTTTGTAATAGGTGTGGTGTGGTGCTGAAAAGAATGTATATTCTGTTGATTTGGGGTGGAGAGTTCTGTAGATGTCTATTAGGTCCGCTTGGTGCACAGCTGAGTTCAATTCCTGGATATCCTTGTTAACTTTCTGTCTTGTTGATCTGTCTAATGTTGACAGTGGGGTGTTAAAGTCTCCCATTATTATTGTGTGGGAGTCTAAGTCTCTTTGTAGGTCAGTCAGGACTTGCTTTATGAATCTGGGTGCTCCTGTATTGGGTGCATATATATTTAGGATAGTTAGCTCTTCTTGTTGAATTGATCCCTTTACCATTATGTAATGGCCTTCTTTGTCTCTTTTGATCTTTGTTGGTTTAACGTCTGTTTTATCAGAGACTAGGATTGCAACCCCTGCCTTTTTTTGTTTTCCATTTGCTTGGTAGATCTTCCTCCATCCTTTTATTTTGAGCCTATGTGTGTCTCTGCTCGTGAGATGGGTTTCCTGAATACAGCACACTGATGGGTCTTGACTCTGTATCCAATTTTGCCAGTCTGTGTCTTTTAATTGGAGCATTTAGTCCATTTACGTTTAAGGTTAATATTGTTATGTGTGAATTTGATCCTGTCATTATGATGTTAGCTGGTTATTTTGCTCGTTAGTTGATACAGTTTCTTCCTAGCATTCATGGTCTTACAATTTGGCATGTTTTTGCAGTGGCTGGTACTGGTTGTTCCTTTCCATGTTTATTGCTTCCTTCAAGAGCTCTTTTAGGGCAGGCCTGGTGGTGACAAAATCTCTCAGCCTTTGCTTGTCTGTAAAGTATTTTATTTCTCCTTCACTTATGAAGCTTAGTTTGGCTGGATATGAAATTCTGGGTTGAAAATTCTTTTCTTTAAGAATCTTGACTATTGGCCCCCCTGTCTTCTGGCTTGTAGAGTTTCTGCCGAGAGATCAGCTGTCAGTCTGATGGGCTTCCCTTTGTGGGTAACCCGACCTTTCTCTCTGGCTACTGTTAACATTTTTTCCTTCATTTCAACTTTGGTGAATCTGACAATTATGTGTCTTGGAGTTGCTCTTCTTGAGGAGTATCTTTGTGGCGTTCTCTGTATTTCCTGAATTTCAATGGTAGCCTGCCTTGGTAGGTTGAGGAAGTTCTCCTGGATGATATCCTGCGGAGTGTTTTCCAACTTGGTTTCATTCTCCCCATCACTTTCAGGTACACCAATCAGACATAGATTTGGTCTTTTCACCTAGTCCCATATTTCTTGGAGGCTTTGTTCATTTCTTTTTATTCTTTTTTCTCTAAACTTCTCTTCTCACTTCATTTCATTCATTTGATCTTCCATCACTGATACCCTTTCTTCCAGTTGATTGAATCGGCTACTGAGGCTTGTGCATTTGTCACGTAGTTCTCGTGCCTTGGTTTTCAGCTCCATCAGGTCCTTTAAGGACTTCTCTGCATTGGTTATTCTAGTTAGCCATTTGTCTAATTTTTTTTTCAAGGTTTTTAACTTCTTTGCCTGGGTTCGTACTTCTCCTTTAGCTCGGAGTAGTTCGATCATCAGAAGCCTTCTTCTCTCAGCTTGTCAAAGTCACTCTCTGTCTAGCTTTGTTCCATTGCTGGTGAGGAGCTGTGTTCCTTTGGAGGAGGAGAGGCACTCTTATTTTTAGAGTTTCCAGTTTTTCTGCTCTGTTTTTTCTGCATCTTTGTGGTTTTATCTACCTTTGGTCTTTGATGATGGTGATGTACAGATGGGGTTTTGGTGTGGATGTCCTTTCTGTTTGTTAGTTTTCCTTCTGTCAGGACCCTCAGCTGCAGGTCTGTTGGAGTTTGCTGGAGGTCCACTCCAGACTCTGTTTGCCTGGGTATGAGCAATGGAGGCTGCAGAACAGTGGATATTGGTGAACAGCAAATGTTGCTGCCTGATCGTTCCTCTGGAAGTTTTGTCTCAGAGGAGTACCGGGCTGTGTGAGGTGTCAGTCTGCCCCTACTTGGGGCTGCCTCCCAGTTAGGCTACTTGGGGGTCAGTGACCCACTTGAGGAGGCAGTCTGTCTGTTCTCAGATCTCCAGCTGTGTGCTGGGAGAACCACTACTCTCTTCAAAGATGTCAGACAGGGACATTTAAGTCTGCAGACGTTTCTGCTGCCTTGTTTGGCTATGCCCTGCCCCCAGAGGTGGAGTCTACAGAGGTAGGCCAGCCTCCTTGAGCTGTGGTGGGCTGCACCCAGTTTGAGCTTCCTGGCTGCTTTGTTTACCTACTCAAGCCTGGGCAATGGCAGGCGCCCCTCCCCCAGCCTCGCTGCCGCATTGCAGTTTGATCTCACACTGTTGTGCTAGCAGTGAGCGAGGCTCCATGGGTGTAGGACCCTCCAAGCCAGGCGCGGGATATAATCTCCTGGTGTGCCGTTTGCTAAGACCATTGGAAAAGCACAGTATTAGGGTGGGAGTGACCTGATTTTCCAGGTGCCATCTGTCACCCCTTTCTTTGACTAGGAAAGGGAATTCCCTGACCCCTTGCACTTCCCAGGTGAGGTGATGCCCCGCCCTGCTTCAGCTCATGCTCAGTGCACTGTACCCACTGTCTTGCACCCACTTTCCGATACTCCCCAGTGAGATGAATCTGGTACCTCAGTTGGAAATGCAGAAATCATGTGTCTTCTGCAATGCTCACGCTGGGAGCTTTAGACTGGAGCTGTTCCTATTCAGCCGTCTTGTCTCCATCCCTATTTATTAGTTCTAATAGGTTTTTTTTGTGGAATCTTTAGAATTTTCTACATATATGATCATATCATCTGTGAACAGAGATAATTTTACTTCTTTTTTTCCAGTTTGGATGCCTTTATTTGTTTTTCTTCCCTAATTGCTCTGTCTAGAACCTCCAGTACTATATGTAACAGAAGTATTAGGCTGGTGCAAAAGTAATTTCGGTTTTTGCCATTACTTTAAAAAAAAAATGGCAAAAACTGCGATTACTTTTGCACCAACCTAATAGCATCCTTTCATTGTTCCTGATCTTTGTGGAAAAGCTTTCAGTCTTACTGCTTTGAGTATGACATTTACTTTGGGTTTTTTGTATATGGCTTTTACTATGGTGAGATAGTTTCCTTCTATTCATATTAGTTGTGTGTTTTATGAAAAGAAGTTAAATTTAATCAAATGCTTTTTCTGTTTTCATTTGAAATGATCATGTGGTTTCTTCTCCATTCTGTTAAGGTGGTGTATTGCATTGTTCGATTTTGTATGTTGAATCAACCTTGCATTCCAGGAATACATTCCAGTTGGTCATAGTGTATAACCTGTTACAATCCTGTTGAAGTGAGTGTGCTATATTTTGTTGAGGATTTTTGTATCAATGTTCATAAGGGATATTGGTCTTAGTTGTTTTGTGGTAACTTTGTCTGGCTTTGATATCAGAATAATGCCTCTTAAAATGAGTGTGGAAGTGTTCTCTTTTCTTCAGTGTTTTAGAAAATTTGAGAAGTTGAATCAAGATATTTTAATCTTTTTTTTTCCTTTTTGTGGAGTGTATGTTCCCAGATAGCCATTCACATGGTTGGCCCCATTATATCATTTAGACTTCAGTAAAATGTCTTTTGGGCCTTCTTGAATGTCAATCTAAAGTAGCTTCTCAGTCGTTCTCTATCAGTAGCTCTCTATTGTTGTCCTCATAGCAATTTTCACAGACATTTTCCTGTGTTATCCTATTTTCTATCAAATTATCCCGTTGCTTATAGATAGAATATAAGCTTGAGAGCAGTCCCTAATCATTTAGAATTTTTATGGTTGATTCTGTTACATAGGCATGATTGATTAAGTCTTTGGACATTTGTGCTTAACTAAATCTCTACCCCCTCTCTCCTTGCAGCCCTCCCGTAAGTCAGGGGTCAGGCAGAAATTTCCAAACATCTAATCACTTGGTTGGTTTTTTCGGCAACCAGCTCCCATCCTGAAGCTATCTAGGCTCCCACCAAGAGTCACCTGATCAGTATAAATTCTGGTATGGTTGAAAGGAGCTTATTATGAATGACAAAAGACAGCCCCTCTCACTCTTGTGAGAGGGTGAGAAAACAAAGATAAAATATCTTGATTCAACTTCTCACTCACTCAGTCAATTCACAGGGTCTTAGGAGATTTTGTGCCAAGAACCTACAAAGACCAAATATTTCCTGTGATTTCATAATATCACACTACCTTACAAGGTTGTTTTAAGAATAAATGAGAGAATGCATGCATAACTCTTAGCACATTGCCTGGTACAGATAGCAGTGGCTCTACTGCTACAACTGTTAAGAAGATTTTCTTTCTTTCCCATCCGTCTCTTCCTCGGCCTTCTCTACTCTCCCCTTTTTCCCTCCTCTGATAGTCTTTGCTTGTGTTTCCATTTTCCTAATCTTTCTCTGACGTTTTTTCTTCTGAGTTCTCAATATTAGGTCAGAAGTCCAGAACTTGGAAGGGTTAGGAGTGGCATTGGTGTAGGAGCTTCTCGCAGAAGATTCATTGCAAGCCTCCCTCCCTCATTTACTTTCCTTTATGTAAAGCTGTTGGTTTCATTTTCATCAAGAATCTGAAATATCTCAGGGGAAGTATCTGAATTTACTTTTTCAGAACAGATATTAGCTGTGATAGTGCCCTCCCAGTATTAGAAGATGTGGGAAATCACTATTATGATTCCTTATATCAGGCTGATTCTTGAGATATGTTGTTTGCTTTAGGAATGATACTGATAATTTTTTTTTTTTTTTGAGATGGAGTCTCGCTGTGTCGCCCAGGCTGGCATGCAGTGATGTGATCTCAGCTCACTGCAACCTCTGCCTCCCAGGTTCAAGTGACTCTCCTGCCTCAGCCTCCTGAGTAGCTGGGATTACAAGTGCACGCCATCACGCCTGGCTAATTTTTGTATTTTTAGTAGAGACGAGGTTTCACCATGTGGGCCAGGCTGGTTTTGAACTCCTGACCTCAAGTGATCTGCTCGCCTCAGCCTCCCAAAGTGCTGGGATTACAGGTGTGAGCCACCACGCCCTGCTGATACTGATAATCTTAAAGAGAGAAATTTGATCATCCTTTCATTAGTAAAATGTGTAATAAGAAAGCTTATTGTGGGAAGAAGAGGTTCTCGATTATTTACCCCTTTAGCATTTTCCTGGAGGTTTAGCGGTCATTAGAAAGAAGTACTTGTGGCTAGGCATGGTGGCTCACACCTATAATCCCAACACTTTGGGAAGCTGAGGAAGGAGAATTGTTTGAAGCAAAGAGTTCAAGACCAGCCCGGGCAACATAGCGAGATCCCCATCTCTACAAAAATAAAAATAAGTTAGCCTATTGGGTTGGCATGTGCCTGTAGTTCTAGCTACTCGGGAAGCTGAGGTGGGAGCATGCCTTGAGCCCAGGAATTTTAGGCTGCAGTGAGCTATCATCACACCACTGCACTGTAGCCTGGGCAACAGAGTGGGGTCTCTTAAAAAAAAACACACACACACACACGGAAAGACATACTTGTTACTAGTGCTCTTTCGTAAGATTTTATCTAACGTGGCATTTTAATTATGGTTTTAAAAATATTTCTTTCCAGTTAATAGAAGATGAAATTGCAACCATTCTTAAATCTACATTGAAAGGACTAGAATATTTGCACTTTATGAGAAAAATACACAGAGATATAAAAGCTGGAAATATTCTCCTCAATACAGAAGGACATGCAAAATTGGCAGATTTTGGAGTGGCTGGTCAGTTAACAGTAAGTTAACTTTAATGGTTTTCTAAACACTTGGCTAATTTGTTCAGATTTGATTATAACTAAACTTCAATTACTTTTTGAGGGGGAATGGAAAGAAATGTGTAGTTTTTTAATTTTTGTGGAGAAGGAACCATAATTGAGCCAAATTTGAGTATTATTTAATTTATAATTTAGGGTGATTGAATGTGAAAATATATCTTATAATCAAAATGCTTAAATGTTCTAAAAGGGAAGCTACGTAGCTCATTTCTGTAGCTTTTATCATTGTAGCACTATCTTTAATGACTGTGTTTAATGATGGTAGTGTGGATAAGTTACCTGTGGACTCTTGGTTATTTTCAGAATTCGGAATTCCTAAGTATGTCATAACTAGTTGAAATTTTAGCAAAATAGTCAATTTCTGATATAATCTGTGGCATTGGAGGTTTTAACATTTTTTAAAAGTATGTTTGGCATACAGATTTCCTTTGTGCTTTTGTAGTAGCATTTATGGCTATGTAACATTATTGCAGGATACAATGGCAAAACGCAATACTGTAATAGGAACTCCATTTTGGATGGCTCCTGAGGTGATTCAAGAAATAGGCTATAACTGTGTGGCCGACATCTGGTCCCTTGGCATTACTTCTATAGAAATGGCTGAAGGAAAACCTCCTTATGCTGATATACATCCAATGAGGGTAAGAAAATTATGGTTTGCTGAAAATGTTAGCCTTATATAAGTGTTGCCGTTTTGTAATGTCAATGTAAGTAAATATAAACTAAATAAGTTCATTTAAATGTATTCTTTTTAAAAATGGTAAAATTACCTCTTAAAGATTAGTAACTGTTAACTTCTCTTCCTTCTGCATTCTTAATTGTGAGAAAAGAACTGAAGGCTTTGTATATCTCTACCATCACTGTTCTCCTCCCCCAAAAATATACTTGTAAAATTTTTGCTTGCTTTTCAATAGAAGAAAGGGTTGGTAAATCCTCTTTGCTCTTCAGTTTATTGTTTTCTTGATTGTGGTAGTGAAAGAGTTGGAAGTAATCATTTCTCACTTTTTTACCCACTCTGTGATTTATACCTTACTGTGTGTTTTTTTTTTTCTGCCTTTTCTCTTCTTTGGTCTGAGGATGGTATTAAGCAATCCTAATTTCTAATATTACTATGCACATATAAAGGAATTCGGCTAATTTTTTTTAATGAATGCATGCTGAGAAAATGGAATTCCTTTTTTGAACATCATTATATGCTTCTGTGAACTCTGCAGGATAATTTTTGAGTTTGAAATATATATTTTGCATATTCAAGTCTAATTGCCTGTGTTTCAGGGTTTGTGATGATATACTTTTTAGGTTTATTACTATGTGAATCATATAGATAAGTTCATCATCATAAATAGGTACACTGATCTTTGTATACTTATTGCCCTCTAGTGGCTGTAGTTATCTCAATAAGGATGTAGGAATGAGGGGAGGAGTGTATGTATGTGTGTATTTGTAGAAAAGAGAAGATAATATCATGGTGGCTGGAGGAATGTGAAGTAAATAGATAGAAAGAGGAAGAATGCATAAAAATTCAGATATTTTAGAATATCTGAAGAAGAATAAATTGGAATTACATCTGATATTATAATGCCATTGTGGGTTAAATTTCGATAATATAGGTAACAGTGTATTATACAGAAAATATTTAAAAATCTGTCTGCTGTATTGAAACATTTTAAAGAGAGTTTTTTTTTTTTTTCTTTTGAGATAAGGTCTCACTCTGTCACCCAGCCTGGATTGTAGTAGTGCGATCATGGCTCACTCGAGCCTCGACCTCCTGGGCTCAGGTGATCCTCCCACCTCAGCCTGCAGAGTAGCTGGGACTATAGGTATGCACCACCATGCCCAACTAATTTTTTGTAGAGACAAGGTGTCGCCATGTTGCCCAGGCTGGTCTCCAACTTCTGGGCTCAAGCGATCCGCCCACCTCAGCTTCCCAAAGTGCTGGGATTACAGCAGTGTGCCCAGCCTAGAGTTCTTTGAGTAATGTAATTGTATACAATATGTATCATCTTCCTGGTGTATATAAATTCCTTTTGGTAAATGAAAGATAAAAATGCATCAATTGTTTGAAAATAACTTGAAAAACAACAAGGTCAGCATAAAAACAGGAACACAAAGTCTTATTTCATCTCTGATCATTAGTTATCTGTGGTTCTTTTAGTTAGGATGTTTGTAGGGTGATCCTCAAAGTAGGTGTATTTGAGTTTGAATCAGTGAGGTTTACTAAATTACCCAAGGCAACCTAGGTAAGTACAAGAGCTGGGATTTAACTTAGGACTTCCATTATTACTATTCTGCTTCTTCCCTGTGTAAATCTTATTTTTCCAACCAAATAGTTCAACATGTTAAATTTGATCCTGTGCTCAGATAGCAGAGAATTGTAATATGTGGCCTCTTCCTTTAAGGATCTTCTAATATTACCTGAGAGTTTGAATGAATACATTATACATTATTAAAAATATACCTGAAAATAATATTTCTTTTAGAAAAAAATATACCTGTATTGCAAACTTCCTAGGATGCCTTGCTCACTGTTTTTTTTTTTTTAAATCTAAATCCTACCAGTTTTTCAAGTCCCAACTTGGATTTTATGCCTGTGTAGAGCCATTCTTGACAGCTATCGCCCAAGTAAATTTCTCTTTTTCCTCATATTTTGTATATAGGCAATTTCTTCACAGTCCAGTTCTTTGGACAGTTAATCAAGTGTTGCCTCGTGCATTTCCAAACATAATATAGTTTATTTCCTATTTAAATAATATCATTATTTAACTTTTCTTGTGTTTGTGAGCTGTCTTACAAAGTAGAGTATTGAACTGCAAGTATTGGAAGCTGTTGAGATCATGTAACAGATAGTTTTATCACTGGTAACAAGTACTGCCTTTTGTTTTCCTTGAAATGACAGGTTCACTTGGTTCCTTTTTGAGAAAATGTCTGTCAAATACCCAAGTCTGTGTAACCTTAGTTTTCTGTTAGTTATTCTTCAAGTAAAAATGATGTTCTTTGAAAAGAGCCTTGTAGTTTATTTAGCTTGCAGCTCAGTCACACAACTGCTTTTTTTCAGATTATTGTTGTTCTTTGATATGTGGGGAAGTGCTTTATGCATATTTTCCATTTTGTCAATGTAGAATATTAAAAATACATATTCAAGTGTAGAAATTTAATAGAATTAATAAACTTTACTGTTTCATCAAGGTTTACAGTAGTTTTGTGGGGGGTATAGTGAGGGCAATGAAAGAAAGAGCTGTCCAAGAGAGAAAAATTGTTGAGGGCCCAGCTAAAATTGGTAATTGGGAAAGTATAGTGTAATTAATCCTGGTTTGTGGGCCTTCCTATGGTAGTGTGCTCTGCTGTGCAGTAGAATGCATTATGGCCTTGATATGGAGGGTTTGGGTTTTAATGAATGAGTGTCTTAGAAGGATGGGGCTATAGGGAATTTAAGGATGCTGCTGAGAGACAGTTCAAGGGGTTACTAACAGGGCACAGTCTGGAAAGAAAAGAGAGAGTGTAAGGAAATGGGGTGATCAAAGAATAGGTAGTGTTCTCCATGCTTGCTGCATAGCCGTCATGTGGGGAGCCCTACCCTAAACAGATTAAATCAGAATCTCAGGAGGTTAGAGAGGAGATAAAGTGGTAGTTAAGATATGAGAAAGCTGGTAGGATATGACACTATGGTAAGTGAGTGAAATATTGAAGTTTTTTACCAACATTTTTTTTTGTACTGTAGTAATTTTGTGAAATAAATATTTTATCCTCCATTGGGTGGATTGGATGAAATGGATAAGATTATGTTATTTAAGATGACATAACTTGTCAGTGGCAGAACTGAGATATGAACTCAGTTTGTTCTGTGTTTTTGCCTAGACACCAAAGAAATATCCTCTGTGTTAATATCCCAACTCAGTGCAAGTGGAGGAGCGGCTAACAAAAATAAGACATTTTAAAACCATGTAATCACAATATTATAATTACTGATTTAAAATCTGAACCCTCTAAGTTTTCCAGAGTAGCAGGAAATATGGTAACCTAGGTAAGATTTCAATTTTTAAAGTTTTGTTTTCCAGCCATGTTTTGGTAGACATATAGGCTAATGAGGTAATCAATAATCTACAAAGTTGCCACAATGAGACAAAGATGTGATTGACATGAAGACCCCACAGCTGATAACAGGCAAAAAACCTGATAGTTATTTTAATATAAGTAAATGATACAATTTACTACATATACATGGCTATCTAGAACAAAGTTAGAGACAAAGTTAGGATGTGGTGGGTGAGTTTCCCCAGCCTCCATCTATAGTGGGGTGCCCAGCCACTGGTGGTATTGCCTAATTGGAGTGAGGATTCTAGCCAGTCTTTCTGAAATGCCTTGCATTCATCCTCACAGAGTTCTAGCCCTTTCCACTATGCCTGCCCACTAGCTGTATATAATTAGGAACACTCCAGAACAGTGGTGCTGCCTTGTAGACTGAGTGAACTGGGATTTGGTTTCCCAGTCATTTTCTCAGCCTTTTACCGTGTTTAGGTACCAGGCCTGTTTGTAAAGTAGTATTGCTTAGGCCAGCAAAAATTAGGGGCAAAAAGAGATGCCTTGAGCTTGGATAATTTAGAATGGAGTTGCTTCTCCTTAAGTGGCCACAAATTAATACTGTTTTTCACTGATTAAGGTTTTTGTAGGACATATATTTAGGGTGTCATAGTCTGAGGGATACGAAGAACTTAAAGATGGCACTAAATTAGAAAATGAAAGTGGTTAAATTGGAAATTTGCAGTTATTTGAGAATGGGTCTTTCAAAGGTGTTAAGTCTGAGGTCATTTGTTTTATATGCTTTAGTTTATCAGTTTGTCAGAGATTGATTATTTCTTTTATCATTCCTGGGCAGAATAAGGAATATTTGGAATATAGATGTTCAAGGAGAAATTTTCTAATAAGAAGAACTATTAAAAACACTGGATTTGTTTGATGGCAAGGAGTTAACCAAATTTGTTAGTTTCCATACAACTTTTTCTTCCCCCCAAAGAAACTTGTAGTATATGTAAACCGAATCTTCACTGTGGTAGACAGTAATGATTATCTGTTTAGTAAAGGGAAATGATGATGTACACATTGAAACATATAAAGCTTTTAAACAGGAGAGGGATAAAAGTGCTTATAAATTTATATTCAGCTATGAGATTAAAATTAGTGAGTAGTGGCAAATGGGAGTAAGTCTAATCAGAATGTTAAGTGAAACAAATTTTTTTAAATTAAAACTCAGTTTATTTTATAAAGTTAAATATGAAACCACCAAATTAATTTTGATCAGTTAGATAAATAGAATAGTTAAAAAAATTTAGTTTTGAATTCAGTTAACCACATACTTTTGAGGAGATCAGTCTTCTCTTTTTCTCAGGCCTTTAGGAAGTGAGTGTGAGAGAGAGAGAGTGTGTGTGTGTGAGTGTGTGTGTGTATATATATGTGTGTGTATAGATATATATATATATATATTTTTTTTTGAGACAAAGTCTCGCTCTGTTGTCTGGGCTGGAGTACGGTGGCAGTCTTGGCTTGCTGCAACCTCTGCCTCCCGGTTTCAAGCGATTCTCCTGTCTCAGCTCAGTCTCCCAAGTAGCTGGGATTACAAGTGCGCACCACCATGCCAAGCTAATTTTTTGTATTTTTAGTAGTGACGGGGTTTCACCATGTTGGCCAGACTGATCTTGAACTCCTGACCTCAAGTGATCCACCTGCCTCGGTCTCCCAAAGTACTGGGATTATAGGCGTAAGCCAGTGCACTCAGCCTTAGGAAGTATGTATATATATGTATATATTTTAAATCAGGAGATGAATAAATAGTATCATTTCCTTCCTTCCGTCCTTCCTTCCCTCTTTCTTTTCTTTTCTCTTTACTTTTTTCCTTTCCTTTCTTTTCCCTCCCTCCCTCCCTCCCTTCCTTCCATCCATGTGACAGGGTCTCACTGTGTCACCCAGGCAGGAAGGAGTGCAGTGGCACAATCACAGCTCACTGCAGCCCTCAACCTCCCAGGCTCAAGCAATCCTCCCACCTCAGCCTCTCGAATACCTGGAACTACAGGTGCACACCACTACACCCAGCAAATTTTTGTATTTTTTTCCTTGATGGATTCTCGCTGTGTCACCCAGGCTGGAGTGCAGTGGCGCCATCTAGGCTCACTGCAATCTTCGCCTCCCTGGGTCAAGCAATTATCCTGCCTCAGCCTCCTGAGTAGTTGGGAGTACAGGCGTAACCTGTAAAAACCCTTTGTGTTTGCTTACCTGTTGTTCAGCATAGGGAAAGGGGTAAGGAAAGAACTGTATGGATCACTCTGTGGACAGCAGGAGAAGTACCTGATGATTTCTTGAATCAGGCAAAGGAAAGAAAATAGAAATCAAACCAAGAATTTTTACTTCTATGCAATGCAATACTGAATGTTTATAACTTTAAAAAAAGATGTGTAAATAAATAGTGTATTTTGGAAGATTTATGTCAAATGTGATTTAAGGAGATAATTGGAGGCACTTGTCAACTTTCTGGAAATTTAACTCACATAAAGCATGACAATCTCTGTTTAAGAGTAAATTAAGAATTATTGATTTTATTGGGGAAGCAGCCAAGATGGCCGAATAGGAACAGCTCTGGTCTACAGCTCCCAGCGTGAGCGACGCAGAAGACGGGTGATTTCTGCATTTCCATCTGAGGTACTGGGTTCATCTCACTAGGGAGTGCCAGACAGTGGGCGCAGGACAGTGGATGCAGTGCACCGTGCGCGAGCCGAAGCAGGGCGAGGCATTGCCTCACTCGGGAAGTGCAAAGGGTCAGGGAGTTCCCTTTCCTAGTCAAAGAAAGGGGTGACAGACGGCACCTGGAAAATCGGGTCGCTCCCACCCTAATACTGCGCTTTTCCGAGGGGCTTAAAAAACGGCTCACCAGGAGATTATATCCCGCACTTGGATCAGAGGGTCCTACGCCCACGGAGTCTCGCTGATTGCTAGGACAGCAGTCTGAGATCAAACTGCAAGGCGGCAGCGAGGCTGGGGGAGGGGCGCCCGCCATTACCCAAGCTTGCTTAGGTAAACAAAGCAGCCGGGAAGCTCCAACTGGGTAGAGCCCACCACAGCTCAAGGAGGCCTGCCTGCCTCTGTAGGCTTCACCTCTGGAGGCAGGGCACAGACAAACAAAAAGACAGCAGTAACCTCTGCAGACTTAAATGTCCCTGTCTGACAGCTTTGAAGAGAGCAGTGGTTCTCCCAGCACGCAGCTGGAGATCTGAGAATGGGCAGACTGCCTCCTCAAGTGGGTCCCTGACCCCTGACCCCGGAGCAGCCTAACTGGGAGGCACCCCCAAGTAGGGGCAGACTGACACCTCACACGGCCGGGTACTCCTCTGAGACAAAACTTCCAGAGGAACGATCAGACAGCAGCATTCGCGGTTCATGAAAATCCGCTGTTCTGCAGCCACCGCTGCTGGTACCCAGGCAAACCGAGTCTGGAGTGGACCTCTAGCAAACTCCAACACACCTGCAGCTGAGGGTCCTGTCTGTTAGAAGGAAAACTAACAAACAGAAAGGACATCCACACCAAAAACCCATCTGTACATCACCATCATCAAAGACCAAAAGTAGATAAAACCACAAAGATGGGGAAAAAACAGAGCAGAAAAACTGGAAACTCTAAAAAGCAGAGTGCCTCTCCTCCTCCAAAGGAACGCAGCTCCTCACCAGCAATGGAACAAAGCTGGACGGAGAATGACTTTGACGAGTTGAGAGAAGAAGGCTTCAGACGATCAAACTACTCCAAGCTACAGGAGGAAATTCAAACCAAAGGCAAAGAAGTTGAAAACTTTGAAAAAAATTTAGAAGAATGTATAACTAGAATAACCAATACAGAGAAGTGCTTAAAGGAGCTGATGGAGCTGAAAGCCAAGGCTCGAGAACTACGTGAAGAATGCAGAAGCCTCAGGAGCCGATGCGATCAACTGGAAGAAAGGGTATCAGTGATGGAAGACGAAATGAATGAAATGAAGCGAGAAGGGAAGTTTAGAGAAAAAGAACAAAAAGAAATGAACAAAGCCTCCAAGAAATATGGGACTATGTGAAAAGACCAGATCTTCATCTCACTGTGTACCTGAAAGTGACGGGGAGAATGGAACCAAGTTGGAAAACACTCTGCAGGATATTATCCAGGAGAACTTCCCCAATCTAGCAAGGCAGGCCAACATTCAGATTCAGGAAATACAGAGAATGCCACAAAGATACTCCTCGAGAAGAGCAACTCCAAGACACATAATTGTCAGATTCACCAAAGTTGAAATGAAGGAAAAAATGTTAAGGGCAGCCAGAGAGAAAGGTCGGGTTACCCACAAAGGGAAGCCCATCAGACTAACAGCTGATCTCTCAGCAGAAACTCTACAAGCCAGAAGACAGTGGGGGCCAATATTCAACATTCTTAAAGAAAAGAATTTTCAACCCAGAATTTCATATCCAGCCAAACTAAGCTTCATAAGTGAAGGAGAAATAAAATACTTTGCAGATAAGCAAATGCTGAGTGATTTTGTCACCACCAGGCCTGCCCTAAAAGAGCTCCTGAAGGAAGCACTAAACATGGAAAGGAACAACCGGTACCAGCCACTGCAAAATCATGCCAAATTGTAAAGACCATCGAGGCTAGGAAGAAACTGTATCAACTAACGAGCAAAATAACCAGCTAACATCAAAATGACAGGATCAAATTCACACATAACAATATTAACTTTAAATGTAAATGGACTAAATGCTCCAATTAAAAGACACAGACTGGCAAATTGGATAAAGAGTCAAGACCCATCAGTGTGCTGTATTCAGGAAACCCATCTCACGTGCAGAGACACACATAGGCTCAAAATAAAAGGATGGAGGAAGATCTACCAAGCAAATGGAAAACAAAAAAAGGCAGGGGTTGCAATCCTAGTCTCTGATAAAACAGACTTTAAACCAACAAAGATCAAAAGAGACAAAGAAGGCCATTACATAATGGTGAAGGGATCAATTCAACAAGAAGAGCTAACTGTCTTAAATATATATGCACCCAATACAGGAGCACCCAGATTCATAAAGCAAGTCCTGAGTGACCTACATAGAGACTTAGACTCCCACACAATAATAATGGGAGACTTTAACACCCCACTGTCAACATTAGACAGATCAACCAGACAGAAAGTTAGCAAGGATATCCAGGAATTGAACTCAGCTGTGCACCAAGCAGACCTAATAGACATCTACAGAACTCTCCACCCCAAATCAACAGAATATACATTCTTTTCAGCACCGCACCACACCTGTTCCAAAATTGACCACATTTTGGAACAGGAAGTAAAGCTCTCCTCAGCAAATGTAAAAGAACAGAAATTATAACAAACTGTCTCTCAAACTACAGTGCAATCAAACTAGAACTCAGGATTAAGAAACTCACTCAAAACCACTCAACTACATGGAAACTGAACAACCTGCTCCTGAATGACTACTGGGTACATAACAAAATGAAGGCAGAAATAAGGATGTTCTTTGAAACCAATGATAGCAAAGACACAATATACAAGAATCTCTGGGACACATTCAAAGCAGTGTGTAGAGTGAAATTTATAGCATTAAATGCCCACAAGAGAAAGCAGGAAAGATCCAAAATTGACACCCTAACATCACAGTTAAAAGAACTAGAAAAGCAAGAGCAAACACATTCAAAAGCTAGCAGAAGGCAAGAAGTAACTAAAATCAGAGTAGAACTGAAGGAAATAGAGACACAAAAAACCCTTCAAAAAATTAATGAATCCAGGAGCTGGTTTTCTGAAAGGATCAACAAAATTGATAGACCGCTAGCAAGACTAATAAAGAAGAAAAGAGAGAAGAATCAAATAGACACAATAAAAAATGATAAAGGTGAAATCACCACCAATCCCACAGAAATACAAACTACCATCAGAGAATACTACAAACACCTCTATGCAAATAAACTAGAAAATCTAGAAGAAATGGATAAATTCCTCGACACATACACCCTCCCAAGATTAAACCAGGAAGAAGTTGAATCTCTGAATAGACCAATAGCAGGCTCTGAAATTGTGGCAATAGTCAATAGCTTACCAACCAAAAAGAGTCCAGGACCAGATGGATTCACAGCCGAATTCTACCAGAGGTACAAGGAGGAATTGGTACCATTCCTTCTGAAACTATTCCAATCAATAGAAAAAGAGGGAATCCTCCCTAACTCATTTTATGAGGCCAGCGTCATCCTGATACCAAAGCCTGACAGAGACACAACCAAAAAAGAGAATTTTAGACCAATATCCTTGATGAACATTGATGCAAAAATCCTCAATAAAATACTGGCAAAACGAATCCAGCAGCACATCAAAAAGCTTATCCACCATGATCAAGTGGGCTTCATCCCTGGGATGCAAGACTGGTTCAATATATGCAAATCAATAAATGTAATCCAGCATGTAAACAGAACGAAAGACAAAAACCACATGATTATCTCAATAGATGCAGAAAAGGCCTTTGACAAAATTCAACAATGCTTCATGCTAAAAACTCTCCATAAATTAGGTATTGATGGGACGTATCTCAAAATAATAAGAGCTATCTATGACAAACCCACAGCCAATATCATACTGAATGGGCAAAAACTGGAAGCATTCCCTTTGAAAACTGGCACAAGACAGGGATGCCCTCTCTCACCACTCCTATTCAACATAGTGTTGGAAGTTCTGGCCAGGGCAATTAGGCAGGAGAAGGAAATAAAGGGTATTCAATTAGGAAAAGAGGAAGTCAAATTGTCCCTGTTTGCAGATGACATGATTGTATATCTAGAAAACCCCATTGTCTCAGCCCAAAATCTCCCTTAGCTGATAAACAACTTCAGCAAAGTCTCAGGATACAAAATCAATGTGCAAAAATCACAAGCATTCTTATACACCAATAACAGACAGCCAAATCATGAGTGAACTCCCATTCACAATTGCTTCAAAGAGAATAAAATACCTGGGAATCCAACTTACAAGGGACATGAAGGACCTCTTCAAGGAGAACTACAAACCACTGCTCAATGAAATAAAAGAGGATACAAACAAATGGAAGAACATTCCATGCTCATGGGTAGGAAGAATCAATATCGTGAAAATGGCCATACTGCCCAAGGTAATTTATAGATTCAATGCCATCCCCATCAAGCTACCAATGACTTTCTTCACAGAATTGGAAAAAACTATTTTAAAGTTCATATGGAACCCAAAAAGAGCCCGCATTGCCGAGTCAATCCTAACCCAAAAGAACAAAGCTGGAGGCATCACACTACCTGACTTCAAACTACAAGGCTACAGTAACCAAAACAGCATGGTACTGGTACCAAAACAGCATGGTACTGGTACCAAAACAGAGATATAGATCAATGGAACAGAGCAGAGCCCTCAGAAATAATGCTTCATATCTACAACTATCTGATCTTTGAGAAACCTGAGAAAAACAAGCAATGGGGAAAGGATTCCCTATTTAATAAATGGTGCTGGGAAAACTGGCTAGCCATATGTAGAAAGCTGAAACTGTATCCCTTCCTTACAACTTATACAAAAATTAATTCAAGATGGATTAAAGACTTAAACGTTAGACCTAAAACCATAAAAATCCTAGAAGAAAACCTAGGCATTACCATTCAGGACATAGGCATGGGCAAGGACTTCATGTCTAAAACACCAAAAGCAATGGCAACAAAAGCCAAAATTGACAAATGGGATCTAATTAAACTAAAGAGCTTCTGCACAGCAGAAGAAACTACCATCAGAGTGAACAGGCAGCCTACACAATGGGAGGAAATTTTTGCAATCTACTCATCTGACAAAGGGCTAATATCCAGAATCTACAATGAACTCAAACAAATTTACAAGAAAAAAACAACCCCATCAAAAAGTGGGCGAAGGACATGAACAGACACTTCTCAGAGAAGACATTTATGCAACCAAAGAACACATGAAAAAATGCTCACCATCACTGGCCATCAGAGAAATGCAAACCAAAACCACAATGAGACACCATCTCACACCAGTTAGAATGGCAATCATTAAAAAGTCAGGAAACAACAGGTGCTGGAGAGGATGTGGAGAAATAGGAACACTTTTGCACTGTTGATGGGACTGTAAACTAGTTCAACCATTGTGGAAGTCAGTGTGGCGATTCTTCAGGGATCTAGGACTAGAAATACCATTTGACCCAGCCATCCCATTACTGGGTATATACCCAAAGGACTATAAATCATGCTACTATAAAGACACATGCACACGTATGTTTATTGTGGCACTATTCACAATAGCAAAGACTTGGAACCAACCCAAATGTCCAACAATGATAGACTGGATTAAGAAAATGTGGCACATATACACCATGGAATGATATGCAGCCATAAAAAATGATGAGTTCATGTTCTTTGTAGGGACATGGATGAAGTTGGAAATCATGATTCTCAGTAAACTATCGCAAGAACAAGAAACCAAACACCACATGTTCTCACTCATAGATGGGAATTGAACAATGAGAACATATGGACAAAGGAAGGGGAACATCACACTCTGGGGACTGTTCTGGGGTGCGGGGAGTGGGGAGGGATAGCATTAGGAGATATACTTAATGCTAAATGACGAGTTAATGGGTGCAGCACACCCGCATGGCACATGTATACATATGTAACTAACCTGCACATTGTGCACATGTACCCTAAAACTTAAAGTATGAAAAAAAAAGAATTATTTTAGCCTAAAAAAAGGTCTCTATCTCTGTGTCCTTACACTACCTACTTACAAATAAAGGAGCCCTGCAGATATTTTCAAACATAAGGAGTCATTTTTGATGAATGATGTTTTCAAAAATAATGCTATCCTTTCCTGAAGAGTCTTTTCCTTAACCCACCATATTTTCCAACTGGCTTCCACCTCCCTTTTTGGAGAAACATAGCATTTAAATAGATGCAACAAATGCTTTAGTATAGGCAGCGTAAAAACAGACATGGGTTAGAAGATCATTCTTTATAGTGCATATCAAAAAGTAAAACACAGTAGCTCTCTCCCATTGGAAATCCCATGGCACTACTTTTTTCACAAAGAAAGGATTTTAAAAAAAGAGACAAAAAATGTGGTTATGTCCACATGTGAAGAGTGAACACTTAGTTAACCGTTTTTTAATATTTAAAAAAACCCAACACCAAAAAAGAGAAAAGCATCCATGTCCTCCTTTCCTGCTCAATTAATAATAAAATTTGCTTGAGAAATTCTGGAAAACTGATTCTCTGTAGTGGTGAGACTTGAGTAATACCACACCCAACACACTTAACACACCTTCCATCTCCCAGTCCCTGCTGTGTAGGTATTTGTAGATACCTTGGATGTCTTAGTGTATGTGCACCTGTGTTTGTCTGACACCACCTGTTGGAAGATTCCTTGCAAGGATTTAACACAGTGGTGAATGGCATAGAGGAGTATCTTCATTTAGCCTGGGAAACCAGAAGTCTGAAATCAAAGTGTTGGCAGGACTGTACTCCCTCAAGGGGCTCTACAGGATAATCTATTTTTCACTTTTTCCAGCTCTTGGTGGCTGCCTGCAATCCTGTTTTCCTTAGATTGTAGTTGTCTTACTCTAATCTCTGCCTACATCTCCATATTGCATTTTCCTCTGAGTGTCTGTGTCATCATCATCATCTTCTTTCTTCTTTCACAGGGTCTTGCTTTGTCACCCAGGCTGGAGTGGCGTGAACATGGCTCATTGCAGCCTCGAATTCCTGGGCTCAAGCAATCCTCCCGCCTCAGCCCCGCAAGTAGCTGGGACTACAGGCACAAGCTACCATGGCTGGCTAAATCTTATATTTTTTTTGTGGAGATGGGGTTCACCATGTTGCCCAGTCTGGTCTCGAACTCCTGAGCTTAAGCAGTCTGTCTGCCTTGGCCTCCCAAAGTGCTGGGATTACAGGTGTGAGCCACTGCACCCAGCCCTGTGTCTTCTTTTTTGTCTATCTACCTCAAATTTCTCTCTGCCTTTCTCTTATAAGGGCACTTGTCATTGGATTTAGGGCCCACTCAGATGATCCAGGATGATCTTCTGCTTTCAAGATTCTTAACTTAATTATATCTGCATAAATTGTATTTTTCCCCCCCAAATTGTGTAACATTTAGAGGTTTCAGAGATTAGGATGTGGACATATCTTCTGAGGATGGCCATTTTTCAACTCACTACACTCCCCATAATATGTTCTCTTCTTTCAAATAGAGAAAGAAAATTTAAGATTAATAATTATGTATAATTTAAGATTAACATTTATATAGTATAAGTATAATTACATAATTTAAGATTATAATTAGGATTAATGAGTAATATATAACATAAAATTTATCATTTTAACCATTTTAAAGTACTCTATACAATTCATTGCCATAAAGTACATTTACATTATTGTGCAATCATTACCACTATTTCTAGAAATTTTTTAATTATCTCAAACTGAAACCCTGTACCCATTAAACAATAATTCTCCATATCCTCTTGCTCCAACCCCTCGCAACCAGTATTCTACTTCCTGTCTCTATGAGTTTGACTGTTCTAAATATTTCATATAAGTAGAATCAAACAATATTTGTTCTTTTGTGTGTGTGTGTGTTTTATGTAGCCTAATGTTTTCAATAATTTATACAAGTCATAGAATGTGTCAGAATTTGCTTCCTTTTAAAGCCTGAATAATATTTCTTTGTATGTATATAGCATATTTTGTTTATTCATTCATTTGTTGATGGGTACTTGGGTTTCTTCCTCCTTTTGGCTTTTGTGAATAATGCTACCATGAACTGGATCCACAATCATCAATTCAAGAGTGTTTTATTTTTTGAGGAACCTCCATACTGTTTTCCACAGCAGCTGTACCATTTTACATTCCTACCACCAATGTACAAGAGTTCCAGTTTCTTCACGTTCCTGCTAGCACTTGTTATTTTCTGTTGTTTTTCTTTGCTAATGGCCATAGTAATGGGAGTGAAGTGGCATCTCATTGTGATTTTGATCTGCATTTCTCTGATGACTAGTGATATTGAACATCTTTTCATATGCTTATTGTCCATTATCCATTATGTATATCTTTTGGGAACTGTCTATTCAATTCATTTGCCCATTTTTTTTTTTTTTTTGAGGCGGAGTTTTGCTCTGTCACCCAGGCTAGAGTGTAGTGGCATGATCTCGGCTCACTGCAACCTCCACCTCCCAGGTTCAAGCGATTCTCCTGCCTCAGCCTCCCGAGTAGCTGGGATTACAGATGCGCGCCACCACGCCCAGCTAATTTTTGTATTTTTAGTAGAGACGGGGTTTCACCATGTTTGCCAGGATGGTCTCGATCTCTTGACCTTTTGATTCACCCACCTTGGCTTCCCAAAGTGTTGGGATTACAGGTTTTGAGCCACTGCGCCCGGTGCTGCTTTGCCCATTTTTAAATTGGGCTTTTTGTTTAACCTCTCTCTAGTACTGACCTGCTTGTTGTTTCTATGCTGGTGAAGGTGTCCTACTCCTTTAACTTTTTACTGCCTGTTTATTGTCTTTCCAGTTGTCCCCATATCACTTTCTCCACCCCAATTATAATACACAGTCTGAGTCCCTTTGTATGTCTTCTTTGTAATCACTATATTGAGAGATCTTTCAATCAGAATGCTTTTCACTGTTTCTATGCAAATGACTTAGTTGTCTACCAAGTAGAGGATTATTTTTATTAAATCATATATATGTACTTTGCATTATGCAATAGGTGTGTTCTGAAGAAGTTGTGTAAATATTTAATAATTGTAAATCAGCATTTCATATTCTTTGGAAATTATTTTTTAAAAATATTTTTTCACAGTTTGTATTATTTAAGTTTCCATTTTTATTTTAGGGTACATGTGCAGGTTTGTTACAAGGGTATATTGCATGGTACTGAGGTTTGGGCTTCTGCTGATCCTGTCACCCAGATAGTGAACATAGTATCCGATAGGAAGTTTTTCAGCCCTTGTCCTCTCCACTCCTTCCTTCCTTTTAGAGTTCCTAGCGTCTGTTGTTTCCATCTTTATGTCTGTGTGAACCCAGTAGTCAGCCCCCACTTATAAGTAAGAACATGCAGTGTTTGGTTTTCTGTTTCTGTGTTAGTTTGCTTAGGACTATGGCCTCCAGCTGCATCCACATTCCTGCAAAGGACATGATCCCATTATTTTTTTATGCCTCTATTCTGTTCCATTGGTCTGTGTGTCTATTTTTGTACCAGTACCTTGCTGTTTTGGTTACAGTACCATGTAGTATAGTTTGAAGTCAGGTAAATTGATGTCTCTGGCTTTGTTCTTTTTGCTTAGAATTGCCTTGGCTATTTAGGCTCCTTTTTGGTTCCATATAAATTTTGGAATAGTTTTTTTCTAATTCTGTGAAAAATGATGATGGTAGTTTGATAGGAATAGCATTGAATCTGTAGATTGCTTTGGGCAGTATGACCATTTTAACAATATTGATTCTTCCAACCTGGGAACGTGGAATGCTCTTCTATTTGTTTGTGTCGTCTCTGCTATCTTTTAGTAGTCTTTTGTAGTTCTCCTTGTGGAGATCCTTCACCTCCTTGGTTAGGTGTATTCCTAGGTTGTTTTTTTTTTTTTTTTGGTAGGAATTGTAAATGGCATTGCATTCTTGACTTGGCTCTCAGCTTGAACATTATTAGCGTATAGAAGTGCTACTGATTTTTGTACATTGACTTTATATCCTGAGACTTTGCTGAAATCATTTATCAGGCCTAGGAGTCTTGACAGAATCTTTAGGATTTTCTAGTATACAATTATATTGTCAGTGAAGAGAGATAATTTGACTTCTTTTTTTCCTATTTATATGTCTTTTACTTCTTTCTCTTGCCTTATTGCTCTGGCTAGGGCTTCCAGTGACATAATGGATAGGAATGGTAAGAGTGGACATCTTTGTCTTGGTCCAGTTCTTAAGGGAATGCATCTGGCTTTTGCCCATTCAGTATGATGTTGGCCGTGAGTTTGTAATAGATACCTCTTATTATGTTAAGGTATGTTCCTTTGATGTCAAGTTTGTTGTGGATTTTTATAATGAAGGAGTATAGGATTTTGTCAAAAGCCTTTTCTGTGTCTATTGAGATGATTATATGGTTTTTGTTTTTAATTCTCCTTATGTGGTAAATCACATTTACTGACTTGCATATGTTGAATCATCCTTGCATCCTAGGAATAAAGCCCACTTGATGGTGGTGAATTAATTTTTTGATGTGCTGCTGGATTTGGTTTGCTCATATATATAAATTTTTTTTTCTTGAGACAGGCTTACTTTGTCATCCAGGCTGGGGTGCAGTGGTGCAGTCATGGCTCACTGCAGCCTTGACCTCACAGGCTCAGGTGATCTTCCCATCTCAGCCTCCTGAGTAGCTAGGACTATAAGCATGTGCCACTGTACCTGGCTAATTAAAAAATTTTTTTTGGAGAGATGGGATCTCAATATATGTCCCAGGCTGGTGTCAAACTCCTGAGCTCCAGTGATCCTTCTGCCTCAGCCTCCCCAAGTGCTGGGATTATAGATGTGAGCCATTCCACCTAGCTCAGTGTGCTAATATTTTGTGGAGGAATTTTGGGTCTTATGTTCATTAGGGATATTGGCCTGTAATTTTCTTTTTTTGTTATGTCTTTGCCAGATTTTGATATCAGGATGATACTGGTTTTGTGGAATGAGTTAGGGAGGAGGCCCTCCTCTTCGATTTTTTGTAATAGTTTTATTAGGACTGGTAGAATTCAGCTGTGAATCTCTCTCTTTGGGGGATTTTGTTCATTGGTAGGTGTGTAATTTCTGATTGAATCTTGTTACTTGTTGGTCTGTTCAGGATTTCTGTTTCTTCCTAGTTCAATCTTGGAGGTTTTGTGTTTTCAGGAATTAATCAATTTCCTCTAGATTTTCTACTTTGTATGTACTGAAATGTTCATAGTAGCCTCTGAACATCTGCTGTATTTCTGTGGGCTTCGTTGTGATGTCACCTTTGTTATTTCTGATTGTGCCTATTTGGATCTTCTCTCTTTCCTTTTTTAATCTAGCTAGCAGTCTGTCAGTTTCATTCATCCTTTCAAAAAACCAATTTTTTGTTTCATTGATCTTTTGTATGGTTTTTTGTTCTCAATTTCATTTAGTTCTACTCTGACTTTACTTATTTATTTTCTTCTCCTAGCTTTGGGTTTAGTTTTTTCTTGTTCCTTTAGGTGTGAGGTTAGATTGTTAATTTGAGATCCATTTTCTTGATGTAGGCATTTAGCATTCTAAACTTTCCTCTTAACACTGCTTTTGCCGTATCCCAGAGGTTTTGGTATGTTGTGTCTCTGTTTTCATTTTTTTCAAAGAACTTTTTTATTTATGCCTTAATTTCATTGTTTACCCAAAAGTCATTCAGGAGCACGTTGTTTAGTTTTCATGTATTTATGTGGTTTTGAGAGTTCCTCTTGGTGTTGGTTTCTATTTTTATTCCATTGTGGTCTGAAAAGATGCTTGGTATGATTTTGATTTTTTTGAATTTATTGAGACTTCCTTTATGACTGAGCAGGTGGTCAGTCTTTGAGTATGTTCTATGTACATATGAGAAGAATGTATATTCTGTGGTTGTTTGGTAGAGTATTCTGTAGATGTCTATCAGGTTCAGTTGGTCAAGCATTAAATTTAAGTCCAGAATTTCTTTGTTAGTTTTCTGCCTTGATAATCAGTCTAATGCTGTCAGTGGGTTGTTGAAGTCTCCCACTGTTATTGTGTGGCTGTCAACATCTTTTCTTAGGTCTAAAAGTAATTGTTTTCATAAATCTGGGTGCTCCAGTGTTGAGTGTGTATATATTTAAGGATAGTTAAGTCTTCTTGTATAACTGAACCCTTTAAAAATTATATAATGCTCTTTTTTGTCCTTTTTTACAGTCGTTTGTTTAAAGTCTATTTTATCTAATATAAGACCTCTGCTTTTCTTTGTTTTCTGTTTAACTGATCTTTCTCCATTCATTTACTATGAGTCTATGGGTGTTGTTACTTGTGAGATGGTTCTTTTGCAGATAAGAGAAAGAGGGATTTTGTTTGTTTTTTCCAGTTTGCCACTCTATGTCTTTTAAGTGGGCCATTTAGGCCCTTTATATTCAAGGTTAATATTGATATGTGAGGTTTTGTTCCCATCACAGGGTTGTTAGCTAGTTGCTTTGTAGTCTCGATTGTATAGTTGCTTTATAGAGTCTGTGGGTTATGTGCTTTACGTGTGCTTTTGTGTTAGTAAATGTCATTCTTTTGTTTCCATGTTTAGACCTCCCTTAAGCATCTCTTGTAGGGCTGGTCTGGCAGTGATGAATTTGCTTAGTAATTGCTTGTCTGGGAAATACATTATTTTTCCTTCATTTATGAAGCTTAGTTTGGCAAGATATGAAATTCTTGGCTGGCATTTCTTTTAAGAATGCTCAAAATTGGCCCCTAATCTTGTCTGGTTTGTAGGATTTGTGCTGAGAAGTCTACTGTTAGTCTGATGGGTTTCCCTTTAGAACAGGGGTCCCCCAACTCCTGGGCCACAGACTGGTACCGGTCCATGAACTGTTAGGAACCGGGTCACACAGCTGGAGGTGGGCGGTGGGCGATCAAGAATTACAGCCTAAGCTCCGCCTCCTGTCAGATCAGCACTGACATTGGATTCTCTTAGGAGCGTGAACCCTTTTGTGAACTGCACGTGCAAGGGATCTAGGTTGTGTAGTCCTCATGAGACTCTAACTAATGCCTGATGAACTGAGGTGGAACAGTTTCATCCCTAAACCACCCCCTCCAACCCTATCTATGGAAAACTTGTCGTCCACGAAACCGGTTCCTTGCGCCAAAAAGTTTGGAGACTGCTGCTTTACAGGTCATATGACACTTTTCTCTAGCTGCCTTTAAGGTTTTTTCTTTTGGGTGACCTTGGATGGTCTGATGACTGTGTACCCTGGGAATAGTCATTTTGTGTAGTATCTTGTAGGAGTTATCTGGATTTCTTGTATCTGCATGTTGATCCCTCTAGCAAGATTGTGGAATTTTTTCTGAATTATATCTATCTTCAAATATGTTTTCCAAGTTGCTCACTTTCTCTTCTCTCTCAGGAATGCCAGTAAGTCACATATTTGGTCATTTTATATAATCTCATATTTCTTGAAGGCTTTTTTCATTTTTAAAAATTATTTTTATTTTTATCTGACTGGGTTGATTTGAAGAACTGATCTTCAATCTCTGAAATTCTTTCTTTTGCTTGGTTTAGTCTGTTGTTAAGGCTTCCAACTGTATTTTGAGATTCCTCTAGTAAATTTTTCAGTTCCAGAGGTTCTGTTTGGTTCTTCCTTAAAATAACTGTGCCGTCTTTCAAATCTTAGATTATTTTTCTGTTTCCTTTGTGTTGGATTTCAACTTTCTCTTGGATCTTGTTGAGTTTCTTTGCCATCCATATTCTGAATTCTGTATCTGTTATTTCATACATTTCATTCTGGTTAGGAGTAATTGCTTGGGAGCTAGTGGGACCTTTTGGAGTACAAATAATTTTTAATGAATCTTTTAGCAACGAGAATGACACTCTTGAAATTTTCTGCCATGTAAATGTGTATCTTCTCATGATGGGACAGTCCCATGTTTTCGTCAATACTAAATTTAATCATTAATATTAAATTATTTTTGATTTAATATTGTTAATGCAAGAAATGCATATTCTAACATAAAGGCAATAAATTTGGCTTTGGGACCAGTTGGACAGTATCTCTTCTCTCCCAAATTGGTTGTTTTGTGTCAGAGAAATTAAATGTCATCTAGAGTGCCTTCTGTATTCTTTTACTCCCTTTCCCTTTCCTTTATTTCCTTCTGTAGATACTTGGTGCACACTTATCAGGTACCACTTGAGCTGTTAGGAAGTAGTAGTAAGCACAGCAGACATGTTCACTGTTCTTTTGGAATTTATAGTTCAGTGATAACTAGCATTTTAATGTTAGAATCATTTAGATTTCTGTTTTATTTAATAGGAAAGGGTAGATAAGAGTTTTGTTGATTAGAATAGGAAGCTATACACTGTAAAACGTTTATTCAGTTATATGTATATATTATCTCAAATTACATAAGATCATATGGTTGTAGATAAAAATTTTATTATTTTGTCATTACATACTTTACTTGCATTTCTCCCTTGAACCTGCCCTTATCTTCCTTTTTTTCTTTTCTTCCTACTGTTGTCTTTTCATTTTTTTGTTTCCTGACAGGGTGTGTAGGTGAATACTCTCCCCTCACCCCCCTCTCTACCTTTGGTTTCCTTTCCTTTCTCTTCCCTATTTTTTTGCCTATTTTAGGTGATACCTTGATTCTATTAACCGTACTTTCACATCATCCAAGGATCCAGAGGAGTGGGAGAAATGGGATCATCAGGGAATTTCAGTACTGCTTCCAAGACATGGATTTTTACTCCATTTGAAAGTTAAGAGTTCTCTGCTTTGTGGTCCTGATACACATTGAAGGGTGGTGGTGGTATAAGGCATCCTAGACCCTAAACTGGGGATTAAGGTTTATTACAGTGACAGTTTCAACATATTTTTGTCTTGTCAGAGTTATTATTCTTTAAGACATGAACAAGTGAAGAGAATAAACAGGTCTCAACTTCTCTAGATTAAGCCTGCTGGGGTCACCCCTGATACTTACACAGGAAAGAGGCATTCCTACTCTTCGTCTGTATTCTAACCTTGCTGTTGGTATTGCCAAGTGCTCTGTACACATGATTAGTTTGGTAATATTGAGGAAATAATTATCATTTTCCTACTGACATACAAATTATATAAATATGAATTATAGTTTTGGAGACGTGTTTCCATTAAGTATTGCTTAGAGTAATACTTACTGAGAAAGAATTATACTACATTTCATCTTTTTAGGATTTTAATGTGGGATACTGACAAATGCAATATTTCTCTGTATTTGTGTGGGAGAATTTAAAGGAGATGAGTTAAATTGATTTATTAATGATTGAAAGATGACATTTACATTTCAGACTTTTAAAATTGTGGTCCATGGTAGAAATATTTTCACAGTGTGATCCATTATGCACATGTGTACAGACACACACACACACATAAGTGAAACAAAATATACATGAAACCATACTTATTTTCCTTATTTGTGATTCACTCTGACTTCTGTTCTATCACAGTATTCTATTCTGTTTCATCTTTTCGTTAAAAAATGTGTGGTCCAAATCCATTACATTGATTTTATGACCCAGTAATGATTTGCAACTTGAATCTATAGAGCAATAATTACTGAACCAGGTGTTGGAAATCCAAATTCTAACAAAGTCCGAATGCTTCTATTGTTGCTACGTAATAATGGTGTGACCTGATGTTTGAGACTTGTGAGGCTTGAA
Source organism: Homo sapiens (assembly GCF_000001405.40). NCBI lineage: Eukaryota > Metazoa > Chordata > Mammalia > Primates > Hominidae > Homo > Homo sapiens. The sequence goes on along the minus strand of NC_000008.11, from coordinate 98,684,675 downwards.
TCAATTTTGTTATCTCTGAATTAGTTATAATGGACCCTCATCCATCTACTTCACAGAGTTCTTTTTGAAGATCAAAAGGGATAGTGTATATGAACAATACATGTAAAATACTAAGTACTGTAGAAATATGAACTAGCTTTATGAAGTTGCTTTTGAAGTAACATATTGAGACTATAAATTAGTTCAGGTTCTTACAGAGGATGCCCGTTTAATATTTACTATTGTTACTTAAGGAACTTTGAGCTGTGGAAGGATCGAGCAGTTGTTTTTCATCACCTGATTTTGTTGTAGGACATTCAGTAGGATGGGAGGTATTGGGACGTTACACAGTACCCAAAGGAATTACTGTTTCTGTGCCTGAACCTGCTTATTGACAGTTTATTGCTAGCCAGGGGAGATTGCTGAAAACTTTTAAGTTCTTGCTTATGGCTGCTGAGATGTCTTCTGCAGCCTCTACTGGAAGCAATATGAAAATAATGAGCCTATTAGGACTGTGATACATTTTATCTTTTCTAATGATGAAAAACAGTTATTTTTTACTTCTTCATTTTCCCCTATACTGCATACTAGCCCAGTAATGGAAACCATGATTCACAAGAGGGTAGAATGAGCTGTTTCTGGGGCAGAGAATTCAGTCAGCACATCTTATGAAATTGCACTTAAATATTGATGTTTGTGCAGATATGTATTTTTCTGGTAAGATAGTTCATAGTTTTCCATCAAATGAAAATAATAACTCCTTGAAACAAGGATTCCTTGATCGAAAATAACTGAGAACTGTGGTTCTTAATATCAGTGACCCTCAAGAGTGTATCTTGTTACATTGTGTATTTAGGGTAGTGTTTTGTTTACTATTTTCTTTATCATAGCATATTACAGTTCTGCATTTCAACCTGGAACCAAATGTAGATTATGATGTCTTCCTCCCGTAATCTTTCTACTTCTGGAAAGCTTAGTTTTAGATAAGTCTAATTATTGTTAGAAGTTCCTCATCCCACTGATTTAAAAAATCTTTTCTTTCTTTGAATTCTCATATCACCTTATCTATAATTTTCTTATGGCACTTTTAAACTTACTGTGTATTATCATAGTTATTTTGATATAGTTGTCGTATTTCCCTACTAAATCTAAGTTTTAAATTCAAGTATGTTTCATCTTTGTGTGTCTAAATGAATCTAGCAGATTCTAACATAAGAATATCCAATAAATATTTTTGTTGAATATGTGCTTATTTCCTTTCCTATCTCAAAGATACTTCTGTGGTGTTAATACTGAAATCTGGTAAGCTCAGATTTTTCTTTCTTAAAATAATAAGTGTTGTACTTACAACTTAGCATAAGAATCAATGAAATAAATTAAAAAGTGAAAGTAATTAAATGCTAATCAAATCCAACTTGAAAGAGCTGTCATCCCTCACAGCTTGCCTTTCAAACTTTTACTTAGCACAATTTATTTATTTAACATTTAAATTTTAAATTGATATAATTTATATTATTTATTTATTTTTTGGCACTTTAGTTCCTGTTCCTTATTAGAGATCAGAAAAATCAGTAGTGGGCACCCTTAATTTTGGCCTCAGGATATAGTAGCTTTGGTTTGCTAATTGGGGATGAAAACTGTTTTAACAGACAACCATTAAGCATTATTGAAGATATATATCTTAAAAGCAATTGTGTGGACTTACTCTGTTGGTCATAGTAAGTTTTATTTTATTCTAAGCCAGTAATAGTAACTATTTGTGCCAGAGATTTAAGCTAGCATTTATTTTAGGAGACATAAATAGCTAGGTGTGCATAGGGTAGGAAGGTGGAAGGAGGTATACTGAGGGCAGGTATTTACTCTAATTTCATGTGTATAACACTTAAAAATTTACATTTTTGGAGGAAATGGTGTCTCTATCAGGTTTAAATTTTGAAATTATGTGTCGATTGATATTTTTAAAAAGAAAGACAAGTCATACCTGACTTATAAAATAAATATGCATTTTAGTTAAATTGCTGTAGAATAGAATTCAGCTGTCCTAGAAGACTATATTAATTACAGATTAATTATTTAATTTTGTTAACTTGGTTTTAAGTATAACTTTCACATGAATAGAACCATCTTTATTACATCTGGGATCATTTAATTTGCATAATTAAATGTAGTTGTGCTATGCAATGCAAGGTAAGAAATAAATGATTAGCGGTGACTTTGTAAGCATTTCGGTAAGTGACTTATAAACTGAAGGTCACCATTTTAATTGGAATGCTCGTGAATCTCTTACATTCTGTAATCAAATGAATGATATCAAAGAAAGAAGTAATTTAACATAACAATTGTGGCTTACACTGAAAATATGTTCCTGTTAATAAGTTGCATCATGATCTTTAAGGACTTGTATGTAGTTAGTACATTTTGGTTCATTTGATATCCATGGTTTTTCTTCATTTTTATTAGTGAGTTGTTACAGTGGTTAACAAGAAATACACAGATTTAAGCTGCAATAGTTTTCCCAGGGTTATATGATCTAACTTCACAAGCTTCTTGAACATATGTAGATGCTTTTCTATTTTGCTTTACTTATGACATACAATTGATATAGGCAAGCATGAAAGCTTGGGCAGATTTTCATTGCTTTTTCTGGATCTTGCTCAGGTTCTGTGGTATTTATGTAAAGCACAATTTTGTTACTTGGGAATGCATGTTGAAATTATCATGTGCACTATTTTGCTGTAGGCCCGTTGGCACTGCCACAAAGGTAATACACTGCTAGTAGGCCATTTCCTTGTCGACTGCATTTACAATTTAATAGAAATATTACATGACTTTTTAAACAAGTGTTTTGGCAGGGAGGAAATGGCAGATTCCATACAAACAAGCATAGCTTCCTTTCCTAAACCACACTCCAGCTACTCAAGAAATTGTAGTTGGTTTCAAGTTTGGGAGTTTAGGGGTAGAATGGGAAGTCAGGTTGAAACAGGAATGACATTGATATTTACTGTAAAATAGTTATATATTTTTAGCTGCTGAATTTCATTACTGTATAGTTTGAGTGACACTAGTATATTTCTGAATAAGTGCTGAGATTATTTTCTTAAACATTCATTTTAAGTATTATGGATATGTAGTAGTTGTACATATTATTTTTATACAGTTCATCTGACTGGCCTGGTTTTGATTGGTTGAAAAGGTCAGGACCACCAGATAGGCTTTAACACTTAAACATTATTAAAAAATTTATATTTTTATTTTTTTTTACAGTTTTGGCTTTGCTGTGTAAATTGGTCCTTCATGATACTTGCCTAAGTTAAGCTCTACTTCTTTTATGTCAACTCTTATTGTATCTTGAAGATGAATCGCTTTGGGGGTTAGAGAGTATAGAAAGGTGGAGGTTAGAGGCCGGGTGCAGTGGCTCACGCCTGTAATCCCAGCACTTTGGGAGGTCGAGGTGGTTGGATCACAAGGTCAGGAGTTCGAGACCAGCCTGACCAACATGGTGAAACCCTGTCTCCACTAAAAATACAAAAATTAGCCGTGTGTGGTGGCACGCGCCTGTAGTCCCAGCTACTTGGGAGGCTGAGGCAGGAGAGTTGCTTGAACCCAGAAGGCGGAGGTTGCAGTGAGCCGAGATCATGCCACTGCACTCCACCCTGGGTGACAGAGTGAGACTCCATCTCAAAACAACAACAACACCAAAAAAAAAAAAAAAAAAGAAAGGTGGGGTTAGAAACTATAGAAGGAAAATTTGGTAGACTAATTAAAACTGATGTAAAACATAATGGATTCCCACCACATCTTTTGTTCAGTTTCTTTTTATACTCTATTATGTATTTCAAAACTTGAAAGGTCATATTTATAATTTTTTATTTGGAAGTTATTCCATCTTATTCCTCTGTTATTTTATTTAGTTCTCTGGATCTTAAATCGTTTGTAGTTTTGGATAAAATGTTGCCTTCTTTAATTCCAAAGTAGTTTATACTTTTAGAAACTGTCTACAGAGAAAAAATTGTGCTTTACTTTCAGCCTTTATCGTTGCTACATTCTACTTTCTAGTATAGATCCCAACTTTGTCTTCTGTAGGGAAAGAGAACAGTTTATAGTTAGTTCTTTCTCCTTTTTTTCTTATTGCTTCTGACTTCTTAGCCAACTTACCTGGCAGCTGTAGTAAGTTATGCTGCTGCGGTGTGGTAGAGACTGGCATTGGGTGTGTTCTTATAGCCATCATAGCATCGGCTTTTGTTATTTTCCATGTTTCAGTTTGTTGGTAATGGACATATGGACATCATATGTTCCACAGAGTAGTGTATGAAGCCAATTTGAACTGTTTCCATTTGCCTCAAGTTCAATCATGATATTTATTTTTCCATGGCACTTACCCAGATTATCCATACCTCCTGCTTAGCTCTGTCACTGCCACCATGGACTGTATTTCTTCTGATTGCCTCCATTTTTTCACAGTATCTAATTGCCTTTCCCTCTTAGCTCTGTCTGCACAGCATTGATTGATGTTTATAAAAGATCCAAAGATCTTTCAGATAACAGATACTCAGGTGCATAGTAGTATGATATTCAGCTAGTTTTTTGTTTGCATAAGGAAAGTTATATATCCAGTTTCACAGACTGGTATTGAATATTCTAATGGAAAAGTTAGAAGAGTAACAATATGATTTTAGACAGTTTTGCTTACTTTTTAGTACCAACAATAACAGCAATATGATCTCAGGGTACCTTACCTTTGTTATACCAAATCAAGTCATAATTTTATTCATAAATTTTGAAGCTAAGATCCTAGATGCTCCCTTTTAGGCTTGAGAAAATATGTCTACATTATTGTTTACTATAGCTGTTCTTCAGCTCTCTTGCCCTATGCAAAGTCACTTAGAAAGTCATTGATTCTCAGAATATGAATAAATGTGTTGCTATCATTTCATGACATTCATTGAGCCAACTATTACTGTAACTGAGAAGCTGTGGGTTTAAGCTTGTGGATTCACTGGAATGCATTTATCCATTTATTCAGTAGATATATATTGAGTACCTACCATGTGCTTGGGACTATTCTAGGTACTAGGGATGCAGCAGCAGGAAAAACAAAGGTAAAAATTTCTCTTTATTGAGTTTATATTCTACTGAGGGAGGGAGATAATATCAAAAATAAATAAATACATCATGTGTCTTAGATAGTCATAAGTGCTAGAGTAGAAAAAATAAAACAGGGAAACAAGATAGGAAATTTCAAGGGTAGGGTGGAGTGGTTGATGTGTTGTGTTGGATTGCCAGTGAAGGCCTCATTGAGAAGATGATACTGGAATAAAAAGCTGAAGAAAATGAGGGTATCTGGATGTAGAATATCTAGGCAGAGCCAACTTACTGCAAGTTCTGTGGTGCTGAAGTGGGAGTGTGCATGGTGATTCCTGGTCCAGATCATAGAGCCTAGAAGGTCACAATCAGTGCTTAGACTTTTATTCTGAATGAGATGAGAAGTCACAGAATTTCTAAGTAGAGGAGTGACATTAGAGCCAGAAAGGTGGTAAGGGTGGAATTACATAGACTAGTTAGGAGACTTTTGCATAAACCGAGAGATGACGGTGACTTCTCTTGAAGAAGCAGTGAAAATAGTGAGTAGTTGAATTCTGTTATATTTTGTAAGTGGATTAACAGGATTTGCTGATGGATTAGGTATATGAGAGCACTGACAATGCTAAAGAGTTACTCTGCACAGCTTTGAAAGATGGTCCTTTCCTAGTCTATCAAAATATAAGCAGGAAGGCAGAAATGGAATGAAATATAGAGTTTATTCTTCCACAAAACTCAACTGTAAATGTGATGCATGTTTGCTATAGAAAGGAATAAAGGTATAAAGGAAGAAAACAAAGTATAAGGAAGAAAATAAAAATACTTGTACTACCTCAAGATTTACCATTAACATTTTGATATATGGGCTTCTGTGTACTTTGTGTATCTACTGTGCCCATTAGTACATACTGGTTTTTAACCAAAATTGGAATCATGAGATTACATTGTTTTATAACTTTCTTTTTTTCCTCTATCACTACATCTTGATCACTTTCCCATATCCTTAAGTTTTTGAGCCTTAAAATACTTTAAAAATTGCTAAAGTGAAATAATTTCATATACATTCTGTTTTTATGATAAAACTTTAAAATGTATGGTTTCTTTGTTTAAGGCGAAAGGAAGCAACTTATGCAAAGAAGCCATTACTAGTCATTAATCCTAAAGTTTAAAAAAGTCCATGGTTTTAATTTTTCATACTCATAAATTATTTATTAAATATCATAAATTATACTTTTTAAGAATTTAAGTATTCTGATGATAAGTTTTAATTTAAGGTGTAGCATATCAATTCTCTATGGATTTCATTTTTCTGTTTCTTTTCTACAAATTTTATTTCCACATAGAATGTTAAGAACTCTCTATTGGAGGAAATTATTATTTTTTTTAACCTTAAGAAACTGATATTTAATTGCATTTGTACATCCTATCTTTAACTTTGTATCAGTAAGCAGTCTTAACCAGCTGAGTGATTACATCAAGCCTAAATAATTAACCATATCAGAAAACATGCAATTAATAATGAACAGATTGTTAGATACTTCCTTCTATCAGTACAATCATTTTGAAAAGAAAACATTCTAAATGTTTTTTTCATTTAAAATGTATTGTACCTGCCAAAAAATACAAATGTGGTTTTCTTAACCTTGGACACTGATATATACATGTGCAGTAGGGAAGCATACTTCTGTTGCCAGCTTCTTAGTTACTGGGGTAGGCAGAATTGTTCTCCAACTACCTGACTCCTTCTGCAACCTCTTGTGCTGATGGTATTCATATAAAATGTAAAAAACATTTTCAAATGTTTTGCGAAGTTTTGAGAAGAAAAGTTCTGAAAAATTCCTAGGAGAGGGAAGAAAAAGGGTGAAGGCAGAATGACAAGTACCCATATTTGGAGATTTGGTGGAAGGAGATAAAAGAGACCAGAGAGTAAGAGAAGAATTAGGAGAGTTTCAGCCAAGGGAGAAAATAGTTTTAAGGAGGTTGTGATTGATGACCTTTTACAAATGTTTGTCCTCTTCTCTGTCTCCATCTCCATCTCCGTCTCCTTCTCCTTCCTTCTTCCTTCTTCCTTCCTCTTCCTCCTTTGTCTTTCTTCTTCTTTCTTCTTTTTTGCCTTTAGTTTGGGTAGTATGAATAATAGGTTATCAGATTGGAGGTCATGGTTAACTTTCAGGAGTGTAATTCAGTCAAGTAGCAGGCTGAAGTCAATTCCTGGGGGATCCAGAAATGAAGTTCGGTAGCCAAGAAGAGGAGTAAGTTGGGTGGCGGTGGGGGCGGGGGGTGGGGGTGCGGTGAGATTTGAAGGTTTGAGAGTCCAGGGAAGATTTTAATGGCATGAGGAGACTTAGTCTGATTTTAGAATGAGATGTAGGACCCAGAGGAGAGGATTAAAGATGTAAGGAGTAGGGCCAAGGGCGACAGATAATGAAACAAGGCCCCAGTCAGGTAGCAGGGAATGTGACTGAGGATTTAAGTCTAGTCATCAACCATGGGGAAAGTAGATTTAAGCATACTATGTCTATAACCTGCTCCTGCCCTGGACATCAAGTGTTACATTTGAAGAGCTCACTGCTTATTAATGCAGAAGCAGTATCAAGCATTTTATATGGTTGCCAGACTTAGGCAGGGCCAGTGGGTTGAAAGGCAGTAATACTTTGCTAGGCAATAATTGGTTTAGGGGTGCTGGTTAGCTGTAGTGGTGGTTCAGTTGCTTACAAAGTATTTAGAAGCCTCTGAGCAACTATATTCTGATCTGCCTTAAAAATAATTTAGAGTGAAGCTAATTACTGAAAGACCTTAACCAGCTTTTAAAAATATTGTGGAAATAAGCATAAATTCACCATTTTAACATTTTTAAGTGTACAATTCAGAGATGTTATATACACATTTACACTGTTGTACAGCCGTCACTACCATCCATACACAGAACTTATTTTTTTTTACTTTTTTATTGTGGCAAAATACACTTAACAAAATTTACCGTTTAACTTTTTTTTTTTTTTTAAAGATAGAGTTTCACTCTTGTTCCCCAGGCTGGAGTGCAATGGCATGATCTTAGCTCACTGCAACCTCTGCCTCTCAGGTTCAAGCGATTCTCCTGCCTCAGCCTCCCAGGTAGCTGGGATTACAGTCATGTGCCACCACTCCTGGCTAATTTTTGTATATGTAGTAGAGACTGGGTTTCACCATGTTGATTGGGCTGGATGGTCTCTAACTCCTGACCTCGGGTGATCCCAAGGTGCTGGGACTACAGGCGTGAGCCACCGCGCCCCGCCCCATTTAACTGTTTTTAAGTGGCATTAAATACTTTCGTATTACTCTGCAACATCACCACTATTCATCTCTAGAACTTTTCATCATCCCAAACTGAAACTCCATGCCTGTTAAAACAGTTACTTCCTACTACTTTCTCCTCTAGCTTCAAGTTAGAACTATTGTATTTTCTGTTTCTATAAATCTGACTATTCTGGGTACCTCATGTAAGTGGAATCAAGAAATATTTGTCCTTTTCTGTCTGGCTGCTTTCATATAGCACAATGTATTCAAGGTTCATTCATCTTGTAGTAACTGTCAGAATTTCATATCCTTTTTATGGCTGAATAGTATTTCATTTATGCGTACACATCATTTTGTTTATCTGTGCATCTATTGATGGAAACTTCGATTGTTTCCACCTTTTGGCTCTTGTGAATCGTGCTATGAATGTGGACACACAAATATTCTGTTTGAGTCCCTGCTTTTTTTTTTCTTTTTTGAGACAGAGTCTCGCTCTGTCACCCAAGCTGGAATGCAGTGGTGCAATATCGGCTCACTGCAAGCTCCGCCTCCCGGGTTCACACCATTCTCCTGCCTCAGCCTCCCGAGTAGCTGGGACTACAGGCTGCCCGCCACCACGTCTGGCTAGTTTTTTGTTATTTTTAGTAGAGAGGGGGTTTCACCGTGTTGGCCAGGATGGTCTCGATCTCCTGACCTCGTGATCCACCCACCTCGGCCTCCCAAAGTGCTGAGATTACAGGCATGAGCCACCACGCCCAGCCCGAGTCCCTGCTTTTAATTCTTTTAGGTATATACCCAGAAGTGGAATTGCTGGATCATATGATAATTTCATGCTTACTTTTTTGAGGAACCACCATACTGTTTTTCCATAGCTCAGCCATTTTTTTTATAGACATACAGATAAGATGGCATATAAAATGCATAATATTTGTATTCAAAGATTTATGGAACTCATGACGTGCAAGAAAATCACATCTTTAGGTTGAATCACATTTACATCATTTCAGGAAGCTAGCTGACTTATTTGTTTAAAGATGTTAACAGAAAAAGATAACATGTATATTTTTAATATAACAATTCTTGTAGTTGGAGAGTTCTTTCTCATATATAGTGTAGTGTAGTGTTATTAACATTCTTGGCATGTTTGATATAAAATCTGTACAGTGCTTTATTTTCCACAAGCCTTGTTCATTTGAACTACTTTTATTCATGAAGCACTTTATGTATATTTTTCTTTACTTGTTAAAACATTTGGCTGTTTTAAGGAGCTTGACCTAAACTCTGTGCTTTTGAAACAGTGAAGGCTACATGCATCATGCCACAATTCTTTGACTGGTCAACATATGTTTGAAAGTTTATTCTAATAATTTAATTCCATATTAAAATTAATGACAGTTTTCTCTTTTGTTGTTTATAAATGTGTATGTGAAATGTAGTTACCATTCCCGACAGGAACTTTTGGTAACACATTTAATAGAAATTTATAAGATAAACATTAGTCATGACAAAGAAAACAAAAAAACAGCCTTCTTCTAATAGTAAAACAAATATGTGAGGCAAAGAAACGGAAGATACGAATTATTCTCTTGCTTTTGAATATTTCATGAGTTTTCTTCTGAGATATTAGTAGAAAGTACCTCATAGTCTCTCCTAGTAGCTTTTTATTTGAAGTGAAGGGTTTTTAGACTTGACCTTTTGGCTGCTATAATTATTTGGGAACTGTGATCTCTTCATTTGTTGACATATTCTTTAAACTATAGTATAAATGTGTTAAGTTTGATATATAGAATGCTTTTTTACTTTGACCTTTTTTTGCCTCAAAAATGAATTCATTGATTTCTCATATCCACAAATCTAGCCCTATGATTTTGTCTTTTTAAAATTTGCTTTCCCCAGGCTGATCCAGTTCTAAATTCCATTTTTGTATCCCATTATGAAGATGTTTTCTCATTTTTTTCTGATTCATCACAAATTGAACATTTCATTGAGTTTATAAATATGTGTATGAGTCTTTTAGTGGTATTTTATATATTGTTTAAACAACTGAATGTAACAATATAATATTTATAATTTGTGGGGTTAAATTTACAAAATAATTCTTTGGTTGTCCTTTTGTGTATATTTTCTTCATGCATGTCATCTCTTTATTTCCCAGATAGTTTAACACATAAGCACTGTATGTTAAAATAACATAACTTGGATGACATATAGCAGTAAATGTACAAAATAAATTTTTAGTTTCCATTTTTCATATGTATTTTCTCTCTGAGTGTCTCTTTTGGAGGAAGCGAGAGTTCCTTGTAGATGAATTACATAATTTCATGCTGAATTTAGGAGAAATAAATTGTTAAAATGAGTACTTAAAAGAAAACATAAACTCCAAACCTATGTATATTTATTTTAATCTTTGGAATGTAGCATAGTATTCTACATATTTACCAGTTTATGTGGCATTGATAATTATTACAGTGTACATTTACTGAACTCATTTTGTATCACTGCTATTGTTCTAAGTATTTTTTTGGATGGTGTTAATAAATTGTTTTTTATTTCTTTTTTTAAAATTTGAAATTATTGAGATGAATTTCATATAACATATAATTAACCATTCTAAAGTGAACAGTTCAGTGGCCTTCAGAACTCTTATCTAGTTCTAAAACATTTCTTTCACTCCAAAATACAACCCGGTACTTGTTAAGCATTTTATCCCCATTCTCCACCATCCCACCTGCCCCTCCCCACCCCTCCGATCCTGGCAACCACCAGTTTGCATTCTGTCTTTATGGATTTATATATTTTATCTAAATGGAATCATGCAATATGTGACTTTTGTGTCTGGCTTCTTTCACTTAGCTTAATGTTTTTGAGGTTCATTTATGTTGTAGCACGCATTTTATTCCTTTATATGGTTGTGTTCTGAGTATTTTTTGTATACTAACTTATTTGATTCTCACATCAAACCCTATTTTGTGGGTGTTAGTACTATATCTACAGCTTACAGATGATCAAAGTAAGGTATAGAGAGAATAAAGAACTAGTAATTGGTAGAACCAGGATTAGAACCCAGACACTGGACTTTATATCCTGGTCTTATGACCTAGATGTAAAATAGTGTTTTATTCATCCTTGTATAAAGTAGATCCTAAGTATGACTGAACAAAATTGAAAAGGGAATTATATAACATTGAGGCAACTGGAAAAATTTAGGTTGAATAGCTGAGTGCCTGGGCTATGAGAAAGTTTAGAAGCCATAACCAAAATATGTAATACCAAATATTAAATATAGACATTATCTTTCTGATATTTTTGATATTTTTGGAACTAAATACCACTCAAAGTCAGTAAATGTGCATTTTTTTTTAAAGAAACACAGCAAACTGTCATAGCTTCTTCTTGAATCCCTTGAAGTATTTCACAATAATTATATGGCTTCTCTGTATGTAAAATTTAAACCTGCATAAAAAGTTCTTAGTGACTGCCCCCGACCTCCACTAAATAGTAATAACTTGATGGTTAGAATGTGCCTGAATTTGGCAGTTTTCCAGAATTCTGGTCATTAACTGTATAGCCACCTAACTTTTCACTTTTTTCTTTGAGAAAATTAAATCATCTTAACCCTTTACTCTTAAATTATATGGCTTTGCTAATAGGAAAGCATTCTTTTGATTTACTGAGGCAATTGCTTTGAAACCTTTGGGAAATAATTGTTTCTTTACTTAGCTGAACTTTGAGTACAGGAAAAAAACAAAACCCAAACCTCTTTCTTTTCTAAATGTGCTAGTGCCTGTGGAAGAGATGGTGATGTTGTTTAAGTAATTAGCTTGAGGACATGTAGATGAGAGATTTTATGTAAAACAAATTTTTGAGTCATAATTTTATTGTAATATCAGATATATGATTCTATAGAAAAGATCTTTCCCAAAGCTGTAAAACAAAACAAAACAAAAATTCTTTCTTTCCCATACAAGGTTTCTCTCTGTTGCCCAGGCTGGAGTGCAGTGGCGGGATCGTAGCTCTTTGAGACCTCAAGCCCCTTGGCACAACACCCCCACCAATCACACCCCCTAACCCCCTAACCCCCCACACCCACCGCCCACCATGTCTCAGCCTTCCAAAGTGCTGGGTCTACATATTTGGGAGGCTGAGGTTGGGGGATCACTTGAGCCCAGGAGTTCAAGACCAGCCTGGGCAAGTTTGAGAGACCCTGTCTGTGTTAGTTCATTCTCATGGTGCTATGAAGAAATACCCGAGACTGAGTAATTTGTAAAGAAAAGAGGTTTAATTGATGCACAGTTCCACATGGCTGAGAAGGCCTGAGGAAACTTATAATCATGGTGGAAGGCACCTCTTCACAGGGTGGCAGGAGAGAGAATGAGTGGCAAGCAAAGGGGGAAGCCCTTTATAAAACCATCACATCTCATGAGGACTCACTTACTATCATGAGAACAGCAGGGGGAAACTGCCCCTGTGATTCAGTTATCTCCACCTGGTCCCACCCTTGATACCTGAGGATTATTACAATTCAAGGTAAGATTTGGGTGGGGATACAGAACCAAACCATATCACTGTTATCTACAAAAGATTTTTTAAAAAGTAGCCAAGTGTGGTGGTATGTGCCTATGGTCCCAGCTACTCTGGAAGCTGAGGTGGGAAGAACTTTTGAGCTCAGGAGGTCGAGGCTGCAGTGAGCCATGATTACACCACTGCACTCTAGCCTGGGTGACAGAGCGAGAGACCCTGTCCCAAAAAAACAAAAAACAAAAAAAAACCCCAAACTAAAAAATTTATATACAAAAACCTCAGCATATTTGTCAAATAACTGTGTCAGTGAGTTCTTAAGCATTTTGTTTTCATATAATATAAAATATTTTATTTCCTGCTGTCTTTCTATGTATACAAATAACCAAGTTGCTAGTTTCTTTGTTGTATGAGCTTTTATGTAATTTATGGCATTTCCATTTGTATGTAGCTGTAATGAACTTTGTCTCTGCTTTGTTCCTTACCATGGAAATGGGTTTTTTCCCCCTCAGATGGATTCAGACAATAGTTCTGGGTGGTAAGTCTCCATGTAAGGAGTTAGCCCTTCTATTTACAAAGGCTGTCCTTAATTTCATAGGTAATGTTTCTGGAAGTTCAGCCATTGACAGAATGTTATAAGAGAAGGTTCTTATCCCACAGAGCTTTATTATACATTCTCTAATTTCATTTTGCCTTATCATTAATATATTTTTAGTGTGTTATACATGTTACTTATATTGACTTTTCCTTTAACATTTAAATAGTGTTGATGCAGGATTTTTCTTGGCCCCTTTGCTGGGCTCGCAGGAGCAGGTGCCCCATTTACTCAGCCTGCCAGGCCGCATCTGGCTTGCACTCCAGTGTGGATCCCACAGCTGCCACAACTGCACACTCAGCCCCCACATTCAGTGGGTCCCGAGTTCTTGTCCCATGTCCAAGAAGAATGAGGTCTCACTGACAATTGAAGGGTGATGAGGACAGAGAATTTTATTGAGTGATGAAGCAGCTCTCAGTCTAGAGAGGGGACAGGAAGGTGGTCTCTCACTCGAAGTTGGGTCATCTCCCTCAGTGTGGCTGGATCTGGGGTTTTTATGGGCACAGGATCGGGGGGGCCCATGGGCCACAGGTAGTATTGGAAAAGGCAACATTTGATTGGTTAAAAAGCATTATTCAGAAAGAACCAGTTGGGAAAGAGCAGGCAAACAGAAATAGAAGTTCTCTCTCTGGGTCATGGGTTTCAGGCTGTTTTTGACTTGAAGGTGGGGTTTCACCCTGTCTGACTAGGATTTTTCTGCTTCCTGCCTCTATCAGTGTTGATTGACTTAATATTTAGTGAGCTTCCATTTGAGCCTAAAGATGTTATATTAAATCTAATGATTTTTATTTGCATCTAGATTATTGCTTATCATGTGTCAGTACTTCTTTCCTGAGTCCATACTTCTTTCATTTTTTTTCTTTTTTTGAGATGAGGCCCCACTCTGTAACCCAGGCTGGAGAGCAGTGGTGCGATCACGGTTCACTGCAACCCCTCGAGCCTGGGCACCTGCTCGCCTCAGCCTCTGGAGTAGCTGGTACTATAGGCACACACCACCACGCCTAGCTAATATTTCTATTTTTTGTAGAGATGGGGTTTCACCATGTTGCCCAGGCTGGTCTCGAACTCTTGGACTCAAGCAATCCACTTGCCTTGGCCTCCCAAAGTGCTGGGATTTACAGGCATGAGCTACTGCACCTGGCCTCTATTCATTTTTATATACAGTGTTGTGAGTACTAATTTTCAAATATTTGTTAACCTGAAACCCTTCAAAAGGGTTGAAAAGTTATCTAAAAGTACAGTTATCTACTACAGATATAGGTGGAGAAGCTTATGGTGGAAGAATGCTAGCAGCTACAGCCTTCTGAACATCTCTTCATTTTATCATCTATCGTGTGAAAGAGATCTTCTATCGTTTGAAAGGGATCTTTAATCTTTCCTGTGTTTGGGTATCTTCGAAGGGCTAGGCCATACATAGAACAGGGTAGGAGAAAGGAGGTAAGTAAGGTGAAAGGAGAAACAGATTTGTTTGACACAAGTGTTGTAGGGACTGATACTTTGTTACCCTCAGTTGTGTAACATGTTGCTTGATTCTGTTGAAGACCCTGTATTCCGGGTGTTCATTGATTTTTTTTGGGATACTTCCTTGACGATCTGTATGAAGCACCCTAAGAGAACATGTTAGAACATGTAGTTTCTCTAAAAATTCCACTTTGAATTTTTGGAAGACTGCTATGTATTAGTCAAAAAATATTTTAGATAAATTTCTTTCCCCTGCCTTCTTATTCTTTGACTAATTAGTCAAATGTATACAAAGGGTGTCTTCCTGTATTTGAACCAACCAAAAACACACATCTGAACTGTCAGCTAAGGGGTAGGCTTGGTGTTATGATCAATTAGAGGAGTCTTGCTTCTAGAACAATACCCACTAGAACAATAAAAAATCCAAGTCTTTTTTTAGAACTGTTGATATGATTTAAAAGATAAGATTAATGGGCCGGGCGCAGTGGCTCACGCCTGTAATCCCAGCACTTTGGGAGGCCGAGGTGGGTGGATCATGATGTCAGGAGTTCGAGACCAGCCTGATCAATATGATGAAACCACATCTCTAGTAAGAATACAAAAATTAGCCAGGTGTGGTGGTGCGTGCCTGTAATCCCAGCTACTCAGGAGGCTGAGGCAGGAGAATTGCTTGGAGCCAGGAGACGGAGGTTGCAGTGAGCTGAGATTACACCATTGCACTCCAACCTGGGCAACAGAGCGAGAGCAAGACTCCATCTCAAAAAAAAAAAAAAAAAAAAGACAAGATTAATTTGGCACGTGTAATCAAGTAGCAGAGGCAGTTTGAAAGCTGAACACAATTGAAATATAATTGGAATTATACAGAAAACACTTATTTCATATTCTTAAACAAGGTTTTAATTAAAGTAGAATTGACTCATCTTTTTTTGATGTGCCTCTGAGAAGGAAATTTGTAACACACTTCAGTTGATGGTTGGCTTTCTCTGACTTTGATTAATCACTTTCAAAGTAAGCAATAGATGAGTATAGTAATTTTATAATTATATGCAAGTGAGATTATTTTAAACTAACTGTAAAGGAAGTTTTATATTGTTCAACATTATATAATGCTGTATATTTTTCTTTTACTATTAAAATACATGTAGTAATCTGAAAAAAGATTTTGTATTATTTTTATAAATACAATTTAATGGAAACTTTAAGCTAGAAATATTAGTTTCAAAGACATTTATCTATTAATACTGAAACTTTAAGCTTTTTTGAAAACTAGTTGATGAAACTAATAAATATTGGAAATAATCCAACTGGTGGAGCTGACTGTAAGTTATGATTCCACACTAGTGAACCAACTTGTGCCTCCCTGAAGCACTGCTAAAAATAAAACTTTGAACTGTCTGAAAGATTTGAAATGACAATGGAATTTGATTATTCACAGTCAAGATAAAAGGACTCTCCTCAGTGCAAGATTAAATGCCCCTAAAAGTTTAAGAAGTTTTCACCTGTCAAAACTAATACAAAGAGAAATTAATTCTGTTTAAATTAATAATACTGAAGAATGTACACCTCATCTTACCTGTATCTAGAATCCTCACTGGGTAAGTATTTAATCCATTCTGAAAGAATCTTAAACAGTTTTATTAAGAAGAACATAACCAATCTGCAATATTACCTATTTAAAAATTTCTTATATGTTCATTTCTTAATTAAAGCTTTTAACAAAAGTAAGTGTATTTTGTCACTGAAACTGTATTAAACAACTGAGAAAGTGTCTAATACTCTAATGTATTTTTAAGCATTGATTAACTTTTATATGGTGAGTCACTTGCTTCATCATCTCTTTTAAGAGTAAAAATAAGTGCTATTTAATGGTAGAAACCAAGTATTTATACTCTTTTCATTACCAAAATAAGACACAAAAATTAATGGATTTTTTTAACATTGAAGATTGTAGTTCAATTAAGTTTATGAGGAAAAGTTATGATTGTCATGTTACTAATTGTATCACTTTTTCCTTATATGTTGTGAATTTAACATTTGTTTTGTACTTCGTTTTTTATTTTTAAAACAGCATAGGCTCAAAACAAAGTAAAATCTTTCAGAAAAGACTATCAGAGTCTATACTTGCTCTCTTTTCTTATTTTGACTTGCCTTTTATACATTCAATTTTTAAAATGATGCTGCATATTTAATGAAAAAAGTTTTTTAAAAGGAAGTGTTGCCAATCAGTCAAAATTTGTTACAGTTAAAATTTGATGGTCTACAGACAATTTATAATCCTTTTCTTGTTATAAAATATTGTCAAATTTATAGTAGTATCAGTTAGAAAGTTTATGGAAACATTGTTTAAGGTGGTTTAAAATAGAAGTAAATCTTTAATTTGAATTTGATGACACCTGTTTTCATTTTGTTCCCCCGGCAACACTGCTAGTACCAAAATTGCCCATAGACCACCCTGGTTTTTGAAAAGAATGAAATCATTCTGTTTTTTAAAAATTTTATCCTTTTACTGACTAAATATTTAAACAGGGTTATAAAACATCTGTCAGAGTTTGTGAACTCATGTTGGAGTAAAAGAGTTTAGGACACATAATTGGAAGTTTTGCATGAAAATTCCTGAGTAGTTTTAGTTTGTCTTTCTTAGTTATGCTGAAGTTTTTATTAGAATTATAATTAGAAATTAGAAAAGTAATTGACAGCAACAATGGAAAAAATATCTGGACTCAGTTGTTTTGGAAAGCTATGCTTGCTTTCCTTCAGTTATTGACAATTGAGATTTTTTAAAAAGACAATATGATCCTTTTCTCTGGAAGGCTCTGGGCAGTCAAGATATACGAATTAAGGTTTACACTGTTGAGACTCCTGTGAGAGAGAGGTAAAGCTGACACAAATGTTATCTTTTCTAGCATTTTTTCCACCTGCTGTATGATTGATTCATGTGTTTGGGACATTGTAAAATGTCATTATTCTATCTTTTTTAGTTGTGAATAATTGAGACTTAGATGTAATAAAACAAGTGGCTGAAAATTATTAGTTTTTCATGTCCAGAGACCAGAATTGTTTATAATAGGCAAACTGAGCCAGACATGTTAGATCAATGTGTATTCTTTTGATAATTTCCTTCATCAGATGGGATTTATTCCTGTGTTCTCCAAAGGAAAATTTATATGGGAAAATTTTGGTTTACTTTTAAAGAATTGGGTATTTAGACCAGCAAATCTTTGTTTTATTTACATTTGCCTTGTGTATTAAGAAATATAGGTTATATTCTGTTATAGAAATATTTATGAGGCTAAATCTCTACACTTAACATGATTAGGTATAACTGTATATAGAACTAACAGAGACACTAAATATTTAACATCTATTACAAGTAATATTCTGCTGCTGTTTTTTACTATAAGGTTACTTTTTCTTACAGTAGATAAATCATTTTTCTTATTGAGAAGCATGTGGCTGAATATATACCTGTCTACCCCTAAGTTTTCTTGTATATTACTTTATTCTATATGTTACTAGGCTAATATAGAAAATGTCCTTGGATGAATCAGAATACCTCTGTGTGATTTTTTTTTTTTTTTACATTTACAAAAACCATTGTGTCAAGGTAAGGAGATTATTCTGGTTTAATATAATGCCATTTGAATGAGGAGTCAGTTTTCTTTCTGGATAAACCAGTTATTAGGTGAAATTTACTTCTTGACAGTGTCCATCATTTAAAAGGGACTGGAAGAACTCGTGTTGAAGTTTCCTTAAAAATCAGGATGGGGCCAGGTGCGGTGGCTCACGCCTGTAATCCCAGCACTTTGGCAGGCTGAGGCAGGTGGATCACGAGGTCAGGAGATCGAGACCATCCTGGCTAACATGGTGAAACCCTGTCTCTACTAAAAATACAAAAAATTAGCCGGGCGTGGTGGCGGGCACATGTAGTCCCAGCTACTCTGGAGGCTGAGGCAGGAGAATGGCGTGAACCCAGGAGGCGGAGCTTGCAGTGAGCCGAGATCGCGCTACTGCACTCCAGCCTGGGCGACAGAGCAAGACTCGGTCTCAAAAAAAAAAAAAATCAGGATGGGTACTGGGTGTGGTTGTGGCTCATGCCTGTAATCACAGCACTTTGGGAGGCTGAGGTAGGAGGATTCCTTGAGTCTAGGAGTTTGAGACCAGTTTGGGCAACATAGTGAGACCTTGTCTCTACAAAAAATAAAATTAGGTGGGCGCAGTTGCACATACCTGTAGTCCCAGCTGCTCCGGAGGCTGATGTGGGAGGATTGCTTGAGCCTGGGAAGACTGAGGCTACAGTGAGTCATGATTGTGCCACTGCACTCCAGCCTAGGCAGCAGGGCAAGACCCCATCTCAAAAAACAAACAAACAAAAAGAAACCTTGGTGGTTTATGTAACCAGCTACTTCAATGGGGATACAACCCTCTGATGACATTTTAAAATTTTGACTTCTGCTTCATAGGATCAATAGTGTGGTGAAATAGAAAGAACTGCCTTTGTAGTCAGACCTTTAGTTTCAGCATTTTGTTCTCTCTAATACGATCTCTGTGAATTACGTAACGTAATCATCTGTAAAAAAGATGTAATACCTTTCAAGTTTGTTTTGAGAGTTAAATGAGAAAGTAGGTAAAGATAGTGTTTGACACACAGTAGGAAGTTAAAGTTAGTGCACATACATTCTTACACTTTTCATTCTTTCTGGGAATTTGCCTTCTTAGTGCTGAGTACCTTGGCAAGAAAGAACAGTACATACAATTATAAGAATGTTGTGTCCTAGTGGAATTTAGGGTAGGAATTGGGATCCATGTTTCTAAGACTGTTTTTAGTTAAACTACTTACTATACCTAGATACTTTTTTTTTTTTTAATTGAGACGGAGTTTTGCTCTTGTTGCCCAGGCTGGAGTGCAATGGTGTGATCTTGGCTCACTGCAACCTCCGCCTCCCGGGTTCAAGCAATTCTCCTGCCTCAGCCTCCCAAGTAGCTGGGATTATAGGCAGTACTTCTAAGAGAATTCTCAAAGCCAGAGATCATTCTCTCTCCTCTTAGTCATTTATGCTTTCGGTGAACTTATTAGTTCATCTCCTTTTCAGTTAATATGGAAAGCATTTCTTATGCATAGTAATATAAAGTACCCTTGAAGGGAACACCTTATAAGATGTCGTTTTATATATCCAAACCAAACGAAGTTGGGCTAAAGAGTCAAGACCTGGTTCTGAAGGAAGCAAAGACAATCTGCTTAAAACGTAGAATATTTATTATTTGGCATTGTACAGCAATAGTATTATTAGTCTGTATTTATGAAGTATTTTCAAGCTTAGCAAACAATTCTACATAAATTATAATCTTTAAATTCTCACAGATAGTTAACCCTATGAGATCCGATAGGAACTGTGATTGCCATTGGACAGATGAAGAAATGAAGACCCAGACCGGGGTAGCATCTGATCACTCATATTGCAATCCAGGATTGCGATTAAGTGCTGATCCCCTTTTTTTTGGTGGTGGTTAAATTTTCATAGGACTTTATTAGTGAAGTGATTTAAGAGTCAATCCACAGCAGAATACTACTAAAATCTTTCTTCAATTAGATGGGAATCAGTAGAAAGAAATGGGGGCAGGTTTGGTATGTAGATATATTCATTAATGAATATAGACTTATCTGAGTGGTGTGTTTTCTTTTCCTTTGCAGAGTATACTGCTGATAACTTTTTGGGACTTGGATATGTCATAATAATTATAGTAATAATAACACCTAAACATGTAAAAAGTTTTTATTGTGCATGAGGCAAAAGTGTGGTACGTGAATTCTAGTCTTCTCAACAATCCTTTGAACAAAAGGTACTATTTTTGCTGTATTTTATATATAAGGAAAAGTTTGTTGTAAAGGAGAAAGTATTAAAGACTATGTAACCTTTCTCCTACCTTAGAAATACAACTTGTGTTCTCATTGTTCAGTTCCCACCTATGAGTGAGAAAATGTGGTGGTTGCTTTTTTCTTCTTGCAATAGTTTGCTGAGAATGATGGTTTCCAGCTTCATCCATGTCCCTACAAAGGACATGAACTCATCATTTTTTATGGCTGCATAGTATTCCATGGTGTATATGTGCCACATTTTCTTAATCCACTCTATCATTTTTAGACATTTGGGTTGGTTCCAAGTCTTTGCTATTGTGAATAGTGCTGCAGTAAACATACGTGTGCATGTGTCTTTATAGCAGCATGATTTATAATCTTTTGGGTATATACCCAGCAATGGGATGGCTGGGTCAAATGGTATTTCTAGTTCTAGATCCCTGAGGAATCACCACACTGACTTCCACAGTGGTTGAATTAGTTTTCAGTCCCACCAACACTGTAAAAGTGTTCCTATTTCTCCACATCCTCTCTAGCACCTGTTGTTTCCTGACTTTTTAATGATTGCCATTCTAACTGGTGTGAGATGGTATCTCATTGTGGTTTTGATTTGCATTTCTCTGATGGCCAGTGATGATGAGCATTTTTTCATGTGTCTTTTGGCTGCATAGATGTCTTCTTTTGAGAAGTGTCTGTTCATATCCTTCACCCACTTTTTGTTGGGGTTGTTTTTTTCTTGTGAATTTGAGTTCATTGTAGATTCTGGATATTAGCCCTTTGTCAGATGAGTAGATTGCAAAAATTTTTCCCGTTCTGTAGGTTGCCTCTTCACTCTGGTGGTAGTTTCTTTTGCTGTGCAGAAGCTCTTTAATTTAATTAGATCCCATTTATCAATTTTGGCTTTTGTTGCCATTGCTTTTGGTGTTTTAGACGTGAAGTCCTTGCCCATGCCTATGTCCTGAATGGTATTGCCTAGGTTTTCTTCTAGGGTTTTTATGGTTTTAGGTCTAACATTTAAGTCTTTAATCCATCTTGAATTAACAGGAAGGGGAACATCACACACCGGGGCCTGTTGTGGGGTTGGGGGAGGGGTGAGGGATAGCATTAGGAGATATACCTAATGTTAAATGACGAGTTAATGGGTGCAGCACAACAATGTGGCACATGTATACATATGTAACAAACCTGCACGTTGTGCACATGTACCCTAAAACTTAAAGTTTAAAAAAAAAAAAAGAAATACAGCTTGACATATAGCACATTATACATTTTTAGGTCTGTTGGAAATTTTGTGGTTTCAAAGCCTTCATAACACATTTGCAAAACAGTAGATAGAGTGTTATTTAAGCTTTACTTTTAAAAAACTCATTTTCACTTTTTAATCCATGGTGTTAAAAAAATCCCTCCAATACTGTTAATAAGACAAAATAAGTTTAATAGTCAAGGCCTACATATGGATCATAGATCATATTGTTTAATTTGCTGCAAGATTACTTGGGAATTCCACATCAGAATTTGAAAGAAGCTCATTTTCTGGTTGTAAAAGTTTTGGGGAGGGTCTCCATTTTTTTGCTGGATCCCACTTGCTTGAATAAAATATTTTGAAGAATGAACTACAAAAATTAAGAATTACATTAGTATATCGATTTACTTATTTTTACTGATTACAAAGTAAAGATTAATTTTGGTATTTCAGTTTTATCAGATTATTAATTTTGATGTTTGTCTTTGTTATAGATAGTAAAAATTGAACAGCTTCTCCATGGGTCTCTCAATGTACAACCTGCTTCATCCTTTCATTCATTTTTTTCAAACATTGATTAAACACTTACTCCATGGCAGACATTTTTTGCGTATACTAGGGACAAAAAATAGGAGTAAGGAAACAATCTTTATGCTTAAGAAGCTTACAGTCTGTGGGATAAATACATAGCAAGCAGGTGTTTATAGTACATTTTGGTAAGTACTGTGGTAATTGTGACTAGAATCTATGAGATGATATAACTCAGCATTATTGGGAGTTAGGGTGGGTGGTAGGTATAGGCACTGAGTCCTGAAGACTAAAGAAGTAGAGATGGGGGTAGACAAAGTAAGGTTTTTCTAATCAGAGAAGGTAAGCATGTATAAAAGTAGATGTGTGGTATTCTGGGATCCTAAATAACTCTTAAGGGCTGTAGCAGAGAATGTGGGTGTAGATTATTTATGTATGTGGTGATTCTAATACTGGAGACAGAGGTAGTGGTCATGTCCTGACCTGTATATTATTTGGGAATTTAAATTTTTCCTCCCCGAAGATTATGGGAGGCCACTTGAAAATTTTGAGCAGAATGGTGGGATCTGATTTTTGTTGTTGTTGTTATGTCACTAATGGCATCAGTATAGGAAACAGATTAAAGTGGAGCAGGACTAATATTAGGAATACCCATTAGGAGGCTGCCAATAATCCAGGGGAGAAATGATGATACCCTGGATTAAGGTATTAGCTGCGGTGATAGAGAAAAAGGGACAGGTCCCAGAGATATAAAAGAGGTAAAATAAGATGTGGTTAGTATTTTAAAACTTCATTGAGCTAAATAATCAAGTTATAAGAGTACTATATGCCTATGACATGTGAGGGATAGTTCATCTACCACAGATTTGTTTTGAAGCATTTCCTTATTTTCAAAGAGGCTGTATTTCCTTTAGTTATCTCTATTCTAGAAGTGAAATATAAAACGTACTTCTTAAAACAGGTTCAGTATTTACCTATTGAATTGTAGCGTGACATTTTAAAAATTGTAATTTATACTTATGGTAGGAGTGCTCTAAAGAGTTACAAAGAAAAGAAAAAAATACATTTATACTGTCTTTTACATTTACCTCTGTAGTTACCTTTGCTGTACTCTTGATTTCATTGTGTGGATTTAAGTTAGTATCTAGTGTCCTTTCATTTCTACCTGAAGAACTTCCTTTTTGTTTTTTGCAGGGCAGGTCTGCTAGCAGTGAATTCTCTCAGTTTTTGTTTATCTGGGAATGTCTTAATTTCTTCTTCATTTTTGAGGAGGGAGAGGAAGTCCCAGGTAGCAGAGGCTTCTACAGTGATGATGGGAAAGTGAAGAGAAGAGGGAAGGGAAAACCTAATGTGATATCTTGACTGACAAATACTGGATGGAAAGTTGTATGTTGGGTACTGATTGCATTGGTAAAGGGCTTCAAAGCAGAAAGTCTTGGCTTGGAATCCTACAACATTGGTGGGAGAGGGGTGAATGAATATGGCTAAGGGACAGTTTTAAGAAATAAAGTTGATAGTGTTTGTCAGAATTGATATGGAGAGAGCTGCTATATCACATTCATGGGGCATCAGATATTAAAACCTTTGGCTTCCCTAAAGTTGTAACACATAACATACATGTTTTACCTGTAAGATGTACCATTTCTTTGCCCGTAAGAAAAATTGTGCACAGATCTTCCATTTTTACTTTACATTCTTTTAAAAAGCTCTTATTTTTAATTGTGGTTAAAAAAATTTACCATCTTAACTGTTTTTCAGTGCACAGTTCAGTAGCGTTAAATGTATTCAGATTGTTGTACAGCAGATCTGCAGGATTTTTTCATCTAGCACAACTGCAACTCTTACCCATTAAGTAACCACTCCCCATTGCTTCCTCCCTCCAGCCCTTGGTAACTACCATTCTACTTTCTGTCTCTATGATAATTTAACTACTTTAGATACTTCCTGTAAGTGTAATCATAGAGTATTTTTCTTTTTGCAATGGGCTTATTTCACTTAGCATAATGTCCTTAAGCTTCATCTGTATTTAGCATGTGATTTTCTTCCTTTTTAAGGCTAAATAATATTCAATTATATGTTTATACCACGTTTTGTTTATCCATTCATCGTCTTCGTTCATTTTTTGGTTTTGTTTTTAGTATAGATTATCTTTCCTTTTTACCCACTAAATTTCTTTATCTCTAGGCTTCAGCTTATTTAGGGACATAAACCATTTGCCTGGTTTGTTCTTTGGAAGTCATTTTATTTTTTGTTTTTGTTTTTATTTTTATTTGTTTTTTTAAGCTACTTCCTACCGAAAGGATGGAAGTCATTTTAATGGTTATATTTTCCACCTGTTTTGCAGCTATATTGCTAACTTATGTATTGCTATGTTAATTATACATCTAGAAAACTTTGAGTTATTTTATTAGTTTTCTTAGATATTTAATTGATTGGAAGTGTTTTTAAGAAAACTTGGAGTTTGCTAGTTAAATAATTATCAACAATGTAGCTAATAAATTCTTTTCTACTAGCATGCAAACTCTACACTGCATCGGTTCAAATTATAGCACCTAATGCTGCCTCAAGGCTTGTGACATTATAACTTTTCAACTGAGCAATGCTTAATTTGTTATGAAAGTAAAAAAAAAAAAAGTTAAGTAATTCCATCAAAATTGTATTGCTGACATCTGTTTCTGATAAAATTTTAGTAATATGATAAGAATTAAAAGCATTGTGTGATACTGGTTTCTGAGTCTCATGATAGTAAACTGTAGAGGACTTGTCTTTTGTGAATCATTTGTATATGTAAGGTGTTATTAAGTCCAAATGGAAAAGAAATTTGGTGCTGAGAGACATTAAAGCAATAACTGAGTTTCTTTTTGACACCAATCTTCTGAAATATCCTGTTAACATTTGTTAAATAAGTGATATATTACTCCTTGAATTTTGCAAAAATAATGAAAAATTGTATGAAAGAATTTTTAATACAGTCATGCATTGCTTAATGATGGAAATACATTCTGAGAAATCTGTGAAGAATATCATAGAGTGAACTTATACAAACCTAGATAATATAGCTGTCTGTACACCTAGGGTATATGGTATAGCCTATTGCTCCTAGATTACAAACCTTTACAGCATGTTACTGTACTGAATACTGTAGGCAATTGTAACACAATAAGTATTTGCATATCTAAAGGACTAAAATGTTGTTAATGCAGTTGTTAATGCAGCGCATGTTGTATTTAGGGCATAATTTTTTTCTAAAGCCATATAATATTTTAACATAAACAGGTCAGTGTGTTTGACCCATTTTTTAACTCTGTGACATGTGGAATTGTTTCATGTTAACCTGTGGATTTGTCTCATTAGTAATTCTTAAATTACTAATATTGGAAGAAGAGCTATGACCTTTGAGATCAAAATGTATTTGGAGGTAATGAAGTTATTTAAGAATCCTCTTGAAACCAAACTGGTGGTGAGAGGGAAGAAAGCAGTTCAATAGGGGGTGATTGAAAGGAAAAAAGAGACCTAGAAGGGAAGCGTCAGCAAGAAAGAGTCAAAGAGCAAGGAAAGAAAGAAAAATGAGGTAGTTAACAGGAGGTAAAAGTAGTAGTATTGAGAAGAGAAGAGAATGAGGGCTGAAAGGGAGTAAGGTTCTTAACTTCTTACATAGTTTGGGTTGGTTGCCTTTTGATCTCTCAGAACTAGGAACAGATATGTTTGCTTTAGTTTGCTGTTGTTGCTGAGCAACTTTGTCACTGGTGCATCCACTAGGGTTATTGCAAGCATGACCCTGCAGGTACTAATCTCAGCAGCACTCCCTCTTCAGTTAACTCCATAGCCTTCTCTGCCTGACCTGAATCAAGCATATTTTGCTCCAAAGCTCATTTTTTTTCTCTACCGCACAGTCCAGCTTCAATAGGGAATTACTTTTTTGGATTTACCATATATCCTATAATTTTGCTGAACTTATTTACCATAGACAATTGATTTTCTTGGATCTAATAGTCTGTGCTCATGCCATCATACAAATTCATATGTTCAGCAGCTTTATTGAGATATACTGACATATAAAGATTTTATATGTTTAAGGTATACAGTGATGTTTTACAAATTTGTATTTTATTTCTTCCCACTTTTCCTATTATGTGACTTTAGGGCAATATACTGATTCTCCTAAATTTTACTTTCTTTATATATTAAATGGACACAATAGATTTATTGGAATCACAGGCTTATTGTAAGGACTAAATGAGAAATTGTGTGTAAAGGATCCATTACAGTATTGGTACATAGGGGTGGTAGGTAGACTGTTATTCTAGTTTTATTTCCATTTTTATTGAGAATGTGTCTGTGTTTCTTCACTTTATATAATTCTAGCATTTAGTTTTAGAAATAAATTTTAAGAAATCACATTAAGATACTCTTAATACTCTTTTTTTTGCTTTTTTGCATTTTAATCCTGAGTACTTTATCTGATCAATTCTTGAGTGATAAGGTAATATAACCTAAACATTTCTCTATACATGTGAGGAATTGTTTCAGCCACATATTTTAAGGTTGAGTCTAAGATTATAATACAAATATTTTAATGTATTTATATCTATTTTTCATGGCGTTTATAAGATTTGTGGTGGCTTTTCTTTTCGCTAGGAATTCTATTCTTCCATATAACCCTATGGGTCTCTCTCCTGCCCTCATTTCCTTTCATTATCTACTGAAATGGCATATTATCAGAGAAGCAAGAAAACATAATGGTTAAGAGCTGGACAGCTTGGTTCTACTACTTATTTGCTGTTTTACCTTTGGTAAATCAACTTGTTTGTGCCTCAGTTTCACCAGTTATAGCATTTTTATTTTCATAGTAACTATCTCGAAGGGTTGTTTGTGATTGAATGATTTGATGTGTGTCCAGTACTTACCACAGTACCTGGCACTTAGAAAGCACTATATATGGGTGAATGGCCATTATTGTCAAAATCAGAGGTCGGTCTTGACTGTTATGTATATATTATAGAAGATTTTCCTTTCCTTGCCTTATTTTTTCTTAGCTCTTCTAACCATTTTATATTTAATTAATTGATTCATTTATGTGCTTATTGTCTGTCTTTGTCTGCTGGAATATATGTATTCTTTAAAGGCAGGGAGTTTTTTGTCATTTTGTATCCATCTGTATTACGTAGAGTAATTCTTATTAAATAATAAATGAATGAGTGACTCAACCAGTATTTCATCCACCTTTCAGAGTAAAGATATGTTTAGATATTCAGAGATTGACAGAATATAACTCTCATTTGCTTCATTTGAGGAAAATACTTGAACTAACTATAACCAAACAGCAAATGAATCAGAATTGAGGCCTTGAAAGATTATGAAGAAGAAACAGTTATAAACAATAAATCTTTCTATATATATTACCAAATCCCAATGGATAATGATAGAGTGACTGGAAGCATACTAAATAAGAATTTTTGAAATAAAAAGGACGCACTAATTAATAGCCTTTAACTGAAAATAATTCTGCATAAATTAAAGAATATCAAGTAGGGTGTATCAAATTGAAGAAGGAAAATTAGATGATGATAATGGATGCTGAAAAAATTGAATAAAATTCAACAGCCTTTCTTGAGTACATAAATATAAAGTATATAAAAAAGGAAACTTTTTTTTTTATTATACTTTAAGTTTTAGGGTACATGTGCACAATGTGCAGGTTAGTTACATATGTATACACGTGCCATGCTGGTGTGCTGCACCCATTAACTCGTCATTTAGCATTAGGTATATCTCCTAATGCTATCCCTCCCCCCACCTCCCACCCCACAACAGTCCCCAGAGTGTGATGTTCCCCTTCCTGTGTCCATGTGTTCTCATTGTTCAATTCCCACCTATGAGTGAGAACATGCAGTGTTTGGTTTTTTGTCCTTGCGATAGTTTACTGAGAATGATGATTTCCAATTTCATCCATGTCCCTACAAAGGACATGAACTCATCATTTTTTATGGCTGCATATCATTCCATGGTGTATATGTGCCACATTTTCTTAATCCAGTCTATCATTGTTGGACATTTAGGTTGGTTCCAAGTCTTTGCTATTGTGAATAGTGCCACAATAAACATACGTGTGCATGTGTCTTTATAGCAACATGATTTATAGTCCTTTGGGTATATACCCAGTAATGGGATAGCTGGGTCAATGGTATTTCTAGTTCTAGATCCCTGAGGAATCGCCACACTGACTTCCACAATGGTTGAACTCATTTACATTCCCACCAACAGTGCAAAAGTGTTCCTATTTCTCCACATCCTCTCCAGCACCTGTTGTTTCCTGACTTTTTAATGATCGCCATTCTAACTGGTGTGAGATGGTGTCTCATTGTGGTTTTGATTTGCATTTCTCTGATGGCCAGTGATGGTGAGCATTTTTTCATGTGTTTTTTGGCTGCATAAATGTCTTCTTTTGAGAAGTGTCTGTTCATGTCCTTCGCCCACTTTTTGATGGGGTTGTTTGTTTTTTTCTTGTAAATTTGTTTGAGTTCATTATAGATTCTGGATATTAGCCCTTTGTCAGATGAGTAGGTTGCGAAAATTTTCTCCCATGTTGTAGGTTGCCTGTTCACTCTGATGGTAGTTTCTTTTGCTGTGCAGAAGCTCTTTAGTTTAATTAGATCCCATTTGTCAATTTTGGCTTTCGTTGCCATTGCTTTTGGCATTTTAGACATGAAGTCCTTGCCCATGCCTATGTCCTGAATGGTAATGCCTAGGTTTTCTTCTAGGGTTTTTCTGGTTTTAGGTCTAACATGTAAGTCTTTAATCCATCTTGAATTAATTTTTGTATAAGGTGTAAGGAAGGGATCCAGTTTCAGCTTTCTACATGTCGCTAGCCAGTTTTCCCAGCACCGTTTATTAAATAGGGGATCCTTTCCCCATTGCTTGTTTTTGTCAGGTTTGTCAAAGATCAGATAGTTGTAGGTATGCGGCGTTATTTCTGAGGGCTCTGTTCTGTTCCATTGATCTATATCTCTGTTTTGGTACCAGTACCATGCTGTTTTGGTTACTGTAGCCTTGTAGTATAGTTTGAAGTCAGGTAGTGTGATGCCTCCAGCTTTGTTCTTTTGGCTTAGGATTGACTTGGCAATGCGGGCTCTTTTTTTTTTCCATATGAACTTTAAAGTACTTTTTTCCAATTCTGTGAAGAAAGTCACTGGTAGCTTGATGGGGATGGCATTGAATCTATAAACTACCTTGGGCAGTATGGCCATTTTCACGATATTGATTCTTCCTACCCATGAGCATGGAATGTTCTTGCATTTGTTTGTATCCTCTTTTATTTCATTGAGCAGTGGTTTGTAGTTCTCCTTGAAGAGGTCCTTCACGTCCCTTTTAATTTGGATTCCTAGGTATTTTATTCTCTTTGAAGCAATTGTGAATGGGAGTTCACTCATGATTTGGCTCTCTGTTTGTCTGTTATTGGTGTATAAGAATGCTTGTGATTTTTGCACATTGATTTTGTATCCTGAGACTTTGCTGAAGTTGCTTATCAGCTTAAGGAGATTTTGGGCTAACACAATGGGGTTTTCTAGATATCCAATCATGTCATCTGCAAACAGGGACAATTTGCCTTCCTCTTTTCCTAATTGAATACCCTTGATTTCCTTCTCCTGCCTAATTGCCCTGGCCAGAACTTCCAACACTATGTTGAATAGGAGTGGTGAGAGAGGGCATCCCTGTCTTGTGCCAGTTTTCAAAGGGAATGCTTCCAGTTTTTGCCCATTCAGTATGATATTGGCTGTGGGTTTGTCATAGATAGCTCTTATTATTTTGACATACGTCCCATCAATACCTAACTTATTGAGAGTTTTTAGCATGAAGGATTGTTGAATTTTGTCAAAGGCCTTTTCTGCATCTATTGAGATAATCATGTGGTTTTTGTCTTTGGTTCTGTTTCTGTGCTGGATTACATTTATTGATTTCTGTATATCGAACCAGCCTTGCATCCCAGGGATGAATCCAACTTGATCATGGTGGATAAGCTTTTTGATGTGCTGCTGGATGCGGTTTGTCAGTATTTTATTGAGGATTTTTGCATCAATGTTCATCAAGGATATTGGTCTAAAATTCTCTTTTTTGGTTGTGTCTCTGTCAGGCTTTGGTATCAGGATGATGCTGGCCTCATAAAATGAGTTAGGGAGGATTCCCTCTTTTTCTATTGATTGGAATAGTTTCAGAAGGAATGGTACCAGTTCCTCCTTGTACCTCTGGTAGAATTAGGCTGTGAATCCTTCTGGTCCTGGAGTTTTTTTGGTTGGTAAGCTATTAATTATTGCCTCAATTTCAGAGCCTGTTATTGTTCTATTCAGAGATTCAACTTCTTCCTGGTTTAGTCTTGGGAGGGTGTATGTGTCGAGGAATTTATCCATTTCTTCTAGATTTTCTAGTTTATTTGCACAGAGGTGTTTATAGTATTCTCTGATGGTAGTTTGTATTTCTGTGGGATCGGTCGTGATATCCCCTTTATCATTTTTTATTGCTTCTATTTGATTCTTCTCTCTTTTCTTCTTTATTAGTCTTGCTAGTGGTCTATCAATTTTGTTGATCCTTTCAAAAAACCAGCTCCTGAATTCATTAATTTTTTGAAGGGTTTTTTGTGTCTCTATTTCCTTCAGTTCTGCTCTGATTTTAGTTATTTCTTCCCTTCTGCTAGCTTTTGAATGTGTTTGCTCTTGCTTTTCTAGTTCTTTTAATTGTGATATTAGGGTGTCAATTTTGGATCTTTCCTGCTTTCTCTTTTGGGTATTTAGTGCTATAAATTTCCCTCTACACACTGCTTTGAATGTGTCCCAAAGAATCTGGTATGTTGTGTCTTTGTTCTCATTGGTTTCAAAGCACGTCTTTATTTCTGCCTTCATTTCGTTATGTACCCAGTAGTCATTCAGGAGCAGGTTGTTCAGTTTCCATGTAGTTGAGCGGTTTTGAGTGAGTGTCTTAATCCTGAGTTCTAGTTTGATTGCACTGTGGTCTGAGAGACAGTTTGTTATAATTTGTGTTCTTTTACATTTGCTGAGGAGAGCTTTACTTCCAGCTATGTGGTCAGTTTTGGAATAGGTGTGGTGTGGTGCTGAAAGAAATGTATATTCTGTTGATTTGGGGTGGAGAGTTCTGTAGATGTCTATTAGTTCCGCTTGGTGCAGAGCTGAGTTCAGTTCCTGGGTATGCTTATTAACTTTCTGTCTGGTTGATCTGTCTAATGTTGACAGTGGAGTGTTAAAGTCTCCCATTATTATTGTGTGGGAGTCTAAGTCTCTTTGTAGGTCACTCAGGACTTGCTTTATGAATCTGGGTGCTCCTGTATTGGGTGCATATATATTTAGGATAGTTAGCTCTTCTTGTTGAATTGATCCCTTTACCATTATGTAATGGCCTTCTTTGTCTCTTTTAATCTTTGTTGGTTTAAAGTCTGTTTTATCAGAGACTAGGATTGCAACCCCTGCCTTTTTTTGTTTTCCATTTGCTTGGTAGATCTTCCTCCATCCTTTTATTTTGAGCCTATGTGTGTCTCTGCACGTGAGATGGGTTTCCTGAATACAGCACACTGATGGGTCTTGACTCTTTATCCAATTTGCCAGTCTGTGTCTTTTAATTGGAGCATTTAGTCCATTTACATTTAAAGTTAATATTGTTATGTGTGAATTTGATCCTGTCATGATGATGTTAGCTGGTTATTTTGCTCGTTAGTTGATGCAGTTTCTTCCTAGCATTGGTGGTCTTTACAATTCGGCATGATTTTGTAGTGGCTGGTACCGGTTGTTCCTTTCCATGTTTAGTGCTTCCTTCAGGAGCTCTTTTAGGGCAGGCCTGGTGGTGACAAAATCTCTCAGCATTTGCTTTTCTGTAAAGGATTTTATTTCTCCTTCACTTATGAAGCTTAGTTTGGCTGGATATGAAATTCTGGTTTGAAAATTCTTTTCTTTAATAATCTTGAATATTGGCCCCCACTGTCTTCTGGCTTGTAGAGTTTTGCCGAGAGATCCGCTGTTGGTCTGAGGGGCTTCCCTTTGTGGGTAACTTGACCTTTCTCTCTGGCTGCCCTTAACATTTTTTCCTTCATTTCAACTTTGGTGAATCTGACAATTATGTGTCTTGGAGTTGCTCTTCTCGAGGAGTATCTTTGTGGCGTTCTCTGTATTTCCTGAATCTGAATGTTGGCCTGCCTTGCTAGATTGGGGAAGTTCTCCTGGATAATATCCTGCAGAGTGTTTTCCAACTTGGTTCCATTCTCCCTGTCACTTTCAGGTACACCAATCAGACGTAGATCTGGTCTTTTCACATAGTCCCATATTTCTTGGAGGCTTTGTTCATTTCTTTTCATTCTTTTTTCTCTAAACTTCCCTTCTCGCTTCATTTCATCTTCCATCACTGATACCCTTTCTTCCAGTTGATCACATCAGCTCCTGAGGCTTCTGCATTCTTCACGTAGTTCTCGAGCCTTGGCTTTCAGCTCCATCAGCTCCTTTAAGCACTTCTCTATATTGGTTATTCTAGTTATACATTCGTCTAAATTTTTTTGAAAGTTTTCAACTTCTTTGCCTTTGGTTTGAATTTCCTCCTGTAGCTCAGAGTAGTTTGATCGTCTGAAGCCTTCTTCTCTCAACTCGTCAAAGTCATTCTCCGTCCAGCTTTGTTCCGTTGCTGGTGAGGAGCTGCATTCCTTTGGAGGAGGATAGGCACTCTGCTTTTTAGAGTTTCCAGTTTTTCTGCTCTGTTTTCCCCCATCTTTGTGGTTTTATCTACTTTTGGTCTTTGATGATGGTGATGTAGAGATGGGTTTTTGGTGTGGATGTCCTTTCTGTTTGTTAGTTTTCCTTCCTACAGACAGGACCCTCAGCTGCAGGTGTGTTGGAGTTTGCTAGAGGTCCACTCCAGACTCGGTTTGCCTGGGTACCAGCAGCGGTGGCTGCAGAACAGCAGATTTTCGTGACCGCGAATGCTGCTGTCTGATCGTTCCTCTGGAAGTTTTGTCTCAGAGGAGTACCCGGCCGTGTGAGGTGTCAGTCTGCCCCTACTTGGGGGTGCCTCCCAGTTAGGCGGCTCCAGGGCCAGGGGTCAGGGACCCACTTGAGGAGGCAGTCTGCCCGTTCTCAGATCTCCAGCTGCGTGCTGGGAGAACCACTGCTGTCTTCAAAGCTGTTCAGACAGGGACATTTAAGTCTGCAGAGGTTACTGCTGTCTTTTTGTTTGTCTGTGCCCTTCCTCCAGAGGTGCAGCCTACAGAGGCAGGCAGGCCTCCTTGAGCTGTGGTGGGTGCTACCCAGTTGGAGCTTCCTGGCTGCTTTGTTTACCTAAGCAAGCCTGGGCAATGGCAGGCGCCCCTCCCCCAGCCTCGCTGCCACCTTGCAGTTTGATCTCAGACTGCTGTCCTAGCAATCAGCGAGACTCCGTGGGCGTAGGACCCTCCGAGCCATGGGCGGGATATAATCTCCTGGTGCGCTGTTTTTTAAGCCCGTCGGAAAAGCACAGTATTAGGGTGGGAGTGACCCGCTTTTCCAGGTGCCCTCTGTCACCCCTTTCTTTGACTAGGAAAGGGACTCCCTGACCCCTTGCGCTTCCCGAGTGAGGCAATACCTCTCCCTGCTTTGGCTCGCGCATGGTGCGCTGCACCCCCTGTCCTGCGCCCACTGTCTGGCACTCCCTAGTGAGGTGAACCCGGTACCTCAGATGGAAATGTAGAAATCACCCATCTTCTGTGTCGCTCACGCTGAGAGCTGTAGACCAGAGTTGTTCCTATTCGGTCATCTTGGCTGCCCTCCGGGCCATTCTTCAAAAGTAAACATTTTAAACAGTGGAATGCTAATGTTATTTCTAATAACAAGTATGTCCTCTATTATCATTATTATCATTATCGTTATTTAGTTTTGTTCTAGCATGTTGAATGAGGTAAAAAATGAAATAATCTGTATGAACATTAGAAAAGAAGAGGAAAAATACATTTTATTTTGCTGATATGATTGTATGCTTATGATATCCAAAAGGTACCAGTAAAATATTATCAGACTTAATAACATAATTTGGTGAATAGTTGTATATAAAATACACAGAAATTGGTAGCCTTTCTCAGTGCTGATAATAATGTTATTAAAGAAAAATTGGAAAAAGTAATCAATTAAAAGTAGTTTCAAAAACTAGAAAATCCTTAGGAATAAAGTTAACAAAAGAAGTACACTTCTGTAGGAAGAAATTCGTAAAAATCTAATTGAAAGACATTACACTGGAATTGAAATGAAGGAAAGAGCATGCTGGCTTTAAAAATATGTTCCCAATTCTTATAATATTGTGTTGCCATGCAAAAACTATATCATAATAATCTTTTACCAAAAATTGTTTAAAAGTTAATTGCAGTTCTAGTTAAAATTCCTTTATGGTTTACATTGGAATTGGGTAACATAATGTTCATACTTGTTGACTAAGAAAATTATGGAGAAAAAAGTGAGAAATGAATAGCTTTACCAGATATTAAAATAAATTCTAAAGCTACTGTAATTACAATAGTCTGTTGGGAATTTAATATGATAAATGTGAAAATTTGAGCTCAATGGGAAAATGATAATCATGCATTTGGAATTATCTGTTCATCTGAAAGAAAATTGAATCTTTGGTCTCTTACAATACCTAAATAAATTCTAAGTATACTAGAGACTTACATGGAAGAATATGAATTCTGGACTATATGCATGAATTAGAAACTTGGGAGAAGTTTCTAACCAACATAGGAAATGCAGGAGCTATGAAAGAAAAATAAATCTAATCATATAATGATTTTTTTTGTAACTTATATGTGGGATCTCATTGGCAGCAAACTCAATAGATAAGCGGTAGGTTGGGAAAAATATTTATACTTCAAATTACAGATAAATGGTTGATATCTACGATATTAAAAAAAACTACAAATTAGTGTCAAAAGACAATCCAGTATAAAAAACAGGGAGAGAGATGAATAGTTGACAGAAATGCAAATCCCAATAGACTAATGACACATAGGAAGATGATTAATAGTACTTTAGGATATGCAGATTAAAGTAACATTGAGTTTTTTTTTTTTTTTTTGAGACAGAGTCTTGCTCTTGTTGCCCAGGCTGGAGTGCAGTGCACAATCTTGGCTCACTGCAACATCTGCCTCCTGGCTTCAAGTGATTTTCCTTCCTCAGCCTCCCAAGTAGCTGGGATTACAGGTGCCCGCCACCATGCCCGGGCTAATTTTTTTTTTTTTTTTGAGACGGAGTCTTGCTCTGTCACCCAGGCTGGAGTGCTGTGGCACAATCTTGGCTCACTGCAACTTCCGCCTCCAGGTTCAAGTGATTCTCCTGCCTCAGCCTCCCGAGTAGCTGGGACTACAGGTGGGTGCCACCACAGCCGGCTTATTTTTGTATTTTTAGTAGAGATGGGGTTTCACCATATTGGCCAGACTGGCTTGAACTCCTGATCTCAAGTGATTCATCTGCCTTGGCTTCCCGAAGTACAGGGATTACAGGCTTGAGCCACTGTGCCTGGCTGAGATATCATCATATATCCAAAATTAAAAATGTTATGGCTCCACTCAATATTGGTGGCAAATTAGAGCAAAAGGCATTTGTGGTAGAAATGTGACATTTACTTCTTTTCTTGGAAAGCAGTTTTGGCAGTTTTACCCCTAGAATTTATCTCATAAAAATAAAAGCATAAATATGTAAGGATATATGCATTTTTCAAAGCAAGGATCTTTTTGCAGTATTTTTATTAGTGGTAAAAAACTGGAAACAAGGTGGGAAAAGTTGAATACATTTGATACATTTTGGCCTTGTAACATGCGGCCATTAAAAAGAATGGAGTTCTGTGTATACCAATTAATGTAGTTATATTCCACTGTTTGCTATGAGATGAGAAAAATAAGATGTGAAGGAGCATATATGGGGACAACTTCATTCCCAAAGAAACAAAATAGAATTTTAAATCTCTACATATGTTTGTACGTGGTTATTTAAGGATGGAGAAGAAGGTATGGAGTGATACATATTAGGTTGTCATTGCTGGTCACCTGGAGTTGTAGAGAAAGGTAGGGGAAAAATCAAGAATGGGAAAGTAGGAGGGATGGAAAAAGATTCAGTAGTTTTATAGGCTTGTATTTGAATAAAGCCCAAGTAGAATACTGACAGTGCATTAATAAAAGGCATTGAGGCAAAAAAGATACCTCCTGATGCACACAGGATTTATGGGACACATTAATGGTCTAGAGTTGTATTGTAAAAGGTATGTTAGCCACAATTTATTAAGGGTTATTAACAATTTATTAAGGAGGAGACATTAGATAATGACATCAAGGCTGGGTGCAATGGCTCATGCCTACAATCCCAGCTACTCAGGAGGCCTAGGTGGGAGGATTGCTTGTATCAAGGAATTCAACACCAGCCTTGGAAACATGGCATACTGTGTCTCTACAAAGAAATACAGAAATTATCTGGGCGTGGTGGCACCTGCCTGTGGACCCTGAGAGGCTGAGGTTGCAGTGAGCCGAGATCGTGCCACTGCAGTCCAGCCTGAGTAACAGAATGAGACCCTGTCTCAAAAAACAAACAAAAAGAACATACTATATATTTATTGTATTTTAAGATAGTCTAGTATATTTTCATGTATTCAAATTTTTATTCGGTGTCTACTCTGCCAGATACCTTTCTAGGCATTTGGGATATATCAGAGATTACATCCTAGAAGGAGGCAATAGATATAAAACAATATATAATAAGTAATTTATATAGAATATGAGAAAGCCATAAGTGTTTTGGAAATGATTAAAGAAAACTAGAGTGTACACTAAGAAGGATACAGGGAGTTTTGGTGGACAAATTTGTGATTTTAAATATGGTGTTCAGAGCCTCCTTGGGAAGGTGATATTTGAGTAGAGGCTTGCAGGTATTGTGGGAGTAAACCACACATATACCTGGGGAGATCATTTTGGGCAGATGGAATGGTCAATGGAAAGCCCTTTTGTGTTTGGAGAGGCAGAAGGGAGCAGAGTGATCTAGGGACAAAGAAGTAGGAGATAATGTCAGAGAAAGACAGGAAGTAAGGGAGGTGATGGAGGTAGGTGAGATCAGTAGTGCCTTGTAGACAGACCCCTGGCAGGCCTTGAGCAGCAGAGTGATAAGATCTGATTTACATTTTTAAAGGATTACTTAGGTTTTGTTGAGAACAGATTGTGGGGGCGGGGTGGGCAAAGATAGAAGGAAAGAGGCCAGTTGGGAGGCCTCTGCAGTAATCCAAGTGAGAGATGATCGTGGCATGTGTTAGGTTGGTAACAGTGGAGGTGGTAAGACCTAATCAGGTTTTGGATATATTTTGAAACAAAAACCCACAGAATTTTTTTGGACACATTGGATGTTGTATGTAGAAGAAAGAAGAGTGAAGTTAGCTGGAGAGAATTACTGTAAAACAGAAAAAAGCAGGAGGTAAAGAGTGACAGAACAATTGAGAGGGACAGAGGGAGAATAAGAACCTCAAGAAGCAGGAGTTTAACACAAAGAAATGTATCTCTAATTTTGGTTTATAGCAGGTGTGTGTGTTTGCATGTGTATGTGTTTGTATATATTAGGGTTGGGATCTTTCTGTACTAAGTAAGTCACATCTGAAGACTGCTGTCTTCTCTTTTGCATAGGCTAGCTCTGAATAGAGTTACTACAATTAAATAGAAATAAACAATTGAATAGATAATAGATAAAATACAATTAAACAATTGAATAGATAAGTGGGTTATTAATATTACAAATATTAAGATACTAAGTGAGAAAAGGAAAACTGGGTGTTTTCTGGGAACTAGGTCAAGTACAAATTGAAACCAGTGTGTAAAGTGCAGTCAAGAAGGGAATGAGATAATAACAGGAATTCTTGTCTAGAAAGGGGAAGACCAAGGAAAGGAGGTAACACTAGCAATGAAATAGTTCATTACAGTGGTAGCATTTGAAAAGTTATAACCTTGAAGAGTTTAGTCATAGCAGTCAGAGAAGAGACTGATGTCCAGCTGGCTGGCTGACTTTTTATTTTCCCACACATTATGTCATCTGCTCTTAGTGTTGATTCTTAGCAGTTTAGGGTAGACTTAAAGTTTGTTCAGAAAGGTGCAATTTTCATTTTCTTGAAGTTGACATTGAAAAGTGGTGAAGCACGACTGGGCATGATAGCTCACGCCTGTAATCCCAACACTTTGGGAGTTCGAGGTGGGTGGATTGCTTGAGCTCAGGAATTCTAGACCAGCAACATGGCAAAACCCTGTCTCTACTCGATATCTATATCTGTATCTATATCTATCTATATCTGTATCTATATCTATATATGTATATATATATAATTAGAAAAGTAGTGAAAGTGTTTTGTAAAATCAGAAATCTCATTACATAGTTATTCTTCAAGTTGTATTTACTCATTTTTCTATTCAATCAGTGTTTACTGAATATCAACTTTGTATTCAAGCACTAGGAATTAAAAGATGAATGAATCACACACTCTGTCATAAAGTACCTCACAGTTTAGAGGTATGTCATTATGTGAGTACTTGAAAATTTCATTTTGATTTTCCTCATAGATTCATTCACTTTTGCTACAGTTTAATATATAATACAGTGTTTAGCAAGAAAGGGTGTCTAATATAAAATGTGCCGTTTAGCCTATAGCAACTTTATATACTTTAAAACCTTATTAACTCCACAGTATTTGAGACAGCAATTATTTCTTAGGCCTTGTGTGTTCCTTTAAGTCAGAGATCCAGGTTTGACATATTTTTGCTAGACATTCTGAAAATGTTTTGAAGCTAATATTGGAGTCCCTGTATGTTTAAGGACTCTACTGAGTAGGAGGATGAACACGCTGCTAAGACATTACTGGTGATTTTTGATTACAAGTTGATATTTAAGTCTCTGCTTCTAGTTCTGCTGTTTAAATGAGTCTCGTTCAGCAGAGCAAAAATTGAAATGTTTTAAATCATTTTGGTACCTGTAATTGTCCATAAACAATCAATTTCAACTTTATGAACTCCCAAATCTTTGGTACACCAAGGGTTGTACTAATAACTGTTCTAATTGGTCTTTGTGGCTGCATGTTTAAATGTTGGAAATGAGACTTTAATGTGAACATGCAGTAAATCTTAACCACGGAGGCACACACAGGTCCCCCTGTAATGTGGACCGGGAAAGAGACACATGTAAACAGACATATTCCTCATCTGAATACGTGGAGCCATACTTTCATAGAATTGCATTCAATGTTTATATATAGAGAGATGGCAATGAAAAACTGCTGTTTGTATGGGTTTACTGTGTATTTTGATCTCTAGGTTATTTACTTCTTCTAAATGTGTAGGGATGATATTAAAACATGCTGGTATCAGTTAATTTAATTAAAATAATAAAAAGTTATATAATTGGGGAGGAGTCATATGCCTTCATTGACCTTAGGAGAAAAAGATTGTTGAGTAAAAATATTTTAATATAATAAATAGTTTTGGATAATAGTTTTTTTGTTAAACATAAAAGACATGAATAATTTAAAGCTTAAGTTATGATGTGATTATAATTTCTGTTGCATTTGGGACCCTTTATTCATGTGAATGTCCTAAAAATATTTGGTCACAGACTGTAAACAACATAAGGAAATCAATTTTCTCAGAAGCTTTTCTAAAGACTTAGAAATATTAAACAAATGCATTCAATACAATGGATGCCGTAAAGCATCAGATAAAATATTAATTTTAATTTTTAATCTGTGAGTTGCTCTCTCAAAAGATTATGGATTTAATAACAGTTTATTGAAATGAGAGCTAAAAGATGTGTCTATACAAGTTCGGTTTCATTCATACTTTGACTTTTAAAGTCAAACACTGATTTTCATCATGTTAAACTTCTAAAGAGCAATGAAAAGAAGATTTTTGGCCAGAGTAAGGAGGCAAACATTTTATAAGAAGGGGAAGTTCAGTAGTGCTAAATAATATAAAACTTGGCTTTAAAAGAAGTCTTTAATTGAATTATTTATCAGTGATGAAATTGAACTTATACAATTCCTCTTTAGGTTCCAAATAATGAAGTTCATTTAGTATTATTATTATTGTGGTTGTTATTATTATTGTTGAGTTGGGGTCTTTGTCTGTTGCCTATGCTGGAGTGCAGTGGTGTGATCATAGTAACTACAGCCTCAAATATCTGAGCTCAGGAGATTTTCCCACTTCAGCCCACATTGACCTGAGTAGCTGGGACTACAGGTGCATGCCATCACACCCAGCTAATTTTTAAGTTTTTTGTAGAGGTGAAGTCTCAGTATGTTGCCCAGGCTGGTCTCAAACTTCTAGGCACAAGCTATCCTTCCTTTGGCCTCCCAGAGTGCTGAGATTATACACATGAGCCACTGTGCCTGGTCACAAAGTTCATTTATTCATTCAACAAATATTTGTTGTGCATCAGCCACTTTTCTATGGGCAGGATATATAGCCTTGAGTAAAACAAAAATTCCTGCCTTCATTGTGTTTATATTCTGGTTGGGTTAGACATAATAAATATAACACATACATAAAATATATCATTGGATGGTGATTAGGGAGTATGAAGGTCTGATTGTACTTTTAAATGGTAGTCAAGGATGCCTTGTTAAGAAGGAGATATCTAAGCTAAAGACTGAAGCACACAAGGGAGTGAGCCATCTGGGGTAAGACTGCCTTGATTGGAGGGAACAGACAGTACAAAGTCTGTGTGAGATGGGAACATGCTTGGCTCTTTGATTCTTAACCAGAGGCCAGTGTGGCTGGAGTGAGCCAGAAGGACATTAATAGAAGATGAGGTAATAATAGGGATAATAAAGGTGTTACAAAGATCTCAAGGTAAGTTTATTTTTTGTTTAATTGTGCTTTCATTTATTGTATTTTATTTTTTGAGCTCTCTGTCGCCCAGGCTGGAGGGCAGTGGAGAGCAATCATGTCTCACTGCAGCCTTGATCTCCCAGGCTCAAGTGATCCTTCCACCTCAGCCTCTGGAGTAGCTGAGACGACAGGTGTGTGTGCCACCACACCCAGCTAATTTTTAAATATTTTTGTAGAGGTGAGGGTCTCACTATGTTGCTCAAGCTGGTCCCAAACTCCTGGGCTCAAGTGATCTTTCTGCCTTGCCCTCCCAAAATGCTGAGATTACAGACATGGGCCACTGTGCCTAGCCTAATTGTTCTTTTAGAAATAGTGTCAGTCAAATGGACTTGCCATTGAAGATTTATAAGAACACTGTGCAGTAGATTTAAACAGTTTGGATGTCATTATACTTGAGATTTTGTTCATTCTTCCATCTGCCTGTCCATCCATCTGCCTGTCTGGGTTAGCAGGCTAGGTAATCATATGTGATCCTGTTTTCAACAAGGATGTAAACTGTTTTAGATCAGTTTACATATTTATCTACATATAGGATGGTTAAAAATAATCATAGAAGAGGAATTAATATCCCTCAATATTAGATTCTTTATGGGAGTGGGCAGCTATCAGGTAGAGTGAAAAGATCCTTGACTTTGTGTTCGTATGGATTTCTTTTACATTCCAGGCCAAATGGTGTACAACCTTGGGCAAATTATACAATCTCTCCCACTCTCAGTCTTCACATGTGAAAAACTGGGTAATAAAAATACTAATCTTCTAAAGGTTTAAGCCTTAGAAATAATGTTATATAAAGGGTGTACACAGTGCCTCTCCTGCTGGAGGCACTTAATAAATGGTAACTAATGTCTTCATGTGAATAAGAGATAAGGATGGTAAGGATAATTATTAATATTATTATTGAAAATATTTTAAAAATTAACCATCTTTACCATTGTTAAGTGTACAGCTCAGTGCCAATAAATACATTTATTTCCCTTTTCCCTCCATTTCACTCCTCCCTCCCCGCTCCCCTTCCTGGCCTCTGGTGATGGCAAGTGTACTCCATATGTCATGAGATCCACTGGTTTGAGCTCTCACATATGAATGAGAACTTGTGACATTTGTGTATTGGAATGGTAGGGATTATTGAGGCCCACGGTTAACCTAGAAAGTGTATACAAGTTAATTTTTTAAATTGTCATTCTTTGAGAACTTTTCTTGGCTACTAAAAAGTGTCAACATGTAGTGATTAGAATTTTCCCTCCTTTTCCATTAACTCTTGAAGATGCTAAGGGGACATTAATTATGAAGGTCTGTAAAGCAGCACCTTGATTTACCTCTAAGAAAGACAACATAGAGTTAGATATAAAGCTGTATTGGGCATATCTGTTCTCAGGTTGGAATGCCTGTGTTTGATTGTTATAGGCAGAGAGAATTATACTCCTTGTGATGTTGTACTCAGTAACATCTGCACAGAGGCTTCTTCCCCTCTACTCTTCATGGCACTTTATATATGCTTCTGCTACCATTTACATATGCATATTTTAGCATTATATGATAAGTTGCATTGAGGACATTTTTCTTGCCTTTGATTAGATTAAATCTTCTTTAAGTAAGGGGTAGTATCTTCAATTTTGTATTTTTAGTGTGGAGCACAGCACAGGGTTGGTAAATTGGCAACATGAGGGCAGGAATTTCTTATTTCTTTTGTTCACTAATATATGTTAAGCACTAGAACAGTGCTTGGCCCATAGTAGTTACTCAGTATGTATTTGTTGGATGAATGAATCCTGTATGCCAAAGATAAAAGTCTTAATATTTAAGAATGTTCTTTTGGCACTATATTGGTTCAGATTTGACAAAATGGTGTAGAACTGATTAATAGGTAAATTCCACCAGAACTTGCAGTCAACCAACACCTTTGCTTTAGACTGCCTCCTGTTTGGGAGGGCAAGAATTTAGCTAATTTGGATCTTGAGCTTAATAAACACTAACATGGTCAAAAGTCAATTAGCAGGAGAGAAAAATGGAAATAAAAGAGCTAAATATTTTGCAGATTCATTAACCAATCTATCATTAATTAATCCTTAAACATTGTATGTTAGTAGCCACTAGAAAGGGAAATCTTCTTGTGGGGAAGATATAGTGCTGGGAAATTTGTAAATTATAAACTACAAAGTTAAAGTAGTAAATAAAGGAAATTAGGAAATGTATTTAAAAAGCCAGTATTATATATAGTAGTATATTTTTATACTATATAAATACATATTACTATAGTTATAAATGTGTTAATATATAGTCTGTATTTATAACATATAAATATAGTAGTATAAACATATTATACTCTTAAATATTTAAGACTGGTAAATAGTTTGATCATCCTTTTTTATGTTTTTTCAATGAGCTAAAAATTAGATTTTATAGTTAAATTCCATT
Organism: Homo sapiens; assembly: GCF_000001405.40. NCBI lineage: Eukaryota > Metazoa > Chordata > Mammalia > Primates > Hominidae > Homo > Homo sapiens. The sequence continues at coordinate 98,640,817 of NC_000008.11, read as the reverse complement.
ATTTGAGCATATGTTTTCTTTATTAGAATAAAAAATTGTAAAATGTGATAATATTTATAATTATGCTTATTATTTGTTAGGTATACTGTATTTATATTTAAGGAAACATGAGCAAATGACCAAGAATAATTAAATTATATTGGAATGTTCCTTTCAAGTAGGTGCTTTGGAGTTTTAAATTTAATACTTTAATAATAAATGCAAATTGTTAATTATTGTATTGTTGTTTATTGGTACAATGAAAGTGTTGAAGATATTTTCATAAGAAGAATGGTAGTATAAAATAGATTGAGAATAAAATCAAAGTTAATTGAATATTAGGAACCCTTCACTAGTATATCATTAACTTTTATGTTTTTTTATATCACATTTTTCCACTAGATTACAGAACTACAAAAGAATATATTCTTCCTTGAAGTTTTGCCACAATTTTGTGTATAAAATTCTTTTGAATAAAATGAATATGGAGGTCAGGCACAGTTGCTCAAGCCTGTATTCCCAGCACTTTGGGAGGCCAAGGCAGGCAGATCACTTGAGCTCAGGAGTTCTAGACCAGCCTGGACAACATGGTGAAACCCCGTGTCTACAGTACAAAAATTAGCCTGGCATAGTGGCTTGTGCCTGTAGTCCCAGCTACTTGGGAGACTGAGGTGGGAGAATCACTTGAGTCCAGGAGGTCAAGACTGCAGTGAGCCGTGATCGCGCCACTGCACTCCAGCCTGGGTGATGGGGTGAGATCCTGTCTCTGAATGAGTAGAATAGAATAGAATAGAATAGGGAATATGGAATAACATATAACAAATAACAGCCTCTCAAGCAGCTGGGATTGCAGGCATACACCACCACTCCCAACTAATTTTTGTATTTTTAGTAAAGATGGGGTTTCACCATGTTGGCCAGGCTAGTCTTGAACTCCTGACCTCAGGTGATCCATCTGCCTAAGCCTTCCAAAGTGCTGGGATTACAGGCGTGAGCCACCGCGCCTGGCCAGGAACCAAAATATTTAAATTGAACAAAGGCGTGTCTTTGTTTCTTGCTATGTGAAGTTAAGAAACACACCTTCACGTTAACATGGAAAAACACTTAAAAAGATATGAAAGGTAACATTGACATCAGATGAAACCTGATTGTAAAAGCATAATGAATTATTACTATATGCCTTTGGTTTTGAAAAGCAAATAAAGAAACAAAAAGTAAGTTTTCCCCAAAGCATTAATAGTCATGAAGCTTATTGAAAGTATTAAACATTATGAAAACTTGTGTGAAGGTCTAAAAATTCCTGTGTTAGAAGAAAGCTTTCACAGTGTCATGTCATTTTCAGTGAAAGAAGAGCACATTTCAACATTGAAACTGAGTATTGCATTTTAAAATCCCATCTATTTCAGGAGGATTAATATCCATATTGGACCAGGCATGGTGCCTCATGCCTATAATCCCAGCACTTTGGGAGGCTGAGGTGGGTGGATTGCTTGAGCCCAGGAATTTCATACCAGCCTGGGCAACATGACAAAACCCTGTCTCTACAAAACATACAAAAACAATTAGCTGGGTGTGGTGGCATGCGCCTGTAGTCCCAGCTACTCAGGAACCTGAGGTGAGAGGATCGGTTGAGCCCAGGAGGTTGAGACTGCAGTGAGCTGTGATCATGCCACTGTGTTCCAGTGTGGGTGACAGAATAAGACCTTGCTCAAAAAAAAAAAAAAAAAAGTGTATCTCCTTATTGTAACTTTTAGAGTACTGTTTCTACAGACTAGTATAACTATTGCCTTTTCACAGCTTTATGCGTAGTTGTTAGAACAGTAATCCTTTCCCATAATATGTCTATTTCAGACCATAAGCCCATTTTAATTATTGTTAATTTTTACTTAATATTTACTATATTTGCCCTTGTCTAAATAGTAATTACTACATTAAATAAGATTTTTATATAACCAACATTTCATTGTAACATTATTTCCAAGAACTGTCCTATAAATAATTGAGTAAAACTGACATTTTAAACCACCCCCTCTGTGCTCTATGTTTAACTCTTAATACTGTTCTCATGCTCTGACCCCACTGCTGCCTGTCTCTTTGCTGGTGTTGCTGTCCTCTGTCCTTTGCCTCTTAGTGGTCTCAGTTTTCTCTTAATATGAACAAGCAATGGGAGGAATGGTGCTGCTGTTTCTTCCACCTTGGTCACAAGCTAACCTCTACATTTTTGTCTAAAGAAGTCACTTTTATTCACTAAGTCCTTTCTATTCCCATTCTGTTTCAGTAATGCCTTGATTGGTTGTGTCACCTGTGCAGTAGTTGAAAATGGATATGAGTACACAATTTCAGGACCTCCCTGCTTCCTTGTAGATCATTTGGCCGTATGTAAGTGATTTAACAGTCATGCAGTCAGAATTGTTAGAGTAAATAATTTCCATCTTCATTACTGTATCTTTGTATTCATGAACACTTGCAGGAACATAATATTCTTCAGTTAAATTTAGGCAAGTTTAAAAAAATTAGGCTAAATAAGTAACAAATTTAAAAATCAAGCTAGTTTACATATTTGGAGACTTCCATTTTTGTAATAATGGTGAATGAAGAGTTTCTTTTGAGTACTTTTTAAAATACCAACAATTGATAAAGTGTAAATTTACTTAAGGAATTAATTAATGTAGGTTTTTTGTATGAAAGCAGTCTTGATATCAAATTATGATTATATGTACATTTTAACTTAGTTACATTATAACTTTCAAAAAATTTCTTAGCCAAAAAAAATTAGCAGAGAGTTTAGTATTTATTTCTAGAAACACACCTAAAGTAGCATGAGTAGAGAGTTTAAAAGGAATAGTAAAACAGATTTCTTTACATGATAGATTATAAGAAAATGTTGGGTGCCAACACCTAATAAGATATTTAAAAATAATATTGCTTTTAGTTATGAATATTTCTATTACTTAGTTTGTCATATACCTAATTGTATGGTGGTTCAGGTTGATTTGAGATTACAAACATTGATGTTGAAACTTCATAGCTTTAGACCATCTTTTTTTGTGTGGGTTTGTGTCAGCTAAATTATCAGTTTCATTTGCTCATTTAAAACTGTAATACATAAAAAAATTGGTTAAAAAGGATTATTATACTTTTTTAGACATTGTGCAGATTCCATTTTAGTAGCTCCAAAATAAGACATTGGAGTTGAATTAGGGGAAAACTGATATTATGCAGGAGTGCTGTCCTCACTTTCACCAGAAAATTATTTAAATTGGAATTTCCAAATGTGAGAAATCTGAAAGGAATAAAAAATGCTAGTCCTTAATGTTAGCCGTATGGTTGGTGTTAGCCAAAATGAAGTTCAGGCTGTGATGCTCTGTAGCCACTGTATGACCTACCCAAAGGCAATCAGAACTCACTCGTTTCTTCCTTTTTTCTTTTCTTCCTCTTTTTTTTAAACTAATTGGCCCATGTTTAGTTTACTGAATGTCATCTGGACTCAGTAAAAAGCAAGTGACCTGCATTGAATTAGTGTAATTGTAATACAAACAGAATATTGCATAGTTTTGGTCTTATACAGGAAAGGAGAAAGTTGGAAAGATTTTTCTGTTTGATAAATAGAAACTGAAGATGTGGGAATCCAGGCCTGGTTCATACTTGATTTTACCTTTCATGTCTCTTTGTAAGATCAGTATTTGGACTTTTAGGCATTTTTCCTCTGTAAAAAAACATTGGTTTTCATTTTGAAATTTATTATGAAAGAAGTCTGCTTTTTGTAAAAAAAAAAAAAAAAAATCTTACAAATGATGTATATTAAGTCATGGATCTAATTCAATCATAAGAAAGTTAGCATTGTCCAAAATGGAAGTACTTTATGCACTACTAGGATTGTCAGGAACTTGGCATATTATTTTACCTTTATCATGACCAATATTGCAAGGACATTTTCAAATGCTATTTTATTAGTTTTGGATAGTTTATATTTATTACATTCTGTGTCAGATGCGTAATAGCTCCATTTGCTAAGGGGAAAAATAAAGAGCTGACATATTTAAATTTCATTTTAAATAATATGTTTTAAATTTTAACTATATGACTTTGGTCTTATAATTAATTAATTTGATTTTGAAAGCGTCATTTTGAAATGGAATTATTTGGCATCCTGAAATGCAAATTCTGTGTAACTTATACTCTTGTAATAGGACACTGCCAGTACAATAACTATAAACAGCTTAGATCTTCCTATTATAATCTTGGAGTGCCTTGTACTTTTTGTCTTTAACACATATTTCTTGAAATATTTCTCTGATTTTTAATTTAATGTTTGGTTTTTCCACTGGATTCCATGTCTCAAGAGAGCAGGTACTGGGTCTTCCCTTGTATTTTAACATGATAGTCTTTCGTGCCTAACACAATGCCTGGCATATGATAGGCAGTCAGTAAATGTCAGTTAAATAAGTGTAAAAATGAATAAGGAAATTATTTACATTAGTACTTAGAAAAATCTAGTATCTAAATAGTATCCAAGTACTGAACAATCTAGTAATTGCTTATATAGTATAATTGCAGTGGTAGAATCCTAGCTTTTCTACTTGCTGATTGTATTACCATGCCCAATTTAACCTCTCCATGTCTCACTTTTTTCCCATATGTACAGTGAGAATAATTATAATCTTTATCCTGAGGAGTTGTTATGAGGATTGAATGAGGTAATTCATGTTTCCTTGGGAATGCCCCACAGAGTTAATTGATATTATTATCATTGTTCTGTTTTTTACTATTTTAGAGGTGCTTTGGAATCATAGAAGGAATGTATGGCTTTATTAGGAAGGGTTGTATTAGGGAAAGCATAAAAAAATAGGTAATGTACTAAAAACTTATTGAAAGATGGTTAGACGATGCCTCATGGCCAAAGGTAAGCCATGCTGAAAAGAAGTTGTACTTTATTTCGTAAGTAATAGGGGAAAGATTGGGGTTTGAAGTAGGGGTTCAGCAATCTGCATTTAACAAGCCCACCAAGAAATTCTGATGCATAGTAAAATTTAAGAACAATTATTATATGTACATATTTATATAGATGAGAACTATTGTTATATATACATGTTTATACAGATTAAAAATGTACAGATGTTTTAAATAATATTTTAATTCTGTGTGTTTTTTTACTTAATAATGTAGTCTAGCAAGTTTCTGATCAGTAAACTCAATTTTCTCCTACATGTATTGTAAAATTAGAAATATTTCCTACTAGAAAATAGTTGTCTTCAGATTAAGTTAGTAACCAAAAGTATTCTTTATCCACCTGAAAAGAGGTAGTATAACTTGATGATTAAGATCATGGACTTTGGAGCTAGACTGCCTGGGTTCCATTTTCAACTCTGTCCTTTATTTGCTGAGTATTTGAGGGCAAGTTATTTAACCTTTCTATCCCTCAGTTTTCTCATATATAAAATGGAGAAATACTTCCTCATAGGGTTTTGGTGAGGATTAAAAGAAATAATTTTTGTAAAGCTACTTAGTACATTGCCCCATACATAATAAGTGCTATATAGAGAAAATGTAATAGTAACAACAATAATTACAACATATGATAACATGAATGTATCAAAAGTTACATAATTAAAGCATTTAACAATAGTGCTGAGACAGCCTAAGCACAGCATGCTTATTGCTTAAAAAGTCCTAGTTAAATGGCCATATACATATGCCTGAACTTTGGGGCCTCATTTTACCCTTTTCTGGCTGTAGTATTATAGAAGGGTATGCCTCTTTCTTCTTGTTTTTTTTTCTCCTACCCATCACTTATTTCCTCTCTGCTATGGAACTTTACAGGCTCACGTGCTCCTTGATTTAGGAGACAAACAGTTTTCCTTTGGGAGAATGAAAAAACAGTGAAAATAACCTGGGGATATTGCATTTGAATTCTCTCAAAATAGTATAAAAACGCATGCCTGTAGTCCCAGCTACTTGGGAGGCTGAGGTGGGAGAATCACTTGGACCCAGGAAGCAGAGGTGCCAGTGAACTGCTTTTATATGTGGCTCTGAAAGAAAGGGTTAAGACAGCAGTAGAGAACACTGCTGTCTCCATTCCCTGGCTTTCCTCCAGCTTTTATCTCTGTCTTGAATTCTAGACATATTTCTAGTAATCTGCTTATATAATTTTCTTTACTATTTTGAGATAATTCAAATCCAATATCTCCAAGTTGTTTTCACTGTTTTTTCATCAGGCTTGTTTCTCCCTTTATATTTGAACCAACTATGTATTTGAAACAACTGGTTAGATGGTGGTGCCATTAACCAAGAGTATCCTCCCTCTGTCCAATCTTCCGCCTTTATTTTTTATTTTATTTTGAGACAGGGTCTCACTCTGTCACCCAGACTAGAGTGCAGTGGCACGATCTCCGCTCACTGGAACCTCCGCTTCCTGGGTTCAAGTGATCCTCCCACCTCAGCCTCCCGAGTAGCTGGGACTACAGGCATGCACCACCACCCCTGGTTAATTTTTGTATATATATATATTTTTTCTTTTAGAGACAGGGTTTCACCATGTTGCCCAGGCTGTTCTCAAACTCCTGGACTCAAGTGATCCGCCTGCCTTGGCCTCCCAAAGTGCTGGCATTACAGGCCACTGTGCCTGGCCCAATCTTCTGCCTTTAATCAGTCACCAGGTCCTGTTGATGTTTCCTTCCCTCCTTCCTGTCCAGCTCCACTGCCACTGTGCTGATTCAAGTTTTCATTATTCACCAGTTCCCATCTCTGTAACTTTCTTAATATCTCTCAAGTAATATCCCCTTCTTTTCGTCCACATCTTTATTTTTCCTTCCAGATTTTTTTAATACTCCACATCACCAACTAATTTATTTGGAATCGAGATTAAAAGAACATTTGACAGTTGTGAATGTATGTTTATTCTGAAACTTCTAGCTAGTTGTACAGCTAACCCTTGACAACTTACCAGGTTAATTTTACTTTATTTCTTCAGGCCTGGGGTTTTTTGATGACTTCAAGTTTGGGATCTTCAAATTTGAAGTTAGGGAATGTATTCATGTCTGCTTTACCATACACTTGCTTGAGCTTAAAAAGCTTCTTCTCTGGCTCTTGCTGGTACTCTGGATCAGTATCAACAGATCCTCCAGATGTCTGTCACTTAGATTTGTATTCTCTAACCTTGTACATAAAGAGTTTCTGTACAGGATCAAGTTCCTTATTAAACGCCACTGCTGTAACACCAATGTTCCTCCGCAAATGGACTGAGACTGCTGACTGAAAGACAGAGGAGAACCTGAAGAGCCTCTGGAGAATCTGGCTGATTCTCTGTTACTTGCACTCAGTCCTGAGCTGGCAAAGCCAACGCCACCGCCATCGTTCTACCTTCTTCTGGATCAGTACCAACTGATTTAATAATCTGCAGTCTCAATCTCCTCTCTAAAGTAAACTTCATGATGCTGCTAGATTGATCATCTTAAATGAAACACAACTCATATTACTGTCTTACTTAAGATCCTCCCCATTAATAGCCAAATTTTTAAGGGTGTCATGTAAGACCTTGGGCTCTGCATACATCTTTATTCATGTGATATTTCCTTTCCTTTAGCCATACTATCATTTGTAGGTAGTGTTAGGTTTACCTCTGCCTTCTTCTAAGTGTTACTTTATGCCTGCATTTTCTCCCATCTTTTTTCTACACATTCTATCTTGGGAACTTTTCTTCTGGGCTTCCTTTGCATCTTGTGTGCCCCAAGACCATACAAGTTATCATCTTCTGTTATAGTTTATATGACTTCTCTACCACATTATGAAGTTATTGATAGCAGCATGTGTAATTTTTATTTTGTGTCTTCAGTATCTAATACTACGCTTTATGACATACTAATTATTAAATAAATGATTAATACATTTATATACAAATTTGGGGTACATAATTTTCATTTGCATTTTTTAATAACTGGGAAGGTTGAGGTGGACATATCTATATTTAATAAACCTTGAAGGAAAGAATATTCTCTCTCTTATCAGTGAACAGCTTGAGTGCTACCATGTGTTCAGCTGTGGGTGAGGCACTACATGAATGAAATCAAAATACGAGGGAAGGACTGGTGTTATAAATTGCTTTTTCTTTGACAAAATATTATTTAAAATAATTCATTTTATACTCATAATGCATATTTTTTTAGTGCAGTTTAGTTTTAGGAAAACAAATCATTTAGGTTAACATCTAAAATGTTAATGTTGAACTTTACTGACTATAGTATGGCATATGTCCAATAGAATCTGTTAAAAATTTTCCTCTGCGTCAGATCTAAGTTGAGAAGAATGAGGTAACTTTAATGTGAACCTAGATTGTAATGCAGTCTTTCTCTCCAGTGAATTGCCAAATTCACAATTTCATTTGTATCTGGAATTGGGGAAGCTGAGTTTAATATGGATGTTTGCCAAGTTAGCAAATCTTGGCAAGATAGTCTTATTCTCTGTGCTTAATTATATAGTTTTATTATAAAGTTTTTCACATGTTCATTTGTAGGTATCTATTATTCTCTTGAGGTGAGTTCACATGGTCGCCAATCTCTCATTTATACTTTATTCTTTTGGTAGTTAATCATTTACTGTCAAGCCTTCTATCTTTCTTAGAAGACTACATTTTTATTTTTACATTTTTATATATTACCACTAGTGATCCAGTTTTGTCTCTTTGCGAGGTTTATGGATTTTTGAGCAGTACAAGTGTAAATCCCTCAGAAAGGCTTTGGTATATTAATTTATTTCATATTTATTGAGTGCCTGCTCAGACACTGTTTTAGGCACTCATACATAACAGTGAATGAAACAAAGTTCCAATCTCTTAGGTACCTATTTGTAGTGGGGAAAGACAGTAAATTACACACAAAAAGCTGGGCACAGTGGCCCACGCCTGTAATCCCAGCACTTTGGGAGGCTGAGGCGGGTGGATCACCCAAAGTCAGGAGTTCAAGACCAGCCTGACCAACATAGTGAAACGCATTTTCTATTAAAAATACAAAAAGTAGGTGGGCATAGTGGCGTATGCCTGTAGTCCCAGCTACTTTGGAGGCTGAGGCAGGAGAATTGCTTGAACCCAGGAGGCGGAGGTTGCAGTGAGCCGAGGTCGTGCCACTGCCCTCTAGCCTGGGAGACAGAGTGAGACACTGTCTCGGGAAAAAAACACACAAAAAAACGAAAACTATAGCATATCAGGTACTGATAACAGCTATGAAGAAAAAGCAGGATAAGAGGGATACAGAATGACAGATATGTTTGTGATATTATATGTAGGATGGTCAAGAAAGGCCTGTCTAATAAGGTGACTTATAGTAGAGATGTGAAGGAGCTAAGTAAATGAGCAATGCAGATTTCTGGGGAAAGAACGTTCTAGTCAGAGTAAACTGATGTGTGACTGTGTTTGATGTTTTAGAAACAGTAAGGAGGTTTAAGTGGCTGGAGCTGGATAAGATGGTGAAAGAAGTAGGAGATGAGATCAGAGGGATGGCAGGGAACCAGATCACTTAGAGCCTTCATAAACCACGGCAGGACCTTTAGCTTTTACCCTGAGTGAAACAGGAAACCATTGCAGGGTTTTGAGCAGAGGAATGGTATGGTCTGATGTGTGATTTAAACGGCTCGTTCTTCATTGAGAAGGGATTGTAGCAGGACAAGAATGGAAGCCAGGTGAATAGTGAGGAGGTTACTTCTTCAGTAGTCCAGGTAAGAGATAATGGCGGCCTGAACCAGGGTAGTAAAGGTAAAGTTGTTGAGATGTGGCCAGATTCTGGATATTTGTATTTTCTGATTATCTAAATGTGGAATGTAAATGAGAGTCAGGATTTTTGGCCTAGGTTTTTGGCTCAGATATCTTGAATGATGAAGATAAGAAATGATGTTAAACATATTTATAGTTAATGTGTTTTAATAAAAAAAAAGAAATGTTTACTATATGTCAGGTTTATCTCTTAAAACATTCTGCTTTGGCATCTCTCATAACTAGAAAATCTCATCTTTATACTGTTTCTTTCTTTCTTCTTCTTCTTCTTCCTCTTCCTCTTCTTCCTCTTCCTCTTCCTCTTCTTCTTCTTGTTCTTCTCCTTCTCCTTATCCTTCTTCTCCTTCTTCTCCTCCTTCTCCTCCTTCTCCTCCTTCTCCTCCTTCTTCTCCTTCTCCTCCTTCTCCTCCTTCTCCTTCTCCTTCTCCTTCTCCTTCTTCTTCTGTTCCTCTCTGTCACCCAGGCTGGAGTACACTGGTGCCATTAGGGTTCACAGTAGCCCTGACCTCCCAGGCTCAAGTGATTCTCCCACCTTGGCCTCCCAAGTAGCTGCAACTTCAGGCGTGTGCCACCACCCCTGCTAATTTTTAAAATTTTTTTGTGGAGATGGGGTCTCATTGTGTTGCCCAGGCTGGTCTCGAACACGTGGGCTCAAGCAGTCCTCTCGCCTTAGCCTCCCAAAGTGCTGGGATTACAGGCATGACCCACCATGCCCAGCCTTAATACTGATTCTTAATACTTCACATTTTATTCTCTAAGTACGTGCTGTTTGTTTGGTGCTTGGTCCTGAACTATTTTTAAAATGTGGTTTATATTATTATTCAAATATGGTGAAACTAACACGTCAGGAGACAACTGCCATTGAAAAGATTGATACAGTTTCTAAGTGGAGAGGGCATGGCACATCAGACAGGGTGGCATATATGCCACGCCACATAGTGCTCATAGGGAAGCACCAGGGTTGTTTAGGAGGCAGAAATAGCTAGGGAAATCATGGGGGAGAGCCTTTATCATGATTTTAGTGAGAAGGAACAGGCGAGGCAGGGTAAGGAGGCTTAGAATTGGCTGGTTTTAATAATGTCGGCATAGTCACATATAAGAGCAGCCCCCAAGTTGTTTGATACCTGGCCCTGGCGTGATTATTAGAACAGGGGACTATTCTAATAGTCCCAGAATATAAGAGTTCTGTGAGAGCTGAATACTGGGGATGGATGGGAGGTAGTTTTAGATTGAGTGGTTTGCATGCGAAAAGCACTCAAGGAGGGGTAGTTTGCTGTCTAAGAAGTAGCTAGCCTTGGGAGGGGCAGTCTCTCCTGGGTCAGCATGGTTCCCATCAAGAATACGGAAAACAAAGTGAAAACAGTTTCTGTATGTTATATTTGCTTGGCTTCTGTCTTTTTAATACTACCATCCTAGTTTATGCCCTCCATTGGTCTGGTCAGGAAAATTACAGTAGGACCTTCCTTTCCATCTTTAGTTTTTATCTTTGTTTCCTCCCTAGCATTTATTTTCGAATCAGTAGCCACAAAGGGGAATCTTGGTTGTATGACTTTACCTGGATCCCTCTAGATTAGTAAACTTTTGACCATGTTCTAAAGTAGTGTTTAGGGTTCCCCATATTTGATTTGAAGTCCACTTGATTATATGAACCAATGTTTGTGAGAGGAAGGAAGGTGGGTGTGTGGGGTCTCCAGTTTTTTTCATGCCCCTTTCAATTATTGTGGGTTTAAAAAAGGTTTCTGTACTAGGGTTCCATGTATGAGTTTATTTGGAAAGTAGATTTCACTGCTCAAAAGTTGGTAAACTCTCGTAAATGACTGTCAAGCTTCCTTATTATAGCATGATTATTTTTTTCTTCTGTGTCTAGGGTGATGGGCCTACCAGCTGAGCCTATCATACTAAAGAGATTAGTCTAATTTTGTGTATGAAGTACTTGAGTCTTTTCTGAGTCAAATAATTTAGCCAAAGTCACAAATCTCTTATTGGGGGAAAAGAGAATTGGTATAATCTGTGTCTAAAAATCCATCAAGTTACCCTAAAAAACTATCACTGTACAAATTCCTCACTTGGCCTTTACTCTTGCTGTCCCATCCAGGTTTCCAGGCTTCTCTCAACATCCCCCTATATAGACAATTTTTCCTGCCAAACAAGATGATTTAATGTTTTCCAAACCTGTTGCCTTCGTCTACTTTATTCCTTTACCTTCGTCACTGTCTTCCATTTATAGGCACATTCCTTTTTTTTTTTTTTTTTTTTTTTGGAGTGTGGAGGGGAGTGGAGACAGGATATTCCTCTATTGCCTGGGATAGAGTGCAGTGGTGTGATCATAGCTCACTGCTGTCTTGAACTCCTGGCCTCAAGCTGTTCTTCTGCCTCAGCCTCCTGAGTAGCTGGGAACATAGGCACATACCACTAGGACTGGCTGATTTTTAAAATTTTACTTTTGTAGAGATAGGGTTGCGCTATTTTGCCCAGGCTAGTTTCTAACTCTTGGCCTCAAGTGATCCTCCCACCTCTGCCTTCCAAAGTGCTGGGATTACAGGTGTGAGCCACCATGCCTGCCTGTGTATTCCTTTAACTTAGCAAGTGTTTATGAAACACCTGCTTTGTGTTGGGCACTCTCCTGGACTCTTGAATATAGGGATAAATAAAATTCTTTCTGCTTCAGGGAACCCCCAGGTTAAGGAAAGCCAAAAGTCTAGCATGAGTAATCTACAGAGTCTTTCAAGAGTACTTCACATCAGATGTGTCTAGTAACATTGTGTAGCCAGACCAAGTGGTTGGGAACAATGGTAAGAGATGAGCCTGGAAAATTGAAAAGAGAGGAAGGAGGCCATGAGCGAAGGATTGTGGATAGCTTGTATAAACTGGAAAAATCAGGGGCAAGTTCTGTCTCAGAATTTCCAGAAATTCTAATTCTGTCAGCAGTAGGTATCTTTAGTTTTATGTAGAGTTGTTGCATTACTGGACTGTGTTTTACACAGATATAAAACAGATATTAAAGGAGAAACTAGAGACAGGAGAATTAGGTTACATGTTTGTTGTAGTATTCTACTGAGCTGTTTGCTTAGTACCTGAATTTTAACAACCACAAATATTTGTAGTATCAAATTATCTTATATATTTTCTCATTTGATGTTAAAACAACATAGTGTGCTGGCACAATTAGATACCCACATGTACAAAAATGAAATTAGACTCCAACCTCATACCCTGTAAAAATGTTAATTCAAAATGCACCAAAGACCTAAATTTAACAGCTAAATCTATAAAATTTTTGGTAGTAAACATAGATGTAAATCTTAGGCTTTGCTGTGTGTGTGTTAGCTTGTTTTTGCATTGCTATAAATAAATACCTGAAGCTGGGTAATTTATAAATAAAAGAGGTTTAATTGGCCTACAGTTCTACAGGTCATACAAGCATGATGCCAGCATCTGCTTGGCTTCTGGTGAGGCTTCAGGAAGCTTTTACTTCCTGAGGCAGTGGGGGCATGAGTATGTCACATGGTGATAGCAGGAGCAAAAGAAAGGGGAGGAGTCTCAGGCTCTTTTAAATAACCAGACCTTTTTTTTTTTTTTTTTCTTTTTTCTTTTTTTAGTGCAGTGGCACGATCTCGGCTCACTGCAACCTCTGCCTCCTGGGTTCAAGCGATTTTCCTGTCTCAGCCTCCCAAGTAGCTGGGATTACAGGCACATGCCACCACGCTTGGCTAATTTTTATGTTTTTAGTAGAGACAGGGTTTCACCATGTTGGCCAGGCTGATCTTGAACTCCTGACCTCAAGTGATACACCTGTCTCAGTCTCCCAAAGTGCTGGGATTATAGGCATGTACTGCTGTGCCCGGCTAATTTTTATATTTTTAGTAGAGACGGGGTTTTACCATGTTGGCCAGGCTGGTCTTGAACCCCTGAGTTCAAGTGATCTGCTGGGCTTGGCCTCCCAAAGTGTTGAGATTACAAGCATGAGCCACTGCGCCTGGCCTATGATGACTCTTAAGACTTGAGTCCAAGCCACATAGCCATTAGAGGTGGCATGGAATGTTTTTCCAGGTATGAAGTGGGGACAGAATTTTTTTCTCTCTTCTCAATCTTTTCTCTCTACATTCTGTACTCTTAAATTGTTTTACTCAACAAACATTATCTTTTGTATACTAAGCATTGCACCTGGAACTGAGGATACAGAAAGCAGTGTGGAGCTAGAATCACTTACCAAAATTCTGCAGTTTCTAGTTTGGGAAGCTGTTTGGTTGGTGATTAAAGAGAGTGACTCCAAGAGGAGGAAGATTGGTGAGATCAAGAAAATTTCTTATTTCCCCATGCAGACTTGCATGTAGTCTTCCTTTGTTCCTAGAGGCTGTTTGAAAGAATACCTTATCCTCATTGTCTCTACTTTATTAGAATACATTTAGTTTCTTTTAAACTTCTTTTAAATTATTTCTTCATATTTGCCAGAGATCACTTATTATCAAATCCGATGGCCTCATCTCAGTCCCCTTCTTACCCCTGACCTCCTAAAGCAGGGCCTTTTTTCTGTAAAGGGCCAGATAGTAAATATTTTAGTCTTTACAAGTTATATGGTCTCTGCTGCAGTCATTCAGCTCTTCCATTATAATGTGAAAGTAGCCATATAGACAGCACATAAATGAATGAGTGTGGCTGTGTTCCCATAAAACTTTATTTACCAAAACAGGAGACTGGTTAGATTTGGCATGTGGGCCGAAGTTTTCTGATCCCTGCTCTGAAACATTTGATTGTATTTCTACCTTTTTTGGGAAGAGAGTGTTTCTTTTCTTCAGTGATACTTTTCCCCCTTTTCTCATTGAATGGCACCTTTTCCTGTATAGTCACTTTTTCATGTGATTCTATCTACAGCTATTTTCTTGCTTTATACTCAGGCTTCTGTTAAGGCTTCTATGCTGCAGATTCTTTCCCCACTTCTAACAGGAAATAACTAAGATGGAGAGTTCACTCCTGCTGCTGCCTTTATGGCTGCCTCCTTTTTCCCCACCTCCTTTTATCAGGGGAGCATCTGGGGGGCAGGGTGAGGGGCAGCCTCTGTAATAAAGGGAAGAGAAAAGAGAGTCATTACCATGACGTGGTAGATGGTTCTGAACCACTTTTTTCAGGGTTATAGTAGGGTAGATTGCTTCCTCATGTTTGCTATCATAAGCCCCCCACTTCAGCATCCTATGCAGGCCTGTACACCTAAAAAGTACCCTTAAGTGTAGCAGTCTAGCATTCTGAGCTGCTGTGGATGTTTTTTCTGTGGTGGTTGTCTGTTGTCAGTTACGACAAACACTTCTTTTTCTTCCTCACAACTTTAAAACAGGGAAGAAAGAAAATCTCCTTGCCCCAAATTATCCCCTTTCCATTCTGCCTGAAATTTTGCCAAATAGATTCGTTTCAATTTTTAAGCCAAACACACTTGGGAGGTTTAAGCACAGATGAGTTACTGTTCATCCTGGCATCATTATGAAAAGGCATAATCAGTTTGCCTTTTCCCTTGTTAAACTGAGATAGACTCAGTGGAAGTTTTAATAGGTGGGAGGGAGGGAAGAAAGGTCAAAGAGAAACATGGCACTTTGGGCTTTTTCTGGGAGCAGAGCCAGCAGTGAGAGCTGGGGTTTTTGGGCTTGTAGAGGTGGGACTGGGAGAGGGAAAAGGGAAGTGGGAGGATGCACAAGACAAATGTCAGTTTTGAAAATGTGCCTTCTTTCCAGATCTTTGCTCTTGTTTACTGCCTTTCTTGATCTTTACTATAATGATGAGTGTGTATGTGTGTATGTGTGTGTTGTCGGAGAGAGGGTACAGTGGAAGTGGAATAAAGGAGAAACCAGAGGTAATTTGTCAGTAATCCTCAAATAGCAGTAAGGCTCACAGTTTAAGCGCCTTCTTTCAAGATACACTGCTAGCTAATGACAAGGCCACGACCATTTAGCTGGCTTTCTTTTTTTGTTATGTTTCTCTGTGGTGTTACATATAAGAAGTAGCTGCTGATTCACACTCAGCAGTCTTCTCTGGAGGATTTTATTTTAATTACCAATCTTTCGATCTTTCTCATTTTCTTGGGTTTAAAATTCAACTGGACTTCATCCTCAGGCCATTTAACTTATTTTTCCTCCTGTTTTCCAGCTTGTCAGTATCCTCAGGCATTCACTTTACTCCTCTATCTAGCCAAGACTCTACTCTGTCACTTGAACCACTTTCTTTTTTTTTTCTTTTTTGAGACAGAGTTCCACTCTTTTTGCCCAGGCTTGAGTGCAGTGGCACGATCTCAACTCACTGCAACCTCCACCTCCCAGGTTCAAGTGATTCTCCTGCCTCAGCTTCCCGAGTAGCTGGGATTACAGGTATCTGCCACCATACCCGGCTCATTTTTTGTATTTTTAGTAGAGATGGGGTTTCACCATGTTGCCCAGGCTAGTCTCGAACTCCTGACCTCAAGTGATCCCACCCGCCTTGGTCTCCCAAAGTGCTGGGATTACAGTCATGAACTACCGCACCCGGCTGAACCACTTTCTTTTAATTCCTTTTTTTCCTTCTCTTTTTTGCTGTATCTTCCTAACAATGTACCAATACTACACTAATCCCATAGTAATAAGTATAGTAGCTATTATTTATTGTCTACTATCTGACCAACTCTATGATAAAGTTTTACATAACTCTAAAACAACTCTAAAAGGAGTAGATATTATTATTGGCACACTCTATGTAACTATCATTATTATAACTCTAGATAACAACCCAAGACACAGCTACACTGATAGAGCTAGGTTATCACTCAGACTTAAAAAACCTCAAAGGTTTTTACCTTTCCCATTTTGCTGTGTTCCTCGTAACCAGGCTGCTTAACTGCAATTATGTAACTGTGAAGACTGATGCCCCCAAAAGATTGATTTCTAATCTGAAATGGACAGTTGGCAATCCTTTCACATGTTCCCCTACGCCTACCACCTCATTCTCTTCTGGGTCTGTTGCAAAATTTCTTTACCCCATCTCTCCTTGGTTTTGTCAGACTTGCTTTCTGGTCCAAAGAAAAACTGGAGACTATTAGCAGTTCACTGTTTCTGTCCCTCCGTCTAACTTAATGTATTAGTCTGTTCCTGCTGCTATAACAAAATGCTAAAGACTGGGTGATTTAAACAACAACAGTTTATTTTCTTACAGTTCTGGAGTCTGGACTTCCAAGATCAAGGTGTTGGCAGGTCTGGTTTCTTCTGAGGTCTCCCTCTGGCTTGCAGATGGCTGCCTTCTCTGTGTGTTCTCACATGGCCTTTGGGTTTTTGTTTTTGTTTGAGGCAGGGTCTTGCTCTGTCTCCCAGTCTGGAATGTCATGGTGTGATCACAGCTCACTGCAGCCGCGACCTCCTGAGCTCAAATGATCCTTCCACCTCAGCCTCCTGAGTAGCTGGGACTACAGGTGCACACCACCATGCCTGGCTAATTGTTGTATATTTTGTAGAGACGGGCTGTCGCTACGTTGCCCAGGCTGTTCTCAAACTCCTGGGCTCCAGTGATCTGCCTGCCTTGGCCTCCCAAAGTGCTGGGATTACAGGCATAAGCTACTGTGCCCAGCCCTGGCCTTTGGTTTTGAATGTACACATTCCTAATGTCTCTTCTTCTTCTTATAAGGACACAAGTCATATTGGATTAGAGCCCCACCTTTATGACCTCATTTAACCTTAATACCTCTTTAAAGGCCCAATCTGCAAATACAGTAACATGGAGCATTAGGGCTTTGACATAAAATTTGGTAGTGGTGGTGGTGGGGGGACAGGACACAATTCAGTCCGTAACAGTCAATATCTATACTTTTCCTTCCTTCCTTTATGTCTTTTTTCCCCCTCTCTTTCTTCCTTTCTTCCTTCCCTTTATTTTTTCTTCGTTTCTTTTTCTCCTCCTTCTCATCTTATTCTTCCCTCCCTCACAATATGTTCCATGTGGAGGAAGAGGGTTCCTTCTCTGCTCAAGTCCAATCTCTCAACCTCTATTCTGTATCCCATTCTTTCTTTTTCTTGTATTTTGGAGCATTACTCATCATTTGTTCACTCTAGCGTTTATTTTCTTCAGTTTCTTCTACATGGGTTTTCTTTTATCGGTATGTAAATATACTACTGCTCAATCATTATTACTACTACCGTTGTGTTCTATTATGCATATTAGTCCCATGTAATTTATTATTGTAAGATGTAACAATTAAATGCTGTAGAAGTAATCCTTCTGATTTTAAAATGGGAAATAGTACAGGTTTTTGCAATTTCAGAGCAATTTCTATTTCTTAGTTTGATAGAATGTTTCTACCTTAATGTTAAGCTAAAAATATACTAAAACTATTGTAATAAAAGTTTAATACATTAGGATAGGCGAACACATAATTTCCGTCTTCTTCTGAGATATAGAAATGTGTTGATTACTTTAAATGTAGCAATTGTAGGGAATTCTCTGCCAAGTTACAGAAATCTATGTATTAATATAGTTCTTCTTGAACTCGGTCCTCGATAATTTGATTTTTTACAGACCCTTGAGTTTACCATGATGAATTGTCATTGCAATACTTATTTGCACTTACTATACCAAACTTCAGTTGTGCTATATCATTAAAGTTTGTTACTTTTAGATTGCTTTGGGAAGCTGTATATTATAGTCTAGCTGTAGGAAATTTACATACAATGAATGAATGGCAATGTAATATACATCCTTATGTTTATTTATGAGTCATAACTAATCCTATTTAGTATTTGGTTTATTGTATTCAGTGATTAATAGAATCAGGGAAAGTAAACCAAAAAAATCCAATTTTTTTTTTTTTGGAGATGGAGTCTCATACTGTCACCCAGGCTGGAGTGCAGTGGCGCAATCTCAGCTCACTGCAACATCTGCCTCCTGGGTTCAAGAGATTCTCCTGCCTCACGAATAGCTGGGAACACAGGCATGCACCACCACACTCAGCTAATTTTTTTTTTTTTTTTTTTTTTTTAGTAGAGACAGGGTTTTACCATGTTGGCCAAGCTGGTCTTGAACTCCTGACCTCAAGTGATCTGCCTGCCTCAGCCTCCCAAAGTACTGGGATTACAGGCGTTAGCCACCGTGCCCAATGTCTGATTTTTTTTTTT
This sequence comes from Homo sapiens, assembly GCF_000001405.40. Lineage (NCBI taxonomy): Eukaryota > Metazoa > Chordata > Mammalia > Primates > Hominidae > Homo > Homo sapiens. Next base: position 98,621,965 of record NC_000008.11, on the reverse strand, counting down.
GTATGTAGAATTTTTCATTTGACGGTCTTTTTTTCTCAGCCACAGATATATTTTACTTGCAACAAGAAGGTTTTTCTCATGTGTCCACAATCTGTATCATCTGGCCATACGGAGCTTCTTATGTAAGCAATTACCAGTGATTCTGGGACTAGCTATATAGATATGTTGCTTTATTCAGGGTCATAGTGTTAAAAAAAACAACACTCTGAGCTTCCACCTTAAGAACATACAGACAGCTGGGTTGTTGGGTGGGGAGAGTACCATTCAGCTGAATCAATGTAATGCACCATATTAACAGACTAAAGAAGAAAAGTCACATAATGTAGAAAAAAAAATTTGATGCAATTCAGCACCCATTTACGGTATTGAATGATCTCAGAATAATAGGAATAAAGATAACTTCTTCAATTTGATGAAGAATACCTATAAAAACCTTTCAGCTAACATCATAATTAATGGTAAAAGACTGAATGTTTTCCCCTAATGTTGGGAACAGGAACGATGTTCACTCTCACTACTCATTCAGCACAGTACTGGGAGTTCTTGCCAGCTCAAAAAGGCAAGAAGTGAAAGGAAAAGGCATACAGATTGGAAAGGTAGAAATGAAACCATCTCCTTTTGTAGATGATATGATTTTCTACATAGAAAATACCAATGAATAAACTCATAGAATTAATGAGTAAGCGCAACAAGGTTTCAAGATGCAAGATATAAAAATCAGTTGTTGGCCGGGCGCGGTGGCTCATGCCTGTAATCCCAGCACTTTGGGAGGCCGAGGCGGGCGGATCACGAGGTCAGGAGATCGAGACCATCCCGGCTAAAACGGTGAATACAAAAATACTAACGGTCTCTACTAAAAATACAAAAAATTAGCTGGGCGTAGTGGCGGGCGCCTGTAGTCCCAGCTACTTGGGAGGCTGAGGCAGGAGAATGGCGTGAACCCGGGAAGCGGAGCTTGCAGTGAGCCGAGATCCCGCCACTGCACTCCAGCCTGGGCGACAGAGCGAGACTCCGTCTCAAAAAAAAAAAAAAAAAAAAAATCAGTTGTTTTTCTGTGTACATTAACAATGAATTCATGGACATTGAAGTTAAAAATGCAATACCATTTACAGTTGCTTAAAAAACAAAAATATATTTAGAAACTTTACTACTCTTTTTGTCTTTTTTGTCATTTTGGAAGAGGTTTGTCAATTTCTTGTGTGTGTGTTTTTTAAAATAGCTGTTTGTTACATTGATATTTTTAACTTTTTTCATATTTTAAATTGTATTGATTTCTACTCTTTATTATTTTCTTTCTTCTTGTCTTGCATTTATTTTTGTTCTTCTTTGTCTAGGCTCTTCAAGTAGCAGCATGTGTCCTACAAATTTTAACAGGATTTGTTGTATTTTCATTTTTATTCGGTTTAGTGTATTTTTTTTAATTTCCCTTGAGACATCTTCTTTTTTTTTTTGATGTTGACCTTTTTATTTATTTATTTATTTATTTATTTATTTTTTTTATTATACTTTAAGTTTTAGGGTACATGTGCACATTGTGCAGGTTAGTTACATATGTATACATGTGCCATGCTGGTGTGCTGCACCCACTAACTCGTCATCTAGCATTAGGTATATCTCCCAATGCTACCCCTCCCCCCTCCCCTCACCCCACCACAGTCCCCAGAGTGTGATATTCCCCTTCCTGTGACCATGTGATCTCATTGTTCAATTCCCACCTATGAGTGAGAATATGCGGTGTTTGGTTTTTTGTTCTTGCGATAGTTTACTGAGAATGATGGTTTCCAATTTCATCCATGTCCCTACAAAGGACATGAACTCATCATTTTTTATGGCTGCATAGTATTCCATGGTGTATATGTGCCACATTTTCTTAATCCAGTCTATCATTGTTGGACATTTGGGTTGGTTCCAAGTCTTTGCTATTGTGAATAATGCCGCAATAAACATACCTGTGCATGTGTCTTTATAGCAGCATGATTTATAGTCATTTGGGTATATACCCAGTAATGGGATGGCTGGGTCAAATGGTATTTCTAGTTCTAGATCCCTGAGGAATCGCCACACTGACTTCCACAATGGTTGAACTAGTTTACAGTCCCACCAACAGTGTAAAAGTGTTCCTATTTCTCCACATCCTCTCCAGCACCTGTTGTTTCCTGACTTTTTAATGATTGCCATTCTAACTGGTGTGAGATGGTATCTCACTGTGGTTTTGATTTGCATTTCTCTGATGGCCAGTGATGATGAGCATTTTTTCATGTATTTTTTGGCTGCATAAATGTCTTCTTTTGAGAAGTGTCTGTTCATGTCCTTCGCCCACTTTTTGATGGGGTTGTTTGTTTTTTTCTTGTAAATTTGTTTGAGTTCATTGTAGATTCTGGATATTAGCCCTTTGTCAGATGAGTAGGTTGCGAAAATTTTCTCCCATGTTGTAGGTTGCCTGTTCACTCTGATGGTAGTTTCTTTTGCTGTGCAGAAGCTCTTTAGTTTAATTAGATCCCATTTGTCAATTTTGGCTTTTGTTGCCATTGCTTTTGGTGTTTTGGACATGAAGTCCTTCCCCACGCCTATGTCCTGAATGGTAATGCCTAGGTTTTCTTCTAGGGTTTTTATGGTTTTAGGACTAACGTTTAAATCTTTACTCCATCTTGAATTGATTTTTGTATAAGGTGTAAGGAAGGGATCCAGTTTCAGCTTTCTACATATGGCTAGCCAGTTTTCCCAGCACCATTTATTAAATAGGGAATCCTTTCCCCATTGCTTGTTTTTCTCAGGTTTGTCAAAGATCAGATAGTTGTAGGTATGCGGCGTTACTTCTGAGGGCTCTGTTCTGTTCCATTGATCTATATCTCTGTTTTGGTACCAGTACCATGCTGTTTTGGTTACTGTAGCCTTGTAGTATAGTTTGAAGTCAGGTAGTGTGATGCCTCCAGCTTTGTTCTTTTGGCTTAGGATTGACTTGGCGATGCGGGCTCTTTTTTGGTTCCGTATGAACTTTAAAGTAGTTTTTTCCAATTCTGTGAAGAAAGTCATTGGTAGCTTGATGGGGATGGCATTGAATCTGTAAATTACCTTGGGCAGTATGGCCTTTTTCACGATATTGATTCTTCCTACCCATGAGCATGGAATGTTCTTCCATTTGTTTGTATCCTCTTCTATTTCCTTGAGCAGTGGTTTGTAGTTCTCCTTGAAGAGGTCCTTCACATCCCTTGTAAGTTGGATTCCTAGGTATTTTATTCTCTTTGAAGCAATTGTGAATGGGAGTTCACTCATGATTTGGCTCTCTGTTTGTCTGTTGTTGGTGTATAAGAATGCTTGTGATTTTTGTACATTGATTTTGTATCCTGAGACTTTGCTGAAGTTGCTTATCAGCTTAAGGAGATTTTGGGCTGAGACAATGGGGTTTTCTAGATAAACAATCATGTCGTCTGCAAACAGGGACAGTTTGACTTCCTCTTTTCCTAATTGAATACCCTTTATTTCCTTCTCCTGCCTGATTGCCCTGGCCAGAACTTCCAACACTATGTTGAATAGCAGCAGTGAGAGAGGGCATCCCTATCTTGTGCCAGTTTTCAAAGGGAATGCTTCCAGTTTTTGCCCATTCAGTATGATATTGGCTGTGGGTTTGTCATAGATAGCTCTTATTATTTTGAAATACGTCCCATCAATACCTAATTTATTGAGAGTTTTTAGCATGAAGGGTTGTTGAATTTTGTCAAAGGCTTTTTCTGCATCTATTGAGATAATCATGTGGTTTTTGTCTTTGGCTCTGTTTATATGCTGGATTACATTTATTGATTTCTGTATATTGAACCAGCCTTGCATCCCAGGGATGAAGCCCACTTGATCATGGTGGATAAGCTTTTTGATGTGCTGCTGGATTCGGTTTGCCAGTATTTTATTGAGGATTTTTGCATCAATGTTCATCAAGGATATTGGTCTAAAATTCTTCTTTTTGGTTGTGTCTCTGCCCGGCTTTGGTATCAGAATGATGCTGGCCTCCTAAAATGAGTTAGGGAGGATTCCCTCTTTTTCTATTGATTGGAATAGTTTCAGAAGGAATGGTACTAGTTCCTCCTTGTACCTCTGGTAGAATTCGGCTGTGAATCCATCTGGTCCTGGACTCTTTTTCGTTGGTAAACTATTGATTATTGCCACAATTTCAGCTCCTGTTATTGGTCTATTCAGAGATTCAACTTCTTCCTGGTTTAGTCTTGGGAGAGTGTATGTGTCAAGGAATGTATCCATTTCTTCTAGATTTTCTAGTTTATTTGCATAGAGGTGTTTGTAGTATTCTCTGATGGTAGTTTGTATTTCTGTGGGATCGGTGGTGATATCCCCTTTATCATTTTTTATTGTGTCGATTTGATTTTCCTCTCTTTTTTTCTTTGTTAGTCTTGCTAGCGGTCTATCAATTTTGTTGATCCTTTCAAAAAACCAGCTCCTGGATTCATTGATTTTTTGAAGGGTTTTTTGTGTCTCTATTTCCTTCAGTTCTGCTCTGATTTTAGTTATTTCTTGCCTTCTGCTAGCTTTTGAATGTGTTTGCTCTTGCTTTTCTAGTTCTTTTAATTGTGATGTTAGGGTGTCAATTTTGGATCTTTCCTGCTTTCTCTTGTGGGCATTTAGTGCTATAAATTTCCCTCTACACACTGCTTTGAATGCGTCCCAGAGATTCTGGTATGTTGTGTCTTTGTTCTCGTTGGTTTCAAAGAACATCTTTATTTCTGCCTTCATTTCGTTATGTACCCAGTAGTCATTCAGGAGCAGGTTGTTCAGTTTCCATGTAGTTGAGCGGCTTTGAGTGAGATTCTTAATCTTGAATTCTAGTTTGATTGCACTGTGGTCTGAGAGATAGTTTGTTATAATTTCTGTTCTTTTACATTTGCTGAGGAGAGCTTTACTTCCAACTATGTGGTCAATTTTGGAATAGGTGTGGTGTGGTGCTGAAAAAAACGTATATTCTGTTGATTTGGGATGGAGAGTTCTGTAGATGTCTATTAGGTCCGCTTGGTGCGGAGATGAGTTAAATTCCTGGGTATCCTTGTTGACTTTCTGTCTCGTTGATCTGTCTAATGTTGACAGTGGGGTGTTAAAGTCTCCCATTATTAATGTGTGGGAGTCTAAGTCTCTTTGTAGGTCACTCAGGACTTGCTTTATGAATCTGGGTGCTCCTGTATTGGGTGCATATATATTTAGTATAGTTAGCTCTTCTTGTTGAATTGATCCCTTTACCATTATGTAATGGCCTTCTTTGTCTCTTTTGATCTTTGTTGGTTTAACGTCTGTTTTATCAGAGACTAGGATTGCAACCCCTGCCTTTTTTTGTTTTCCATTTGCTTGGTAGATCTTCCTCCATCCTTTTATTTTGAGCCTATGTGTGTCTCTGCACGTGAGATGGGTTTCCTGAATACAGCACACTGATGGGTCTTGACTCTTTATCCAACTTGCCAGTCTGTGTCTTTTAATTGGAGCATTTAGTCCATTTACATTTAAAGTTAATATTGTTATGTGTGAATTTGATCCTGTCATGATGATGTTAGCTGGTTATTTTGCTCGTTAGTTGATGCAGTTTCTTCCTAGTCTCGATGGTCTTTACATTTTGGCATGATTTTGCAGCGGCTGGTACTGGTTGTTCCTTTCCATGTTTAGCGCTTCCTTCAGGAGCTCTTTTAGGGCAGGCCTGGTGGTCACAAAATCTTTCAGCATTTGCTTGTCTGTAAAGGATTTTATTTCTCCTTCACTTATGAAGCTTAGTTTGGCTGGATATGAAATTCTGGGTTGAAAATTCTTTTCTTTAAGAATGTTGAATATTGGCCCCCACTCTCTTCTGGCTTGTAGGGTTTCTGCCGAGAGATCCGCTGTTAGTCTGATGGGCTTCCCTTTGAGGGTAACCCGACCTTTCTCTCTGGCTGCCCTTAACATTTTTTCCTTCATTTCAACTTTGGTGAATCTGACAATTATGTGTCTTGGAGTTGCTCTTCTCGAGGAGTATCTTTGTGGCATTCTCTGTATTTCCTGAATCTGAACGTTGGCCTGCCTTGCTAGATTGGGGAAGTTCTCCTGGATAATATCCTGCAGAGTGTTTTCCAACTTGGTTCCATTCTCCCCATCACTTTCAGGTACACCAATTAGACGTAGATTTGGTCTTTTCACATAGTCCCATATTTCTTGGAGGCTTTGCTCATTTCTTTTTATTCTTTTTTCTCTAAACTTCCCTTCTCGCTTCATTTCATTCATTTCATCTTCCATTGCTGATACCCTTTCTTCCAGTTGATCGCATCGGCTCCTGAGGCTTCTGCATTCTTCACGTAGTTCTCGAGCCTTGGTTTTCAGCTCCATCAGCTCCTTTAAGCACTTCTCTGTATTGGTTATTCTAGTTATACATTCTTCTAAATTTTTTTCAAAGTTTTCAACTTCTTTGCCTTTGGTTTGAATGTCCTCCCGTAGCTCAGAGTAATTTGATCGTCTGAAACCTTCTTCTCTCAGCTCGTCAAAGTCATTCTCCATCCAGCTTTGTTCCATTGCTGGTGAGGAACTGCGTTCCTTTGGAGGAGGAGAGGCGCTCTGTGTTTTAGAGTTTCCAGTTTTTCTGTTCTGTTTTTTCCCCATCTTTGTGGTTTTATCTACTTTTGGTCTTTGATGATGGTGATGTACAGATGGGTTTTCGGTGTGGATGTCCTTTCTGTTTGTTAGTTTTCCTTCTAACAGACAGGACCCTCAGCTGCAGGTCTGTTGGAATACCCTGCCGTGTGAGGTGTCAGTGTGCCCCTGCTAGGGGGTGCCTCCCAGTTAGGCTGCTCGGGGGTCAGGGGTCAGGGACCCACTTGAGGAGGTAGTCTGCCCGTTCTCAGATCTCCAGCTGCGTGCTGGGAGAACCACTGCTCTCTTCAAAGCTGTCAGACAGGGACATTTAAGTCTGCAGAGGTTACTGCTGTCTTTTTGTTTGTCTGTGCCCTGCCCCTAGACGTGGAGCTTACAGAGGCAGGCAGGCCTCCTTGAACTCTGGTGGGCTCCACCCAGTTGGAGCTTCCTGGCTGCTTTGTTTACCTAAGCAAGCCCGGGCAATGGCGGGCTCCCCTCCCCCAGCCTAGCTGCCGCCTTGCAGTTTGATCTCAGACTGCTTTGTGCTAGCAATCAGCGAGATTCTGTGGGTGTAGGACCCTCCAAGCCAGGTGTGGGATATAGTCTCGTGGTGCGCCGTTTTTTAAGCCGGTCTGAAAAGCGCAGTATTCGGGTGAGAGTGACCCGATTTTCCAGGTGCATCCATCACCCCTTTCTTTGACTCGGAAAGGGAACTCCCTGACCCCTTGCGCTTCCCAGGTGAGGCAATGCCTCGCCCTGCTTCGGCTCGCGCACGGTGCGCACACCCACTGGCCTGCGCCCACTGTCTGGCACTCCCTAGTGAGATGAACCCGGTACCTCAGATGGAAATGCAGAAATCACCCATCTTCTGCATCGCTCTCGCTGGGAGCTGTAGACCGGAGCTGTTCCTATTCGGCCATCTTGGCTCCTCCCCCGATCGAGACATCTTCTTTGACACATAGATTATTTGAAAGCGTGTTCTTTAGTTTTCAAGTGCTTGATTTTCCTATTATGTCTCTGTTATTGATTTCTAATGTGATTCCATTGTGCTTGGAGACTCTACTCTGTTCAGTTCTTTAAAATTTGTTGATGTATGTTTTATGCCTCAGTATATGTTCTCTCTTGGTATATGGTCCATGATTACTTGAAAGTAATAAGTACTCTGCTGTTGTTGAGGTGGGGTATTCTATAAATTTTGTTGATGGTGTTGTTGATTTCTTCTGTATCCTTGCTGATTTTCTGTCTATTTGTTTTATCTCTTGTTGTTAGAGGATATTGACATTTCTACTGATAATGGTGAATTTATCTATTTCTCCTTTCAAGTTTTAGTTTTTGCTTCATATATTTTATAGCTTGTTGGTTGGTACATATACATTAGTGCTTGTTATATTTTCTTGGTGAATTATGTCTCATCACTATGTAATGTCCCTCTCTGTCTCTGGTAATTTTCTTTGCTGAAGTCTCCTTTATCTGTTATTAATATAGCCACTTCTGCTTTGGTTTGATTATTGTTTGCATGTTATATTTCTTCCATCATTTTTCTTTCAACATGCCTGTATTTTTATATTATAAGTTAGTTTCTTATATACTACATATAATTGAGTTGCATTTTAAAATCTACCTTTTCAGTTTTTGCCTTTTAATTGGCATATTTAGGCGATTTACATTTAATGTAATTATTAATATGTTATGGCTAAAGTTTTGCATTTTTTTAATTTCTGTTTTCTTTTTTTTTACTTCCTGTGGGTTACTTGATTTTTTTTAAGAGTTTTCTTTTGATTTATCTATAGTGTTTATGAGGATATTTCTATGCAAAACTTTTTGGTGGTTTATTTTAGTATTATTCTATATGTACATAAATTATCACAAGGTACTGGTAAAGCTGAGGCTTTCTATTTTTACATTGTTTCAGTTATTTTCATGATTGTTCATTGAAGCATTTTTTTAAAGACTCTTAAAATATTTGTCAGATACTTCTGACATGTCTTTTTTTGGTGTTGACTTTTATCTTTTTTGTTTTTTTGGTCAGTTTGTGATTTTTTTGACTCTTGGTCTGATGAGTAATTTTTGGTTGAAAACAGGACCTATTTCCCCATTATATTCTGAGACTGGATCTTATTTAAACCTTCTGTTTTAGGTGAATGTTTATGACATTACTTTAAGAGGGGAAGGGAGCTCATCACTGCCAGGTAGAGTTTGTTGAAGTCCAGATTCCCCTTTCAGTCTCTGTTGCCCTACTCAAGTAGCAGGAGTGGCTCCTCATTATTGCTGAGTCAGAGTGGTGATTCTAGCTCTCCGTGTGTAGTCTCTATTGTATTGGTGCTTACCTAATTTCCACTGGTTAGTGAAAGTCTTAATTTAACTTTTTTCTAGTCCTCCTCAGTGGGTAGTGGGAGGATCACCTCATTGCTGCCAGTTTGGAGAGGAAGTACAGGTTCTACTTGCTGTCTACTGACACTGCTAGGGGGGGCTGTCCTTTTACTTTCCAGAGGGGTGAAATTCTTGGCTCCCTACTTGTTCTTTTCTCACCATGTCAGGAGTATTGTGGGACCTTGTTATAGTCTCATGAGGATAGAACTTTAGGCTGTCCACTAAGCCTTTCTGACATGGTTAGAGTGGGACTACAGTTTTTTCTGTGGTGTTTGGCTGACATAGAGTGAAATTTGCCTAAAGTTTTCTTCTTTCCATGGTGTTCTTCTCTTCATCTTTTGGGCAGGGTTTTGTCGGAGCTTTTTTGTTTGTACCTGTTAGCTTTTTCTGGTTGTTGGCTTATCTGGCCCCAAGTGTGGAATATATAAGGGACAAAGAAGATCCAGGGAAGTCATCAGTTATGTTCCTTGGGTTCCAAGATCCCTAGCTGTTCTGCCTTCTCTCCATCTTTCATATATATATATATATATTAGAATCTCTCTATATATATGGGTTGATATATATATAGAATTGATATATATGTATATATAGAATTCATATGTGTGTGTGTGTATATATATATATATGTTTAGAAACAGTGGTCTTGAACTGGTCTTGAATTCCTGGTTTCAAGCAGTCCTCCCCACTCGGCTTCCCAAGTGGCTGGGATTATAGGCATGAGCCACTGTGCCCAGTCTGGATCTTCGTATGCTTGTTTATTCATAATGTCCATGGTTTTTGGTTGTACTTAACGAGAGAAATAGGAAAATGTACATCTACTCTATCTTCCTAGAAGCAGAAGTTACACATAGTTTTTAAACAGCAATGACTTTCTAATTTATGGAATTTTAGATGAAATATAAAATATAGTGACATACATACACATATATATTTATATAAATGTCTATTATATGTATATTTATATATATTTTATATACTATATATGTATTTATTTATTTAGCAAGGGGAACAGTTTGATTGTTGTTGCCTAGAGTTGGCCCCTGAATTAGTTTTCCTAGTTTCTCCCATTCTATTTATGAACTCTGTCTCTAAAAATGGTAAGTTTTTATTCCCCAAACTTGTGCTAAATGTAGTGGGAATTTGGATCCATACTGTTTGATTCATGCAGTGATCTTTGACCCTTGATACACCTTACACTCATATAGGACATTTTTTTAAAAACCAACCAACCTAGGCCTAGACAACACCAGATTCTTTGGGTTGAGTTCAGGGAATAAGCAATTTTAGAATGCTTCCCAGGTGATTCTAATATGTAGCCAGTGTTAAGAACCACTGGCATAGAGTTTGGAATTGGTTGGTTGCTTGTGAATCATAAGGTTTTCTTAAAGAAATTTGGAGTTAGAAACTAATATATGAATTTTTTTTTATCATTTTAATTAACTTATGGTAGAATCTAAGGGTTTATTTATCTGGCAATCATATTTGGCCAAGGCTGTAGATTAAGCCTTATTTTCCCTAGGCACGAAAATGAGGGGCTGTGTTGACAGATTTCTTTTCTTTCTAAAACTTACTATTTACTCTTAAATTTCACACTAAATTTCTGAGATCTATTGTTTTTTTCTGATTGTAGACTTTGATGTATGTATATATGTCTGTGTGTCTTTTTTTAATTATAAACTTTTCATATTTTCAGTTGTTTCTTTTTTGTTCTTCATATATTTTTTGTTGTTAATTTTGATTTTCTTAATCCTAATTTACATTGACTTCTATTATAGATTTTTGTGAAATTGATTTGTACTGGGCATTATACTGTTTTGGGACCAGAGCCTCACTTATTGCATCATATTCTTGCTATCTTAGGACTAGTGTATTGTTTTATTGTGATTCAATCACAGGAGCTCTGTGCTGACCTCTGCTTGTTTAGCTTTAACCCAGTTCTTTGTATCAGTTTGAGTTTATAGGCCTTTGTGTAAACATCTGCTTAAGTTTTGTAGTCTCTATTAGATATGACTGGATTTTGAATGATGTGTTCTTTATAATGAGCATTTTTATATTTTACTATGTTTTGATTACTTGATTAACTTTCACAGATTCTATAACAACTTAGTCTTTGCACTTTGGTTGTAAAGTGACATAATATTTTAACTCGAATCAGGATGATTTTATGCTAAATGATAATTTTGAGGATAGTATGTCAATTATAGGCACTAGGCCCGGTAACTGGAGCCTTTGCCCAAAGATTATGCCCTGCATGGGCCATGCTACATCTCTGTGCTAGAGCCCATAGTTTTCCCTCCTAGATCATGCTCTGCAGACCCAGGATCCCAGGATTCCCCATTTAAATGGTCCTGAGCCTATGCGGGCATCTTCCCTGCTTTTCCTCATTAGGACAGACTGCACCAGGCTAGTGATGGACAAGACACAGCTATTGCAAGGGTGGCATATGGTGGTGGGGGCACTGGGATAGAGCTAAGACGTGTGTGCCGCACTGTTTTAGGAGTCAGAGGTGGGAATAGAATAGAAAGAAAATCAATGGATGCTATTGATTTACTTTGGATTGAATTGAATTATTGTTGCACTTTGGTAAAATGAAGCTAGGCAGTATTGCATATAATATTCTGATCTTCTAATAGTACTTCATGGTGTTGAACTTCTTGTCCTTGGAACTCTTTTACCAGATGATACAAAAACTGCTAATGACTAGTATTAATTTATTTCCCTAATCTTATGGTCAAATTATACTAAGTTACATTACATGAATCTTTTGTTCATTATTTCCTTTTTTCTCATTTTGTAATCATATGGTTTTTTTTTTTCTGTTTTGAAACATTTTGGTACATTCCAGATAGTTCCTTTGGATGGGGGTATTGGTTCTTCTTTCTTGCTTTTGAAGCTCTGATTCATTTTCTGTTTTATTACTAAGATAAGTTACTATGAAAGTTTTCTTCCAGATTCTTAATTTTATCATGCTTCTGAAATTGTTTTGATAATACATGCAATTAGTTTATCTGATATATGTCAATTATTTCTTTTTTTTTTTTTTTGAGACGGAGTCTCACTGTGTCACCCAGGCTGGAGTGCGGTGGTGCGATCTCTGATCTCGGCTCACTGCAAGCTCCACCTCCCAGATTCATGCCATTCTCCTGCCTCAGCCTCCTGAGTAGCTGGGACTACAGGTGCCCGCCACCACGCCCAGTTAATTTTTTGTATTTTTAGTAGAGACGGGGTTTCACTGTGTTAGCCAGGATGGTCTCGATCTCCTGACCTCGTGATCCACCCGCGTCAGCCTCCCAAAGTGCTGGGATTACAGGCGGAACCACCATGCCTGGCCACTGATTTCTAATATTTTGTCTTCCCTTAAGTTTTCTGATACATTCAAGGCAATTAGTTCATCAGCTTTATTTTTCAATCTATTTTATTGATGTTTTTGTACTGTCTTCTTATTTTTTGTAAACTTCTAGTGGTTGTTCTAGTATTTTTTCCGCATAGTCTTACCTTTCATTTTGTTCTTTTTATATGTAAATGTTTATGATCCATTATTTATTGTTATAGCTAATGCAGTGTAAAGTATACATTGTACCATATTTCAGATGAGATACTTTATTTAAATAGCTGAGATAAAAATTTCATGGCTTAAAGTGACATCCAAACCATACACTTCTTTTTTTGAGGAGTTATTATGCTGTTAAAATGCCTAGAATTATTCTAAAATTAAACATTAAAAGGCCTTATCTCAAAACTTATTTAACATTTAAAATATTATTTTATTCACTATTCTTAGTAAAGTTTCACTCTTATTCCGTTATTCTGAAATATATAACTTAATATGCTTTGTTATTGGCAGAGCCCTCTTCTTTGTCAGGGTGTGAATTTAGGTAATCAGTGATGTAGTATGAGCATAATGCTTGCGGAAGGGTTGTGGTTGTGTATTTTCTAAGGAAGATCAGTTGGCTACCCAGACAAGATCACAGAGCAGCATTTATTATTCGAAGACCGATCTGCCAATGTAATAAATATAGAACTGTCTCATAGGATGGACTTAACCAAGTTCACTGATATACAAATCAAAATTCCAATTTATTACTTTAAAAATAGATATTTAACCCTCAAGTAATCAGATGTTCATCACCATATTCTCTTCTGAAGTCAGTTTTACATGGGAATCCAAATTTTGACCAGAAGGCTGTCAGGTGAAAATGGTTACTAGAATAAGGTGATTAGTTGGATGATCTTATTGACTACTGCATCAAGCTATGCTCATCCGTGTCTACCACTTGAATTTATCTATTGCAAGGACCAGGTATATTTTTTAGTGGTCCAGGGCATCCTCTTGGACAGAATGGAGACACATTACCAATTTCATTTTTCTGGATGCTCTTTTGATGTCTTGTGAACCATGTCTCTTCATTATTTTTTCAGGCATATTAAAATACAGTTACTTAGAAAAAATAAACTATATACCAAATTTTATCTGTGTTAAAATTTCAAATATGTAAAAAAGTAAACAAATTAGAAGGACATAATATAAAATGAAACAAGTTTGTGGTACTGTTGCTGGTGAACATGCATCAAACAGAAGAAAATATTCCTGTTAGTTTCCCTGGTTTGCATTCACTATAGAATAGTGGTTTTCAGGCTTTTTGGCCTGAGCAGTCCTTTTCACTTTAAAGAATTGAGGACCCAAGAGCTTTTGTTTATATGAATCAATTACTATTTTCATAAAAATAATGAGTGGATAGCTTAATAGAAGATGGTTGAATTTTTTTTTTTATTTGTGAGTGTTGTAACACATTATTTCAATGGAAATGTATGAAAAATATCTGGCCTAACACATATATGATATGTGATTAAGATGGAGCAATATTCTAATCATTTGTTTTCTGGTAATTATGATATTCTTCCTTTCATACTACACCAAAATTCAACAGTGATAATTTTCTAAAGATTAATTCCAGTATTAGAATCTGAAACCATAGTAGTGAGTTTTTCTATTTTGTTACATTAAAATCTATTTCTCTATCTTGTACTTGGAATAGATCTTTATTCATATGTGAACGGGTAATGTCATGTATTTGTCATTTGGAAAAATCAGAAAAGTTTCTAAATACTAGGAAACTGTTAAGTTCATGGTGGCAGATAGAAGCTTTTGAAAATTTGACTTTTCAACTGAAAGCTTAAATTTTATAATTGTTATCAAAAACCATCTGTGTTTCCATGATGTCATAGGTTCAGTTGATTCATTTTTGAGAAAATGTCTGTTGAGTATCCAAATCTGAATAATCAAAGTTTATCTCTCAGTTTTTCTTTCAAATGAAAAAGATGATTCATGAAAAAAGCTGTAGTTCAACATGCAATTTAATCACAGATAATTTTCCTTGAGACAACCATTGTACTTCATTATGTAGCAGGTATAGTTTATGCGTATTTCTCATTTCACTACAAAATGCTAAAAAGATGCTAAAAAGATTTGCTAAAAAGAGTATTTTTTAAATCAAGGATTTTCTTAATCAAAAGTGTCTTTTTTGTGAATTCACAGATTCAAAAAAATTGTGAATGCATGACAATGAAGAATACAATGATTACAGTTTTGTTCCACTGTCTTCATTGGTGCTAGGGAGCCAGCAATTTTATCTGTCATTGCTTTTGTACCTGTAGTGCAAATGTCAATTGAGAGAAAAAGGAAAAGAATGGCTTAGTGTTTTTATGAAAAAAAGATTTGACTTGGTAGATCCCTGAAAGGGCCCAGTGAAGGAGTTCATGAACACCTCGAGAACCACAACTGTAGAGAAAAGCTGTTAGAGAAACAGTATTTTTCACCTTTGTCTAAAAAGTGCTTCTTATATCAGTTGCTTATCAATTTCACTATTTTGCTATGTTTGAAAAACAGTGAAAATACATTTGAATACCACCTGAATTACAGTATTCTATTTCAACACAAATTGAGTGTACTGTGGTTCTGTTCTACTGCTAACCATCCAGAGTTAGCTCAGACCCCACAAGTTCAAGGGCATGATCCCCAACATGACCACTCTTCAGATACCAGCTACACTTAATTTGTCCCTAGGTTACCCATACTTCTGACTAAATGGTTATACATTCAGCAGTTCCTTTGATCCCCTCAGGTTTGATAACTTGCTAGAATGACTGGCAGAATTCAGGAAAGAACTATACTTAGAATGACAGGTTTATTATAAAGGATGCTAATCAGGAGGACCAGTCAAATGAAGAGACCCATATGATTGTCTGAGAGGGAACACAGAGCCTGTGTGACTTCCTTTTGTAGAATCAGGACATGTGAATGTGTTTGCCAACCAGGAGGCTCTGCTAAGCCTAGATGTACAGAGTTTTTACTGGGGTTTCATTAAGTAGTAATGATTGATTAAACCTTTGGCCATTTGTTTGAGCTCAGTCTTTAGTATCCACTCACCAGAGGTCAGGCAGCTAAATATACTAACCTGCTAATTACATGCTTATTCTTTCTGCTGACCATCCTGTATCCTGAAGCTATCTAGGGGCTTCAGTTGGCATGTGTCAACTCCTTAGCATAACAAAGACATTTATATCTCTGGAAATTCCATGGGCTTTTGCAGCCTCTTGGAAAAGAGCTTCAAAAGTGTTCAGAACACTGCAAAAGAGAAATGTTGTGTTGGACTTCCAGGGAGCCTGGGTAAAGAGATCTGATTAATACTCTATATTGCCATTCCCTTCCCCTTTTTTTTGAGTTCTGGAGTCAGTGTGTGGTAATGTTCAACCACCCATCTTAAACCATGAAGTAAATTGGAAGGTGGAGACCACATACTGATGGCACTACAGCAGTATCATACTAGCCTGATACTGCCCATTTATGGAGATAACAGCTTCTTCAAGCAGTTCTCTTGCCTCAGCCTCCCAAGTAGCTGGGATTACAGGCACCCACCACCACACCTGGCTAATTTTTGTATTTTTAGCAGAGATGGGGTTTTGCCATGTTGGCCAAGCTGGTCTCAAACTCCTGACCTCAGGTGATCCGACTGCCTCAGCCTCTCAAAGCGCTGGGATTACAGGCATGAGCTACCGCACCCGGCCACAAACATATCTTTCATGGCTAGAGCAGGAGGAAGAGAGAAAGGGGGAAGGTGCTACACACTTTTAACAACCACATCTTATGATAACTCACTATCATGAGAACAGCACCAAGGGGATGATAATAAACCATTCATGACAACTCCACCCCCATGGTCCAATCACCTCCCATCAGGCCCCACCGCTAACATTGGGGATTACAATTTGACAGGAGATTTAAGCGGGGACACAGAGCCAAGCCATATTGTACTTCTAACCTAAAGAGCTGTAAGATAATAAACTTGTGTTGTATGAACCACTACATTTGTGATAACTTACTACAGCAGAAATAGAAAACTAGTATAGACGGATAGCTGGGGGCAGGGCGAAGACAGAGAGGGAGGAAGTAAGAGAGGAAGAAGTTGTTATCACCATAAATGGGCAGGCGGATGTTGCAGTGAGCCGAGATCATGCCGCTGCACTCCAGCTTGGGTGACAAGAGTGAAACTCTGCCTCAAAAAAAAAAAAAAAAAAAAGGTGTGCTTGCTTCCCCTTCACCTTCCACCATGATTGTAAGTTTCCTGAGGTCTCCCTGAAACAGAAGCTGCTATGCTTCCTATACAGCCTGCAGAACCATGAGCCAGTTAAACTTCTTTTCTTTATAAATTACCCAGTCTCAGATATTTCTTTATTGAAATGTGAGAATAGACCAATACAGAAAATCAGTGCCAAGGAGTAGGGCATTGCTATAAAGATACCTGAAAATGTGGAAGCAGCTTTGAAAGTGGGTAACAGGCAGAGGCTGGAAGAGTATGGAGGGCTCATAAGAAGACAGGAAAATGAGGGAAAGTTTGGAACTTCTTAGAGACTTGTTAAATTGTGACCAAAATGTTGATAGTGATATGGACAATGAAATCCATGCTGATGAGGTCTCGGATGGAGATGAGGAACTTACTGGGAACTGGAGCAAATGTCACTTTTGTTATGCATTAACAAAGAACCTAGTGGCATTTTACCCCTGCCCTGGGGATCTGTGGATCTTTGAACTTGAGACTGATGATTTAGGGTATCTGGCAGAAGAAATTTCTAAGCAGTAAAGTGTTCAAGAGGTGACCTGGCTGCTTCTAACAACCTGTGCCCATATGCATGAGCAAAGAAATGATGTAAAACTCAAACTTGTATTTAAAGGGGAAGCAGAACATAAAAGTTGAAAATTTTGTAGCCCAGCCATGTGGTAGAAAAGAAAAACTTATTTGAGGGTGCAAAAGCCAGCTGCAGCCATTTTCATAACTAAAAGGAAGGCAACAGTTGAGACTTGGGAACCCCAGCCTAGATTTTAGAGGAGATATGGAAAAGCCTGAATGTCCAGGCAGAAGTCTGCTGTAGGGCTGTAGCTTTCATGAGAACCTCTACTAGGGCAATGCAAGAGGGAAATATGGGGTTAGAGTCTTCACTGGAGTACTGCCTGGTGGAGCTGTGAGAAGAGGGCCACCATCCTCCAGACCCCTCCAGATAGAGCTACCAATAGCTGGCACTATGCACTTGGAAAACCCATAGGCACCCAATGCCAGCCCATGAGAGCAGCCTCAGGGGCTGAACCCTGCAGGGCCATAGGGATGGAGTGGCTGAAGGCTTTGGGAGCCCACGCCTTTTATCAGTGTGCCCTGGATGTGGGACATGGAGTCAAAGGAGATTATTTTGGAGCTTTCCAAAATACAGTGTCTAACACATATCTCACTAGGCTACATCTGAAGTGGTGGCAGGGAAGCTTTTTTATCCTGGAGTATCTCAGAGAGAATTTGTTTCCTTGCTTTTTCAAGCTTCTAAAGGCTGCCCACATTCTTTGGCTCATGGCCCTCTTCCTTTATCTTCAAAGCAGCATTATTTGAAGACTGCTTCAAAGCAGACCATTATTCCAAACTCACATCTCCCTCTGACTCTCCTGGCTCCCTCTTCCACTTTTTAGGACCCTTCTGATTACATTTGGCCTGCCTAGATAATTTAGGATAATCTGTCCACCTCAAGACTTTTAACTTAATCTTATCTTCAAAATCCTTTTTGCCATGTAAAGTAACATATTCACAAGTCCGGGGATTAGAACGTAGACATCTTGCGGGGTGGGGGCATTATTCATTCTATCTCTCTACATCATCTTTCCCTCCTTCCCTTCCCTTCTTCCTTTCCTTCTTCCTTCCTTTCCTTCTTCCCTTCCTTCCCAGGCCCCGCTTCCAGCATTGAGGACCACATTTCAACATGAGATTTGGAGGGGACAGATATCCAAACTCAAGTATCCATTGGTGTTCCTTGCCTGAATTGATCATTAAATTACATTGAGGGTGCAATATGTTGATACTGTATTTCAGTTACTGTGTATTTTTAGAATTTTTCTATAAAGAACAGCTTTTCTTAAACTCTTTGAAAAATATTGTCATAGGCCAGGTGCGGTGGCTCACACCTGTAATCCCAGCACTTTGGGAGGCCAAGGTGGGCAGATCATTTGAGGTCAGGAGTTTGAGATTAGCCTGGCCAGTATGGTGAAACCTTGTCTCTACTAAAAATGTGAAAAATAGCCAGGCATGGTGGCGGGCACCTGTAATCCCAGCTACTTGGGAGGCTGAGGCATGAGAATCGCTTGAACCTGGGAGGTAGAAGTTGCAGTGAGCCTAGATCATGTCACTGCACTCCAGCCTGGATGGGTGACAGCGAGACTCCATCTCAAAAATAAAAAAAAAAAACACTGTAGACTAATTGTTTTCAATTTGTTATAATCAGTTATAGTCATTATTACTATTATTATTTTGATGCTCAAATTATCCTAAATTTGGTTATTTATATGTCCTTTTGACATAATACCATTAATCTTTGAGTGTTTCCTTACCTTCTGGCCTAGCAAGATACCCAGAGCTAACCTTGTGATTTTCCTATTTTGACCTTTGAAATTAGTCATTTCCTCAAGGAGCATAGGTTTCTTTTACTGGGGATTGGCATTTTAGAAGCCAAGATCTTGGTACCAGGTGTGCTCCTTGTTACAGGTGTCCACTATCTTTAGATATATTTGGTACTTCCAAGTTCTTAGGCTTTTTTTTTTTTTTTAGTTATTTGGAGGGAATTGATGTGCTTCTTACTGATTTCTCAGATCTTTTGAGTCAGTTATGACTCTTTCATCTACTTTCTATTTCCAAAATTTTATTGCTGTCTCTTATTTTCTATTGCCCTTCTCTCTTTGGAGGTTAAGCCTTTTTAAAATTCTTACTGTACTTTAGCAGGATTTTGGGGAAGGAGTTGAAGTAAATCAGTATGTTCAGTTACCATACTTAACTGGATGTCTTTATATCAACACTCTCAGTATAAATTTAGGTTTTACTATGGAGAAGTACTATGCCTAATGCAGTTGACATATAAAACTTAAGTGATTGTATAGTCTGTTTGGGTTGCTATAACAAAATACCTTAGACTGGGTAATTTATGTACAAAAGATATGTATTGCTCACAGTTCTGGAGGCTTGGAAGTTCAAGATCTAGGTGCTAGCAGATTTGGTGTCTAGTTAGGGCTTGTTCCTCATAGAAGGCACCTTCTATGTGTCCTTATTTGGCAGAAGGGATTAGATGGTTCTGTGGGGACTTGTTTATGAGGGCATTAATTCCATTCACAAAGGTGGAGCCCTT
Source organism: Homo sapiens (assembly GCF_000001405.40). NCBI lineage: Eukaryota > Metazoa > Chordata > Mammalia > Primates > Hominidae > Homo > Homo sapiens. The sequence goes on along the minus strand of NC_000008.11, from coordinate 98,602,303 downwards.
ATGACCTAATCGCCTCCCAAAGGCCCCACCTTCTAATACCATCACGTTGGTGATTTGCTTTGAACATAAGAATTTTGCAAGAGACACAAACATTCAGACAATAGAAGACACTGTCTTGCCTTCAGGTAGTTTTCATGTTATCCAGGGCATTTAGAATGAGTTTATAACTAATCAGAGTACAATATTAAAATATGGAAAGTTCTGAAGTTGAGATATTAAACAGTGATAGCACTTGTCTTGTATTTTATATTTTAGAATAGTGGTTCTCCATGTTACTCACATATTGGAATTGCTTGGGAGATGTAAGAAAATATTGTGCCTTGTCGTCACCCCAGATCAGTTAAATCAGACTCTTTTATGGCTGATACTAAGTTCTACAAGTGCTGAACTTCTGATGTGATCCAGTTAGTATTTGAGTGATTTCTTTCTTTATGGGCAACAAGATGCCTTTGGCTCACCTCGTAATTTCCCTGCCCTACATCTGAAATAAGTCAGTTTCTCTCACAGCTCCATGAGGTTTCAAACTTCACAACTGAGAAGATGCTGGTCTCCTTTCTGTGCTTCACTGACTCACTCATTCTTTATGACTCAGCTGAAATCTCATCTTCCCATACCCATTTAGCTCACATACCTATTTGGGCTAAGTCATCCTTTGTAATACCTATTGCTCACATGTATTTGAGCACTTACACTATTTTATTAAAATGATCTGATATACATTTTTATATTCCATTAGACTCTAAATTTCTTGAAGAAGTTAATATATTGCAGGTATGGATACATTTATGTGCTTACAAAAGTCAGTTGAACTGATCATAGGACTTCTATCTGAGAGAGTGAAATTTGTGATAAAGTTCTTTAAGTGTTGGCTTTTGTTCACTTTTGCTTTTCTCTACAGCCATGTTTTATGATATTGTTGGATTGTATTAAAGGGATATTATATTTCAGTCTTGAAAGATGGTTAAGATTTACAATTGATTGTATTGGGATTTAAATAGTGCATGAGTAAGAGGTGGTTGTGGGGCAGACTGGAATAGGTGACAGCTTAAGGGGTGGTATCAAATGAAGCTTTTGCAATTGCGAGTATAATTTTTAAATACTTTTAAATATATGTATATATATTTAAATAGAGTCAGGATCTCATTGTGTTGCCTAGGCTTGTCTTGAGCTCCTGGGCTCAAGCAATCCACCTTCCTCAGCCTCTCAGCTCAGGGACTACAGGCATGAGCCACTATGCCTAGCTGCAAGTATAATTTTTAAAAGTAAAAAAAAATTTAAAAACCATCATAGTAAAAATAAATTTTAAAGACACTTATACAATCTTGTACATAATTGCTGCTATGAATTGACAGTTTAAATTTTTAAGATTCTATACCATCTTTTAGTTTTTATTGCTGCATACTAGTCATTTTTATGTGAAAGCAGTCTTTACTGTTTTACTCCCTCATTTTTGCTTTTTAAGAACTTTTCTTTGTGGTTTTGTAATTCACACATTTGTCAGTTTTTATGGCAATATGTTACTTTATGTTATTCATATATAGTTTACTTAGCACCCTCAATTGTTTGACTTTTTTTTTCTTCAGTTTTCCACCGTTAGAGACAGTAAAACTATAATCTTCTTTGTTACAAATACTTTTCCACTTTTTTCTAGAGACTGAATGTATATAACAGAGCCTTTATCTTAAAATAAAATTATGTGCAGCAGAAATCTGATGGAAGCAGTGGTAATGTGAGGTAGCATATGCTAAGGAATCAAACTTGTTCTAATTTTGACATTCACTTTACTAGCTGTGTGATCTTGAATAAGCTAGCTTACTCTTGTGAGCCTCAGTCGTAAAATTAGGTTAATAATAGCTCACATTATTGAGCATTTACAATTGTGCCAGGCACTATTCTAAGTGTTTTACATGTATTAATCTATTTAAAATTCAGAACAGCCCTAACATTCCCATATTAAGATATGGGAACAGAGGCATAGAGTAGTTAAATAGGTCAGATAGTTACTAATAATGGTGCTGTTATGTACCCAGTGCCATCTAGAGCTGGTTCTCTTATTTGCTTTGTACTTCCAGAATACCAGCTGCACCCTCTCCCTTAATTTGGTTTCCAGGCTGGCACATTGGCCTTTCTTGGCCAGATTAATGATTGCTACTGGAACTGGAGTGAATTGTGAGTTCATGTTCCCAATACTTTAACTCTGTGCTTACTGTGGAAACTTTATTATAGGAGAAAGTTTCACTTTAGATTTACTATTCTCTTCAAAATTTCTGTATATTTCATATTTGCTTTTGAGGGAATGGTGATAAAAATTTAGATTCACATTTTTTTTCTTTTTTAGATGGAGTTTCCCTCTTGTTGCCCAGGCTGTAGTGCAATGGCGTGATCTTGGCTCGTTGTAACCTCCATCTCCCAGGTTCAAGCAATTCTGCCTCAGCCACCCTAGTAGCTGGGATTACAAGTGCCTGCCACCATGCCTGGCTAATTTTTGTTTTTTGGGAGAGACAGGGTTTCACCATATTGGCCAGGCTGGTCTCGAACTCCTGGCCTCAGGTGATCCACCTGCCTCAGCCCCTCAAAGTGTTGGGATTACAGGCATGAGTCACTGCACCTGGCCTAGATTCACATTTTTATATTAACATCTAAAAGGCCTTTTCCTGTCCTTCCCTCTTTTTCCTCTTCTCCATCCCTTTCCTAACTAGCAATTTAATACTTGTTTAGTATAATTTTACCCTTCAATTGCTAGGCAGTTAGAGTGCCAGGGTTTTTTAATACGTGGTAAAGAGTGCCAGGGTCTTTTTATACCCAGTACGGGACCTGATAAACATCCAGTTCAACCTCCTTACTTGGAAAAAAAAAACAAAATGATACTAAAGCCACACAGTCAGGTAGTGATTTAGAACTCAAGCCAGTTTTTCTGACTCATGTCCAGTATTGGCCTCATCACATTGTACTGTTTGCTTTTATTTGTACTGTCTTTTATAAATTAGTGTAATTACTTTATTTCCTTTCCAGAAATTATTTTAAAATTTTATTTAGCTTGTTACCTGTGTATTATGTTTGCTATCAGGAAACAGCTATATTTGTTTACTTCTTTATAGTTTTATAGTGTTTTCTCATCCTTTATCTCATTTATTTGTTGTGAAGATAACCTTTTGCTCATATATCTGAGGTTCTTAAATAATAGCATGAATTTCTTTGTTATTCTGGCATGCCCATCACTTCTATACATTCACAGACTCAGCTGCTGTAGAGTCAGACATGTGTTGACTCATTCCACTGAGATTATAAAGTTCAGTCATTGTTGATTCTCATTTTCAGCCCTTTCCACATCTCCTGGGTACTCTTGCAGTCTAAGGCATGACATTTCAGGCATGAAGATAATTAGTTGTTTTGAAGCACCTAGATTTCTTGCGTTATTAAACTGCTTGTGATCAGAGTAGTTCTTTTAGAAACATAATCAGAGGTTTGGTATGTAGTTAAGCAACACATTGTGTAGAAACAAACACAAGGATAATCATGTCATTTATTTTACTAACATTCTTCAATCAAAATGGTGTTAGAGATAAGATAAATTATATGGCTGTAATGTGTGTCCCTGTGATTTGGTTGGTGGCAAGGGAATGAATTGTTAGTCTAAAGTGAGCCACTGATTGCCAAAACTTTCTATAGAAGGGGCCTAATACCTAATCAACTCATATAAAACCTAGAGATTCTTAAGAGGATCCTCTGTGGTTCATTATTAGGTTAAATTAGTTAAATTAGTACAGTAAGGCTGTCAAGAAAATCTATTATTGATGAGCTAACCTTAAAAAATGGAAATAAATGGCATAGTGGTTTTCCTGGAGACATTTTGGTGTAGATCATACGCTAAGACTTATTTGTTTGGACTGTATGCTCGGTGTTCATGCTTGTTCAATGCATATTTGAGGGTAGAATGTGACATTTTAGGTTCACTTTATGAGAGTACTGGGTAAATAAGAGTTAGAGTTAAGCTTTTTATCCTTGGGTTTCTAATAGCTACTGCTAAGGTGAGCCTTATATGTTAAGATTATCTCAAGATAAGACTGCAACTCATTGCCTCAAAGTTCAAAGGAGAGCATTGGCTTCAAGGACATAAATCATTGTGTTATCCACCAGTTTACAACAGAAGTGCAGATGAACAATATTTATCTAGACAATCTAGTATAATTTACCTGCAGTTTGAGGTCAGTCTATATAGGGGCTTATGTAAGTCCTTTGAACTGTTTCACAGAGATGAGAGTTCAAATTTATTTTTATTCTCTAGTTGGAAGTAGCAGGTGGTTTTGTGTGCCTTTTCCAGCAGCTGCTTTTAACCCCATTTTACTCATTTTTTAAAGCCTTATTAGGTTCTGCCTCAACTGTGGAGCTGTCTGAGATTAATTAGGTTATTTGCAGGCAGAATTTCATTGTCTGGCACTCAGTTGTTTGCTATTCGTTTCATATGTGTTTTTTTTTTTTTCTGCACAAGTTGACTGTGAGCTCTGGGGGTCTGAGATATGTATCCTATTTTAAAAACTGTAATAGCCGGGTTTATAAGGTCTGATATTTAAAGGGACCATCACATAAAGTAGATAATTGAGCCAGGCTAGATAGAGCTCACGCAAAAGGAAGAACATATGTCCTAGTTTAAATTAGTCTAATTACAGCAGATTCATCTTGTGGCAATGTGAGATTGATTTTGTCTGAACGAAGTAGGTCCACTGGCACTATTTGGCCTGTGGCCCTTTGTTTTGATACCTCTAAATTATAGCATTGTTCTGAACACACAGAAATGCTTTATAAATATTTGTTTGATTGAAAGATGTTTATTGTTTTGTAATACTGGCTACACTGCTTTTGAAAGACTATCATAGATGTAATATGTATAACATGACGTGAGGTATATAAAATATTCTAATCTATTAAAGAATTTACGTTTTTTGAAAGAAGATGCATATACTGGTAAAAAGATTGACTCTTAACCTATAATCAACAGACTTGGATATTGAGTCTTTGCTGCTGTGTCCACAGAAAGTCCATTTGATCACTTTCCAAGTAAGAAACCAATGATAATGCATTATATTAAATGGCTGCATATTCTGAGGGCATTCAAAAGAATGATATAGGCAATTATTAAAATACCTGAGTGCCTTGCAATTTAAGGTACCTATTTCTTATTTCTTGAATTCTGGAGTAATTTTTCATGCTTCCTTTTTTCACCTCTCCAAAACAATATTATTAGCATGTACTCTTGGTTCCTCCTTTGAAGTATCTCATGCTTCATTTCTTCCATTTCATTCCTGTAGATACTATTCTAGTTTGAACATTTTATTACTCATGTTGGGACATCTACATTAACCCCCTAACTGACTTGTATTTCATATTTAGAATGTCTTCAGGTTTTTGTTTTTGTTTTTTTAATCTACTTCTTGGGTCATAAACATACTCAGATTAAAAGCAAAAACAGGCCAGGGTGACTATCTAGGAGGCGAGAGATGAGATGGACTCTTTTTATGGCTTTTGATTTTTGAGGTTTCTGAATGTATTATCATTACCACTAAATTATAAGTACTCAATCATTAGTAATAAATTAAAGTAGTATATTACCTTTGAAATTTTTCATTTGAAATTTTGACTCATATTTAAAAAGAGAAAAGTCTTGGCTCTGTCAAGTATTATTTCAAATTATAGCAGTAATTTTACTTAAATATTCTGGATTGCAAAAGCAAATTGGACTCCTACTACCCATTTTAAGCAGCAATGCTTATATAAAACTGAAACAAGAAGTAAATCTGGCATGTAGTAGCAAAATTTGGGAATATATATGTTTAGGGAAAGTCCTTAGTGGGTCAGAAATATAGTCTTCTTTAGAGACTGATAAAAAAAAGTAATAGGTAAAATAAAGAATGATGTGCTCAATGAGCTACAATTCAAATAGAGGAAATTTAATGGGAAATGATTACATTAGTAGCAGATGGACTGGCTTCCTGAATTTCAGTGTTACTAGAAATCCTAGAACAGCTTAAATTTGTTTTTCAAATTTAGAGTCTGATAAAAAGACAGATAAAGAGATTTGTTTATTTGATTGTGCTAGTGTGATTCTTACTGTCTTTTGGATATTTCATTTGTACTAGGCTATTTTTATGATTCCCACAAATCCACCACCAACATTCAGAAAGCCAGAACTTTGGTCCGATGATTTCACCGATTTTGTTAAAAAGTGTTTGGTGAAGAATCCTGAGCAGAGAGCTACTGCAACACAACTTTTACAGGTCAGTGCTTGTGCCTCGAAGGGAAGGATATTTTCTTCATACCTTTCAGCTTTCTGACATTGGCCAGAATTGCTGTGTGTTTCATAACTGATTTCTAAAGATGTAAACCTCCCCTCCCCTCCTGTTTGCTCCCTTCTTTTCTTTCCTCCCCTCTCGTCCCCTCATTTCCCCCAGAGTCATTTTAAAACAAAATTTCCAAAGCATTCTCCTTTCAGAAAGGAATCTTTGTCTTCATAGTTACTATTTCTCATGTTTTTTTTTTCTTCTGTTCCTTGACTCAGCATTTATCCTTTGACTTTTTGCTCCACCATAAAATATGTAAGTACAAGATCCCTGGACTCCTTGAAGAGATTATCACGTTGTAAATATCAGTTACAGGATTATCTAAATGAAGAGCTTCAGAGTTTCAATTTTTTTTGATAGAATAATTGTAAGTAGACTTTGTATCCAGAATGTCAGTAGATTTTAAAATCTACCTTAAAATTTAATGCAAATAGAAATAATTTAATATTTATAATAGGTGTTTGTGAATCTTAATTTCCCCAACAGAATAGTCTTAGAACTTTCAGCTAATAATAAGTATGTCTCACATTAACAAAACTTGATATTTGCTAAATGATTTCTATTGTTAAGTGACAAAAGGATGAAAAACATGGTTCTTGTAAAAAGGGACTTCCCTGTCTCTAAAGGAACCATTGGGTTAAAAGAACAAAAAAAGAAAAAAGGAAAAAAAAAAAAAAGTAACTTTCCAAAGTCCCATTTTTCCAAAAGGATGTATTGAGGGGTATGGAAAACAGGCTCTTAAGTATAATGTTTATTGTTATGAAAGTGTAACTTGGTACTCAATCTCCATAGATGCCAGTACAGCAATATCTATTTAAAATAAAAATCCATATATTCTTTGATCCAACAGTTGCACTTCTAGGAATTTATTCTACAGAAATATTTAACCATGTGTGAAATAACATGTGTAAAAATATTCGTAGAACATTGAAATTGTAAAAGATTGGAAAGATCCTAAATGTCTGTCAACAAGTTGGAAACAATTTAAAGTACAAGAAAAAGAGTTACTGGAAAAATACACCTATGTACACACAACATATATACATATCTTAATGCTTATAATGAAGTATCTCTGGAAAAATAAGCAAGAAACTGGCCTCCAGAAAAGGTAACTAACTATGGATGGGGCAGGACTGGGATGGAGACTTGCTTTTTGATGAAAACTGTTTATGAGACTTTTGCGATTTGGGTTATGTGCAAATACTACCTTTCAAAAAGTAATGGTTAAGATGGTAAAATTTTATTTTTCCACAAAAATTGATTAAAACATTTATTTTGAAATATTGTCAATATTCATTTGAAATATATATGTATGTGTTATATATGTATATTATATGTGTGTGTATATATTTTATTTTATTTTTTATTTTTTTGAGATGGTATCTCACTCTGTCACCCAGGCTAGAGTGCAGTGGCACCTGGCTCACTGCAACCTCTGCCTCTTGGTTTCAAGTGATTCTCGTGCCTTAGCCTCCCAAGTAGCTGGGATTACAGGTGTGTGCCACCATGCCTGGCTAATTTTTGTATTATTAGTAGAGACAGAGTTTCGCCATGTTGATCAGGCTGGTATCAAACTCCTGACCTCAAGTGATCCGCCTGCCTCAGCCTCCCAAAGTGCTGGGATTACAGACATGAGCCACCGTGCCCGGCCCATGTATTTTTTGAGATAGGGTCTCACTGTATTGCCCCCGCTGGAGTGCAGTGGCATGATCTCGCTCACTGAAACCTCTACCTCCTGGGCTCCACCTATCCTCCCACCTCAGCCTCCTGAGTAGCTGGGACTACAGATGCATGCCACCACATCCAGCTAACTTTTGTCTGTTTCGTAGAGACAGGATTCGCCATGTTACCCAGGCTAGTCTCGAACTCCTGGGCTCAAGTAATCTGCCCACTTTGGCCTCCCAAATTCCTGGGATTATAGGCGTGAGCTATCTCGCCCTGCTGAAATATATATGTATTTTAAAGTAGTCCAAAGGGTACTACCTTTGGACTCCTAGTATCCAGTACTTGTACATATTAAAGTTAATATGTGTGTATTTAACCTAACAAACTTCTGATTTAAATTTTTTTTTGGGGGGGTAGGATAATTATCTTTGGCCTCATTAGAGTCTTATTTAGCAGGAAGCCTAGGAACCATTCTGTCTCTTCAAGGAGTTTTGTATGTCTTATCTGTTATGATTTAAATTAGTTGTCCCCAACCTTTTTGGCACCAGGGACTGGTTTCATGGAAGACAGTTTTTCCATGGATGGTGAGCAGAGTTGGGATTGTTTCAGGATTAAACTGTCCTGCCTCAGATCATTAGGCATTAGTTAGATTCTCATAAGGAGCATGCAACTTGGATCCCTCACATGTGCAGGTCACAATAGGGTTTGTGCTCCTGTTAGAATCTAATACCACTGCTGATCTGACAGTAGGCAGAGTTCAGGCTGTAATGCTCACTCACCTCCTGCTGTGCAGCCCAGTTCATAACAGGCCAAGGCAGGTACCAGTCTGCAGCTGGAGGTTGGGGACCCCTAATTTAAATCATAGTTTAACTCTCAGTGGACAATCTGATTACCAAATTTTAGTTGACATATATCTATAGCTTACGTGTACAGATTATACCATATTCATTTCCAGTAAACAAAGAAACAATATTTAAAAAGAAATTCCTGATGGATTTTTAAAATAGTGATTGATTTTCTATGACACAGATAGATTATTGTATACATTTTTAAAAATCATAGAAGGGAAGGATCCTTTGAGATTATTAAATTGAAATTTTAGTAGTTTTTAAAGATAAATTAAAACCCTGGAGATGTTAAAAGACAAGGTTCAGTTTCAGTCTATTAGCACCGGAGTTCCTGATCTGAAGATGATCCTTATACCTGCTGGTGGGCAGCCGAGATTCTAAAGTCAGTAAGTGGCCAGGCACCGTGGCTCACGCCTGTAATCCCAGCACTTTGGGAGGCCGAGGCAGGTGGATCACTTGAGATCAGGAGTTCAAGACCAGCCTGGCCAACATAGTGAAACCCCGTCTATACGAAAAATACAAAAATTAGCCAGACATGGTGGTGCACGTCTGTAGTCCCAGCTATTTGGGAGGCTGAGGCAAGAGAATCACTTGAACCCGGGAGACAGGGATTACAATGAGCCAAGATCGCACCACTGCACTCCAGCCTGGACAACAGAGTGAGACTCTGTCTCAAAATAAATAAATAAATAAATAAATAAATAAATAAATAAATAAATAAAGTAAGTCAGTGAGCAGTCTTCCATGATCTCTTCCCTTTTTATCAAGTTGGAAAACAGAGGTACTTACAACACAACTTCAAACAACTGTAAAGACAAAGACAGTGTCCTAGAGGAGTGTAGAGCAATAAGAAAGAAAAGACTCCTGTCCTACTCTAAACATTTTTGACAAACTAGTAGAAAGGTCACACACACACCCCAAAAACACACAAAAAACTGAAGTTATATTCTTTGAGAAATGAAAGACAAAAATGTTAAAAAATTATAATACAATGTAGAAGTTACATTCATGATGCACAGCCTATATGATTAAGAAATGTAAAAGTAGAAGAATGGATATGGTAATCACAGATACCTCATACAGAAGAAGCAGATCATTTTAGGGAGGAGAAATGGTATGAACAATATGAACAAAGACACAAAAATGGGAGATGTATTTTAGAACACAGTAAGATCTGCTTAGCCAGAATAGAAACACCAGTTAGAGAAGTGGTGTCTGAGTTTAGATACAGACAACAGTGAAGCAAGAAGGGTATTCTGATGCCTAGGATGAGATGCCTCAATTTTGTCTGAGAGCCACCTTACTTACATATGTAAACAAGAGAATGTAAGAAAAGAATGTCTTTGATAACATAATATTGCAACAAAGTATAGAAATAGAATGAGGAGGCACTGTAATAATACAGGTGTGAATTGTTAAGGACCTGAGTTTAAAAAAATAGTTGCCAAAATAGAAAATAGTAAATCTGATGAAAGAATGAGAAGGATTTAGTGACTGATTATGTATTAACAGAAGTGAGAGAAGACCAACACTACAGAAACTAGAAACCAGTAGAATTATATTTCTTTAACAAAGTATAGAAAATTCAAACTACATTATACTTTATCTTCTCAGGGGAATGTATAAACTACCCTTCTAAGCTGCAGTTATTTTTAAGAAAAGCCAATATACTTATCTGGTTCGTCCAATTTACCACAACCCTGCTTTTATGCAATTCATTGTCAATTCACTATAGTGTTATGCTACAGTTAGTCTATAGAGCTTAACATTCTTAATCTCAAAATCTCGGTATGTCCAATTTCATTTGTACTCATGCTTTCCCTACATAACTGCTGCAGACATGGTTTTGATCAACAAAGAGGAACTGGCTAATAAAGTTAAAAGGGTACATGAAGAGCAAGACCATATTATTTGAGTATTCTTGAGTCAGAAGAGAAGTTTTATCAGACAAATTGCCAAGTTTTTAAGTACAAGTGCTCCTTAACTTACAATGGAGTTAGGTCCTGATAAACCCCAATGAAGGTTTAAAATATTGTAAGTCAAAAAGGTGTTAAAATACACCTATCCTAGCTTAGCCTAGCCTACCAAAAACGTGCCCAGAACACATACATTAGTGTAGTTGAGTGTTTTGTAGACGCAATTGAATGTGAAAACACAAAACACAATATCCAAAAAATGCTGACAACACAGTACACTATAGAATATTGGTTAATTACCCTCATGATCGCATAGCTCACTGGGAGCTGGGACTTATTAATACCTCCATGCTCAGCATCAGAAGAGAGTATTGTACCACATATTACTAGCCTGGGAAAATATCAAATATCAGAATTCCAAGTATGGTTCCTACTGAATGCATATCACTTTTGCAGCATTGTAAAGTTGAAAAATCCTAAATTGAACCTTTGTAAGTCAGGGACTATCTGTATATTTTTAAAGGCATTTTAAGATTAGCAGGTGGTAAAATTAAAACTGCAAAGCAACGTAAAAAAGAATGCAGAAAAAACAAGATGGCAAATGTAAAACATTTATGATAGAATATTATGATAAAACATGTATGTTTTACATAATGTAAAACAATTGTGATAAAATGGCATTAGCATATAATTATATACTAACATAAGTGGTTAATTTTTTTAAATAATATTTAGTTAAGTACTAAATGGTTCACTTAGTTCATAAGATAAATGCAACTCCATGCTTTCTACATGAGATAAACTTACAAACTTACATAAAATCCAACTCATGTTTCTACATGAGGCATACTTAAAAGAATTTGGGTTAAAAGTTAAAAACAGCTGTTTAGTGGTCTCTTCACACGGACGTGCATGAAATTTGGTGCTGTGACTTGGATCGGGGGGCCTCCCTTGGGAGATCAATCCCCCGTCCTCCTGCTTTTTGCTCCTTGAGAAAGATCCACCTAGGACCTCAGGTCCTCAGACCGACCAGCCCAAGATACATCTCACCAATTTCAAATCCGCCACTCCCAGAGCCCCTGGAACTCTGGCCCAAGGCTCTCTGACTCCTTCCCAGATCTTCTCGGCTTAGCGGCTGAAGACTGACACTGCCCGATCGCCTCGGAAGCCCTCTACCCCATCACGGACGCCGAGCTTTCGGTAACTCTTACGGTGGAAGAAAGGAACGGCATCAGGGCACATTGAGGCTCAGAAATTTATATTCCAAGAAGAGGTGCACAGGAACAGAGCAGATCCAAAGACAACCACCTGGAAGCACTCATAACAACAGAAATAGCAAATCAATGCTGGTTATTTTCTTTTGTCGGAAATGAGAAATCTTTATTTGTCCATTCACTTTTCTCAAGAGAAGATTTTCGGAGGAGCCAAGATGGCCGAATAGGAACAGCTCCGGTCTACAGCTCCCAGCATGAGCGCCGCAGAAGACAGGTGATTTCTGCATTTCCATCTGAGGTACCCGGTTCATCTCACTAGGGAGTGCCAGACAGTGGGCGCAGGTCAGTGGGTGCGTGCACCGTGTGCGAGCCGAAGCAGGGCGAGGCATTGCCTCACTCGGGAAGTGCAAGGGGTCAGGGGGTTCCCTTTCCTAGTCAAAGAAAGGAGTGACGGACGGCACCTGGAAAATCAGGCCACTCCCACCCTAATACTGCACTTTTCCGACGGGCTTAAAAAATGGTGCACCACGAGATTATATCCCGCACCTGGCTCAGAGGGTCCTATGCCCACGGAGTCTCGCTGATTGCTAGCACAGCAGTCTGAGATCAAACTGCAAGGCAGCAGCTAGGCTGGGGGAGGGGCGCCCGCCATTGCCCAGGCTTGCTTAAGTAGACAAAGCAGCCAGGAAGCTCGAACTGGGTGGAGCCCACCACAGCTCAAGAAGGCCTGCCTGCATCTGTAGGCTCCACCTCTGGGGGCAGGGCACAGACAAACAAAAAGACAGCAGTAACCTCTGCAGACTTAAATGTCCCTGTCTGACAGCTTTGAAGAGAGCAGTGGTTCTCCCAGTATGCAGCTGGAGATCTGAGAAGGGGCAGACTGCCTCCTTAAGTGGGTGCATGACCCCTGACCCCCGGGCAGCCTAACTGGGAGGCACCCTCCAACAGGGGCACACTGACACCTCACACGGCAGGTTACTCCAACAGACCTGCAACTGAGGGTCCTGTCTGTTAGAAGGAAAACTAACAAACAGAAAGGACATCCACACCAAAAACCCATCTGTTCATCACCATCATCAAAGACCAAAAGTAGATAAAACCACAAAGATGGGGAAAAAACAGAACAGAAAAACTGGAAACTCTAAAAAGCAGAGTGCCTCTCCTCCTCCAAAGGAATGCAGTTCCTCACCAGCAACGGAACAAAGCTGGATGGAGAATGACTTTGACGAGCTGAGAGAAGAAGGCTTCAGACGATCAAATTACTCTGAGCTATGGGAGGACATTCAAACCAAAGGCAAAGAAGTTGAAAACTTTGAAAAAAATTTAGAAGAATGTATAACTAGAATAACCAATACAGAGAAGTGCTTAAAGGAGCTGATGGAGCTGAAAACCAAGGCTCGAGAACTACGTGAAGAATGCAGAAGCCTCAGGAGCCGATGCGATCAACTGGAAGAAAGGGTATCAGCAATGGAAGATGAAATGAGTGAAATGAAGCGAGAAGGGAAGTTTAGAGAAAAAAGAATAAAAGGAAATGAGCAAAGCCTCCAAGAAATATGGGACTATGTGAAAAGACCAAATCTACGTCTAATTGGTGTACCTGAAAGTGATGGGGAGAATGGAACCAAGTTGGAAAACACTCTGCAGGATATTATCCAGGAGAACTTCCCCAATCTAGCAAGGCAGGCCAACGTTCAGATTCAGGAAATACAGAGAACGCCATAAAGATACTCCTCGAGAAAGCAACTCCAAGACACATAATTGTCAGATTCACCAAAGTTGAAATGAAGGAAAAAATGTTAAGGGCAGCCAGAGAGAAAGGTCGGGTTACCCTCAAAGGGAAGCCCATCAGACTAACAGCGGATCTCTCAGCAGAAACCCTACAAGCCAGAAGAGAGTGGGGGCCAATATTCAACATTCTTAAAGAAAAGAATTTTCAACCCAGAATTTCATATCCAGCCAAACTAAGCTTCATAAGTGAAGGAGAAATAAAATCCTTTACAGACAAGCAAATGCTGAGAGATTTTGTCACCACCAGGCCTGCCCTAAAAGAGCTCCTGAAGGAAGCGCTAAAAATGGAAAGGAACAACCGGCACCAGCCGCTGCAAAATCATGCCAAAGTGTAAAGACCATCGAGACTAGGAAGAAACTGCATCAACTAACGAGCAAAATAACCAGCTAACATCATCATGACAGGATCAAATTCACACATAACAATATTAACTTTAAATGTAAATGGACCAAATGCTCCAATTAAAACACACAGACTGGCAAATTGGATAAAGAGTCAAGACCCATCAGTGTGCTGTATTGAGGAAACCCATCTCACGTGCAGAGACACACATAGGCTAAAAATACAAGGATGGAGGAAAATCTACCAAGCAAATGGAAAACAAAAAAAGGCAGGGGTTGCAATCCTAGTCTCTGATAAAACAGACTTTAAACCAACAAAGATCAAAAGAGACAAAGAAGGCCATTACATAATGGTAAAGGGATCAATTCAACAAGAAGAGCTAACTATACTAAATATATATGCACCCAACACAGGAGCACCCAGATTCATAAAGCAAGTCCTTAGAGACCTACAAAGAGACTTAGACTCCCACACATTAATAATGGGAGACTTTAACACCCCACTGTCAACATTAGACAGATCAACGAGACAGAAAGTCAACAAGGATACCCAGGAATTGAACTCAGCTCTGCACCAAGCGGAACTAATAGACATCTACAGAACTCTCCATCCCAAATCAACAGAATATACATTTTTTTCAGCACCACACCACTCCTATTCCAAAATTGACCACATACTTTGAAGTAAATCTCTCCTCAGCAAATGTAAAAGAACAGAAATTATAACAAACTATCTCTCAGACCACAATGCAATCAAACTAGAACTCAGGATTAAGAATCTCACTCAAAACCACTCAACTACATGGAAACTGAACAACCTGCTCCTGAATGACTACTGGGTACATAACGAAATGAAGGCAGAAATAAAGATGTTCTTTGAAACCAATGAGAACAAAGACACAACATACCAGAATCTCTGGGACGCATTCAAAGCAGTGTGTAGAGGGAAATTTATAGCGCTAAATGCCCACAAGAGAAAGCAGGAAAGATCCAAAATTGACACCCTAACATCACAATTAAAAGAACTAGAAAAGCCAGAGCAAACACATTCAAAAGCTAGCAGAAGGCAAGAAATAACTAAAATCAGAGCAGAACTGAAGGAAACAGAGACACAAAAAACCCTTCAAAAAATTAACGAATCCAGGAGCTGGTTTTTTGAAAGGATCAACAAAATTGATAGACCGCTAGCAAGACTAATAAAGAAAAAAAGAGAGAAGAATCAAATAGATGCAATAAAAAATGATAAAGGGGATATCAACACCGATCCCACAGAAATACAAACTACCATCCGAGAATACTACAAACACCTCTACGCAAATAAACTAGAAAATCTAGAAGAAATGGATAAATTCCTCGACACATACACTCTCCCAGGACTAAACCAGGAAGAAGTTGAATCTCTGAATAGACCAATAACAGGATCTGAAATTGTGGCAATAATCAATAGCTTACCAACCAAAAAGAGTCCAGGACCAGACAGATTCACAGCCTAATTCTACCAGAGGTACAAGGAGGAACTGGTACCATTCCTTCTGAAACTATTCCAATCAATAGAAAAAGAGGGAATCCTCCCTAACTCATTTTATGAGGCCAGCATCATTCTGATACCAAAGCCGGGCAGAGACACAACCAAAAAAGAGAATTTTAGACCAATATCCTTGATGAACATTGATGCAAAAATCCTCAATAAAATACTGGCAAACCGAATCCAGCAGCACATCAAAAAGCTTATCCACCATGATCAAGTGGGCTTCATCCCTGGGATGCAAGGCTGGTTCAATATATGCAAATCAATAAATGTAATCCAGCATATAAACAGAGCCAAAGACAAAAACCACATGATTATCTCATTAGATGCAGAAAAGGCCTTTGACAAAATTCAACCACCCTTCATGCTAAAAACTCTCAATAAATTAGGTATTGATGGGATATATTTCAAAATAATAAGAGCTATCTATGACAAACCCACAGCCAATATCATACTGAATGGGCAAAAACTGGAAGCATTCCCTTTGAAAACTGGCACAAGACAGGGATGCCCTCTCTCACCACTCCTATTCAACATAGTGTTGGAAGTTCTGGCCAGGGCAATCAGGCAGGAGAAGTAAATCAAGGGTATTCAATTAGAAAAAGAGGAAGTCAAATTGTCCCTGTCTGCTGATGACATGATTGTATATCTAGAAAACCCCATTGTCTTAGCCCAAAATCTCCTTAAGCTGATAAGCAACTTCAGCAAAGTTTCAGGATACAAAATCAATGTGCAAAAATCACAAGCATTCTTATACACCAACAACAGACAAACAGAGAGCCAAATCATGAGTGAACTCCCATTCACAATTGCTTCAAAGAGAATAAAATACCTAGGAATCCAACTTACAAGGGATGTGAAGGACCTCTTCAAGGAGAACTACAAACCCCTGCTCAAGAAAATAGAAGAGGATACAAACAAATGGAAGAACATTCCATGCTCATGGGTAGGAAGAATCAATATCGTGAAAAAGGCCATACTGCCCAAGGTAATTTACAGATTCAATGCCATCCCCATCAAGCTACCAATGACTTTCTTCACAGAATTGGAAAAAACTACTTTAAAGTTCATATGGAACCAAAAAAGAGCCCGCATCGCCAAGTCAATCCTAAGCCAAAAGAACAAAGCTGGAGGCATCACACTACCTGACTTCAAACTATACTACAAGGCTACAGTAACCAAAACAGCATGGTACTGGTACCAAAACAGAGATATAGATCAATGGAACAGAACAGAGCCCTTAGAAATAATGCCGCATATCTACAACTATCTGATCTTTGACAAACCTGAGAAAAACAAGCAATGGGGAAAGGATTCCCTATTTAATAAATGGTGCTGGGAAAATTGGCTAGTCATATGTAGAAGGCTGAAACTGGATCCCTTCCTTACACCTTATACAAAAATTAATTCAAGATGGATTAAAGACTTAAACGTTAGACCTAAAACCATAAAAACCCTAGAAGAAAACCTAGGCATTACCATTCAGGACATAGGCATGGGCAAGGCCTTCATGTCTAAAACACCAAAAGCAATGGCAACAAAAGCCAAAATTGACAAATGGGATCTAATTAAACTAAAGAGCTTCTGCACAGCAAAAGAAACTACCATCAGAGTGAACAGGCAACCTACAGAATGGGAGAAAATTTTCGCAACCTACTCATCTGACAAAGGGCTAATATCCAGAATCTACAATGAACTCAAACAAATTTACAAGAAAAAAACAACCCCATCAAAAAGTGGGCGAAGGACATGAACAGACACTTCTCAAAAGAAGACATTTATGCAGCTAAAAAACACATGAAAAAATGCTCATCATCACTGGCCATCAGAGAAATGCAAATCAAAACCACAATGAGATACCATCTCACACCAGTTAGAATGGCAATCATTAAAAAGTCAGGAAACAACAGGTGCTGGAGAGGATGTGGAGAAATAGGAACACTTTTACACTGTTGGTGGGACTGTGAACTAGTTCAACCATTGTGGAAGTCAGTGTGGCGATTCCTCAGGGATCTAGAACTAGAAATACCATTTGACCCAGCCATCCCATTACTGGGTATATACCCAAAGGACTATAAATCATGCTGCTATAAAGACACATGCACACGTATGTTTATTGCGGCATTATTCACAATAGCAAAGACTTGGAACCAACCCACATGTCCAAAAATGATAGACTGGATTAAGAAAATGTGGCACATATATGCCATGGAATACTATGCAGCCATAAAAAATGATGAGTTCATGTCCTTTGTAGGAACATGGATGAAATTGGAAATCATCATTCTCAGTAAACTATCGCAAGAACAAAAAACCAAACACCGTATATTCTCACTCATAGGTGGGAATTGAACAATGAGATCACATGGACACAGGAAGGGGAACATCACACTCTGGGGACTGTTGTGGGGTGGGGGGAAGGGGGAGGGATAGCATTAGGAGATATACCTAATGCTAGATGACAAGTTAGTGGGTGCAGCGCACCAGCATGGCACATGTATAGATATGTAACTAACCTGCACAATGTGCACATGTACCCTAAAACTTAAAGTATAATAATAAAAGAAAAAAAAACTTTAAAAAAAAAAAGATTTTCACTACCTTCTCCACTAGCAGAGATACATGTTTGCATTTTGTTAAATTAAAAGACATACTTTTTTAAAATTGTGAAACCCTACAGAGAGAAGGTTTAGGTTGAATTAAAAACTAAAATACAAATAACTCCTATTTTTAAAAGAAGTATTTATTAATCTCTAAGTTACCTTCTCTCTCTTTCTTCTCTCTGTCTCTCTTACACACACACACACACACACACACACACATACACTCTCTCTCTTACCCATAGGTTTATTTTCCTGAGCTTATTTTCTCATCTACTTCTTAAACTAATATAGACTATGAATTTCATAAGATAGCTCAAATTGTTTTCAGAACAAGACAAGATAAAGATTAATAATAATATCAGAATATTCTGCTTGGAAAGACGCAAGAAGCTGCCTTAGCTGTATTCTCAAGGAAATAACCTTGAAAAGTTTCATTACCATGTAACTGTTTATCAAGAGATACAGAAGAGCTTATTGAAAAGGTACTTCATCCAAACCACAGTGAGGATGACAGTGCTGATGCTTCCTGGGCTGCTATTTCCCATGACCTTGTCCCACCCCAGCCCACCCCAACCCTGCTGTTAACTTTCAATCTTCAGAAGACTGGGATGGAAAATGTCAATGCAGTATTTTTAATTTTGGTTTGCATAAAAATCACTTGGAAAGAAATGCTAAAATGCAGATTCTATGGCAACATTCTTAGAAATTCTGATTCAGTTTGTCTAGGGGAGGCCGAGAATTTGAATATTTAGAAGTAACCCTCTGCCCTCGCTCCCATGATTCTAACACATGTGATGATACACACCAAATTTTGAGGAATATGATTTAAGTAAACTTCTTAATTGTATTCAATGGTATTGGTATTTTTGTTATTGTTGTAGTAATGTAAAAAGTGAAATTAACCTAATAAAAATGTTTCAATTGTCTGTTTTTATTTAAAAAAAAAAGTTAAAAACAGGCAATGAAATTTTAATAAAATATAAAAAGATAGTATGAATAACATGATCAAAAAAGCAAAATTGACAGCAGAAATCAGTAAATGAGGATGGAGTCACTTAATATTGATAAAGAACATAATATAAAGGAAGATATAGTTATAAACTTGATATATTAATATAGCATTGTATGTTACAAATTAAAGACATAAGAGGTTGCTCTAAATAAATAAATTGGGATATTTTGATATTCCGTTTTCAGTCACTGAGTAACCATATAGGCAAAAAATAAACATCATCTGAATTATATAGTGATTGATTTAATAGAAAAATCAAATTTTATGTTTAATAAACAAATTACATCTTTTTGTTAAATGCTTAGAAAAGTATGTAACGCCAGTATGAGATAGAATAATGAAGCAGAATTAAATGCCCACAAATGGTATATAATATACAAAGGAAACTAGCATATTATGAAGATAGCATTTCTAATCAGTGAGGGAAAAACAAAGTAAAAATGGTGCTGAGATAACTGCCTGCCTTTAGGGGGTGTTGGGAGGATTAACTTAGATCTTCACCACAGAAACACCAAAGTAATTTCCAGATAGATTAAGGTCTTAAATGTTAAAAAAACTAAAACAAAAAATGGAAATAGGAAAGAACTAGGGGTTAATATAGGAGAATATTTATATATTCATTCCGGTGCAATAAAGCAAAAGAAAAATGGATGATTTGAATACATATAACTTAAAAAATGCATGAATGGCAAAAAACGGAAACTAAAAAATATATATATATATTTATGTCAGGCAAGGGGCTGATTATATGAAGGGTTTTATAAAGTATTTCAACAAGAAAAAGATGAATGTACCAGATTCTAATAGGCAGTAAAGTTTTCCTATTTCTAAATGTGTCTAAAATAAAAATTAAAGAGGGTGAGGATTCTTAAACCACCTAAAGTAATGAGAAGACAGAAATTACTGCAGATCAACCTATCACATTCTTGATGATGTATTTTAAAAATTGAGACTGCTTGAAAAGTTTATTCTTTTAAAATCTGAAATATTTCCTCTTAAATTTTGTTCATGTTCTGAATTATCAATTTCTAAACTGATAGTGTTCAAAATTAATGATTTATACAAAAACACTTCAGATAAAACAAGTGCTTAAAGTGAGTTGAAGAAGGCATTTCTGCCGCTGGACAGATTGAGTAACCATATTTTTCTCTATACTTCCTCATTAAAGTACAGCTAAAACCATGGACATTGTAAGTATATAAAACAAGCATAAAAAGACTCTAAAAGGTGGAAAGAAGGCAATAGACTGCTAGAGATGGTGGGACTCAAGGAAAGACATAGCTGTGAGTTCCCTGGGGTTTCTTTTTCCCTCATTTATCCCACACTGGGTAGTGGAGAAGCCAACAACCCAGAAACAACATTGGACACAAACTAGAAATAAAAACCTGCTCTTTCAAGCAGAAGGACGGAGAAATGGACAGCCTAGTAAGACTGAAAACTTTCAGATGATAACCGTTCTACTCTAGCCAAACACCACCAAGAAAACTATGGCCTACCCCGGTCACCAGCAAAGGCTAAATGGAGAACCTAGACTTCTATCCTTTTGAGGCTGTCCAGTCCTTCTCAGGCGGTGTCAGAGAAGGCTGTCATGCTAAGGCATTCATCTCCACAAGGCAGTGTAGAAAGTATTCCCTCCCTAAGTGGGGAGTGCCAGTGAAGACCATGTGGGAGCCTAGACTTATACTCCTACCAGGCAGGAATAAGAACCCAACAACCTCCCTGTTGGAGTGGGGTCAGAGGCAGTCTGGTGAAGGGTCAGGACTTTCATCGCCAATCAGCTAAAATGAGACTACTTCCCACAGTACCAGTACAGGACTCTGGGAGAACCTGACCTCTCACCCTTATCCATTAGTAACAAGGAGCCCTCCATAGCCCAGGCCAGGAAGTGGAACACAGTATTTGCTCCCGCATTCACTTAGTCGCATATAACCACCTGAATGGGTTAAGTTGAGAAACGTAGGATCCAGTTGGGCAATTGTCGGTCCAACCACAACTCTATTTTTGGTGTATGACCAGGAGTCTCTACCACAGATATGTTAATAGGACTTAATTTGTTTGGTAAGATTAATCTATAACTGTTCTAAAATAATTTATTGGTTCTTTACAATTGATTTTAGTATTTCTGTACTCTGAAAAAGTTCTTTCTTATAGTTGTCCCAAATGATATGTTTGCCATTTTAAACCCTCTTTCAAGTATCTATTTCTTCTTCAGCACAATTTTTTTTGTCTTTAAATATATTTTTGTGTTCTCTTGAAGTTTATTAAAATAACTCAGGGCTGGGTGCAGTGGCTCATGCCTCTATTCCCAGCACTTAGGAAGGCTGAGGTGGGAGGATCACTTGAGCCCAGGAGGTCAAGACTATAGTGAGCCATGATTGCACCATTGTGCTCGCATCTGGGCAACAGAGCAAGCCCCTGTCTCAAACAAACAAATAAACAAATAACTCACTCACTCAGTCAGGTCACTTTTACCTGATGCTATCTACTGACATGTAACTATGAAAATTACTGAAACTGATTGCTGCCCCAAATTTAGGTTATCTATCCAAAATTATAACCTTTCACTCTACTTTCTCTCATGTCCCTCCTTCTCAATAAAAAGAAATTCAAAACCTAGGTCTATTCTGATAGTTTTCCTTCTCTTTGTCAGAATGATAGAGAGCTTAGCTATTTTAGCTAGATCAGGGTGATATTTTTTAAAAAGTGACAAGTTATTTTATATATAGTAAAGAAATTAGGCAACATTCATTTTCTGAAAAAATATTTTTGTCTTGGTTAAATTACTTAAGATACAATAAAATAGAAAATATGTTAAAGAAGTAACAAAATAGTTGCTCTCCTTTTGGCCACTGATTTTGGCTGTCAACTTATTAAGATTAATTAAATTACGTAACTCAGTACCAAAATAAGTTTATTTCTATGTGTAATATAATCTGTAATCCTATTTTTAACTTAATCTTTTTTACTCCTAATGTACACTTCCTTTGGACAATTAGATCTTTAAGGATATTATAGTTTTATTAACAGGGTTGCATTTTTGCATGTGTGCTTTAAGTTTTTTTTTTAAACAAGCCCCAAAGCAAATTCTTTATTTCTAGGCAGTGGCCATACTCTCTTTTCTTAACCTATACATTTAATTCTAGATGAAAAAACAATCATTGAAGCCTGTGATCCTGGTTAACATTTACATGTTGTTTTAACATTTGTTAGCTATAATTCGGAAAAATCTTTTGAATTTATACCATTGAATTTTACTTTTTTAGCATCCTTTTATCAAGAATGCCAAACCTGTATCAATATTAAGAGACCTGATCACAGAAGCTATGGAGATCAAAGCTAAAAGACATGAGGAACAGCAACGAGAATTGGAAGAGGAAGAAGAAAATTCGGTTTGTAATTATCTTCAAAAAGTTGATTTTTTTCTTCTGAGTTATTTGTCTGTAATTCTGTTAAAATATATTAAAAGCACTTACTGTTTTACTATACAAGTAAGATATGTTTTTTCATTGAATCTCAAAATATATTTGGTTTGCCTTATATGTTTGCTATCTTTTTCTGATGTCTTAAGAATTAGTGATTAGTGGAATGTAATGTTGATAGGATGAACTTCCACAGTACCTAGTATCTAGTTGATACTAACTCTGGGTTTGTTAAATAAATATTGTCTTGAATTTATACAGTTTTGTGTCATATCTTCTGGAATTTTCTTTTAACTGGTCACCAGCTATGCTGTAGATAAAACGTACCATAGCAGGAGTTGCAGGTGGGACATAAAAAGGCCTAGCATATTAAACTAGCTATTAATTCCTTTTACTTTATATTGATGTTACTACATTTAAATAACGAAATAAAATAATTGTATTTATTTACCACATTTTGTAGTGTCTAATACTTTTTTTTTTGAAACAGAGTCTCACTGTGTTACCTGGGCGGGAGTACAGTGGCACGATCTTGGCTCACTGCAACCTCCACCTCCCGGGTTCAAGCGATTCTCCTGCCTCAGCCTCATGAGTATCTGGGACTACAGGCGCACACTACCATGCCTGGCTAATTTTTGTATTTTTAATAGAGATGGGGTTTCACCATTTTGGCCAGGCTGGTCTCAAACTCCTGACCTCAAGTAATCTACCCACCTCAACTTCCCATAATGCTGGGATTACAGGTGTGAGCCACTGCACCTGGTTTGTAGTGTCTAGTGCTTCTATACCTTGCTAATTATTTTTTGCCTTTGTGTTTCAAGTTATATATTTTTTTCTGGATAAAGATATAGAGGAGAATAACCCTTGGTATTCAAATAGTCATAAAATCTGAAAACACATGTATTATTTTATGTTTTACTGATTGAAAATGTATTTCGTAACAGTATGTTCTCCCATAAAAGTTCATTTTAAAAATCTTACAGTTTCTGTATACAAATGGAATTATTTTGCTAAATTAAATTCAGTTTTAATTTCAGAGACTGGTTATCCAGTTGGGAATTCTTTTGAAATTCTTTTACTCTTTTTACCAATTATAAAACCTTTTATCACATGGTAGCCCAGGACAAGGAGAAATGTGCATCTTTGTAGAGCTGATTTATAATCATGTTCTTTAGATATGCAGCTACATGAGTTATTTATTTGGCCGTTGTCATGGACTACCTAGTGAGGAGATACTTGAAGCCTGTATTCTAGACTTAAAATCTTTCACCAATGAATTCATTACTTAGAATTTTAAATAGTGTCTTCAAAAGGTATTTTTTTCAGGTTTGTCATTGTGCATTAATTCTACAAAGATGAGTAGGTGATATGGGAGATGTAAAGACCCTTGGTTCTTGCTCTCAGGGGGTTTCATATTTCCTACCCTGGATTCCTGTGTGATGATAGATACATTTAGTTTCAGATTTCTCTCCAGTTAATGTTTCTAAATGTTAAATTTTTGTAGTTGTTTCTTGTGGTTTCAAAGGCACTTTATCATATATTATCAGTTTTTACTACTTTTTAAGACTTTGTTATAGTAATTTTGGTTTCTTTCTGCCCCTTTGGGGGTCTCTTTCTTCACTATTTTTCTTTCCTTCGCTGAGCTTAAGTCACACTAGTCTTTCAGATTTTTAATTTTTTTTTTAACATGCTTAAGATCTTTCCTTACTCAGGGCCTTTGCATGTGCTATACCCGGTACTTGAAACACTCTTTTTCTTAGAACTCTTGGAGTGGCTAGGTTCTTTTCTTTTGAGTCTCAGCTTTAAATATCATGTACCCCCAAAACATAGCACCTTAAAACAACACACATTTATTATCATGGTATTTGTAGATTGCTATTTCAGGAGGGTCTTAGTTACGTGATTCATTCTCAGGGTTTCTTATGAGATTGCAATCTAAGTGTTCATCAGAGCTGCAGTCATCTGAAGGCTTGACAAGGGCTGGAGGATTCACTTCCAGGATGGCTCATTCAGGGGCTCTCAGAGTGAGTGGTCCAAGAGAGAGAACAAAGAGGACC
The DNA here is from genome assembly GCF_000001405.40 of Homo sapiens. Lineage (NCBI taxonomy): Eukaryota > Metazoa > Chordata > Mammalia > Primates > Hominidae > Homo > Homo sapiens. Next base: position 98,577,576 of record NC_000008.11, on the reverse strand, counting down.
TCTCACTGTCTTTTATGTTGTAGTCTCAGGAGTTAAATACTGTCACTTCTGCCACATTCTATTTATTTATTTTTATTTTATTTTGTTTTTGAGACCGAGTCTCGTTCTGTTGCCCAGGCTGGATTGCAGTGGCATGATCTTGGCTTACTGCAACCTCCATCTCCTGGGTTCAAGCAATTCTCCTGCCTCAGCCTCCTGAGTAGCTGGGACTGCAGACTCATGCCACTATACCCGGCTAATTTTTGTATTTTTAGTAGAGACCAGGTTTCATCATATTGGTCAGGCTAGTCTTGAACTCCTGACTTTGGGTGTTCCACCCACCTCGGCCTCCCAAAGTGCTGGGATTACAGGCATGAGCCACTGCGCCCGGCCCAGTTTTTAAAAGCAAGTGAGTGGTGGAGCAAGGAGCTCTAAGAATCAGTTACCTCCACAGAAGCAACTATGTTAAACTGGAAAAAACTGACAAATCAACTTTTGCATAACTCTGGAATCTGATAGAAAACTTAACAGCATCCAGGGGAGTGCCAGATTTTGATAAGAAAGCATTATGACATTTTTGCTTATATACCTAATATCCTTTATTTTCTAGCTCAGCAGCAGCTATGGGGCCAGCAACCCATATTCCCGGTGTAGCTCACTGGTGCCAGGACGGGGACAATAAGATCCTTGTTCTGAAAAAAAATTGTAGTTTTCATTTTGACCTGTCTGGTGGTTCCCTGAGGGACTGGTGCAGATACCTTTGTTTCAGCCCCCCATGAGCTAGAGCAACTTCCTGTTTGTTATCTGTCAACCATCTAAATCTGCTAGAGCTAGTAAATAAATTTGGCAAAGTTTCAGGGTACAGCATCAACCACAAAACTCAGTTGTATTTCTAGGCACCAGCAATGAAAAATGTAAAAAGGAAATTAAGCAAACAATGCCATTTATAATAGCATCCAAAAGAATGAAATACCTAAAATATAAATTTAACCGTGGAGTTAAAAAACTTGTACAGTGAAAAGTACAAAACATTGCTAAAAGACCTAAATCAATAGAAAGACATCTTGTGTTCAGAGATTAGAAGACATTATATTGTGAAGATGGCAGTACTCCTCAAATCAATTCACAGATTTTAAAGATCTATTTCCAAATTTCAGGTCATTTTTTGCAGAAGAGGAAAAGTCAGTTCTCAAATTCATATGTAATTGCAGGGGGCCCCAAATAGCCAAAACATATCAAAAAAGAAGAACCATGTTAGAAGACTCACACTTCTGTTTTCAAAACTTAATATGAAACTGCAGTGATCAAATCAGTGTAGTACTAGCATAAGGATAGGTATGTAGACCAAGGGAATAGAATAGAAAGTCTGGAAATAAACCCATAAATCTATGGCCAACTGATTTTTAACAGAGTTGCTAAGACCATTTAATGGGAAAAGAACAATCTCTTCAACAAATGGTACTGGGATAGCTGGATAGCCACATGTAAAAGAATGAAGTTAGACCCCTATGTTTTATCAAATACAGCAGCCTTTTAGTATAAGATCTGATTGGCTGGATCAACACCCTACATGTAAGAGCTAAAACTTTAAAACTCTTATAAAAAAACATAGGGTTATTCTTCATGACTTTGGATTTGTCAGTGAATTCTTAGAGAATGATACTAAAGCAGAAATAACAAAAAAGATAAACTGAACTTCATCAAAATTAAACATTTTTGTGCATAAGAGAATAAATTATCAAGAAGTGAAAAGACAGCCTGTAGAATGAGAGAAAATATTTACAAATTATGCTTCTGATAAGGGTCTAGTATCCAAAATGTATAGAAGCTGGGTGCGGTGGCTCATGCCTGTAATACCAGCACTTTGGGAGGCTGAGACGGGTGGATCGCCCGAGCCCAGGAATTCAAGACTAGCCTGGGCAACATAATGAGACCCCATCTGTTTAAAAGAAAAAAAAAAAAGCAAACTGTATAGAGAACTCTTACAACTTACAATTGAATTATAGGCAAATTGTTGTTGGTTACCAGAGACCAGGACAGGGCCCAGTTGTGGTGTGCAGGGTGTGGGAAAGAAGGAAGGATGGAGAGCAACTCCTTAATGGGTACAGTGTTTTCTTTTGAGGTGATGAAAATGCTGTGATACTAGATAGAGGAGATGGTTGCACATTGTGAATGTACTAAGTGCCACTGATTTGTATACTTTAAAATGGTTAATTTTTTGTATATGAAGTTCACCTCAATTAAAAAAAAAAAAACAAGTCACTAGGTCTGGCCTGCACTCAAGGCAATAGGAATGAGGCTCCACCTTTTGAGGGGAGAATTGCCAAAGAATTTATGGTTATGTTTTAAAACTGGCTCAGACTATCCTCTGGCCGCACCTTATTTACATTCCTTGCCCATGCAAAATACACGCACTATCCCATCTACCCCAAGTATTATTTCTTTACAATATCAGCTCAAAATCTAGAATGTCATCTTCTAAATTACATTCAGATAGAGATAATGTTCCTTGGGTCCAGTTCCTTTCAATCTGAAGACCTATAAACAAAAGAGATGTTTCTTACCTCACCCCCACCACCCCGAATAGCCAATGTACAATGGTGGGTCAGGCATAAAATTATATCATTATGGGTAGTTCTGTTTAAAAAAAAAGGAAGACAGGAAGTGCACGAGTCACTATTCCATAGCAGTTTTGGAATCCAGCCAAGCAAATGTTAGAAGTTTCTTCATTAAAACTAAGTTCTATTCCTACCTCAGGATAGTTTTTCATGGCTCCTTTCTGTGTTCTCTGAGTTTTTTGCTCTGCCCACTGAGTTCTTCCTTTTTCATGGAAGGTAGCCTGTGTGTTGAGCTAGATAGTTTTCTCAGCCTGCTTCCTGTGGTTAGAAATTTTGGAGTCCAAAGCCCTCTTTTCATTTCGTGCATCTCTGTGCTATGCAGTCAATGCTGGTAGTGTTTCTGCCAAAAACACTTTGTGGGTCTCCTATAAATCTCATTGCAGCTTACTCCATTAGAATAATCTATACTCATACATTTTGTTGAGATAATTGTTTCCCTGATTTTGGCCTCTTGATGAGATTGTGCAGGGACAATGCCTTTAAGCTTCTTAGAAGCCCTGTTGAGGAACTGCATGGATCTGTCAGAAATCTGAACAAAGGATTTTACAGTCACCTTTTCAGCTTGATATTTAGACCATAATTTCCTGACTATTGCCTGGATTTGAGGTTTGCTTGCAAGCTGTCTCATAACTGTAGCATGGTTTGCTGTCTATAGAGGCTGGAGATTTACAAAATCGACAAGTCTCAGTCCCTCTTTTGTTTAATTGTCGTTTCTTAAGCTTATCTCTCTCCTTTTGTGTTTGATTATAAGCAGCAAGAAGAAACCAGGCAACATCTTACATGCTTTGCTAGACCACCCAGTTCATTAGGTACATTTTTTACTTTTCCTGTTACTTTTCTGGTTCCTATAGCCAACAGTTGATATGGTTTGGCTGTGGCCCTACCCAAATTTCATCTTTAATTATAGTTCCCATAATCCCCATGTGTCATGGTAGGGACCTGGTAGGAGGTAATTGAATCATGGGGGCAGTTACTCACATGCTGTTCTCATGATAATGAGTGAGTTATCATGAGGTCTGATGGTTTTATAAGGGGCTTTTCCCTCTTTGCTCGGCGCTTCTCTCTCCTGCTGCCCTTTGAAGAGTTGCCTTGTGCCGTGATTATAATTTTCCTGAAGCCTCCTCAGGCTTCATGTGAAACTGTGAGTCAATTAAGTCTCCTTTCTTTATAAATTAACCAGTCTCAGGTATTTATAGCAGCGTGAGAATGGACTAATACAGTAAATTGGTACCAAGTAGTGGAGTGCTGCTGTAAAGGACTTGCCTTGTCTCAGATGAGACTTTGGACTTGTACTTTTGAGTTAATGCTGGAATGAGCTAAGACTTTGGGGGACTGTTGGAAAGGCATGATTGTGTTTTGAAATGTGAGGACATGAGATTTGGGAGGGGGCAGGGGCAGAATGATATGGTTTGGCTGTGTTGCCACCCACATCTCCTCTTGAATTGTAGTTCCCTTATTCCTCACGCGTCATGGGAGGGACCTGGTGGGAGGTAACTGAATCAGGGAACAACCACCCCGTTCTTGTGATAGTGAATGAGTTCTCAGGAGATCTGATGGTTTTATAAGGGGCTTTCCCCACTTTGCTCAGCAGTTCTCTCTCCTGCTGCCCTGTGAAGAGGTGCTTTCTGCCATGATTGTAAATTTTCTGAGGCCTCCCCAGCCATGTGGAACTGTGAATCAATTAAACCTCTTTTCTTTATAAATTACCCAGGTATTCCTTCATAGCAGTGTGAGAATGGACTAATACAACAGTTTCTAAATTTTCTGCCACCACATAAGAATCTCCTTTTCTCCAGCTTTCTAATATTTCCCTTACCTTCCTGAAACTTTCTTAAAGGCTGTCAGGCTTCTGACAGTTTTTTAATGACTCTTCAGGCTCTTACTAAAACTGTCTTCAAAGTGCTTCTAGCTTCTGCCCACTGCTTAGTTTCAAATCCAATGATACCAAGTCGTTTTAGGTATATGTTACTTGGTCCTGTCCATATTCAAGGTGAGGGGAAATATTATGAGCACTTAAAAATTATGTCAGGTTTTTATGATTTTTTTTTCCTGAATAAACATTTATTCTCTGGGGCAAAGCTTAGTGTTTCTGGGTAAAACTCTTATAGTCTTTTTTACTGAAATTATAAGAAAAAAGTAAAAAGTTTGGAGAGTCACACATTGAGCAATATTCACATGCTTTCTTCAGATTATTTTTTCAGGCAGTAGCTTCCATTTTGAGGTTATTTTATCTGTTGTTGCCCTGCATAGAAAATATACAATATGTACACACATACACTCTCACAAGCACTTAAAAGAACGAGATAGGCAGAATGAATCTGAAGTCTTTCTACAGTAAATGTATATCCTACATTGCCATTTATTTTTAGCAACTTTTAAAATTAGTAGATGTAATTTCTCAGGAAAGTTTATCCACATTGAAGGCTCAGAATCTTAAATAGTTTATATCATTTATTCCTTTGGGATTCTTTTGTGAATTGGCTTAAATTGAATTACATATACAGTTTTAAATCAGCTAATTTATCATAGACTACACATCTCTTGATGTTCAGTAGGACAATTTATTTCATTGAAGTGATACTCTTTTTCATAAAAGTAAAATATTTTTTATAAAATTTACATTCATTTTTGACTAAATGAACACAAAGTTTAATCTAGGTTGTGTATATAAAAAGCAGGCATACAGGATTTGTGCAGTTAGTACTAGTTTAACTCTAGTATTCAAAATGTAAGCATGCAGTTTGGTAATTTGGTAGTTACACAACAAGCAGTATTCATTCTTATGTATTTCTTGAACTTAGTTGATGATTTTTAAAATACTAATTTGTAAGTTTGCTGGTATGGCTTATTGAATATTGTACAGGTACTTGAATGAGTTTTTAAATATTTATACAGTAAAAGAGTACTTGTTTTTAAGTAAAACAGCAAAGCAAATATTCTACATGTGGTACATTGGATGATGATTTTCAAAGCAGAATGATGTTAATTGAATTTATAAGATAAGGCATAGAATGTAGCATTGACATGCTATTTTTAAAGCACTTTAAAAGACTGATAAGGAGTTTAGAAGAATTGCTTGTCACTGGAGCTCAGACGTTTCTTAAGGATCACAATGTTAAGTAAAATACAAGGAGTTAAATGGATGTAGAAGAATTTTAAGTGAAATGTTGAGCAAAAAATGGGATACTTTTTGATGTTAAGCTTGAATGAAATCTTTTCACTTTTATGCATGTATCAGGTCCTTTACTTTTATCTGAAGAAAGGTGTTATTTGACTTCATATTAACTTATTAATGACTCAAAGAAAAGAAGTCTAATTGGTCTTAGACTATGTCTTAGAGCTTCTATCCTTGGAAAAGAAATGAGGACTTTCTGGTGACCTCTTATGGTCTGAACTCAGAGCTGTTCAGGTTGCGGTCCTTAATGTCTGAATAATGTCATGTTCTCTTTAAACATGCTTCACTAAAGCAATTAATTCTCAGCATGGGTGTGGGGAGAAATGCCAGGGTGCTTTGAATAACCCATTCCCCTCAGGTGGTGATACAGTTTCAGGTGAGCATTTCTTAGACAGAAACTTCCCCCGCCTTCCCCTCTTTCCCCTTACCCCTGTTCAATAGGGACCTTCAAAAGTCTACCTTCTTTTTTTCTTTGAGATGGAGTCTCACTCTCTCGCCCAGGCTGGAGTGCAGTGGCGTGATCCCCGGCTTACTGCAACCTCTGCCTCCTGGGTTCAAGCGATTCTCCTGCCTCAGCCTCCCAGGTAGCTAGGGTTACAGGCGTGTGCCACCATGCCCAGCTAATTTTTGTATTTTTAGTAGAGACAAGGTTTAGCCATGTTGGCCAGGCTGGTCTTGAACTCCTGACCTCAAGTGATCCACCCGCCTTGGCCTCTCAAAGTGCTGGGATTACAGGCCTGAGCCACTGTTTCTGGCCAAAAGTCTACCTTTTGAGAACCTTTTGAATTAGGTAAAGAAAAGAACAGCAGGAGAATTAGCCCAAGTCAGTCCAGAAGCCTGTAATGTACTTACTTGGTAAAAGGGAGGTTGCATTATCTAAAAATAGATCATACTATCTGGATGTGAATTCTAGTTCTGTTCCCAAATAACTTTATGTCTTTGGGCAGGTTACTTAACCTCTCTACTTCAGTTTTACCATCTGCAAATAGAGTTGTTATGAGGATATAATTACATATATACACACCTAGAACAATGTTTTGCACATAGTATGCTCAATAAAGTTTAGCTTTTGTTTTTATTAATGCCACTACTTATACCATCACTACTGCTGTTGTAACATTTTGGCCAGGTTTTTTGTTTTTGTTATTGTTCTGTTTGTTTAGTTTTCGGGTTTTTTTTGCTGGTTGCCCTTACTGGTTTTGCCCTACCTTGTGGCCACCAAAATAACATTACTGATCTGGTGTGAACTGATATAGATTCAATTTTTTAAAAAACATTTTAAAACAAATTTTAACTGGTCAAATATGTTTGGAAGAGTTGGTAGATATTAAATCTAGTTTTAAAATTAAAAATAAATATATTTGGGCCAGGCACGGTGGCTCACGCCTGTAATCCCAGCACTTTGGGAGGCCAAGACAGGCTGATTGCTTGAGCCCAGGTGTTCAAGACCAGCCTGGGCAACATAGTGAAACCCTGTCTCTACAAAAAAAAAAATTAAAAAACACAAAATTAGCTAGGCTTGGTGATGCATGCCTGTAGTCCCAGCTATTTGGGAGCCTGAGGTGGGAGGATGGTTTGAGCCTGGGCAGTTGAGGCTGCAGTGAGCCATGATCATGCCACTGCACCCCAGCCTGGGTGACAAAGTGAGACTCTCTTTATCTCTCTCTCTCTCTGTCTAAAAAGAAAAAACATATATATATTTATATATTTATTATATATTTATATTTTTACAATATATATTTTTATATTCTTTAATATTTTTATTTTTATTAATATGTAATATGTATTTGTTCTTTACTGGTTTTCCTAAATATAAGTATAGATATGTATATTTGTATACATATATTTGAAAATGTGTATAAATATACATACACACACACACACACACACATATTTTTTTTTTTTGAGGAAAACCAGTAAAGAACATTTACTTATTCTCATTCCTTTACATGGTAAAAAGTAAATTTTATTTAATAAGAAATATTTCAGATAAAATTATTTACCACAAATTGAAAACTTGTAAAAGAATTGATTACTTGTTATGTCTAATTTTTCCTATGTAATCACAATTAAAACAAATTCTTATATAGTTATAACTGTGTAAATACTGTTCACTTATATCATATTATCATTACATGTTATTTCTTTTTGTGATTTTCAGAACCAATAATTGTCTCCGTTTTTGTTACTGTTGTTGTTTTTACAGTTTTCTAATCACTAGTTTGTTCCCAAATGCTATATTCCCAAACTCTCTGCTGGATCTCTGAGCTCCTCTGTGTATGTTCAAACACAATTTATTAATGCCGTACTTTTTTTTTTTTATTGATTCATCCCTTCAATAGTCTTCTGTCCTTTACTAATCGGAACTAATTCCTCTTTAGGAGTGTTGAGCAGCTGTCATCCTAAGACTTCCTTTCAACATCAACCTGTGGAATGTCCTCTTTTTTTTCTTCTGTAATCTCTTTATCCCTGATGCTGTCTTCTGTCTTTCTTGTTTTACTTCCTTATTTTTATGTATCATATCTCCCAGTAGCTTCCTGACAGCAGCAGTTTTTTTCAGTCATTGCATATCTGACCGTGTCTTTATTGTACATTTACCCTTAATTGATTGATTGATTGATTGGGTGTAAAATTTTGGATTGAAAATAACTTTCTTTTATAATTTTGAAGACCTTGCTCTTTTTCCTTGCTCAGCAATAATGCTGATGAGAAGATAGATGCCATTCAGATACCTGATTCTTTGAATGTTTGAATGTGGGAGTTTTTGGATCTTTGCATTGTCCCTGTTATTTAAAACTTTCCTAATAATGTGCCTTGGTATACATCTTTTCCCCATTCATCGTATGGAGTGTCTTTTGACTTTTTAAATCTGGAAACACCCTTCAGTTCTATGTGATTTCATGTTTGCTATTTCTTGGTAATTTTCACTGTCTCTCCTCTCTGTCTCTGGATCTCCTTTTATTTGGTTGTTGAACCTTTTAGGTTAGTCTTTCAATTATCTTTTCTGTTTCCTTTTCCCTCTTTTTCTCTTTTTATTCTTCTGAGATTGCCTCAAGTTTATCTTCCAAACTTGCTATTTTTTCATATCAGATATTTAATGTCTAAGATAGCTTTCTCTTCTACGTTATTATTTCATTATTATTATTTTGAGTTATCTTTTGCTCCCTGCCTTGTGTCTGTTCTTTTGTGTTTGTTTTGATCTCTGACATTTCACTTTATGGGCTTTCTTCAAATGTACGGGGATTATATTTGAGAGAAGCACTAAAATTACCTCTGGCAGCTCTGTGTGTAAGAGTGGAACTAGTTGACCAGCAAATTTTGCTGTAAAAGATGTTAGGGTTCACTACTCTGAATTCACATGCTTCTTGTGACTTTTCTCTTTGCAAGCTTAAGTCTTATTTTTGGTCTGCTGAGTTAGCTGCTTACATATTTATCTGTTTTCTAACTTCCAAACATTTTTCTAGCTTCCACATTTTTGACATCTCCCATATACTGTTATCTATTCAATTCCTGTGCTGTTTGTCTTTTGGGGTTTATCCTTTTCTGTGGCTTTATTGTAGTTTTGAGAGGGTTTTGAGAGGGATAGGTGTAAACCTGTGTGTTCTAATCTCCATTTTGATGGGAGCTCCTGCCATTTGTAATTTCTTGGACTGTTCTAAAATTATAATTTTTATTTTATTTTTTAAATCAGTCTATCTATCTATCTATCTATCTATCTATCTATCTATCTATCTATCTATCATCTATCTAAGACAGTCTCACTCTGCTGCTCAGGCTGGAGTGCAGTGGTGTGATCTCAGCTCACTGCAACCTCCACCTCCTGGGTTCAAGCAGTTTTCCTGCCTCAGTCTCCCGAGTAGCTGGGATTATAGGCGCCTGCCACCATGCCTGGGTAATTTTTGTACTCTTAGTAGTGACAGAGTTTCACCATGTTGGCCAGACAGGTCTTGAACTCCTGACCTCAAGTGATTTGCCCGTCTCGGCCTCCCAAAGTGCTGGGATTACAGGTGTGAGCCACTGTGCCTGGCCTAAAATTATAATTTTTGATATTGAGTTTGTAATATGATCTCTTTATAAATCTATAAAACCCTCCGTATATTTCAGTGATTAACAAACTCCTTGAGTGCCCATAAATTAGAACAATTCAAAGAAAAAATCATAGTTTGTTCAATTCTGATTTGTTTTAGACAAGTTGTCAAAGTGACAAGCAGGGAAGGGAAAACTTCTGTAAGGTAGCATTACAAGGAATCAGGACAATTAAAGCAAATCATATCCAAATTTATAGTTGATTAGAATAGAAGTAAATGGTCCAGGCACGGTGGCTCATGCCTGTAATCCTAGCACTTTCAGAGGCCAAGGCAGGTGGATAGCTTAAGCTCAGGAGTTCAAGACCAGCCTGAGCAACATGGCAAAACCCCATCTCTACCAAAAATTCAAAAATTAGCCAGGCATGGTGGTGCTCACCTGTAGTCCCAGCTACTCAGGAGGCTGAGGTGGAAGGATTGCTTGAGCCCAGGAGGCTAAGGTTGCATTGAGTCGACTTTGCGCCACTGCAGAGCTAGACCCTGTCTCAACAACACAACAAAAAGAATAGACATAAATGATATTTTTCTTTTTCTTAACCACTGTGTCTTTTACAATAATTTTGTCTAGGTTATGGAACGAAAGTACAAGCTTGGACCCCTTGTTATCTAATTGATACTGTGCTTGACTTAACATGTGTATCTGTTAAGTCAAGGTTGTTGCATTGCAACCTCTTGTTTGTGTTCACAGCTTAGCTTGGTTACCTTTGGCCCATGAAACTTTCTGGTTCTTTTCTTTTTTTCTTTTGCTTTAGTTTGAGGGATTCATTTGGCCATTACCTACTTAGTTTTGGTACTGGGGAACTGACTTTCTTTTAGGATATGGCGGAAAGTTTTAGATGGATATTTTGGTGTCCCAGTTGTTTTCAGTGAAATTTTTCTCCATTCTTTTTTCTCCTTTTTGATTATTTCATGGATGAAAGGTCTTTTCAGCATGGTGAGAGATCTGTATTGCCAACTTTTGCTTCTGATTTATTTTCAGCCCAGAGGACCTGTATTCTCTGGCAGCTTTTACTGTAGCTGTTTCCAGTCCAGACTCTGGATTGGTCCTTAAGCAGTGGTGGAGCAAATAATGACACAGAGCAAGTTTAGCATTGGACCATTGAAAAATTTCATAAAACTAACTTTTTAGATAATGTAGATCAAATTTTTTCTCTGATTTCAGAATTTCAGAACTGAAATTCGCTGCTACATTAAGGGAGAGATTTATATTTCACATCAAGTATTGATACTTGGGTCTATTGTGTGTGGATCCTGCATTCTTAACATAATTTTCAGAAAATGTATGGGTTATAACAATATAAAGAAAAATTTCCAAATTTAATTTACTTCTATCTAGTTTGGCTTATTGCAGTTGGGGAAAAATTAGGGGCCTAAAATTAAATTGCCATTTTCATCAATTTATAATGTGGCTTTTAAAAAGGAAATGGTATATGATAACCATTACAAGATATGTTGGTTTTTAAAATTTTAGTGCATACACCTGTGCCCTGGGTAACTATTATAAACAAATCTTTTAAAATATTTTTTATTCAAGAAAAGTATGGAGCATGATTGGAAATAGTGCCTTATGAATTTGATTTTTATACCTATTATAGAAAAAGCTTGTCTGATGAGAATGTATCTTGACAAATTGACATGTTTTGATAGGTGCTGAGGTAATTGTACAGATTTCTAAAATTAAACAAATTGCAAACAGAGATTTCTGTAGAAGGTTAATCCAATATCAAAGTTTTTGTGTTAGTTTAAGTGTTGTTAAATATGACAAAGATCTTCTTTTGGCATTTCTGAGTATGTGATGTAAATTAGGTGTTGAGATGGGTCAACTGTATTACATAGTAAGAATTCGTTTTCTGGATATTAGTGGAAGATATTCCCAAATCTTTAGCATGAGTTGATTAAATAATATATCTGTTTGTTCATATTTACTGTAAACACTTGAATTGCTTATGGCAAGTCCACCTTTAAAGAGTATGTATTAACAAAATTGGTCTTTCTATGCAATAAAGCTTCAAAATGCAACATTTTGTTGTTACCAAGGAGCATTCTACGGTAGTGTTGTGTATGATATAAAGCAAATTTATGGGAATTGTCTCTGCCATATGAAAGTTTAAAATATATTATTGAATAAATGATGCTATTTTGAAAATAGAATGTACTTAAGTGCATTTTTTAAAAGCATATACATATTGAAATTTGTAAAATATTTTAAAAATACTCTGAAAAGAAACTGCAAAAAGTTTTTGGTGAAGTAATGGAATACAGAGTTCTTGTCAATATAAAAATTGTAGACATTAATCACTTAGAGTTTATATGCTTTATTACCTCTAATAGAAACATGATTCTTTGGGATTTGTGATACTCGATATAGTATGTAAAATATTTAATAAATTGCTATATCATTTGAGCTTTCTCTTTGTGGTAGTGGTGGCTTTTGGAAAAAGCAAACAAAAAACAATGCTTGATTTTTATTCTGGGAAATTTCTCATTTAATTTTTGTAGGCTAGGGCCTAGGCATCAGGATTTTTTTAAAAACCTTCCTAACAGATTCCAATGTGTGGCCTGGGTGAGAACCACTGACTTATGGGTTGTAGTGTTGGGCCTTGTGATAAAACAGATAATAAATATTTGCTCAAATTAAAAAGCAAAGGATTTTCTCAATTTTTTAAGTTAACTTTTTATTTTTGAATAGTTTTAGGTTTATAGAAGAAATAGAAAAATAGTTTAGAGAGTTTCCATATACCACCCACATTCAGTCTTCCCTGTTATTAATATCTTATATTCGTATGATACATTTGTCTAAATAATGAACCAATATTAATACAGATTTGAAACTAAAGTGCCTATTCTTTTCAGATTTACTTAGTTTTTACCTAATGTTCTTTTTGTGTTTTAGGACCCATCAAGTTACCATATTACATTTAGTCATCATGTCTCCTTAGGCTTCTCTTTTTTAAAAAAAATTGATATATAACGATTATACATATTTACAGGGTAAAGTGTGATATTTTGATACATGTATACATTGTGTAAAAATCAAATCAGAATATTTAGCATTTCCATCACCTCATGCATTTATCATTTCTTTGTGGTAAGAACATTCAAAATCTTCTGCCATTTTGAAATATACAGTATTGTTGACCACAGTCACTGTACTATGCAACAGAACACCAGAACTTATTCCTCCTAACTGTAATTTTGTATTTATTGACCAATCTCTCCCTACCACCCCTAGCCTCTACAAGCCTCCCCTACCTCTGGAAACCACCATTTCTACTCTCTACTTCCATGAGATCAGCTTCTTTAGTCTTTCTGTGCTTGGCTAATTTCACATGGTATGTATATACCATAAAAATGAATGAAATTTTGTCATTTGTGGCAAGCACGTATTTACCTGGAGGACGTTAAATGATATAAGCCAGGCACAGAAAGGGTTCATGATGTCGCAGCCTCTCGGAATGTCCTTGTTTTTGGTGACCTTGAGAGTTTTGGGTAATAATGGTTAGACATTTTGTAGAATGTCCTTCAATTGGGATTTTTTTTTCTAATGATGAGACGAGGCTTATTGGTTTTTGAAAAGACCCAGAGATAAATATAAGTCTCATCACATCAAGAGTAAATTATTCTGTCAACATGACTTACCACTGTTGATGTTAACCAGGATCACATGACTGAGGTAGCATGTCATGTTTCTTTACAGTAAAATTATTCTTTCTTTCTTTTCATACTGTACTCTTTGGAAGGAAGTCACAGTACACAGCTCACATTTAAGAAGTGGGGGGTTATTCTCCACTTTCTTGAGGATGGAGTATTTAGAATTTTTTCTACACAGGAGATTTGTCTCTTCTCCCCATTTATTCAGTCATTCGCATCAATATTGACTCATGGTTATTAGTTTATATTTTGGATTATAATCCAATACTACTATGTTTATTTATTTATTTATTTTGCTTAAATTGTTCCAGCTTTGGCCATTGGGAACCTTTTGTTTTGACTCCTTTGTCCCTATGACATATCCCCATCATTGTGCGGTTTTGTTTTGTTTTTAGCTCTTCCTTACTCTCTGACACTATAAGATATTCTAGGCTCATCTTGTATATTTCCTGTTCCAGTACTAGAATAAGGAGCCTACTTCCTTTTACTGGAAAACTGTAGGAAATCAAGTTTGGATTCCAGGGGGACTTTTTTGTACTGTGGGATGTTGTTGCTTCTGTGCCCTCTCAGCTTATGAGGCAAGGAGATATATGTGTGTATACTAGCCTATGTATATACACATTTATAACTATATATGTAGGCACGTGTGTGTGTGTATATATATGTATGTGTATACATCTGTATCTGTATTAAACTAAACATTAATTTATACTGTTGTGTCTGACTCTAATCCATTATTATTCTAGATGGGTCCTCTTGCTTGTTTATAACCTACAACTCCAATGGTGAGAAACCTGGCTCCTATCATTCATTTACTAAGTTTCTCAACTCCAGTATACATGTATAGTGGTTTCAGAATTCTTAACCCATGTGGAAAACATGGAAAACAACATTATCAGTTACACTGCTTATGTATCATTTCTTTTGTCTTTAGTCTAACAGAATTCACAGTTCACTTACTCCAAAGTTACTTAGGTTAGTACCTTTTCTTCTCACCTCCTTCAGTGAATTTGTTTCAATATATTTTTAATACAGTTACTTTTTTTTTTTTTGCCACATTCTACATTTCACCCTGGGATCCCCTGACCTCCTAAATTTTTTTTTTTAATTTTGCATACATTGGGTTCACTCTTTTTGTTATTGTTGTTGTTGTTGCTTTTGAGACTGGGTCTCTCTCTTTCACCCAAGCTACAGTTCAGTGGCACAAACATAGCTCACTGTCTTGAACTTTTGGGCTGAAGCGATCCTCCTGCCTCAACCTCCCAAGTAGCTGGGACTACAGGCATGCACCACCAGGCCTGACTTTTTTTTTTTTTTTTTTTTTTTTTTTTCATTTTTTGTGGAGATGGGAGTCTTACTATATTGCTCAGGCTGGTCTAGAACTCCTGGTCTCGAGGGATCCTCCTGCCTCAGTAGGTTCACTCTTTATGATGTAAAGTTTTGACAAACGCATGGTATTAGGCATCAAAACGATACACATGATACACTGTACTGTCAAACAGAACAGTTTCATCACCCTTAAAAAAAATCCATTGTGCTTCACATAATCAACTCTCCCCCAACCCCCTTTCAACCGCTGATCTGTTTACCATTTATAGTTTTGGCTTTTCCAGAATATCATATAATTGGAATCATATATTATGTAGCCTTTTCAGACTGGCTTTTTTCATTTAACACTACGTTTTTTGTAACAGTCATCCATGGTTTTTTTTGTGGCTTAATAGCCCATTTTATCACTGAATAGTATTACATTGCAGAGATACATGACAGTTCATTTATCCATTAACTTATTGAAGGCCATCTTCAATAGTTACTTATTAGTTTGGGGCAGTTATCAATAAATAAAGCTGCTGTATACATTCATATGCTGGCTTTTGTATGGATATAAGTTTTCAGGTACATTGAGTAAGTATCTAGGATCATAGTTGCTGGATCTTATGGTATGTTCAGCTTAGTAAGAAACTGCCAAACTCTTTTCCAAAGTTGTATCATTTTATATTCCTACTAACCAAGGAATGAGAGTTTCTGTTGCTGCGCACCAGTAGTTTGTATGGTCAGGGTTTTTGTTTGTTTGTTTTTGCATTTTAACCATTCTAAAAGGTGTTTAGTGGTATCTCGTTTTAATTTGCAATTCCTTAGTGATGAAGATGTCGGGCATCTTTTTATATGCTTATTTGCCATTTATATATCTTTGGCAAAGTGTATGTTCAATATTTTTCCCCATTTTTAAATTGTGTTGTCTGTTTTCTTATTGTGAATTTTTAAGAGTTTGTGTATTTTGGATACGAGTCCTTTATAAAGTAAGTATTTAACAAATATTTTCTCCCATTTTTGATTTGCCTTTTCATTCTTTAATAGTGTCTTTCACAGAGCAGAGATTTCTAGTTTTTAGTTTTTGCCTTTTGTTTTTTTAGAGACAGGGTCTCATTCTTTCGCACAAGCTGAGTGCAGTGGATGATCATAGCTCACTGTAGCCTCAAACTACAATCCTCCTGCCTCAGCCTCCTGAAGTACTGGGATTACCAGGCATGAGCCACCATGCCCAGCTGAAGTGTTTAGTTTTATTATGATGATACCAGCTTTTTTCCATGGATCATGCTTTTGGTGTCTATAAATTCACTACCAAACTCAAGGTCCCATAGATTTTCTCCTGAGTTTTCTTCTATAGGTTTTATGGTTTTGCATGTTATATGGGTCTTTGAAGCATTTTGAGTTAATTTTTGAGAAAGCTGTAAGGTCTATATCTGGGTCCTTTTTTTTTTTTTCCGTATGGATATCCGGTTGTTCTAGCACCATTTGATTAAAAGACTGTTCTTTCTCCAATGAGTTGCCTTTGTGTCATTTTCAAAAATCTGTTGACTATATTTGTGTAGGTCTGTTTCTGAGCTCTTTATTCTGTTTCAATGATACATCATTGATATATGTGTGTATTCTTTTGCCAGTACTGTGCTGTTTTGATTACTGTAGTGTTATAGAAGTTTTAAGATTGGACACTGAATCTTCCAATTTTCTTTTTCCTTTTCTTTTCTTTTTTGGACACGGCATCTTGCTTTGTTAACCAGGTTGGAGTACAGTGACAGCAATCACGGCTCACTGCAGCCTTGACCTCCTGGGCTCAAGTGATTTTCTCACATCAGCCTCCCAAGTAGCTGGGACTGTAGGCGCATGCTGCCACATGTGGCTAATTTTTGTATTTTTTATAGAGATGGTGTCTTGCTGTGTTGCCCAGGCCGGTCTCAAACTCCTGGGCTCAAGCAATCCACCCACTTCAGCCTCCTAAAGTGCTGGGATTACAGGTGTGAGCCTCTTCTCCTGGCCAAATTTTGTTTTTCTGATTCAGTATTGCCTTGGCTGTTCTAGGCCTTTTGCATTTCCATAGAAAGGATCATTTTGTCAACATTTCTAAATTAACTTCCTGGAATTCTTATTGGGATTGAATGAAATCTATACATCAAGTTAGGAAGAAATGGCATTTTAACAGTATTGAGTCTTCAAATTCATGAACATGGGGTGTTTCTCAATTTATTTAGATCATCTTTTATTTTTTGCATCAGTGTATACAGATCCTGTACATGTTTTAATATGTTAGACCTAAGTGGGTTTTTTTTCTGTTGAAATTTTTTTTAATTTCAAATTTCAGTCATTTATTGCTGGTATGTAAGAAAGCAATTGACTTTTGTGTATTGCCCTTGTATCCTGTGACGTTGCCACACACACTAATTTTTATTAGTTCTAGGAGTTTTTTGTAGATTCTGTGAAATTTTCTACACAGACAATGATGTCATCTGCAAATATAGATAGTTTCTTTCCAATCTTTATAACTTTTTTCTTATTGTACTAACTAGACCTCAGTTTTCTTTTAACTTTAATATGTTTCTGTATCCTCACTATGTTTCCTTGTCTCCCTGGTTCAGAGGTTATATATTTTTCCCATTTATAAATATGGATATGGAAGAAAAATAAGACATGGTAATTGCCTATAAGAAGATTGCAATCTAATGAGTGAGACAAATAAACTGATAACTGATCATAATGCAATGTAGCAAGTACTGTGATAGAGGTATGCATGAACAGTAATTGTTTTATTGCTCTTGGTTTTCTTTTTACTTCCCTCAAAAGGCCCCTTCTCTGCTTGTTTCTTTAGTCAGCTACATTATCCCTTTCTTCTGGGCCCTTTTTCCTCATTCAAAATATAGTTATCCTTTGACCATTTAAAAAATAAGGGAAAAAACAACAAATTATTTACAACTAAACTTCTTGATAGCATAGTCAGAGCCTTTGTTTTTTCACTTTGCACTTACACTGTGGCTGAAGTATTCTCCAGCAGTATTCTCTCCAAGGCGTATTTCTGTGTAAGATGAGATCACTTTAGCAGTTATTTAATTTGCGATGTCCATAGGTCATTTAAGTCATTTTGTGTAGCAGGCAGTTGGATACAGCGGTCTGAATCCCAAGGGAGAACTCAGGCAAATTAGGAAATCAGTGCTTTCCGCAGTTGGTAGTTAAACCATGAGCATAGATTGGATTGCTCAAAAAGTGGTTAAAGAAAAGTGTAGGTTGCTGCTTTTGTCTTGACATCCTAGCCATTGCCTCCTCTGGAAAGAGGAAGCCTTTCATGGGGCTCCTCCAGGCTTCAGTTTGGCAAGTGCTCCTCTGTGTTCACCATGGAATACTGCGTTTAGCTCTGAGAATATTTATCTCACTGTGTTTGTCTATTTTGTAACTCCCCATTAAACTATACATTTCTCAAGGAAAAGATTATACCTTAACACACTTGCCTGGCACACAGCAAACATTTATTACATAAATATTTAATTGGTAAATACTTATCAAATCAAGAAACACGTGTATAAAACTGTTTTAAACAGGTTTTGCCTGACTTTTACTCATCATTAAGGATAGTGCCAGCCACAAAATCATCAACACAGAATGTATTTGCATTTAATAATTAATAAGGTGTATACTTGCACATGAAGTATTTCTTCAGCAATGCTTAAGTCAAATGTGTGAAAAATATTTGGGTTGTGGGGGAGATTGTTTTTTGTTGCCCTGACATTTTTCTGCCCCAGAATTTCATTTTTATCAGGAAGTTCAGTGATGTAAACTGTATGTTAAAATCAATATTGTTACTTTAGCATGTTTCAAGTAGTCTTCTTTTGAATTGTATGTTTTGGAAATTTTCTAAAATTATTTTACAAAATTATATCTAAGTTTATGTAGGTGATATTTCTGTTGTTAAAATTTAAACAATAAAAATACAATTTATGTATTAAAATTTCTGTTTACTACCAACAAACCAAAAAGAACAACAACAAAATTTCTGCTAACTCTTAAAAATACTATCATAATGGAAGAGAAAAGGAATGAGAGAAAGAAAGAATGAAGAAAAGAAAAAAATCTTTTTAAAGACCCTTTAGCCCTTAGTTGTATTTGTTCTAAGAACATAAGATATATACAATCATAAATCTTTTCATATAAAAGCAATTTAGAATGAAGTTTTGATAAATTAATATGAATATTCATTATTTACTTTTGTATACTTCTATAAATTTTGTGGAATCACCACCTGTTCATTGAGTTCATGCTATTATATGCAAGTGGAGGTTACTGAATGTGAAAGACATTTGTTGTCCTTGAGGAACATAAACATTGCTTATATAAAGGTATCAACATGACAGTGGTTACAGTATTTTTAAATATATCACTGCTTAAAAATGTATCAAGAAACCATTAGCCTATTTCTGAAAGCTATTGATGGTATGTTAGTTAATGTAATAACCTATTTTATAAACCTATTTGTGTAAATCTCCAAATAGTGGAATTTTAGTCTTTTGTCTTTGGTTCCCTCTTGTGGATGTTTTATAAACTGCTTGTAAGAACACAACAGTTTTTAAAGGTGTCATTCTTATTTTAAAATATTTGATTTTATAAGTTTCTTTATATTTGTCAATCCTTTGACATGCTTTTGGCTGTGAAAGAAAAAAGAAATGTCACGGTTAAGGTTGCTTTTACTTTTAATTTACTCTATTGTATATTAGTATTGTGCACAGGAGATGTAAGGTAATCTTTTGTTTGGAAACTTCTCCTATAATGCCAAAAACTTGTACAGTCTTGCATCATGGAGCCTCTGAAGTCCTGCCCACATGCCTTTTCACCAATTAGGCTTGTTATACTGATGAATAAGTCTTTTATGACGTTTGGAGATCCTGAAAGCTTTGATGTAACTTTAAAACATGCCTGTGAATGTGCAAAAAGTTAGGATCCATGAAGTTTCTGTTTGCTAAAGACAGGTATGTCAAAGACAGCAGCTGTATAAGCTATTAAGCTGATTTCGTAGTGAAAGGGAAAGACCACCTACTTACAGCAGTGAGAAGACAATTAATTCTTTTTATAGATTTTCAGATACTGTAAATCTTAGTTTTTAATGGGTGAATACCAATTTGTTACTTTTTTCAGCCCGTCAGACATTGAAGTGGCACTTAAGGGCGGCTATTTGAAAGAGACTATTTTTGATGTTTTCTCAGTAATTTTTAGCTCAGTTGGATCAGAGTTACCAGTTGATCTACTGTGGGCAATTTCACTTGGAACACAGAAACAACAAACAGGTACAACCTTGTGTATTAATAACAAGGACAATGGGATAACTGCTATCCTTTACCAGAGTTGGAAGTACAGTTTCAAGGTAATGCTCTGTTGGTCACATCAGTAGTTTCACCTTGCTATAGGAAAGAGTGTTTTTAGTTTAGTAGGAATCTTACATGATTCGAGACATACAAGCAAATGTACGATAGTACCCTTTGATTTTTGCCTTTCTAACTCAGTGATTAAAATATATTTATCGACCTAGGTTAACATGTTAGCATCAAGCAGTCACCAGCCCCCGAATTCCGTTATGCATGAGGAAAGAAGTGAAAGATTCTTACCCTAGTTTTCCCCAGTTTTGTGCTCATCTTGCAGTTGCATTGGACATGCCTTGTTGATTTCTTACTTGATGGGAAAATGAATAATTAGATTTCATTTCCTTGATCATATGGTCAA
Source organism: Homo sapiens (assembly GCF_000001405.40). Lineage (NCBI taxonomy): Eukaryota > Metazoa > Chordata > Mammalia > Primates > Hominidae > Homo > Homo sapiens. Next base: position 98,557,030 of record NC_000008.11, on the reverse strand, counting down.
GTGACAAAGTATAGTAAGTCATTTTTTGATTACAAATAACTGGTGTTACCTATTTTATTCAAATTAAAATCTCTCTCAACTTTCTCTTTAGATTCAGTTTGATCTCTTTAGGTTCTGAATATTGGAGTTATTGTTGATCCATTATATTTGACTGCCTAGAAACTTTCTAGAAAATGTTAATTCCTCTTTGGTGATTTCTTTCAGATTCAGCTTGTCATTTCTGTTACTATATGACCCTTTTTAGTACAGGCTCTAATTAATTATCCTCAAATCTGGATTCTAGTAATAACCGTCTGATTCTAGTCTTTCTCCAGTCTTTCCCTTCTCCAAATCATCTTTTAGTTCCCAAGGTTCCTATCACTCCTTTGCCAAGCAACTTATGCTGGGCTCCCAGTGTTGAAAGCATCCATGAGCTGTAGGACATTCCCTAATTCAATCAAACTTACTCATTGCTTTCCATTCTAGCTGGAATATTTCTACTTTTGTTCTCGGTTATTTCTGCAGTTTAGAATGCCACTGTCTATTCTTCCCTAATTTTACCCCAAGATCCAGCTTTCTAAGGGGACTAAATTAATTCTAAGGAGCAAGGGCATCTTAATTCTGTTGTTTGTTCTTTCTACCCATTCTCAGTGGCTTGTTTACTCATGTATTTATCTTTGGGATAGTGAGTTCACGTTTGGCTAGATTTTATCTCTGAGAATGGTGTGAGTTGAGGGTTCAGTATGCGTCCCTGTAATATGGATTTGTATTTGTTTCTATCAGGCACCTGGGGTGCTACCTTACTGGGGCTATATTTGGTTAACTTCTCAGTTTGAGGTTCCCCTAGAGCGTGTGAGTGATGTAAAATTGAAGGCCTAAACCATGGTTATAAATTCTAAAGGGAGGCTTCCCAATCCCTGTCCCCTACCTTAGGGAGGCTTCCCAATCCCTGTCCCCTACCTTACCTAGCTCAGGTAAGACTTGTCATCTCCTTTGCCACTGGGTAAATTGTTTCTTGCCTATCCTTTTGCTGAGGATGTAGACTTTCAAAATTCCCAATTTTAAGTGGAGGTTTCATTTCTACTTTGGAAAGAATCCAAATACTTCCCTTTTCCCTTTTATCTGTTAAAATATAAACCTTATTTAACCACTAATCCCCCACCCCCATCATCACATGCCTCTAAAGAAGCCTTCAAGTTAGATTTGGCTTATTACCATAGCTCCGTTTTGAGCCCTTACTATCTTGAAAACTCAGCTATGTATTTGTAGTATGTTTGTTACATTTATTGTTTGCTGTTTAATTAGCACCTTTAAGAGGTTTTAAAAATATTTAGACCACTATAATGCAACTTTTTGTATAATTGTTTCAAGTATATATTTTACACGTTTTTTTCTGAAGAATATTTTTTTCATGCTATAGCAGAATGCATACTCGTTAGAATTGTCCAGTTGAATGAAAGCCATTAAGATCACTGCTCTGATACTGATACTATGCTGTTATGTGATTGCATGTGCAATAAAGAAGTGTTTAATGTCATTTTAAGAAGAAAAATAAAATTAGAATATTTTCCGTTTAGGACACCTGTTTAAGGAGTAGTCTAACTGTCTCACTAAACAGGTATCCTAACTGAGAAATATTCTATTTTTATATTCTAAACATTTTGAGAATATAGAAACAATTTTATATTCTAAAGTATTTGTCTTTTGTGACACTAATGACAAATTAGTCTCACAAGTGATAAATACTTTTTATCCTTAATTCAGTCAATTACTGAGTATTTAGAAAATGCTTTAAGGTAGTAGATATTACAAATATCTACTAGTAGATAATGCAAAATCTCTGATTATTTCTCAGGCTGTTTTAGCATAAGCATGTCTTAGCAGTGGAGTAGGATTTCCTAATAATGTTTTCAAATATTTGTATTCCATGTGGATTTTATGATTCATAAACTGGATTATCATCAGTACTGTGTTTTGCATTCCTGGCACATGATGGCCACTGATTGAAAATGCTATTGTATTCCTTACTGGAATTGGCTGCTTTCTACAGTGGGGAAGCATCTGTTCTGCAGACCTTTTTCTATGAAGTATCAACATGTTTTTCTTCTGCTTTTCTTTTGTGAGGAATAACAGAGTATATGTAAGTGAAATATAATTTTGAAAAAACATAAATGTTTCATTATAAAAATATAAAAAGTATCAAATGAAATTATAATACTAATCTAAAATATCAAGAATAAGTTAAGAATTTTAAAAAGTAAAAGCTGTGGCTTAAAAGTTTTCAACACCATCACCAAATTATAAGTGAGTTTTCTAATTTCGTTTAACTAGTTATCATTCCATCTGTACTTTATTAATTTCTATTTGTGTGTCACCCTCTCATTAGTGAATTGAGTGTTCATGCTATTTTTATTGCTATTTTTTACTGTCAATTTGTAAATTAGATTAGCATTCTTTAGCAAATTGACTACGTAAGTAAAAATAATATGCAGTAAGATCAATCCCTTCCAAACTTAATTCAATGTTTTTACAATTTTATCTAAGCCAATTGTGTGAATCCAGAGGTTCAGGCTTTATTGTCCCTTTGTAGATTCAACTCTAATGTAGAATATAGGGAGGCTAAGGACTATTTTATACCAATCAGATGTTATGTTTCTTGTTAAGTTTAATGGTCACAGCATTGAATCTCACAAGGATAAGAGAAAAATGACTCACACGTGTTAAAATAGAGTTAGTGTTTTGGGAATAAACTGGTTGCAACCGTGACAAAATAAGATATTCAACCAGCAGATTTGAAAAAAGGAACTGATAGAAAATCATCTTCATCTCTTTACTTCGGAAAATGAAACATGTTCTTGCAAACCTGTAGTATGAGTTAAATGGGGCTTGAGAAATGCTGTAGATAGTTTAAAAGCCTTACATAATTAGAAGGTAGGTCTTAGGCTTTAGAATTAGACCTGCCTAGAATTCTTGCTTCTCTACTTATTTGTTGTATGACCTTGGACAAATTATGAAACCTATTTGAGCCTCAGGTTCCTTTGCCTAAGAGGAATAATAGCACCTCTGAGGGTTAATAAGAGACTTTTTTTTTTTTTCCCTTTGGGATGGAGTCTCACTCTGTCTCCCAGGTGCCATCTTGGTTCACTGCAACCTCTGCCTCCCGGGTTCAAATGATTCTCCTGCATCAGCCTTCTAAGTAGCTGGGATTACAGGAACGTGCCACCATGCCTGGCTAATTTTTTGTATTTTTAGTAGAGATGGAGTTTCACTATGTTGGCCAGGCTGGTCTTGAAATCCTGCCATCAGGTGATCCAACCACCTCGGCCTCCCAAAGTGTCGAGATTAAAGGCGTGAGCCCCCATGCCCAGCCGAAAGAGAATTAAAAAGACCTTAGCATAGTGCTTCTAACTCATTGATAAGTGTTTTTTCATTATTAAATAAATGATCAACTGAATAATTGTAGTTAATGGCATTATTTCCTGTCCCAAAGTATAATATCTTTAATAGCTATTCTATGTTTTATAATAAGAACATGTTACTAGAACCTCATAAAATTGTCCTTCATTCTGTGTTTTGGCATTACCTCATAATGAGGCATTTAACATTCATTCAATAAATTACATAATAAGAACATTGCTTTTTACCAGACATCAGGAATACAACTGTAAACAAGATGTGGTTACTGCCCTTATAGATTTGAGAGTCTAATGGGGGATTTAGACAAGGTAAGTGAATAGACAATTACAGTACTGTAAAATCAGCATAAGCACAGAGTACTATGGGAATACAGAGGCATGACACCTAATTCAATCTTGGGGTGTCTGAGCTGAGAAGGAATGTGTCTGAGTGTAGTTCTAATGTAAAAAGTTGTAAAACACTCCACCCAAATGTATCTGTTGTATGTTAAATATATAGTCTACTCATCTTTTAAGAGCTGACTCAAGTTCAGCCTCCTCTGTGAGACCTTCTTCACTTTCTAAAGGCAGAGTTAGAGGCTCTACTCTTGGTATTCCCATTTTACTGTCAACACTTTTCTTGTAGCACTTAATAGATTGTCCTGTAACTTATTGTTCACATGGTAGTAGATTTCCCTTAGATCTCAAACTCCCTAAAAACTGAAATGGAATTAAACTATCTTATTCATCTCCAATGTCTGGTGTACTACTTGATGTACAATAAATGCTTGTTGGATGATTAATAAGTGAAAATATAAATTGATTTATTCATTAAATAAATATTTATCAAGTACCTACTGTATGCTAGGTGTTTTAATAATGAGGATTCAGAGGTTAAAACAGTCTCTTGTCTTCATCAGACTTACATTCTAGTGGTCGTAAAGGCCAGATATAGACTGTGAAGAATACAGAAGAATGGAAAATGATGGAGGCTTTAGTTTAGATTGGTGGTCAGAAAAAGCTTCACCGAAGAGGTCACAGCTAAATAGATACCTGAGTTAAATAAATTATCAAACTGATTTATGGATGAGCATTCCAGTCTGAGAGATCAGCCAATTTAAAGGCTCAAAAGGAAGAACATGTTTAGAATGCTCAAGAAACAGCAAAGGAGGTCAGCTTGGTTAGAGCTTGGTGAGCAAGAAGGAATGTGATAGGAGATGGGATTGGCAGATATTACTAGATGGGATAGGCCAGATCACATTTGGACATGATAAAGGTTTTGGATCTTATTCTAAGTGTGATAGGAGGCCAAATGCAGAGTTCTTAGCAGGAGAGTAACATGTCATTTGTCTTCTGAAGGGATCAATCTGCCTATGTGAGTGAGACTAAAAGGGGCAAAAATGGAAACAATAAGAACAGTCAGTAGGCTATTTTCATGCTCCAAGTGGGAGAAGATGGTGGCTTGGACTAGAATGGATGGAATAATTTATATGGGACTCTGGGAATAGAAGGTGGTGATATAAGCTTTTAAAAATTGTGAGCTTACATCTCCAACTTAAGCATTTGAGTAGAGAAAAATTTAAACATAATTCAGGTACATGTATATAGTAGAATAATGGGCTAAGAAATAAAAGAACTTGTTTCTTAGTCCCAGACCTACTTTTAAGTAGGTGTGTGACCTTAGGGAAGTCTCTTATTTTCTGTGGACCTCAGTGTTTTCAGATATAAAATGATGGTTTGAATTAGTTTCTCTCTAACTGTAAAGGTCCTTGATTTTATAATTCCATGAAAAAGTCAATATGTATTGAACGTGTCAACCTAAATAGCAAAGACTCTCTAAAAGAAAGTAACATTTATTTTAGAATAGGGCAGTGCGAGTAAAGGTGCTATACAAAACAATGTGCATATTCGGGGGGTAAAGGAAGACAAAGGTTTTTAAAGGAAAAATGGGGAGAACTGCCTAATTGTTTTGAAGTGCTTATCCTTGTGCGCCAGTCTGTGGTTGGATAGGCAGTTGCTGGGTAGATGTCCTCGCAGTATTTTTCATGTAAGATTGCAATGGCCTTTGTGCAAGATAGTGGTTCTGGCAGTCTTTTGTGATAGCTTTCGCTATCAGGCATTTATGCATGAGGACCATCTCTTTATGGCTTTCCCTTGCTCCATTTGTCAGGGTTGGTTTTTGTTTGTTTTTTTGTTGTTTTAAACAGAAATGACTTCATTTTGATTCTGACAACTTTCACAAACCCTTACTGTGTTTTGAATACTGAATGAAGCACTTTAGTGGATTCAGAGGTACTCTAAGACATTCTTGTCCATAGGGTACTTACATTTATAAAAGATTTTGCAAAACAATTGCTTGCAATATGAGATCATAAATTGAATACAGAAGTGTCTAATGCCGGTTGTAAATTCTATGGAAGTTTAGAAAAGAGAATAATTAACAAAGACTGAATTAGCCATGGAAGTAGTAGATACTTGATCTGAAACTAGGTATGATTTAGTTAAATGGATAGAGGGGAAGGACCTTCTGGATAGAGAATAAGACGTACACAAAGGAAGTCTTTAATGAACATAGCATCATATGGAGTTATGGCAAAGAGATTCAGTTAAAGTCCAGCCTGCCTGTATTGGAGGTTATATGAACAATGGGAAAATAGGATTGGTCCATAGAAGACATTGAAATTTAGGCAGAAATGTTTAGCTTTAATGAAGGCAGGAACTGGGAGCCATTGTAGATTCTTCATTAGAATGATAGAAATAGTATTCAAGAAAGGTTAGTATAATGCCGTGTACTTTGAGGAAGGTGTGAAACTACCTTGTTCCAGGTAGCATGCAGGCATTTTGCTTACCTTTTTATTTAATCATCAATCTTTGGAGACAAGGATCCTATGCCTCATAAGTGATTTGAGCCAGGATTTGAACTAATGTCTGTCTGACTCTAGAAAGTTAGATGGGAGAGTCCTCAGTCAGGAAGCATTAGCTGCAGTAAACCACCTATGATGTAGTGAGGATTATACCCAGTAGCAGTGGGAATGGAAAAGAAGAGATGGAGCTAAGAGAGAATTATTTAAAGAACTAGTTGACTGATGCATATATAGGGAATGAAAGAGAAAATAAATGTAAGAAGACATTGAAGTTTTATGTAGCAAGTGAAGATTACCATGCTTTGTGGTGGTTGTTGGGGATGGAGACAGATAGGAGAGACTGGAGAGATAAATGAAATAATATCTGATTTGGGACTGTCAAATTTTAGACATCTTTAAGTATTTACGTAATAAGTAAAGACATAGGAAGATTTCAGGATTTGAGACTCCTCAACTTATTAGATAGTTGAAGGCATGAGAATGAAGAGGTCTTCTAAAAGAGAAAGGATCATGAAAGAAGTGCAAACGACTTTGAGACCTAATGCCCAAGCTTAGCATGTAGGTTTAGGAAGAGGAAAGGTATCAAACAGCTGTCCAACTGTTGTTATATTATACAACCCAAGTTGCTGAAACTCAACATTGATGTTCTCAGATTTGCATTTTGACCTCTGCCAGAACTAGATTTTGCTTATATGTTTCTACTAAAAATGGAATAAATATAAATGAATTTCCGTGCGTAATCAAGTTTTTCTAAATAGCAGATTCTTTGGTCCTTTCTTTCTTTTTGAAATGGGGTCTTGCTCTGTCACCCCGGCTGGAGAGCAGTGGCACCATCATAGCTCACTGTAGCCTCAAACTCTTGAGCTCAGGCAGTCTTCCAGCCTCAGCCCATCAAGTAGCTAGGACTACAGGCACACCACCGTGTTCAGCTAATTTTTAAATTTTTTGTGGAGGCAAGGTCTTGCTGCATTGCCTAGGCTGGTCTCAAACTCCTGGCCTTCTGCCCTGACCTCCCAAAGCACTGTGATTATCAGTTGGTCTTTCAAACAGGATTTGTTAATTTATTTTTATGACCCTATTCCAGTATATCTTTGGTGAATGTTCTAAAGAGCACTTTTAATTTGTACTTTTATTACTGACTTGATTCTTCTGTGAAACATTTAAAAGCTGAGATTTGTCAACAAAAGCAAAAAATTGATAAATCAGACTTCATCAAAATTAAAAACTTACATCAAAAGACGCTATAAATGAAGTAAAAAGCACACAGAATGGGAGAAAATATTTGCAAATTATATCTCTGGTAAGGAATTAATATCCAGAATTTGTAATAACAACAGAAAAACCAAACAACCCATTTTAAAATGGGTAAATGGATATTTCTCCAAAGAAGATATACAAATGGCTAATAAGCGTGCGAAAAGATTGCTCAACATCAGTAGTCATTAGGGAGATGCAGATCAAACTACAATGTGATAACACTTCATGTTCATTAGGATGGCTATTATTTTTTAAAAATGGAAAATAACAAGTGTTGCCAAGGATGTGGAGAAGTTGGAATCCTGTGCATTGCTGGTGGGAGTGTAAAATGGTATAGCCACTGTGGAAAACAGTTTGGGCACTTAAAAAATTAAATATGAAGTTACCATGTGATCCAGCAATTGTACTTCTAGGTAGATACCCAACCAAACTGAAAATAGGGATTCAAACAGATACTTGTAGGTCAGTGTTCACATTAGCACTATTCACAGTAGCCAAAGGTGTCAACAATCCAAATGGCCATCAACAGATAAATAGGGAAACAAAATGTGGTGTATTCATACAATGGAATATCATTCAGCCTTAAAAAGGAATGAAATTTTTCTACCACAATATGCATGAATCTTGAATGCATTAGGCTCAGCAAAATATATTGTATGATTCCACTTACATGAGGTATCTAGAATAGGCAAATTCATAAGTATAATAGTAATTATGAATTAGTACTATGGTATGAATAGTAGTACTCATGAATTTGCCTATTCTAGATACCTCTTGTAAGTACAATAGAGGTTGCCAGGGCTGGGGAAAGGGGGAATGAAGAGTTCTGTAAACATATAATGGTGGTGGTTGCACAACATTGTAAATATACTTAGTGCTACAGAGTTATACACTTAAAAATTGCTAAAATGGTGAATTTTATATATATGTATTTGTATATTTTGCCATAATTTAAAAGAAAAAGCTAATGGCTGTTTTACAAGGTTATAGACATCATTATGCCCATTATAATACAAAGTGTCAATGTGTTCTGTCTTAAAGGTGCTCTCATATATATTTAGTTGTTTTGTCACCATATTCTTTGTTATGCATTTGCTGATAGTTTACCTATCTTAATCCTTATTTTAAAAGCAACTAGCAGCCTTCTACTTCATCAGTTTCTGTTGCTTGATCTGTAATTACCTAAAGCTTTAGGTTATTTTGAATAATTTTCACTCTTAAAATAACATTTGTATGTATGTATTTATATTAAAATCAGTACTAATAGTATTTTTAATAAGTATTAAAACTATAATATATTCATTCTCTTGTTAAGAATTAAGAAATCCAGCTGTCATAGAAAAGTCTTCCCTCATTGCAGTATTTTGCTTGCAGGATGAAGATGAGCTGGATTCCCACACCATGGTGAAGACTAGTGTGGAGAGTGTGGGCACCATGCGGGCCACAAGCACGATGAGTGAAGGGGCCCAGACCATGATTGAACATAATAGCACGATGTTGGAATCCGACTTGGGGACCATGGTGATAAACAGTGAGGATGAGGAAGAAGAAGATGGAACTATGAAAAGTATGTGGCTTTTTTACATTAAATATTAGTTTTCTAATTCGAAAGGATACTTTTATAGGAACCAGGCTAGTTCTGTGTTACTTTTTATAGCCAACTGTGGAAAATTTTGTTTCTTAGATTTATGTAACAGTAAAAAAGAGTATGGCACAAGTCACCTTTTTAAAATTGTATTTTAATATAGCAGAAAACAACACATCTTCAACTTAGAGTTATGGAACTTTTTTCTGTTGAAGGTTGCTAACCCACGGCTTAATTTGCAAAGTATTTTAGAGAGAAAAAGATAGTGTTCCTAACATTTACTTTCCCAATTAAAAAAGTGAACCTAAAATTATCTTCCAGTAAATTCAACAGACTATTATTTTATGTTGTCCAAATTATCAGTTAAACCACAAAGAGCAGTGCGAGCTATGGGAAGAAATAAGGTGGGAAAATAAGAAGCACTAGAAAGAAGGATTAAGAGACAGGGATGCTCATACAGAAGATTCAGTTGCATGAATATTTACTGCTGCTTATCATATGTGAGGCACAGTGCTGGGGGTGCTGCAGTGGCTAAAATGATGATCAAACATTCTCTCTGACCTCTGTTGCTTACAAAGTGATGACAATAGGAATGCTTTCACAGACTAGCACTTCTCTTTTTTAAAAACAGTTTTTTAAGATACTGCAGTTAACATCGTAGGTCATTGTGATTTCACAGTTATAGGCAAAAATGAATTTTCTCTTAGCACCAACTGACCTTTTTCTTCCTGTCATGCTCCTACCCTAGTCCTGTGTGGTTAGTGTCAAAGTCTAAGCAAGCACTAGGCTGCTTTCCACTGAAGAGTATTGCCTCTCCATGGCAGAACAGCAGAATTACATGACTTCTAGCATTGTAGAACCTAGAAAATTGTAAATATTCAAGTGATTTGCTGGTACTGCAAAATGGATACCAGAATTTTCTCTCAGATACTTCCATTTCCTTTTTGCCCACCCTTTTCTTTTTGCTACTCCGCCATGAGGTCTGACCCATAACTTCAAGTCACGTGGCTCAGTACTGCTGCTTTCTTCACATTCCCTAGTTCTGTGTAGCCCACTATGGTTGCATATGTACTTTGGATAGAGAGGATCATGAAGCACAAAATGTAATAGATTGCTATATTGCCATAATCCTGGGGGTGGAGTATGAATTTTCTATCTCCTGCCATTGGTGGGTCTTCTGTGCCTTTTTCCTGGAAAGCAGCCTACATCTTGGATTTCCTGAAATTCCTAGCTGGGCATCTGACTAGAGTAAGTTTTCTGCATCCATAACGTGCCTCACTCCACTGCAGAGGATGGTCTTATGGCCTCCAGAACCAGCTAGTGTTGGGGTACAAGTGGATCACAAAGACTCTGTGGTAAAACAGTTAACACATTTTTCATCAACATGTAATATCAATTTTCCATAAGCTGATATAATTTTTAACTCAAATTTTATGATTCTTAACAGATCAATTAGATCATTGAGTGCTTTTTTGTGTCTTTAGGGAGTTACTGAGCTCCTTATGAAACTATATGAACAACTTTTCATGCAGTCATATAGTTGAACATCAGCATATATATAATAGTTAAGAAAAATGAGTCTTTATAGAATCTAATTCATTTAGATTGCAGTGTATTATATTTCAAGGAAGAGAGACTAATGATGATGTTTCCGACATCATACTTTATACCACAGATTTCTGACATTTTGTATAGTGACTTTTAGATTTGACATCCACAAAAATCAATACATGTTATAATTTTGTTATAACTGATTGTATAGGTATGACTTTTTGTCACAGAGATTTTAGTGAAAACCAATTTTGAAGTTGAACAGATAAGTGGTTTTTATAGCTGCAGTTGTTTTATGGACCTCAGCAAATTTTAAATCCCATGAGCCAACTTTCTGTGTTTTTTGTTTTTACAAGTTAGACATCATTCTGTAATGTGAGACTTCAGTGTTTCCAAAATTCTAATCAAGTGATGTTAGTATAACCCCTAGGGATTGTCATATTGTAGTATAGCAGTAGTAAAGTATGTGAAGAAGTTATTGAGGGAAGACTTACTTTTTCTGAAACCATATAATTATTGTAGTTTTGTTTTTCTCGTGATCTAAATCTTTAAAACTTCTTAAATTAGTTGGTATGAGGTCTCAGCTTATGTCACATCAGTCAAAGCCACATTTGCTAATGTGTCTTTAGCATTTTTGTTCCCTAATAAGATGATAGCAGTATATTATTTTTGGTTTTCTAAAATCTCTACAATGTGTACTGAAGATTTAGAATTTCATCTCTTTTTCCATTGGAGTTTCAAGTGAGTTGCCTGATTTAACATCCTTGTCAGTTTAAATTATGTTTACACTTACTCTTTTATACCTTTAACCATGAAGCTAGAAATTATGGGCCTATTTTCCTTACCTCTAGAAAGGAAAATTACCCACAGACCCTTTGAAGGGAAGTGGAGAAAAATGACAAAAAGTATTTTAAAATTTGATCTGCCTTTTAAAAAATGGACGTGGACCCTATGGGCATGTCCCAAGAATAACTTTCTAAACCTGTTTTTAGCAATGATGGCATTACTTTTACCCTCCCGCTCCCAGTCTTCCTATTCAGATATCCCTAAGGCCTCCTCATTCCCCATGGAATGTCCAGGCTTCAGCTGTGTCACCAAGATCCTTCACAGTCTGGCACTAGCCATTATTTACATGTGGATCTCTACTTCTTCCTTATGGATTATGTTTTATCCATACTAGTCTGTGCCAGTTGGAATTCTGAATGCTTGACACTGGGTAAAAGCAGGTTGGTTGTCATTCAAGAAAATCAATTTAGGATTTATTATCCTGGAGTAGATTAGGACCAGGTCAAGAATCTATGTCATCAAACTGATGGGGTAGGAGAGATTATTTCATCATGGGTGACTCTGGGAGAGTAGTAGCTTCAGCAAAGAAAGACTGGGGCTTTTTAGTTTGTTCAGCTCAGATCTACTCAGTTAGCTCTGTTTTTATGGAGGAACTTTCTGATCTTACAGAGCTGTGGCTAGATTGGTAGCACTAGTTGCCCTGGAGGGAAACTATGTCTTATGGGTATCTGAGGAAGAGCCATATTTTCCAGCCAGGTTTTTATTTTTCATGTGTGTATCTGTTGTTTCTCCAGATAAGTCACGAAGTTTGTCCTGGTAAGAATGCTGTATAAATCTCCTCTGCCACATAATAGTACATGCTCTTGGAATATTGGTTTCATGAATGAATACTAATTACAGTAGAGTCAGAGTCAAGCTGTGTGTGTGTGTGTGTGTGTGTGTGTGTGTGTGTGTGTGTGTGTGTTATAGTAGAATTAAAGATACATAGCTCTGGAAGCTAAGAGAACTTTCAGGTAAACCTCCTGCCTTGGTAAGATACTTTCTTTTCAAGTGTTCTACCATCCCTGCTTCTCATTTCACAGAGCAGACCCTCTGAAAATGTGTTCCTTAAGATACCCATTCAGTGAAATTCTCTGATAAATATAGATAAATAATATACAGTAATCAGAATTATTTGGGAAATGCATATTTATCCTAGAGATAAATTATTAGAGAACTACAGTATATATTATTAACTTATTAAATACAAATAGTACAGGAAGGAAACAGTTTAAAAATTACATTACCCAAACTTTCCTTCACTTATTTGACCATGAAAAGCTTTTAATGAGGAACGTATCAGTGATTAACATCCTGTGTAATAAGCATCTGAGAAACACATTTTGGGAAATGCTATCATGAGAGCCCTCTAGTTCCCTGACCCTAGTTCCTAGTCTGCTTTCTTTTTATTAGCACACCCTCCCTTCACTTCTATATCCAGCTTAGAGGCTATATTTCATTATTTCGTTGCTTCTGCCACTCTCGTATGTTCTAAACTCCTCTTAGAGGCTATATTTCATTATTTCATTGCTTCTGCCACTCTCTTATGTTCTAAACTCCTCTTAGAGGCTATATTTCATTGCTTCTGCCACTCTCTTATATTCTAAACTCCACTGCCCTAATGTCTTGTCTTTTCTGCCTCTCCTGGAAAACTTTGATATGGTCCAGTCTCAGTGTTCATCTTCTCTGCATCTTTACCCTGGCTATTGAGTGCTGCTGGAGATAATCTTCCATCTGCACAGATGAGGGCTGCCAGATCAAGACCTTCTCCCCCATTTGGGCCCTCAACTTTCCTGGAGGCCTGTGTTTCTCTGTTCAGCAATTCCTCATTCTACAGAGTGGCTAGTTTAGATCTTCACTAGATCTCTTCTTCCTGCCTCCCATCTCAGTTTCAGTAGATGACGTTGCTCCCTACTTTACAGAAAAAAAGTGAAATGTTATCATGCAAGTACCTAGAGAAGCTGTATAGGTGTTTTAAATGTGGTCTTTGGAATAAGGTTGAAAAATTGAGTCATTCTTAATTTCCGTTTCTTCCTTCACCCTTCATGGAAGTAACATCTCATCAGTTCTGCCCCCTAAATATCCCTATTCTCTTCTCATGATCTCTGCTTGCATTTCTTTAGTGCAAGTCCTCATAGTTTCTCACTTGTGAGGCTTCTAAACTGATCCTCTGCCTCCAATCTTCATTCCCTCCCCACCATACAGATTTCAGCACATTTCTCTTCTGCTTATGCCCTCCCAGTGACTACCAATTGCTTATAGGCTAAAGCTCAACACCAGTTAAGAAGCAGTATATGCTCTGGTTCCTACTTACCTTTCTATTCCCTCTTCATCCTTCTTCCAGCTTCTCAGCTCTTACAGAGCTTTTTTACCTTTGGCCACTTGCAATGCCTAAATCCTCCTGTGGGATTTATGCTTCTTTTGCTAAATCATATTCATTCACTCAGGCTCAGTTAAGAGGTTGCTTCCTCTATCAACCCCAGGTTAGGAATAAGTGCCCCTCTAATAGGCTCCCATCTCACCCCAAGCTTTCACTCTTACAGCACTGTCATGCTTTATTGTGAGCGTGTGCTTTTGTTTATTTCCCACTGTATTTTTGATACCTAATACAATACCTAGCACTTGGTAAGAGTTCATGAAATGTTTTCTGAACAAATGATGTGGTATAGTGAAGAGCATGGGATGTGAAGCCAAATCATTTAGTAATTGTGTTGCTTAATTCTGTCTGAGTTTCAGTGATAAATATTTGTCTCTCTGTTGTGTGTATATGTGCAGGTGTGTGTATTAGGTAAATTCAAAACATGCCTAGCAGTGTTTTAAATATAGTTGATAATCAATAAAGGATAATATTCATCTGTCCACCCTATTAATTTATCCTTCCAACAACTTGATAAGAGGGAGCATCCGGGAAGCCCTGGGCATTGTCAGCCCTGCTTCCCATGCGGTGATAAAAATCATATCTTCCTGGGACCAGAGATGCTGAGCTATCGAGCAACTCTGTTCTTCCCACGGCAAATTCTTGCCTCCACCTTTCCCTGCCTCCTCCAAGACCTTGCTCCATCTCTCTTTTTTTTAGTAAGCTAGTCAAAGGGGCTTCTATAGAGAATGATGATCTCCAAAATGAACTGAGTAGCATCAACATGAATAAGAGGGGTTTGAATGGCAAGATGAGCAAATGCTAGAGAAGTACTCAGCGCACTTGGCATCTCCTGACCGAGAGTGTGTTTGATAATATCTATTGATACGACTTGAGATGAGAGAACTGTTTTCCACTGTTTGTGAAATTTGACATCTCTTTGAGAAAATGAGGAGAGTGTCATGGAAGTATAAAAGTACATTTACATTTTATTTTATTTTATTTTTGGAAATGGAGAAAAAGGTGAATTTCTCAGGTTATAGCTGTTACTAATTGAGCTCCTACTACAGGCCAAACACTGTGCTTAGGATTTTGTATATGTTATCTTATTTACTCCTCACAAGGATCCTATAAAATAGCATTTCACTACCATTTAGCACTAAGGAAACTGAGACTTGGGAATGCTGTTCAAGATTTCCTAGCAAGTAAGTGATGAAACCAGTATATAGACACAGGGTTGACACTAGAATCACATCACTACTCTGGGGCCAGTGAGCTCAATGTCCCTCTTGGGCAGGATTCTAGAACATTTAAGAGTCCTTTAGGAAAGATCAGGATCGTTATAAGTCAGCATAGATTACTGAGAAGAAATCGTATCAGAATAATATAATTTCCTTTTTTGACAGCATTGCTAAACTTCAAGGTCAGAGAAAATGCAGAGTTTGAATATTGTATCTTAGGATATTAGGAAAGTATTTGACAAGGTCTTTCATGATACCCTTGTAGACACTATGTAGTGTGACCTAGCTGGTGGTCCTGTTATGAGAGTGCAACAGTTATACTCAAATGTGCTTATATCAGTGAGAGTTTATTGGAGGAAACAGAATCTACTCCAGGTATTCCACACACAAAGCAATTTAAGTCAGAGATTGTATTAATGTGTTCTCATATTGCTATAAAGAACTATGTGAGACTGGGTAATATATAAAGAAAAGGGGTATAATTTGCTTATGGTTCTGCAGGCTGTACAGGAAGCATGGCTAGGGAGGCCTCAGGAAACCTGCAATCATGGTGGAAGGGGACGGGGAAGCTGGCACGTCCTACATGGCTGAACGGGAGAAAGAGCAAAGCGGGTGGGGCTATACACTTTTAAACAACCAGATCCTGTGAGAACTCAGCCACGAGACAGCACTAGGGGGATGGTGCTAAACCGTTAGAAACTACCCCCGTGATCCAATCATCTCCCACCAGTCCCCCCTCCAGCACTGGGAATTAAAATTCAACGTGAGATTTAGGTGGGGGCATAGAGCCAAGCCATATTAAAGATGTAGAAGTTAAGAAAATCAATGGAAAGCCTAGAGGAGAAGGCTGTGTAGCATAGGCTTCAAGAGTGACTCCCACAACACCACAAAAGTGAGCATATAAGGAACAACTACTACTGCCACAACGAGGAATAGCAATCCAGAGGCTACCGCTGGCGCCGCTGAGTTCAGTAATACAGATTGAAATCAACCCTCACTGCTATTTAGGGATTAGAAAGCTACTAAATATTACTGCAACCACTCCTCAGTACCTGTGAAACTGGTGACTAGATGCTAGAATGCTGCTGTAAATAATCAAGCCTCTATGACAGGGCTTGTAAGAAGGAAATAACTAAACTAGCAGGCATATAGCTTCTGTTTGCTTCCCCCCACCGCCCCCACCACCCCAGTTGCGAAAGAGTGCACTTACCCAGAACTCTAGTTGCAAGGAATTCTGAGAAATGTGGTGTTCAGCTCTCTAGCCTCTATGATACAAAGGCTCACCAGGGGCACACGGCAGTGGTTGCTAAATTTCAGTCGACTACAATGTTAAATAATAAATTGTTTACCGGAAGATTTCTCATTTTGTGATACAGGACCTCGGCCTCCAGCCCTGGCTAGCTCAAAATTTTTCATAGAAACTTGGATGAAGCTATAAGGTGAAGGTCCATCAGAATTGCAAATAACATGAAGTGGAACAAAATAAAAATATGTTATAGGATAGAACGAGGATCCTAAAAGATCACCACAGGCTGGAGCAGTGGGCTTGATTTACAAGATAAACCCTGCTTTTGGGTCCAAATAACCAGCCTCACAAGTATGTATTGTAACAGTCGCTCTTCAGAGATGCTGGTCTGAAGACTAGAGCAGGGCTTGGGCATCTCTGCTTTTAAAATACGTTTTTTAAAATTTAAAAACTCTACAAGTGCTTCTGAGGTGCAGCTAGGACAGATAACCACTTTTTAGAACAAGGAAATAAACAGCTTCCCTCTGCTCTCAGGAGCCAGAACTCACCTGGAGTATTGTGTTTAGAACTTACCTGGAGTATTTAAGAAGGCTGGAGATACACTGGAGCACATTGAACAGAGAGGCAGCTGGATGGCGATGTAGGTGGAGACCATGTTGTATTAAGAATGGGTGGAGAGGCCGGGCGCAGTGGCTCACGCCTGTAATCCCAGCACTTTGGGAAGCCAAGGCAGGGGGATCACCTAAGGTCAGGAGTTCGAGACCAGCCTGGCCAACACGGTGAAACCCCGTCTCTACTAAAAATACAAAAATTAGCTGGGCATGGTGGCATGCACCTGTAATCCCAGCTACCCAGGAGGCTGAGGCAGGAGAATCGCTGGAACCCAGGAGGCAGAGGCTGCAGTGAGCTGAGATCCCGCAACAGCACTCCAGCCTGGGCGACAGAGCAAGACTCTATCTCAGAAAAACAAAAAAGAATGGGTGGAGAAATAACCGGTTATGTTTAGGTTGTATATTATTTACTTATATTAACCTTTCATAAATGTTTATCATTTCTTAAATACTGGGTTAAATAATATTTACTAAATATACATTTTAAAAATGTCTTACCTGTATATGCATATAGTATTTGTTGATTTTGAAAATTTCAGAGTTTATTTTGGACAGCACATATATGCAGTTTTACTTAATTAGTAAGAGAAAGCAAATGAAGTTCTGCTTTAGCTTTTTAGGAGTTACTCTGGAAACGATACTAGATATTAGTGTCAGTTGAGGAGAGATACCAAGAAGAGAAGACTGACTCTACTCCCTGGTTCATCCATTGTTCCTAGACAAAATCGTGAAGTATGAGGCAATTTGTTTTGTTCTGAGCATCTACTTCCATGCCGTATTCTTTGCTTAGTAATATCTTTCTCTCGGTTCTCATATCCTTTCCTTCCTCCCTTTTTTCCCCCAAAATCTGTTTTGGAAAGAGACCAGATACACAGGAATAAAATGCCTAATAATGTTTAATGCTCATGAAATACATTTTCTCCCAGAATCGTACAGCCTTGAGCCAAAGGAGTAAATCACTAAGGATGGAATTTGAGATGCCAAGAAATAATTGGCAAGGGTAGGAGAATGTGTAGGGGAACTACTTTCTCACTTACCATTCTTTTATGAAAAACTGTTCCATTCCTCTTTAACTTAGGAGGTTAATGTTGCCCGGGATATGACAATAAAGGTGACAGCAGTAAACTACAGGTCCCTCTTGCAGCTGGGTGCAAATACCCATCATATTTCTGGGCAATTAGAAATCATTCATTTTCCTTTACAAAAGTACGAGGAATCCAGGTAAGGTGTGGCTGCAGTGGTTTGGAGTTCCCTGTGGGCACTGAGTATAGTCTACTATTCTGTGTGCTCTTGGTCCGTGGGACGTTTAACGAAGTATAACCCAGCTCAGACCTGCTGGTGTATGCATTTTGGTTGTAGGATACCTCTTTTATTAGCACAAAACACACACAAGGATGTAAATATTAGTCTTCCCTGTAAAAATGAAAATATCTTTCCTGTACAGGCCTTGGAAGAAAGCATTTTCATAGATACAGTGACCATTACAATATTCATTACTCGCACAGGAACTCCTTCCTTTTATTTAACTAAAATCTTTGGGCTTCAATTTTTGTTTCCTTCTATTCTGACTTCATTGGAGATTGAAAACAGCTGGTCACTATTTTCTGTGCAAAGAACCCTTCATAAATACTTGGATACTTATTAAGTTCTTTCTCAGACTTGACTTTTCTTGGCTGAATAATTTCAGTCTCTTTAACCTTTGTGCAGGTATTATTTTCTAAGCTTTTTAATCTTTTATGAATAGTCTGTGGACCTTCTCCATGTTATGTTTATCCTTCTTTGTTTTAAAATACAGTATGGTGAAGTTCAGGAAAAAACTGATGTCAGTAGCTTCTGTGTTAACATCCTGGTTTTTATATGTATTCACTATACTCTTGGCAGCAAATTAAAGGACACATTTCGAAGGCCATTAATGAGGTGGAACCACCCACATCTTAAAATATTTTTAGAAGAACAAATTAGGTAATCTTCATAAATCTTTTTGATGTTGACACATACTTTACTAAAGTTATGATTGTTATTTTATTCTCTAAACTTGAATATCTTTGTCATAATCATGCTAAGAAGTTAAAAATTAAATTATTTTGTTAAAGTATTTTTAAAAATTACTTTATATATTTAAATTTTTATGAGGACTTTTTACTTGTTTAGAAGATGTGCAAATTAGGAAACTTAATGAATAATTGTGGGTGGACTGACGTATTTTCTACGGTATTATATTTCTCACAATTTAGTTTACTTGTAAATGTTTTGGGGATGCATGAAGGAGATGAAAAGCAACCTTTTTCTTTAAAATTTCTTATCCACAAAGAGAATGAATGATAGTTACTTTATTCTTTATTGCTAATAGGTTTTTAGTTCCATGAGCAACTAGTTGAAGGAATTAGGGCCAAAATTGAGGAACTAGGTAATTCTGAACGTTAAAATTATTGTTAAAATAAAATGTTTTTGTAAGCTGGGGTCA
Source organism: Homo sapiens (assembly GCF_000001405.40). Taxonomy (NCBI): domain Eukaryota; kingdom Metazoa; phylum Chordata; class Mammalia; order Primates; family Hominidae; genus Homo; species Homo sapiens. The sequence continues at coordinate 98,537,656 of NC_000008.11, read as the reverse complement.
GAATTCGGCTGCAGCTGGAGAAATTGATGTCAATTTTATATGATTATTCTTTTTGTGCTTAAAAAAAGTATTTGCCATAGCAACCACATCACATATGACAGTGGTTACTATCTTGAGATTTCCTGCTTTATTTTCTCATTGAAGAGCCTAGTATTTTTTTTAATAAATTGTAAGTCAGAAACATCATCCTCTCTGTCCCACTTCTGTGAACATGTATCTCCCTGGAGACTCAGCTGCGCATTGTGGCATGTGTTTCATATTGTGTAGTTAAACATTACTGGGCAATTGCAGCTGCCCCCTCCCATTAACTTTTAAAACAAACCTAACCTGTTTTCCTCTTTAAAATTTTTTAAAAATTGTTTTTTAATCTTTTTTTGTGTGTATGACAAAGAGATACTCTAAATGTTAATACTAGGTTTTAAATTAAGCAATGGAAAATATTTAGAAGTATAAGCACATACATTATACATTTGAATAAAAAATTAAGTGTAAACATATCTTGGTTAATAGTATCTTGTTATTAAATCATCCAAAAAGAAAAATCTGACAGAATAGACTCCTTCTTTTATTTAAGTTGCTTTTAAAACTTTTGTTAACTCTGTAAGAATGTTTATTTTTATCTTAGGAGTGGGTTATTTTTAAAATTTTTGAGTATGGAAGCCAAAAGGCATTTTGCCATAGGTTTTTTAGGTCAGCCTGTAAAAAAACCTTTAAAACTATAATGTATCTGAGACGTAGTGATATTTAAACTACTCTGTATAATAGTGGACTTCAAGTTTGAAATTGGGATGTTTCTGCAGTGAAACTGCAGATTGCTGCTCCTTCTGCTTCTCCCTACATCCTCCATTTGGGAATAGAAATGTATCAGTTAAGGACTGAATTTGACTGTATGTACCAATAAACCCAAATAACAGTGATTTAAACAAAATAAGATTAATTTCTTTTCTCATTTGATGAGAAATCCAAAAGCAGAGTATCCGGCACTGGCAGAGTGAGTTCATGATGTCATTAGAAATCATTTCTGTGACACCATCTTTTAGGGTATTATGCTTGTTCTCCTGCCTGCAGAGTAAATGTAGGATCTCTAGCCATCAAGTCTGTATTCCAGGCAGTAGAAAAGAGCAAAAAACAGAAAGGATTGTGCCTATATCAAGAAAACAGAACTTTCCTAGAAAACCTTACTTGATTTTTTTTTAAGAGAAGGGTCTCACTCTGTCATCTAGACTGGAATATGGTGTTTGTGATCATAGCCCATAGCTTATTGCAGCTTCAAACTCCTGGCCTCAAGCAATCCTCCTGCCTCAACCTCCCAAAATGCTGGGATTAGAGGTATGAGCCACCATACCTGGCCTAAACCCTTATTTTTATGTGTCATTAGCCAGAATTGTATTACATGGCCACTTTTTCCAATGAGATAGATACTTTCTCACCCCTAGTCAGGAAGCTAGGGATTATAGATATTAGGGAGGCAAATTTTTCACTTTGAGACACTACAACATTGGTGGTGGCTTATGTGACTTCAGTTAGAAGCTCCTGATTGGGATGTTGTCAGGAGCACGCACAAGGCTGTTGGGGTTGGAAGAGTAGATTCCTGGAATGAAATTTCCTAGTAATTTCCTTTCTTTATTTAGTCAACACCAAGGAGTAGTCTGCTTCTCCCCTTTCTGTTGCTACCACTTCTCTCTAATCAAACTGTTTCTTCTCTGACTCATTGCAGAAAAGAACATTGTCTTTCCTTCAGCCTTTTTCTTACTCTCCTCATTTCTAAAGGAAATGCCTGCTCAGCCCATCTTTCTGTTTTGAAGGTTTTTATAGAAGATTAAAATTTCCCCCACTCTGTTCTTTGTAGTGAAAAAAGCAACTTCTGAGATTTTATTTTTCTCCTTCTCCTTCCCAGTGTATGCTGCTACTCTTAATATGTAGGTCATATTAGAATAGGTGCTCTATAAATGTTAGTTTCTGGTAGGAAAAGATTAGTTTTTAATTTACTCCAATAATGGTTTGGGTGAATTTTCTCAGATAGAGGTCCAAAGTAAGAGTCAGTGGTATATCAAGAGAACCCTGACTGTTTATTACAGCACTGGGGAGTTTGTAAAGATTCTGGGATGAAGAGTTTCTTATCTCCCAGTTGAGGAGAAAACAAGACCATAACGAGAGCCTCAGCAGTGAAGCCAGTGCTGGATGAAAAAAAAAAAAAAAATTAATGAAAGCAATGTGGTCCTGGCTTGGTGTGGAGAGAGGAAGATGATCTGGGGAGGAACATAGGTCACAGAGTGCTGTTGTCTTCACTGGATTAGTAGTGCTACAATGCATGCTTTTTGTAGTTTCTATTGTTTTTGTTTTGTTCTTACCAAAGCACCTACAAATACTAAATTTACTTTTTAAAGAATGCTATCTAGAAATACGCTTCAGTGAAACCTTTCTTTTCATTATCAAATGCAGTTGATAATGGTGGTTTAGGAGTTTCTTACTTTTCCAGCAGTTAGTTTCTAAAGAAACCATTTTTTCTCTCCTCCCTGATTCTGACTTTCCTTGACAAACTTGATAACCCTTATTATATAATACTGAATGTTAAAGTTTTCAGATGTATTTATGTGTGTGACACATTTTAAGACTTCTTGATGAAAACAGAACTTACAACTAAATATATAATTCTATTACAGAATTAATCTTCCCTTTAAAAAGAAAAAGAAACAAAAAGAATATTGAGCAAAGAATTTCTTTAAGGGATTATCCCCCTTCTCCCAGCTTTATGGTTTGATTTACTCAATTGGTTTATAAAAAATATGTGTAAGTTGAGCTACACTTGTAATTTTTTTAAACTTACAAAATGGGGCAGAAATGGAGAATAACAGGTTAAATTCCTAGACTCTATTTTAGTATAAGAGGTTACCATGGGAACCGAGTTTCAATTCTGAATATAGAGAAATACGTCTTGTAATGATGAAGCCTAGAGACAAATCAAAGGTACTAAAAATCTGCTGAAAATGTTAATGGAATGTATGTGTCCTGTCTAAATGTCAGTAATGTAACCCATCAAATTAACCAATTTCTATTTTTGTTGTTGATTTCAGGGAACAAAGTTGAAGATGAACACCATAGACACCATATCTTTATTTTTAGCATATTTATTGATCGTTGAAATATTACACCTTCTCTTCTATATATTTTGTTCATTTTTAACATACTTGTAAAGTCTGTTATGACAGGAAATCTAAAGGCAGCTTTGGCTGTTTTCATGCTGAACTGTCTCTAAGGAGTTTCTTTTTCATGAGCTTTGAATGTGAGATATGAGAGTGTTCTAAGTTCTAAAGGTTTACCACAAATATTGGTGTTTTATACTATCTTAAATTTCATAGAATGTCTCAATATCTTTACAGTGGGTACCATTTGGGTCCCAGATGTCTTGTCACATTTTCTAGCCATCTAAAGCTGGAACAGCTGTAATTAGAGGATTGGTCCTTAGATAAACAGTTGTGTTGAGAGTCTTTTTCTATTTTTCCACTAATACATGTATATTCTGAAAATCAGGTTCTTTCTGACTCTACTGGGATAGATCATTCTGTTATTACTTGCACCAGCCTAATAATAATTGTAGTAGTCACAATACTTTCTCAAATACATTATCAGCAGTGCACCAATGCTAGTAATGAAATACATATAGCATCTACTAATTCAAAAGTAATGATGAAAAACCATGGCTCCTGCTGTTGTTCATAGGTATTCAACATCTGGGTAGACAGTCAAAAACACAAATTAATAGAGTTATCTGTGAAATTATTTAGGTAAAGGATTTGGAATTCTACATTAGGGAACTTACGGTTTAATGAAAAGTAAAGATGGAAACACATTTAAAAGACATAACTCAGCGAGGTATGGTGGCCCACACCTGTGATGCCAGCACTTTGGGAGGCCAAAATGGGAGGATTGCTTGAGTCCAGGAGTTTGAAACCAGCCTGGGCAACATAGTAAGACCTCATCTCTACAAAAAGTAAACAAAAATTAACCGAGTGTGGCGGTGCATGCCTGTAGTCCTAGCTACTCAGGAGGCTGAGATGGGAAAATCGCTTGAGCCCAGAAGGTCAAGCCTTCAGTGGGCGGAGATCATGCCACTGCACTCCAGCATGGGAGACAGAAGGAGAGACCCTGTCAGGCAATCAAATCAGTCAGTCCACCCACCCATCCATCCATACATACATACATACAACATACTCATAGGGTAAAAATAAAAATTACTTTTACCAATAATTATATTATTCACATGTTTACATTGTATTGTAATCATTCATTTAATCAGAGATTAGGCTCAACCATCAAAACACCCATTAGAAAGCAAAAAAGGCCTCTGGATAGATATTAAAAAATAAGATTACTTGCAACTAAAGATCTGCACATAGAGAAAAACTTATTTAAAAAAGAGTAAATAACACAAAGCCACATAATTAGCAGGATCTCTAAGATGTATTTCTATACTCATGTTCATAGGAGCATTATTCAACAATATTCATAGGAGCATTATTCAACAAAAGTAGAAAAACCCAAGTGTTCATTGACAGACAAATGGATAAGCAAAATGTAGTATATACATAGAGTTGAATGTTATTTATTCTTGAAAAGGAAGGAAATGCTGACACATGCCACAACATGAATGAACCTTGAGGTCATTATGTTAAATGAAATAAGCCAGTCATAAAAAAAACAAAGAAAAACAAAAAAATACCACTTTAATGGATTATACTTATATGACATATCCAGAGTAGTAAGATTCATAAAAACAGGAAGTAAAATGGTGGTTGCTAGAGGTAGGGGAAAATGGCAAGTTGTTCATTGGGTACAAGAGTCTCCATTTTGCAAGGTGAAGATTGGTCACACAATACTTCATGCTACTGAATGGCACATTTTTGATGGTAATTAAAAAAATTTTTTTTATTGTGGTAAAATACATATAACCTAAAATTCACCATCTTAACCATTTTTAAACATAAGCATACCTCATTATTGCAATTTGCTTTTTTGTGCTTCACAGACATTCTGTGTTTTACAGATTGAAGGTTTGTGGCAACCTTGTGTCAAGCAAGTCTATTGGCACTGTTTTTCCAATGTTATGTGCTCACTTTGTATTTCTGTGTCATAGTTTGGTACTTTTCACAATATTTCAAACCTTTTCATCATTATTATGTCTGTTACACTGATCTGTGATCAGTGGTCTTTGGTGCTACTATTGTAATTGTTTTGGGGTACAACAAACTGCGCCTATATAAGATGGCGAATTTAATTGATAAATGTAGTATGTGTTCTGACTGCCCCACCAGCAGGCCATTACCTTGTCTCTGTCTCTCTCCTCAGGCCTCCCTTTTCTCTGAGACATCACAATATTGAAATTAGGCCCATTGATAACCCTGCAATGGCCTCTATGTGCTAAAGTGAAAGGAAGAGTCACACATCTCTCACTTTAAATCAAAAGCTAGAAATGATTAAACTTAGTGAGGAAGGCATATTGAAAGCTGAGACTGGGTGAAAGCTAGGCCTCTTGCACCAAACAGCCAAGTTGTGAATGCAAAGAAAAACTTCTTAAAGGAAATTAAAAGTTCTACTCCAGTGAACACATGAATGATAAGAAAGTGAAACAGCCTTTCTCTTTCTGATATGGAGAAAGTTTGAGTGGTGTGGATAGAAGATTAAACCAGTCACAACATTTCCTTAAGCCAAAGTCTAACCCAGAGCAAGGCTCTAACTCTGTTTAATTCTGGAAGGCTGAAAGAGGTAAGGAAGCTGCAGAAGAAAAGTTTGAAGCTAGCATAGGTTGGTTCATGACGTTTAAGGAAAGAAGCTATCTCCAGACCATACAAGTACAAAGTGAAGCAGCAAGTACTGATGGAGAAGCTGCAGCAAGTTATCCAGAAGATGTAGCTAAGATAATTGATGAAGGTGGCTACCCTAAACAACAGAATTTCAATATAGAATAAACAAGTCTTCTATTGGAAGATGTCATCTAAGACTTTCCTAGCTACAGAGGAGAAGTCAATGCCTGGCTTCAGAGCTTCAAAGGACAGGCTGGTGGTGGTGACTAAGTTGAAGCCAATGTTCATTTACTGTTTTGAAAATCCTAGGGCCCTTAAAAATTATGCTCATTCTGCTCTGCCTGTGCTCTATAAATGGAATAATGAAGCCTGGATGGCAGCACATTTGTTTGCACTATGGTTTGCTGAATATTTTAAGCCCACTGTTGAGACCTACTGCTGAGAAAAAAAGATTATCTTTGGACTGTTACTGCTCAGTGAGAATGCACCTGGTCACCCAAGGGGTCTGATGGAAATATGCAAGGAAATTAATGTTGTTTTCATGCCTGCTAACACAACATCCATTTTGTAGCCCATAGATCCATGAGTATTTTAGACTTTCAAGTCTTATTATTAAGAAATACATTTTATAAGGCAATATCTGCCATAAATAATGATTGCTTTGATGGATCTGGATCAAGTAAGTTGAAAACCTTCTGGAAAGGATTCATCATTCTTCATGTTATTAAGAACATTTGTGATTCATAGGAGGAAGTAAAAAGATCAGCATTAACAGGAGGTTGGAAGAAGTCCATTCCAACCCTCATGGATGACTTTAAGGGGTTAAAGACTTCAGTGGAGGAAGTAACTGCAAGTGTGATGGTAATAGCGAAAGAACTAGACTTGGAAGTACAGCCTGAAGATGTGCCTGCATTGCTGCAATCTCATGATTAAACTTGAACAGATGAAGAGTTGCTTCTTATGGATGAGCAAAGAAAGTGGTTTCTTGCGATGGAATCTACTCCTTGTGAAGATGCTGTGAACATTGTTGAAATGACAACAAAGGACTTAGAATTTTCCATAAACTCAGTTGATAAAGCAGTGGTAGAGTTTGAGAGGATTGACTACAATTTTGAGAGACACTGTGCTGTGGGTAAAATGTTACGAAACAGCATCTCATGCTACAGAGAAACATTTTGTGAAAGGAAGAGTTAACTGATACAGCAAACTTCACTGCGGTATTATTTAAGAAACACTACAGCCACCCCAAACTGGACTTCTAAGCAGCACAGGTGCCTCTGCACTCTCTCGTTATTCTCCAGGGTTCTCCCACTGACACTCCAGTCAAATCTTAGCTATTTATCTGTTGCCTCGGTCTTTTTTTGTTGAGAGTGGACTAGCACCAGGCCTCTCTTGTCAGCCATCTTTCTGATGTCACTCCTAAACATAACTTTTAGAAAACCAAATACCGCATGTTCTCACTTACAAGTGGAAGCTAAATGATGAGAATACATGGCCACATCTGGGGAACAACACACACTGGGACTTTTCAGAGAGTGGAGGCTGGGAGGAGGGAGAGGATCAGAAAAAACAAATGGGTACTAGGCTTAATACGTGGGTGATGAAATAATCTGTAAAACAAACCCCCATGACACAAGTTTACCTATGTAACAAATCTGCACATGTACCCCTGACCTTAAAAGTTAAAAAGAAATTTTTAAGAAAATTGACGTTGTGAAGGCAAACAAACAAACATAACTTTTATGTGCACTGGGAAACCAAAAAATTTATGTGACTTACATTATTGCGATATTCTCATTATTGCAGTGGTCTGGAACCAAACCTGCAATAACTGCGAAATATGCCTGTATCTAGTTCAATAGTATTAATCTTAAGCACTTCCATAAAGTTGTGCAGCCATCACCACCATCAATTTCCATAACTCTTTTCATCTTGTAAAACTCAACTGCTGTACCTGTTAAACGCCGACTCCCCATTTCCCACTCCTCTTAGTCCCTAGCAACCACCATTCTGTTTTCTGTCTCTATGATGTTGACTACTCTAAATACCTGACATAAGTGGAATCATACAGTATTTTGTTCTTTTGTTACTAGCTTATTTCACATAGCATAATGTCCTCAAGGTTCATCCATGTTGTAGCATGTGTCAGAATTTCCTTCCTCACATTTTGCTAATGGGCACTTGGCTTGCTTCCATGTTTTAGCTGTTATGAATAATGCTGCAATAGACATGGGGTTACAGTTATCTCTTCAAGACCTGGCTTTCAGTTCCGGATATATACCCAGAAGTAAGATGGTAAATTTTATCTTATAAAAATTTTTTTAAAACACATAAGGTGAAGTCAATAAAACCTCTGTTTTGATATGGCAAACCATTTTATTTTAAGGCAATGAGACAGAATTCTTTTGATGAATAAATATCACCATTACCACTCTCTCTTATAACCTCACCTAAGCCGCCTCACCTAGGCTTCCAATCTGTCAAATAACACACATAGAGATCCAAAAGTAGGGAGAAAGGAAAGAGGAGATAGGACGTTTACCTGTCAGTTCAATCTCCGTCCCCCCCCCTTTTGTTTTTTGAAGTTTGATTAAGAATTCCGGACTCTCTGATTTGCCACATAAAGTAGGCATCGATTTAGGCTTCCCTCATATTTTTAAAGACTAAAAATAAGTCTTAACATGCTTTCTTTTGACCAAAATGACCTTAAAGCTCGTCCCAACTAACATTGTTACTTAGTTGTCATAGTAGTAACTGTAGTTTTCAACTGTGCTAGGACTATTACAAATGCAATCTAGGTTGGTCAGATAACTGTTATGAATATTATGTTTCTTTTTAGAGGAACAGTAGACTAGAATGTCTCCATAGGCAAGTAAACAAGTTGATGATGAATCTGAAACATATATCCTATGAAAGGAACTGGGGATGTTTTATATTAAAAATAGACAGCCAAGACAGGAGCCATTACCTCTGTCTTCAGATATTTGAGGGACAATTATACGAAAGAGTAATTTATTTGGAACATGAGTGTAAATTACGGAAGGAAAGATTTCAATTTTACGTTTTAAAAATACTTTTTGTAACTTACAGTTGCCCATCAGGGTCCCTTGTGGGGAGGTGTACTCCCCACAAAAAATTCTTAAGAAAGTAGCTTACTGCCTGACCAACATGGAGAAACCCCATCTCTACTAAAAATACAAAATTAGCCGGGCATGGTGGCGCATGCCTGTAATCCCAGCTACTTGGGAGGCTGAGGCAGGAGAATTGCTTGAACTCAGGAGGCGGAGGTTGCAATGAGCTGAGTTCGTGCCATTGCACTCCAGCCTGCACAACAAGAGCGAAACTCCATCTCAAAAAAAAAGAAAAGAAAAAGGAAAGTAGCTTACTTTCTATTTGGAGAATTATATGGGAAATGCCTTCTTGGTGGTCTCTGGGACATTTATTTGGAGCCCTGGGGCTTTAAGGATCCAATTTGAAAACCACTGATCAAGACCAATATAGCCAGATTAAAAATCTAGTTATTCCAAATATTTATTTCCTATTTAGTCATTCAGTATAAAAAATGAAGAGCCATTGAAAGATTCTGAGCAGAATGACATCTTTTGGTTTGTATTTAGAAAGGTCACCACTTTGACAATATGGAAATTAAAATCAAAACTGTGATATTGGAAGCAAGGAGACTAGTTTGGAGGCTGCTACAATGGCCTAAGCAAGAAGTGATTAGAAGCTAAACTAAGACAGTTGCAATGATAAGTAGAGAAAAGGGGTTATAGTTAACTGTACTGAGAAGTAGAATTAAAAGACCTAATAATCAGTTTGCTATGGTGGGAAGGGAGGAGTCTGAATTAATTCTCAACTTTATTATTTTGGGGATTGAGTAAATAAGGTTGACTTTAGTGGAGATAGAATATGTCGGGGGAGCTGTAGGTTTGAAGGGAAAGATCTTGAATTTAGTTTTAGAACTGGTAAATTAATTGGCAACTCACCTCAGATTAAGTTGTCTAATAGCTAGCAAAGTTAGTTATGGAACTTAGGCGCAAAGTCTGGGCTAGAGAAGTAGTGTTGGGAGACATGGATGTAAGTGTGGCAGGCGAAGCCATGGAAGTCCAGGGACAGAGGGAATCAGAAAGACTGAGGAAGCAGTTTGATAAATATAAGAGGAAACTGAGTAAGTTCTTATGATTTTTTTTAATTTTTTTAAAGTTTATGTATTTCATATATATATATTTTTTAATTTGAACAGGGTCTTGCTCTGTTGCCCAGGCTGGAGTGCAGTGGCACAATCATAGCTCACTGCAGCCTTGACCTCCCAGGCTCAAGTGATCCTCCCGCCTCTGTCCCCAAAGTAGCTGGGACTACAGATAGGTGCCACCACACCTGGCTAATTTTTTGTATTTTTTATAGAGACAGAGTTTCACTATGTTGCTTAGGCTGGTCTTGAACTCCTGGGCTCAAGCATCCCTTCCACCTTAGCCTCCCAAAGTTCTGAGGTTACAGGCCACCATGCCTAGCCAAGTCCTCATAATTTCTTACAGCTGAAAATGTACAATAACAATAGCAATGCAGGCTTAAATGCAAAGAAAAAAAGCCCACCAAAAACACCTGAGTTTTTAAAATTTACTTTCTTTGAGAAATTTGAAATAAAGCTGAAATGATTTTTAATAAAATTCTGATAATGATTTTACTAAACTTCTGAAATGTTTCTACAATCTAAACATTCCAGACCTTTGCCTAATCATCAGCTTAATTTTTATTTGGTCTGGGTATTTTTTAATTCTTATTTTATTTCACTTTGTTCTTTATGAAATTAATTATGTTGGCCTTGAATCTGACCAGTGCAAATTTATTATATGGCTTCATAAAAAAATCATACTTCAAAGAAAATACTTCCTTAAATGTAAGAACTTATACCTTCCTTATGTTCTTTGTTTACCTAAGGAAATGCAACCTCACCACAAGTACAAAGACCATCTTTCATGGACTACTTTGATAAGCAAGACTTCAAGAATAAGAGTCACGAAAACTGTAATCAGAACATGCATGAACCCTTCCCTATGTCCAAAAACGTTTTTCCTGATAACTGGAAAGTTCCTCAAGATGGAGACTTTGACTTTGTAAGTACATTTTAATTCTTCAATTTATGTTTTCTCCTTCTATATTTTATCATCAAATTGAGAAGCATAGTTCATATGTATATGAACTGTGTGTATGTATATACAATTATAGACCATATGTTAATATTCATTATACAGCCATATACATGGTTAGAGAAATTGTGAAACTGTAGCTTGCTTATAGAAATGTACTTGCAGAGAAATACTTTTTTATAGTTAAATAAATCATAGCTCAAATTTAAATAAATATTCAGGACTCCTTAAAACTAAAATGACAACTATTTTAAAAGATGTTTTCAATAATGCAAATATGAGATACTTCTGACATTCAGTAAACTCAGTTGCCAAAATTAATGAAGCAAAGGTATTTATGACATAGAGTTTGAGAATTTGCTTCAATTTTTAAAGTATATGAGTTGGTTTCTATTTGAGTAAGTGTTAATTCCACTTGGTTTCTCAGAAATAATAGTCCTATTCTGTACCTAGGAGCATATAAACTTCAGTATAAAACTGCCTTATCACCTATTTTGTTACATTTTCTCATTATTTCTTCTACCCTGGTTCTTCTTACTTCTTTTAAAGAATACATAAAATACAGATGAACTATTTTAAAGTAACTGTTTCCAGAACTTGAGAGAGTAAATTCTCAAAATGAGTTATTTAATGGAGTGAAAATTTTATGGAGTAAATTTTTACTTAACCACATTTTAAATAATAATGTTACTTTTGCATATTGTTCTGGAAGATTTTTTTTCCCAAACAAAATAACTTTATAATCCTTTATAGTTTTATTTATTAATAAACGTATGGATAAGTAAATACAATTTTAGATAAATATAAATATGTACATTTTTTAAATTTAAGAATTTTTAAGTAATAATAAACCATTTTGCTTAGACAACATGACTCTAAATGCTTTGCAATTATAAATATTTTAAGTACTTTTTTCCTCAATATTGTGATTGAGTTTTTAAATAATCAGATAATAAAGTTTCAAAATCTATCCCCAATAAATTTAGTACTAATTGCTAGCAAATATTAGCAGTATAATTCACAGGTTAGCTTGCAAACATCATTGCAATGTCTACTTAATATTTTTTCAATATTGTAGTAAGCAGTTAGAAAAATAAAATCAATACATCTTTAGTCCTAATAAGATTTCATTTTAACCTATCTACTTTTTTAAAATTATAAATTATTTAGAATGCTGACATTTAAGCTTTAAATTATTCATGAATATAATGAATAATGTAGAGTATTTAGCCTCAAAGAGTTGTCTTGTGTCAGTTGGAATAAATCTTTTTTTTTTTTTTGGCATAAATTTAAGGGTACGATTGCTGTTTTTTAAATTTACATGGATATATTGCATCATGGTGAAGTCTGGACTTTTAGTATAACCATTACCCAAATAATGTGCATTGTACCCTTTAGGTAATTTCTCATCCCTGACTCCCTTCTTCCCCTCTCACCCTTCCAAGTTTCCATAGTCTATTATTCCGCACTCTGTGTCCGTGTGTACACATTGTTTAGCTCCTACTTATACGTGAGAACATGCAGTATTTGACTTTGCTGTTTCTGAGTTGTTTCACTTAAGATAATAGCTACCAGTTCCATCCATGTTGCTTCAAAAGATAAGATTTTATTCTTTTTTATGGCTGAGTAGTATGGAATACATCTTAATGGGCTCTGAGAAACACTTTGAAATGAGCTACAAAGTAATGAATAAATTATCATGGTTAAGAAATGGCAAATAAAATGATTTAACTTTGCTTCAGTTAATCTTTCTACCACCCCAAAATTTAATGGCTTAAAATAACAACTATTTTACTTTCATCAAAACCACAATTTTGTAGGTTAATAGTTTGTCTAGGTTTATCTAAGTGTTTCTTCTGCTGGGCTTACCTGGGGTTTCTTAAGTGACTGCAGTCATCTGCTGACTTGAATGGGGCTGAACACTCTCTCTAAAATTACTTCCCAAATGTGTTGGCAATTGTGCTAACTATTGGCTAGGTCATATGATCTCATCAGGCAAGCCTGGAGTTTGTATGTGGCAGTAGTAGCCTTCCAAGAAGGTGAAAACAAGGTTGTAAGGCCTCTTGACATCAGCGTAGGATCTGCACAGTGTCCATTGATAATAGCATCAAAAAGAATGAGATACTTAGGAATAATCTTAACCAAGTAGGTAAAAGACTTGTACACTGAAAACTGCAAAAATATGGGTGAAAGAAATTAGATATCAATACATGAAAAGACATATTCATAGATTATAAGCTTTAATATTGTTAGGATGTTAATATTGCCTAAAGCAATCTACAGAGTCATTGTCATCTCTGTCAAAATCCTAATGATATTTTTTACAAAACTAGAAAAAAACTCATCCTAAAATTCATATGGATTCTCAAGGGACCCTAATTAGTCAAAACAATCTTGAAAAAGAAAAACAAAATTGAAGATCTCATGTTTCCTGATTTCAAAACTTACTACCAAGCTACTGAAATCAAAACAGTGTGGTACTGTCAGAAAGACAGACATGTAGACCAATGGAATAGAGAGCTGAGAAGTAAACTTTTCACATCTATGGTCAAATGATTTTCGGCAAGGATGCCAAGACCATTCAGTGGGGGCAAAGAAGAGGCATTTCAGCAAATCGTGCTGGGAAAACTGGATATCCACATGCAAAAGAATGAAGTTGGAGTCTTACTTTACACCATATACAAAAATTAATTCAAAATGGGCCAAAGATCTTACAGTAAGAAATAAAACTAAAAAATTAGTAGGAAATACATATGAGAAAAACTTCGTGACATTGGATTTAGCAGTGATTTCTAGGCTATGACACTAAAAACAAGTAACAAAAAATAGATAAATTGGACTACATCAAAATGGAAAACTTGTGTGCATCACAAGACACTATCAACAGAGTGGAGGGCAACCAATGGAATGAGAGAAAACATTTGTAAATCATATATCTGATAAGAGGTTAATATTCATAATGTATAATGAACTCCTACAACTCAACAGCAACAAAAAAAAAACCCAAACAGTCCATTTCAGAAATGGGCAAAGGGGCTGGGCATGGTGGCTCATGCCTGTAATCCCAGCACTTTGGGAGGCTGAGGCGGGTGGATCACCTGAGGTCAGGAGTTTGAGACCAGCCTGACCAACAAGGCGAAACCCCACCTGTACTAAAAATACAAAATTAGCTGGGGTGTGGTGGTGCATGCTTGTAATTCCAGCTACTTGGGAGGCTGAGGCAGGAGAATCACTTGAACCCAGGAGATGGAGGTTGCAGTGAGCCGAGATCGTGCCATTGCACTCCAGCCTGGGTGACAGAGCGAGACTCTGTCTCAAAAAAAAAAAAAAAAAGGGCAAAGGACTTAAATAGATATTCCTCCAAAGAAGATAAGCATGGCTAATAAACACATGAAAAGATTCAATAATTATCATTAATCATTAGAGAAATGCATATCAAAACTACAATAAGATACTACACACCCATTCAAATGACTATTATCAAAACACAAACACATAAAATAACAAGTGTTTCTGAAGACGTAGAGAAATTGGAACCTTTCCTTGTGCACCTGCTGGTGGAAGTATGTTGTAGTCACTATGGGAAGCAGTATGGTGGTTCCTCAAAAAAACTAACATAGCATTATCATATAATCCAGCAATTCTACCTCTGGGTATGTACCAAAGAAGTGAAAGCAGGGTCTCAAAGAGGTAGTTGTACACCCTTTTTCATGGCAGCATTATTCACAATGACAAAAAGGTAGAAGCAACCCAAGTGTCCATTGATGGATGAATGGATTAAAAAAATGTTGTAATACATAAAATGGAATATTGTTCAGCCTTAGGAAAGAAATTGTGCAATATGCTACAACATGGATAAGCACTGAAGACATTATGCTAAGTGAAATAAGCCAGGTCACAAAAGGACAAATGCTATATGATTCTACTTATATGAGTTACCTATAATAGTCAAATTCATCGAGATGGAAAATAAAATGTTGGTTCTCACGGGTGAGAAATAGGGAGTTATTGTTTGATGGGTACAGAGTTTCCGTTTTGCAAGATGAAAAACGTTCCAGAAGTGGATGGTAGTGATGCTTGTATGAGAGTGTGAATGTAAATAATGCCACTTAACTGAACACTTGAAAATGGTTAATTTTGTGTTATGCATTTTTTTGCATAAAAAATGCATAAGAGAAGAGGGGAAAGAATTTGCACAGTGTCACTGTTGTCATAGTCTGTTGTCAAAATATGTCAGAAGTCTAGTCCTAATTCATAAGATATGGAAATAAATTTCACCTCATGATGGAAGGAACAGCAAAGTTACATGGCAAAGGGTGCTATGAGATGGAAGGAATTATTACAGTATACTTTGCAGACAATCTAATAGAAAGGGTGTTAATTAAAATTCAACAGAAATTAGAATGTTGAATTTAGGAAATCAGAGTTCATTAATGATTTTGATAATGACCATTGCAGTACTCTACTTTCAGATTTTTCACATACACACAATTTTTGACATGTAGCCTTCTACTGTCTGTCTTAGACTCATTTTAGTTTTGTGAATCTATTTTTCCAATGGCTAACTCCTGAAAGTAACTTTTGGAAACATTTTTAGCCCCTCATAGATTTTGTAGTCATTCTATCTGGAAATTCCAAAATTTGTTAGAAAACATTAAGCTAATTTAACAAATATTTTACTTTGGATTGTGCTAGGCACTGTGGGTAAAAATAAATTATACTGATTTATTAAGAGGACAAGGTATGAGTTAATGAAGTGGTAAATTGTAATCCAGAACAATAACTCAGACATTGCCATGTGGTTTTGAATAAGAGGGAGATTTGATGAAGGCTGGAGTTGTATATGAAATTATAATGTGGAAGAGGACTTTGTCTAAGCATTGATAAATGGATAGCAGAAAGAGAGAAGGCAGGAACTACAAGGAATGATGTGTAATAAAAAGCTTAGCAGTAGGAAAGCATAATCTGTGTTGGGTGGCAATGAAATAGAGACCTTCAAGTCTGTGGTAGTTAATCTGGAAAAATACGAGAGATAAAATGGAAAAGTAGATCCAGATCAGAGGGTGAAAGCTTGCAAGGTTACAGAGTCTGAATATTTATTTAATAGACAGTGGAAAGCCACTGAAGGTTTTAAGTTGGAGGATGACATGATGAAAAGTATCTTAAGAATATTAATATTGAAGATAGCATGAAGGATTGATAGGAAGAGACTCAGGGTAGGGGAAATCGGTTATGTGGCACAAGCTTAAAATAATATAGGAATAAAATTGAAAAGAAAAACAAGAATGAGGAGGAAAGATTAACAGAAATAGCTGAAATACTAGATTGAAGAGTACTATTTTGATTAGTTAAGGTGAGGAACCAAATGATAAATGGTGACAGTACCAAAAAAAAATAATAAAGGAAGATGTTCTCACAGTTGGAAAGGGATATCAAGAGATCATATGACTGGATCCAATTTTTGCAGAGTTATTTATTTTTGACTTATATAGGGCAGATAGCCTTAAAAAGGGAATTGCAGGAGGGACGGAGTGACTAGAACAGTTCTTCCTTTCTCAACATTTATTACACCTGTCAACTGGAACTGCTCAACCCTCTCATCACTTTGAGGAAAGTGGAAAATGTTTGTAATCGCCACTGAGCGGAATGGAAATGGAAATAAATAAGAGATGAATAAAGGAAGCATTGCCAGAAGATGAACAAATAATTGCCAAGAGTAGTAGTGAGTATGGCAAAAGACAAGGAAAAGGGTGTAAGAGGGGCAAAGAGAGAATGGTTAAAAGAAGAAGCATAGGTGGAGCACAGCGTAAGTGATTTGGTGGACTGCTTTGCTCACAAAATGGGGAAGTGGACTAAAAGCAAAGATACCAGCTGTTAATGAGGGAAATCTGGTCTTATTCATTCCCTCATCTATTAGTTACAGAATGTTAAAAAATATGACTCATTAAAGTATAAAGCATACTAAGGTTTATGTGTTTATCTTCCCTCTTCATGATGCATCTCGAGGCCGCCTTCTAGAAGAGAACTGTATTTTATATAATTCCTAAGTCTATTTGATAGAAGTTGCTTAAAATAAGCCAAAGTTGTTTTGACCATATTTTCAGGACAGAGAAGGCTTCATCCTTCTGCCTTGAGGAAAATGGGTTCTAAGAAAAAAAAATGAAAGAGAACACTTTATTGTCTTTTGAGGTACTCAGAGCAGATTCCTAAAGGACAAAACTTATTCGGAAAGGCACCTGCTAGACAGATGTGCAGGGTAGGAAGCATTCCTTGTCTTAAAGCCTGTATGCAATAGAATTTGTGTACTTCCTTTTAAATCGTTAGCATTTGTCTTTGGGATTTTCTATGGATTTTCTTATGTTATGTTCCTGAATGTAAGGAGATGATAAAAGAATTTATGATGTCACCAAATTGGGGATTATCATAAAAAGATAGGAGATAAAATATATTTGGGCTAATTGAATTATTTTTAACCCTACCGGAAAAAAGTTATGTTTAGGATGTGCTTATGAAGATTTCTAAAACAAATGTAAAAGGCAAGTCTGTTTATTATAGCACTAGTCTAATGTTTCAGTTTTTGTTAGAATTATTTCCAAACAGCCTTAACATCCAGATTGTTTAGTGTTAAATAGAGAGCATGTAGATAATGTTTTGCAGAAATTACAGTATCATATTTAAATAGATATATTTTGGGTAATGTAAAGATTTTGGAATAAGAACAAAAACTTCAAAAGCCATCTGTTAACCCACTACATTGGTTCCAAATTTTAAAAAAGAAAGAAATTGGATTGACAGTAATTACTAGTATAAGAGAAATTAGGTAAATCAACCATTTTTGGTTGTGACTCATACTGAATAGTAAGTTAACATTTCTTAATTACTCTGATTCTTAAATATTTATTCAGTTGGTGGTGTTCTTTTGAGCTAAGGGACACAAGAATCCTCCAGGGCCACACTGAAGAAAAAGTCCCAAAAATTGTGGCAGAGAAGGGAAAAAAACTAACTTTGCTCCCCAAGTATAAAGTTGCCTGGGGCTTTCCTAGTTTTTCCGCAGTCCTACCTTTGTTGCCTGCATTAGCAAGTGAGTATGATTACAGGGAAACAAAACAAAAGTCACTGTTGCAAAATGCAGAAAACAGTAAAGGGTTGGCAGAGAAAGTACCAACCCTGCTGCTGGAGCTGCCCATGGACATTTTAGGAATCTTCACTTGTTCTGGAGAAATGTTTCTTTCTCAGGGTCTTTTCACCCTCCTCTATAGCCAGCAACTGTGAAGGAGTGATAAAGAAACTAGAGTAGCCCCGAAAAAGAGGAGCAGGGCCACCCCTTTAGTAAGCCCTCAGCAACACAGACCCTGTAGACAGCTTAAGGTAAAAACTTAAGCCAGCAGCATCTACCAGTTTTTTGTTTGTTTGTTTGTTTGTTTGTTTTACCAGTATAGCAGCATGTTATCTGCTTTGTTTAAATGCAGGTAATGTTTCTGGTTTTAAAAGAGATATTGGCTATAGTTTTCCTTGTAGTGTACTCCTTAGTCAAAGAACTGCTTGTTCTCTACAGTCCTTAGTTCTGTGGACTGAGGAAACCACTTCAGTTGAGTGAAGTATTTAAGCATATTGTCATCGATTACCTTTGCATTAATTAAATGATTATTGTCAAGTATTTCCAGATGTTTGCAAGAGTATTAACAAAGTATGAAAAGACAACTATAGATATTTCAGATTTATTTCTTCTAGGGTAAAGAAGAAATAAACACACAAAATCCCAAATGTTCCAGTGGATAGCTTTGGATAAGAGTTTATGATTACAGGTGTACATGTGGCATGAACTCAAGTGTATGTGGCATATTGTGCTTTCACTACTCAGTCATTCCTTGTAGAGCCAACAGGAAATTAAAATTAATGAGAAGCCTGCACTTTGAAATAGTTGCAGAATTCTTGACTATTTCAGTCCTTTGCCAGCTCACGAAATCTGTGCTGGCAGTCATATCCAACAGATGGTGTGGCGTGTGCACAGTTGTGTCATGTGATTGTCTAGGTCCATGTAGAATTTTTATGAGGTTTTGACCATCCGTCTGCTGAGGCATTTAAGATAGTCATAACCTTTGTTTTGAAAGGAAAGTGACCTGCTTCAAAGAAAAGTGTTTATGTACAAGTAGAAAATAATAATTTAGTCACTGGGCAGCTAAACTAGATTTAATTGATTCTTCGGTAAAAGCAACAAAGATTTTAGTGTCTCTGAACTGCTGCACTGGTTTTTAAAATTTTTTTCTTTAGTAGAATTTAATCCACTTGGCTATCTGAGGTAGAATGAGCGTTTCACTTTCTTATTCCTAATGGTGCTGTTTAAGGCTTCCATAATTTCTGAAATTTTTATTTGGTGGTTGTGTCTAGGCAAAGTCTACTGAAACATTAAGCTAATTCTGCTTATTTAGGTAATTAATACCTTAAGTTAAAACTCATTATATCATCATTTCCCTTACAAATTTAAGTGAGCAGGCCTGTACTTATTGGATTAATTAAGATAGAAAGCACAGGTGCAGTATGTGGTTTCTTGTCAACATGTTATAATTTATTAAGATGTTTAAAGCACATGGCAAAAGAAAAATGACTTACAAAAAGAGCTCCAAGAAGCACAAACTCTCCTCATAGTAGTTTGCTCTTTTTAAAATGTCATTTATTTAGAAGATTACATTGAAAAATTGACTACTCTACATTTTAAAACAAGATATTGTACTCCAAGCATATGTTGTGGCTAATGTTGATGTCTAAGGAAGTTATTTTGACTATGTGGGCTTTCTATTCATAACCCAATTTTGGATGTTTAGTCAGTAAGCACTGGGGACTATTGGGGTGATTACATCAAAAGAGATGTTAACCAATAGTGGAATTTAGGATCAAAGAGTGGACAATGTAATTTATGATCTTCTAATTTAAGACTGATAGCCCAACAGTGTTTACCTTTTGAAATAAATAAAGCATTCGATTTCAAAAAAGTTTTAAAAATTGATTGAGGAAACTAG
Source organism: Homo sapiens (assembly GCF_000001405.40). Lineage (NCBI taxonomy): Eukaryota > Metazoa > Chordata > Mammalia > Primates > Hominidae > Homo > Homo sapiens. Next base: position 98,517,691 of record NC_000008.11, on the reverse strand, counting down.
TAATGCATATATCAGGTTGTGTTTTGATGATGGAATAGTTTTGTACTTGAACTGTCATGAAATTTCTTTAAATCTAAAATTATTTTTGTAATTTTATACTTAATTCAGGTTTTCTGAGTATGCATAGTAGTTCACTATCAGAAATCTTTCTATAACTGACTTCCATCATACTTCTCATGTCTATCTTCCACAGTTAGAAGTATGCACATCATTGTTTGGGGGCCTATCATATTTGTTGGCCTACTTGAATTAATGCTGACACCTTTTCCTCCTTCCTGCCATTAGGTTGGTAGCCTTTTCCATAGTACCTCTCATTCATAAAAATAGAAAGCCCTCATTAGGTTGGTTTCTTCATGTTGGAAGACTTTTCAGTAAATAATAGACTTTTTTTAAAAATCCAGAATCTAGTTGTCTTGATTCAAAACCAAAGTAGTCTTGTTTTGTAATTGTGTTCATCAGTTGTTGAAACACCTTTCCAGAACGATAGACAGACCTTAAGGAGATAAATGAGTGATAGGGGCATTCAAACTAATGTTGTTTCTCATAGCAGATGAAAGTATTTTGGAAAAAAGATACCTTACTGATTTATTTTGAAGACACATTTACATGGTTCTCAACAGACCTTTTTTTCTTCATGAATTCAGTAATGGTGCATGTTGAAATTTGATATGCAGTATAGTATTATTAATTATTAAGGCATCTTATAAAAGGCTCAGTAACCTGGGTTAGAGTATCAAGTTTCATTCTCACAGACCTTCAGTTTAGTTTTTAACTCTCTATCTTAATTTGAGAATGCAAATGAAACTACCTAATAGCCAAGGCTACAAATATATAAATATATAAAAAGTTAATTATCGGCCATATTCTTGTACTAACTAGTCCAGTGGAACGACTAGCGAGTTCTGGATTATCTTTGCTAATGAAAGATCTAAAATTGTCATTTTAATGCCTATATTCTTTGATGAAAAGAAATATACTAATTCATTAGAACTTCAGTGATAGTACAGAATTCCTGAAATTGCGTTGCTTTTGGTTTTGACCATTTAATCATTTTTGTTTTGATTATGAACATTAAAATACTTTCCCCTTAGCATATCTGTATAAGGCACAATAGAAATAAAGTGCAGATAATTTCCCCTTGCTTTGTGGAACAGTGAATTATAGCTCAAGTCTGCAAATAAATTCTATCTTCCATCTTTTATTATAAAATTAGAGGTATATTCTTCTAGAAAAAATATTCTTCAAATAACTGAAGAAGATTATTAAGTATCTGTAACCCTTGGGTGTCTAGTAGTCATCATTTAGTAGCAGCTCTTTCGATATGTGGAAATTCATCTTTTTTGTTGTCATTTTTTAAAGAATTTTCCAGAATTAGTCAACCTGTGGTGTCTTTCCATATTGTATATCAGTTACTCTCACCTGTAAGAATTTCTTCCTTGTCTATGGTCATTTATACTTTTTTTTCCTCTTGACGCCATATTTAAACTATTAGGCTTCTATTAATTTGGGCAACTATGCCACATTTTGCTATGACTCATGATAGGAGGCTGTTTTAAGTTGGAAACTTCAGCATCTGAAATTGTTTTTCTAAGTAGCCAGTCTTTATATTGAAAATGGTGTGTGAAGTTTATCTACATATATAATTTTATGGCTCAGAGGGTGTCCTGTCCTTTTGTTTTGGCTAATAAACTAATAAGTATTGGGAAAAACAGCAGCTGACACATATTGAGATCTTAGTATGTAGTGAGTACTTTTTAAAGCACTTTCCTGACAATGCAGGAGATCCTTTACAGAAGGTACTATTATTATCCTTTAAACATGGCACATGTATACATATGTAACAAACCTGCACATTGTGCACATGTACCCTAAAACTTAAAGTATAATAATAATAAAATTTTAAAAAAGAAAACTTTCATAAAAGCTGCAAGAATAAAAAAAAAAACTGAAGAAACTAATGCCTGGAGAGATTAAGTTCAGTGGTCAAAATCTCATAGCTTGTAGGTGGTAGAGCAAAAATTTGAACCCAGGAAATCTGACTTAAGAGTTTACTTTGTACTATTTAACAATGATACTATCACTAAGCCTTTAGTGAAGAGGTTAGCCTGAGCCAGAAGTAAAGCCATCAGTCAAGAGAAAGAGGAGATGCATAAATCATAGCACTGAATCCAAACTCTGGGTAGTAGCAAAACTGAAGCCCATTCGAATAAAGTAGGAATACAGACATGGAGCAGGCCGAGGTGCGGGGTGCAGACTGAGTTGGCTTAGCCAGCAACACAGAATGCTTTTTTGCACATTTCAGCTGGGTCAGAGAACAGGTCCTAAAGGCAACCATGTCTGCTGAACAGACTAGTATTGGATATGATGCAGTAGTAACCTAGGTGGTAAAGGCTTTAACTGCCAAGCTGAGGCTTCTAGGTTTAGCCGTAATCCTATGAGTAATGGATAGCTAATAAAAAATTTTTATGAGGGGAAAACTCTTATCAAACTTGTTTTTTGGTGTCAAAGTGAAGCATAGAGAGGAACTGGAGACCCTGGAGACCTAGGATAACTGGATTAAAGACTGTTGAAATTGTTAAAAGTGGATTAAGGCAAAGATAGTGGAATTAGAGAAGAGAGTCTACATTCAAGAAATCATCTAGATTAGATCATTTAGAATCATCTGGATCTGATCATCAGTTTTATATAGAGGATTAGGGTGAAGAAGAAGGTTTCTGATTTAGATAATTAGATTGATGGTTTTGCTATTGTTTGAGATAAAGAATAGAAAAAGGGAAGAACAGATTTTAGAGACTGGGTGTGTGTGGAGGATAAGCTAACAAGATATGTTATGGATGTATAGAGTTTTCAGTGTCTGGAGGACATATAAATCTATTAGATAGTTGAAAGTACAGAATGGAACCATGAATTTGGGACTATTTGGCATGGAAAAAAGTATATGAGATCAACCAGAGAGACCCTTGAAGAGAGATGATTACCAAAAATGGATTTCTAGGGTATCCCAAATGTAAGGTGAGTGGGGCAGGAACAGTGAGCAGAGGCTGGCTCTATCTACCCATGGATATATTGAACCAAGCTTAAATGTAGGCCGATTACAGCTGTCACCTGAGAATTTACCATGAGTAGGATTTCACTGTTTTTTTTTTTTGTGGGGAGGTAGGGGGAGTGTGGGGGCAGGTATCAGTCTATGCTTGAACTTAAAGAATAGTTTTAGCTATCAAGTTTTTTGTTAGCAGTTTTTTGAGCATTCATCCTACCACAGGGTGTAAATAACTTTTAAACAGTTACAACTCATTGGCAATATATCTGAAATTACTTTTTTTAAAAAACATACTTTGAAGCATGCTCTTTCTAATCTCCCTTTTCTGACTCTTAACTATGCCTTTGGACAAATGCTACAACTTTTTGGTCACTTTCATTTAGTAAAAGTCTGGGTAGTTTAAGATTTTAATCTCAAATTTGATTTAAGTCTCACTTGATCCTTCCCCACCCTACATCTTAGAGAAGACCACCTAAGTGGCCTAAGACTGTTGGCATGCTTTCTCCCCTCCTAGGTCTAATTCTTGGAGAGAGAGGGGAAGGAGGCAGCATGGAGGAAGGACAAGAGAGGCAGAGGTCATCATCTGAGTGAACGTGGTTATCTGAAGATAGTGGGTCTCACTCTGGCATAATCTGGTTCTAAGTGCTGCAAAATGTCTCTGACAATATGATGTTCATGTGGTTGGAATATGTGGTTTTCTTGGGATGATAGCTTTATCTTGGCTTCCTTTATCACTGAGCTCTTCCTCAGAGATGGGTAGCTATATCTCCTTTCTGTTTCATAAGTTCAAACTCCTCCCCTCTCTCTAGATGGGGCATTGATGTGTTTGACCAGCAGCCCTTGCTTCTTCCCCAGTCCTGGTTCTCTCATATGAGCCATGGGAGTCAGTGGTGTTCTTTTTCTAGGGTCTCAGAGAATTAGTGGGTAGATAGGGGAAATGTGAGAGGTACTCTCCACTTCTCCCCCGCCCCACCCAGGTATACTATTTCTGTGGCCCTATTAGGTCTGCTGCTGCAGGCTGCTCTACCCAAGCCTCCCATCTTCAGAAATCTCTAGATAAGAAGTAGACAAGTTTCTAGGCCAATATATTTTCCCCAACTTCTAGGGACATATGCCAGGTCATCTATGAACACTTCAGCAGGCTAAATTCTACTCCACTGGCAGCACCAGGGCAAGTTTGCAGGTTCTTTATTCAGTATTCAGTCCAGCTGGAAAGTGAGATGCCAGTCTCCTCTTCTTGCAGGAAACCACAACGTGTCTTTGATGTAATATCTTGGTGCTGTGCAACTTGGCTTGAGTGAGGAAGCTCCTATGACAAAAACTGCACCCCAGTGCTCCTGATGTACCCTTGCCCTCTTATGTAGGCTGGGTGATGATTTGGGAGTGGTGGGGCTCATTCAACCTCTGAGTAAACTCAAGGTTGGCGATTTGGCCCCATTTGGTTGGTGGCTGTCTTCAAGATAGGTGGTGCTTGTACATTATTTTTGTCTTTGTTGTGAGCCTTAGTCTCACAATTCAGGGGACAGTTAAACACTTTCAGTCAGCATTCTTCTGTAAAAATAAACATTACTGACATGACTGACATTTTAGAGCATTTCATGTTTCTTTCTCTACAGAAATATTTTAGTTTATTTTTTCCTTCATTCATCATTTATTCAGTAAACATTTTTTTGTGACAGCCTTGTTGCATGCCAAGCGGTAGGCACTGCCAACTTAAGCAAATTGCTGCTCTGGAGGAGCATTTGGGTATAGACATATGAACACTTAATTATTTTACCCATAGATAAATTGACCAGACACCACTGATCTGGAAAATCAGGTTGTAGTGAAAATAACCAGACTTGGAAATAAAACCATGAAAGTGAAAATACGAAATTTTAATACAAGTTATTTTTTATTGAACAGCAATGTCTAACATTCAGAATTCATGCTATCTAAGCTTACAGAATTTCCAGTGGCCCTGGGTACATAGGACCATGTAATCACATGGACCAGACTAAGAATTCTTATAGATCATTTACTTAAAGATTTAGTTTTAGGTTTTTTCAAGGAAGGAATAATAATAATGTCTATTTTTACTAACTTTTTGGTAAGAAATTTTTAGCTTCATACAAATATTTTATTAAGTGCATACTGCTCACATGTGGCACATATTGTTTATGTATTAATTCTTTATGTCATCTAAAATTCTAAACTGAGACTTCTTCAAAAATTATACTTATCTTGTATCTCCAAAGTAATATTTTATACTTTGTCTATTTGCCTTAAACAAGTTGAGTCTAAGGCTTAACTGTGAAACAGAATTCATACTAAGGAACTTAGAACAATTCAGACCAATCAATTACTATAGTCTCTATTTATTGTTTTATTGTTCTGAAAGTTAAAAACAAATTACATCTAGATTACAAGCTAAAGGTTGTTTTAAAACATTATGCAATGTTCTCACTCATAGGTGGGAATTGAACAATGAGAACACATGGACACAGGAGGGGGAACATCACAATCCGGAGCCTGTTGTGTGGTGGGGGGAGGAGGGAGGGATAGCATTAGGAGATATACCTAATGTTAAATGACGAGTTAATGGGTGCAGCACACCAACATGACACATGTATACATATGTAACAAACCTGCACATTGTGCACATGTACCCTAAAACTTAAAGTGTAATAATAATTAAAAAATTTAAAAAAAAAATTATGCAAGTGGGATTTTTTTCACTTCAGTTTCTGTTTCGTAACTAAAACATTAAAACAGTATCACTGGCAACAATTTAATACATAACCTCTAACTTAAATGAATATTTCTTTAAAGTTACCTTTATTTTGTAATTTAAGGAAAACCTGTTTTATATTAATATTTAAAACAAGCATGGAAAAATCAGCTGCTGAGGAGAGGCGAAATATTTTTAAAACACTTGAGCTTCTCTCTTCAGGTTCTGTGTTCTGTGTTCAGATTGATAATACATTTCCAGGAGAAAGTGGATGGTATTTATACACCCATATATTTCCATGAGTCATTTTTAGGAAACTATTATTTTAATTCATGGTAAATTATAAAATGAATTAGTAACAATGTAAGAGAAGGCATTCAGGAAACATACCAGTTCATACTCCATTTCATATTGATGTACTTAATATATTTAGCTTCTTGTATTTAGGGTAGCATCAATTAGCTCTCCTTTAAGCGAAAATGTTCTAAAATACTTAGGTATGACTATATTTAAAATATAGTCTTTTTTTGAATTTTAGAATAAAAAGAAATTTAATATTTTTAATCCTTAATAGATGCAAATTATAGGTGTGCAAAACATGTAGTAGCTACTTGTATGTTTAAGATTCAGTATCTTACATTGTTATATTTTTAAAGTTATGGGATATGTAAATACTGAATTATTAGATATTCCATTTGAAGTGATTCAAATTCAAAAAATATGAATAAGCATTTGTCTCAATAGATTTTATTCATTTATTTAATAAGAACCACTTTTGTTTTAATTAATTTTCCAGAACATGAGAAAATATTAATAAGGTATACACATTGAGGTTAGAATATGTTATTATTCATATTTTTTGAGACCGATTTAGGATTACTTGGTTTAAGTATAAATTAATATTTAATGTTCTAATTTTATATTTTTTTCTAGAATAACACACTAACAAAACTCCTTTTTAGTTTTTAATGTTCGTTTGTTCAACAAAAGTATTTTCAGTGACTTCTATGTGCCTTTCACCTCCCTTTAGAAAGTAATGCAGTCAAGGGAGCCACTTGCAAAATATCTCTGTATTATCAATTACTTCACCCACCTTACTCACAGGGTATCCTATTTTACCTATTTTATGTCACCGTTAGGCTTTAAGGTCTAACACAGTCAAGCTGATTTTGCCATCCAATCAAATCAAATGCTTGCAAAATTGAAGCAAACAGCATTTTTCCTGTTCCCAGCTGTGCTAGCTACTTTATTAAACTTAAAACATACTTATTTATAAGAGAAATTTTTAAATTGATGTATTTACCTTCAGTATGACATTTTCTTGTTTGTTCAAATGAGAATTCTAGTTGTAAAAAAAAACTGCATTTAAATATTTTATAGAAATTATTAATAGTGGAAAAGGATACTAGTTCATAATATCATTGAGAGCAGCTGTGAATAAATCATAATTAGTCAGGATTTATTTACAGTTTTAAAAAAAAACCCTCTGATGTTACAGGGGCTGAAAATGAAGGCAAATATATGGGTGAGGGTAGGGAGCAGGGGGCTGTTTGGCCTGGTAAAAATTTTGTAACTATTTGCAAAACTGATTAGGAAATTGGAAGGAGAAAAAGAACACACATAACCGTCTTCAGACATAGACAAAAATAGGACTTGCATATTTGTGGCATGCCTCTGGATTAGGCATTAAACTAAATGTGACTGTTCAATAATACTTAATAGCAGCATAACAAAAGGGGCATCTATTGTCTCTAGTAATTCTTCTTTACAGAAATCCATTACGTATTAGAATAATGTATGTCAACATCATTCTTTTATTTTGCCAGTTTCTGCTTTGATTTATAGTTGTGTGTAACCCGGACACCAATATTGATAGGATCATTTAAAAGCTTAGAACTTTTCTTTTTTAAACCTTTCTTTTGAATTTATTCTAAGTTACCATTTAACAAAATACCTGATATTGAGTCCTACAAAATTTCAAAATAGAGAACTTGTTTTTATTTAAAAAGAAGTGATTTGAATAAATGTCAATAAGCATTAGATATTATACTTTAAATAAAATGTTAGTAAGTTTTAGAAAAGTATTAGATTTTCACATCTTTGTTATTGAGGTAACTTATGAGTAGAAAAATAGAATTTTTAATAGAATATGGTAGGTGAATCCTTTAATATTGGTAAAATAAGGTTTATTTACAGTCTTGTTAAAAAGCTGTTGGCCATAGTACTTCTCTTTCTGTATATGTCTTATTCCTCAGTGTATACTTTAATTTATGATTAGTTTAAAGTTTAAAAGTTTTAATCTGTGATGAACTCTAGGCTTAAGTTTATGGTATAGTTTATTTTATACACTGTTCTTAAAAAGCTATTCGATTACTAGGTAGGATTCTTTCAAGTAAAAATTTAAATGTCAAAGTAATTCTCCTTAATAAAATAATTCCATTAGGATGTTTTCATTAAACTTACCAGTCTCTTAATAATCTGCACAATAGTCATCTAAGTAAAACTTGTATTTTTGTTTGTAGTTTATATAAAACAGCCTAAGTATTTTAATGCTGTGAATCTAGATTTTTAAATGAGTACACTGTACATTTTACATAGACACATCTATTTATAATTATGAGCATAAATTATAAGTGTAATTTCTGAGATGCTTAAAGATATAATAAAATTTATATTGTTATACCAATCTTAAGAGTGCCTAGGAAAACTTTAAAGAACCACCCAAGAAACTGCCATTTAATTCTGTCTAAATATATTTTGTCCAAGTTAAGAAAAGGAAAGATATTTTGTTCGTATAATTATTTTGCCTTCTGCAAGCTCCCTTTCATCATATGCTGAATCTCTAGCAGGTTAGATCATTAAACTTTTCAGATGAAAAAAAAAGATGGTTGGGGAAAGACTAGTTAGTACCTGATTGGGCAAATGTGGGTCGAGTTTTGAAAACCTTTTTATTTTTTTAGATGAGTTTCCCTGAGTTTTTGTTTACTCAATTTATAAGGTATGTAAGAATACATCATTAGTTCTTACCTTGACCTTTCCTAAATCTTTTGTGTCATTAAATAGAACAAGGCTATGCAGTTAAAATATTTATTTGAAAGTTTTTAGAATCCTAATAATTTTGCTTACTTTAATTAATTACTGTCAAATTGTGATAGTAATTGTTAGTCCTAAATTGTTAAGAACTTTATTTTAAATTTGTTTTCCCATAATTTTCCCCAAAATTGTTTTATTTCTTAAGCAATCCAAAACATAACCAGCCACAGCCACATAAAAATTTTTAATAAAAACTTTATTGAGATATAATTCACACACCATATAACTCACCCATTTAAAGTATGTAATTCAATGGTTGTTTAGTACATATACAGTTTTGTAGCTGGCACTATAATCCATTTCAGAATATTTTCATCATTATCCCAAAAAGAAACCCTGTACCCACTAGTAGTCACTTCCCATTTCCTCCCAACACCCTTTTCTTTTTCTAGTCCTAGGCAGCCACTGGTCTACTTCTTGTCTCTGTGGATTTGCCTGTCTTGACATTTTGTGTAAGTAGAATCATACAATATGAGCCACAACTATTCCTTCTACCTTTCTAGTAGATAGGTGATTATTACAGCAGGGTGACTGTAATATTGCTGTAACTTAGGAATTTGCCACCTATGATAATAGTTAACATAAAGTGTTTCCTGAAGCAGTATAGATAAAAACTTGAAGTCTGAAATAAAATATTTGTAATGGATTCATCAGGACCTTAAATACTAGGGTAGTGCAGTCTACTTCCTATATACTAGAAATCAGTTATATGTAATACATGCCTGGCACTGTTCTAGATATTCATGATATAGCAACAAATAAACCAGACAAAAATCTCTACCTTCACAAAGCATATACTGTAATGGAGAAAACAGTCAATAACCATAATAAATTAGTAAAGTATACAGTTTGCTAAAAGACGATAAGTACTTTGGAGAGAAAAAAGAACCACGTAAGGTAATGAGGCCGGTGTTGGGGTAAAGGGCTTGCAATATTGAGTAGAATGGTTGGAGAAGGCTTCATTGAGAAAGTGACAATTGAATAAAGACTTGAAGGAGGTAAAGGACCAAGCAGGGAGTGAGCCATCCGGATATCTGAAGGAAGAACATTCCAAGTAGAGGGACCAGCAAAGACTCTGAAGTGGAAGCTTCCTTTGGTGTGTTGGGGGAACACTAAAGTGATACATTGATTTTGGGCAGCTGAATGAGTGAGGGCCAGAACATAAGAAGATGAAGTTGGAGAGCAGGATAGGGAAGTGGTAGGGTGCACCAGATGGTAGGCTTCTGAAGGTATTGTAAAGATTTGGGCATTTGTTCTAAAAGAAATATGTAGCCATAGAGAAATAACTTGATCTCTAACTGACTGACTTTAAAAAGTTTACTCTGACCACATTTCAGAATTGATTGAGTGGGGCAAGGGTAGAAGCAGTCATCCGGGCAAAGAGCACCAGAGACAGTAAGAACTGGTCAGGTTCCTGATAACTTTTTAATATATAGGCAACAAAATTGTATAACTGACTGAATATGAGAATGAAAGATCCGGGATAATTCCAAGGTTTTTTGTTTGAACAGCCAGGATGGTGTTGCCTATAACTGAACTGGGGAAGACTGTGGGTGGAACTTGTTGGCTGGGAAGTTCTTCTGCATCCAGGTGGGCATACCAAATATACGATTGTGTGTCCAAATTGGGAGTTCAAGGGAGAGTTCTAGGCTGGAATTTGTGGTAATCAGTATATAGATGGTATTTAAAACCATGAGACTGAATGGGATCTTCAAAGGACTCTCCAAAGAAATGAGTATATATAGAGAAGAAAAGGGGTCTGTATTCATTTCCCATGGCTGCTGTAACAAAGAAATGAGTATATGTAGAGAAGGGAAGGGGTCTGTATTCATTTCCCATGGCTGCTGTAACAAATTACCACAAATTGAGTGGCTTAAAACAGTAGAAATGTGTTGTTTTACAGTTCTGGAGCCAGGAATCCAAACTAAATCTTAACGGGGCTAAACCTGAGTTGTAGCAGGGCCACACCTTCTCTGGGGAAATTTGAACTAAGTGTTATGAGGCTAAATCATGCTATCAGCAGGGCTACAATCCCTCCAAATACTCTAGCAGAGAATCTCTTTTACTTTTCAGTATCTGGAGCTGCATTCGTTGAGTCTTTGGTTCTTTCTCCATTTTCTTTCTTTTTTTTTTCTTTTGATGGAGTCTTGCTCTGTCGCCTAGGCTGGAGTGCAGTGTGGTGCAATCTCAGCTCACTGCAACCTCTGCCTCCTGGGTTCAAGCAGTTCTCTTGCCTCAGCCTCCCAAGTAGCTGGGATTATGGGCATCTGCCACTTCACCTGGCTAATTTTATTATTAGTAGAGACATGGATTCCATTCCAAGATGGCCAAATAGGAACAGCTCCGGTCTGCAGCTCCCAGTGTGATTGACGCAGAAGACGGTGATTTCTGCATTTCCAATTGAGGTACCTGGTTCATCTCACTGGGACTGGTTGGACAGTGGGTGCAGCCCACGGAGGGCAAGCTGAAGCAGGGCAGGGCATCACCTCACCCAGGAAGCACAAGGGGTCAGGGGATTTCCCTTTCCTAGCCAAGGGAAGCCGTGACAGACTGTACCTGGAAAAACGGGATGCCTCCACCTAAATACTGTGATTTTCCAGTGGTCTTAGCAGAAGGCACACCAGGAGATTATATCCCATGCCTGGCTTGGCGGGTCTCATGCCCACGGAGCCTTGCTCACTGCTAGTGCAGCAGTCTGAGATCAACCTGCAAGGCAGCAACCTGGCAGGGGGAGGGGCATCCGCCATTGCTGAGGCTTGAGTAGGTAAACAAAGCAGCCTGGGAAGCTCAAACTGGGTGGAGCCCACTGCAGCTCTGCAAGGCCTGCTGACTCTATAGACCCCACCTCTGGGGGCAGGGCATAGCTGAACAAAAGGCAGCAGAAACTTCTGCAGACTTAAACGTCCTTGTCTGACAGCTCTGAAGAGAGTAGTGGTTCTCCCAGCATGGTGTTCGAGCTCTGAGAACAGACAGACTGCCTCCTCAAGTGGGTCCCTGACCCCTGTGTAGCCTAACTGGGAGACACCTCCCAGTAGGGGCCAACTGACACCTCACACAGCCAGATGCCCCTCTGGGATGAAGCTTCTAGAGGAAGGATCAGGCAGCAATATTTGCTGTTCTGCAGCCTCCACTGGTGATACCCAGGCAAACAGAGTCTGGAGTGGTCCTCCAGCAGACTCCAACAGACCTGCAGCTGAGGGACCTGATTCTTAGAAGGAAAACTAACAAACAGAAAGGAATAGCATCAACATCAACATAAAGGTCATCTACACCAAAACCCCATCGGTAGGTCACCAGCATCAAAGACAAAAGGTAGATAAAAACCACAAAGATAAGGAGAAACCAGAGCAGAAAGCTGAAAATCCTAAAAACAAGAGCACCTCTTCTCCCCAAAAGGATGGCAGCTCCTCACCAGCAATGGAACAAAACTGGACAGAGAATGACTTTGATGAGCTGACAGAAGTAGGCTTCAGAAGGTTGGTAATAACAAACTTCTCTGAGCTAAAGGAGGATGTTCGAACCCATTGCAAGGAAGCTAAAAGCGTTGAAAAAAGATTAGACTAATGGCTAACTAGAATAAACATGTAGAGAAGACCTTAAATGACCTGATGGAACTGAAAACCATGGCAGGAGAACTACGTGACACATGCACAAGCTTCAATAGCCTATTCGATCAAGTGGAAGAAAGGGTATCAGTGACTGAAGATCAAATTAATGAAATAAAGTGAGAGGACAAGGTTAGAGAAAAAAGAGTAAAAATAAATGAACAAAACCTCCAAGAAACATGGGACTATGTGAAAAGACCAAATCTACATTTGATTGGTGTGCCTGAAAGTGATGGGGAGAATGGAACCAAATTGGAAAACACTTTTCAGGATATTATCCAGGAGAACTTCCCCAACCTAGCAAGGTGGACCAACATTCAAATTCAGGAAATATAGAGAACACCACAAAGATATTCCTCAAGAGGAGCAACCCCAAGACACATAATTGTCAGATTCACCAAGGTTGAAATGAAGGAAAAAATATTCAGGGCAGCCAGAGAGAAAGATCGAGTTACCCACAAAGGGAAGCCCATCAGACCAACAGTGGAACTCTGGGCAGAAACTCTACAAGCCAGTAGACAGTGGGGGCCAGTATTCAACATTCTTAAAGAAATGAATTTTCAACCCAGAATTTCCTATCTAGCCAAACTAAGCTTCATAAGTGAAGGAGAAATAAAATCCATTACAAACAAGCAAATGCTGAGAGATTTTGTCACCACCAGGCCTGCCTTACAAGAGCTCCTAAAGAAAGCACTAAACATGGAAAGGAACAACTGGTACCAGCCACTGCAAAAACATGCCAAATTGTAAAGACTGTCAATGCTAGGAAGAAACTGCATCAACTAACGGGCAAAATGACCAGCTAACATCATAATGACAGGATCAAATTCACACGTAACAATAGTAACCTTAAATGTAAATGGGCTAAATGCCCCAATTAAAAGACACAGACTAGCAAATTGGATAAAGCGTCAAGACCCATCAATGTGCTGTATTCAGGAGACCCATCTCACATGCAGAGACACACATAGGCTCAAAATAAAAGGATGGAGGAAGATCTACCAAGCAAATGGAAAGCAAAAAAAAGCAGGGGTTGCAATCCTAGTCTCTGATAAAACAGACTTTAAACCAACAAAGATCAAAAGAGACAAAGAAGGCCATTACATAATGGTAAAGGGATCAATTCAACAAGAAGAGCTAACTATCCTAAATATGTATGTACCACCCAATGCAGGGGCACCTAGATTCATAAAGCAAGTCCTTAGAGACCTACAAAGAGACTTAGACTCCCACACAGTAATAATGGGAGACTTTAGCACCCCACTGTCAATATTAGATCAACAAGACAGGATATCCAGGACTTGAACTCAGCTCTGCACCAAGCAGACCTAATAGACATCTACAGAACTCTCCATCCCAAATCAACAGAATATACATTCTTCTCAGCACCACATCACACTTATTCCAAAATTGACCACATAGTTGGAAGTAAACCATTCCTCAGCAAATGTAAAAGAACAGAAATCACAACAAACTGTCTCTCAGACCACAGTGCAATCAGACTAGAACTCAGGATTAAGAAACTCACTCAAAACTGCACAACTACACAGAAACGGAACAACCTGCTCCTGAATGAGTACTGGGTACATAACGAAATGAAGGCAGAAATAAAGATGTTCTTTGAAACCAATGAGAACAAAGACACAACGTACCAGATTCTCTGGGGCACATTTAAAGCAGTTTGTAGAGGGAAATTTATAGCACTAAATGCCCACAAGAGAAAGCAGGAACGATCTAAAATCAACACCCTAACATCACAATTAAAAGAACTAGAGAAGCAAGAGCAAACAAATTCAAAAGCTAGCAGAAGGCAAGAAATAACTAAGATGAGAGCAGAACTGAAGGAGATAGAGACACAAAAAACCCTTCAAAAAATCAGTGAATCCCCAAGCTGGTTTTTCTGAAAAGATCAATAAAATAGACTGCTAGCAAGACTAGTAAAGAAGAAAAAGAAGAAACAAATAGACTCAGTAAAAAAATGATAAAGGAGATATCACCACCGATCCCATAGAAATACAAACTACCATCAGAGAATACTATAAACACCTCTACGCAAACAAACTAGAAAATCTAGAAGAAATGGATAAATTACTGGACACATACATGCTCCCAAGACCAAAAAACCAGGAAGAAGTTGAATCTCTGAATAGACCAATAACACGCTCTGAAATTGAGGCAATAATTAATAGCCTACCAACCAAAAAAAGTCCAGGACCAGACAGATTCACAGCCTAATTCTACCAGAGGTACAAAGAAGAGCTGGTACCATTCCTTCTGAAACTATTGTAATCAATAGAAAAAGAGGGAATTCTCCGTAACTAATTTTATGAGGCCAGCATCATCCTGATACCAAAGCCTGGCAGAGACACACAAAAAAAGAGAATTTTAGACCAATATTCCTTATGAACATCAATGCGAAAATTCTCAATAAAATACTGGGAAACCGAATCCAGCAACACATCAAAAAGCTTATCCACCATGATCAAGTCAGCTTCATCCCTGGGATGCAAGGCTGGTTCAACATATGCAAATCAATAAACGTAATCCAGTATATAAACAGAATCAATGACAAAAACCACATGATTATCTCAATAGATGCAGAAAAGGCGTTTGACAAAGTTCAACAGCGCTTCATGCTAAAAACTCTCAATAAACTAGGTATTGATGGGACGTATCTCAAAATAATAAGCTATTTATGACAAACCTACAGCCAATATCATACTGAATGGGCAAAAACTGGAAGCATTCCCTTTGAAAACTTGCACAAGACAGGGATGCCCTCTCTTACCACTCCTATTCAACATAGTGTTGGAAGTTCTGGTCAGGGCAATCAGGCAAGAGAAAGAAATAAAGGGTATTCAAGTAGGAAAAGAGGAAGTCAAATTGTCCCTGTTTGCAGACGACATGATTGTATATTTAGAAAACCCCATTGTCTCAGCCCAAAATCTCCTTAAGCTGATAAGCAACTTCAGCAAAATCTCAGGATACAAAATCAATGTGCAAAAATCACAAGCATTCCTATACACCAATAACAGACAAACAGAGAGCCAAATCATGAGTGAACTCCCATTCACAATTGCTACTAAGAGAATAAAATACCTAGGAATCCAACTTACAAGGGATATGAAGGACCTTTTCAAGGAGAATTACAAACCACTGCTCAACGAAATAAAAGAGGACACAAACAAATGGAAGAACATTCCTTGCTCATGGATAGGAGGCATCAATATTGTGAAAATGGCCATACTGCTCAAAGTAATTTATAGATTCAATGCCATCGCCGTCAAGCTACCAATGCCTTTCTTCACAGAATTGGAAAAAACTACCTTAAGGTTCATATGGAACCAAAAAAAAGCCTGCATAGGCAATACAATCCTAAGCAAAAAGAACAAAGCTGGAGGCATCACGCTACCTGACTTCAAACTATACTACAAGGCTACAGTAACTGAAACAGCATGGTACCAGTACCAAAACAGAGAAATAGACCAATGGAACAGAACAGAGGCCTCAGAAATAACAACACACATCTACAACCATCTGATCTTTGGCAAACCTGATGAAAACAAGAAATCGGGAAAGGATTCCCTATTTAATAAATGGTGCTAGGAAAACTGGCTAGCCATATGTAGAAAGCTGAAACTGGATCCCTTCCTTACACCTTATACAAAAGTTAATTCAAGATGGATTAAAGACTTAAATGTTAGACCTAAAACCATAAAAACCCTAGAAGAAAACCTAGGCAATACCATTCAGGACATAGGCATGGGCAAGAACTTTATGACTAAAACACCAAAAGCAATGGCAACAAAAACCAAAATAGACAAATGGGATCTAATTAAATTAAAGAGCTTCTGCACAGCAAAAGAAAATACTATCAGAGTGAACAGGCAATCTACAGAGTGGAAGAAAATTTTTACAATCTACCCATCTGACAAAGGGCTGATACCCAGAATCTGCAAAGAACTTAAACAAATTGACAAGAAAAAAAAAACCATCAAAAAGTGGGCAAAGGATATGAACAGACACTTCTCAAAAGAAGACATTTATGCAGCCAGCAGACACATGAAAAAATACTCATCATTGCTGGTCATTAGAGAAACGCAAATCAAAGCCACAATGAGATACCATCTCATGCCGGTTAGAATGGCGATCATTAAAAAGTCAGGAAACAACAGATGCTGGAGAGGATGTAGAGAAATAGGAACGCTTTTACACTGTTGCTGGGAGTGTAAACTAGTTCAACCATTGTGGAAGACAGTGTGGCGATTCCTCAAGGATCTAGAACTAGAAATACCATTTGACCCAGAGATCCCATTACTGGATATATACCCAAAGGATTATAAATCATGCTACTATAAAGACACATGTACACGTATGTTTATTGTGGCACTATTCACAATAGCAAAAGCTTGGAACCAACCCAAACGTCCATCACTGATAGACTGGATTACAAAGATGTGGCACGTATACACCATGGAATACTATGCAGCCATAAAAAAGGGATGAGTTCATGTCCTTTGTAGGGACATGGATGAAGCTGGAAACCATCATTCTGAGCAAACTGTCACAAGGACGGAAAATCAAACACCACATGTTCTCACTCATAGGTTATGACTAAAGCACCAAAAGCAGTGGCAACAAAAACCACCATAGGTTGGAATTGAACAGTGAGAACACTTGGACACAGGGCGGGGAACATCACACATGGGGGCCTGTCATGGGGTAGGGGGCAGGGGTAGAGATAGCATTAGGAGAAATACCTAATGTAAATGACAAGTTAATGGGAGCAGCAAACCAACATGGCACATGTATACCTATGTAACAAACCTGCACGTTGTGCACATGTACCCTAGAACTTAAAGTATAAAAAAAATAGTAGAGATGGGGTTTCACCAAGTTGGCCAGGCTGGTCTCAAACCCCTGACCTCGGATGATCCACCTGCCTCGGCCTCCCAAAGTGCTGGGATTACAGGTAAAAGCCACCACACCAGCCTTCTTTTTCCATTTTCAAAGCCAGTGATATAGCATCTTTTCTCTCTTATCTGTTTCTTTTTGTTTTCTTTTTTTTTGGTCACATGACCTTTTTCTTTTGTGTAAAACCTCTCTGCCTCCCCTCTTCTAAGGACACTTGTGACTGTATTGAGGGCCCACTGAGATAATCCAAGATAATCTCCATATCTCAAGATGCTTAAGTTAATCACACTTGCAAAGTCTTTGCCATATGAGGTAGCATTTTCAGGTTCCAGGCATCAGGGCATGAATATCTTGAGGAGCTTACCACAGTCTGCCCTCTTGTCTCCAAGGATTTACATCTATCTCACATGCAAAATATTCACCCCATCCCAGTATCTCCAGAAGCCTCAACCCATTTCAGTTTCAACCCAAAATCTCACCTAAATATAATCAGCTCAAAAGTCCAAGATCTCATCCAAATCATCTAAATCTAAGTTCATCATTGTATATAATTGTAGGACACACATCAGCTAAGCTTTCTGCCACTATATGACAAATCTCCTTTCCTACAGTTTCTAATAAAATGTTGCTCATCTCCTTCTGAGCCCTCACCAGTACCATCTTTACTGTGTTTATATTTCTACCAACATTCTGCTTATGATGATATATGTGTTCTCCAAGATGAATTAGGATTTCTCTACCATGCTCCTCACTTTCTTCTGAGCTGTTACCAGCAGTGCCTTTAATGTTCAAATTTCTACCAAA
Source organism: Homo sapiens (assembly GCF_000001405.40). Taxonomy (NCBI): domain Eukaryota; kingdom Metazoa; phylum Chordata; class Mammalia; order Primates; family Hominidae; genus Homo; species Homo sapiens. Next base: position 98,499,525 of record NC_000008.11, on the reverse strand, counting down.
AATCTGTTTTAGGCAATCTGAGTATTTTCTATCATGCACCTCCCACTCCTTCTAGCCTCTGCCTACTGTCAAGTCCAAAGCCACTTTCATAGTTTTAGGTTTTTGTTTTTGTACCACCCCACTTCCAGGCTCCAAAATCTGTATTAGTTTCCTATGGCTGCTATAACAAATTATGACAGACTTACTTGGTGGCTTAAAACAACAGAAATTTATTCTTTTATAGTTATGTGGACCAGAAATCCAAACTAAGTCTTATGGGGCTAAATCAGGGTTTCAGCAGGGCCACACTTGCTCTGGAGACTGTTAAGGGAGAATCTAGAGTTTCTTGCCCTTTTTAGTATCTAGATCTGTATTCCTTGCATTCCTTGGTTCATAGCCCTTTTCTCCATTTTCAAAGCCAGCAGTGTAGCATCTTTTCCCTCTGATTCTGCTTCCAAGGTTGTCTTTTTCTGTTTGAATTCCTATCCTGCCCTCTTAAAAGAACATTTATGATTGCATTTAGGGCCCATCCAAGTTATTCAGAATTATCTCCCCATTCTTAGGATCATAAGAGACTTAATTTAATCACATTTGCAAAGTCTTTGCCATATGAGGTAACATTCAGAGATTCTAGGGATTAGGACATGGTATCTCAAGGGACCATTATTCAGCTCACTGCATGGTTTAAGGACTGATCCCCAGGGCACTCTAACATTGAGAGATTGGGGAGAAGACGAGGAATCAGCAAAGGGGACAGATAAGGAACAAATCAGCGAAGTAGGAAAATAACTAGTAGAGTGTGATATTCTGGAAGCCAAGAGAAGAAAGTGTTCTAAAAAGAGGGATCAGCTGGTTCAGATTTTGTTAATGCCCAAGAAAGATGAGGACTTATAATTTACTATTGGATATTTAGCAACAAGGAGGTCATTGGTGATCTTGACAAGAGCAATTTAGGTTCATAAACTCTTTTGTTGCAAAAGATCCTCCTTTTTGCTCCAGATAATGACAAAAATTATTACAGTAACATGAAATAGTGACTTATCTTATGGACAAAATTTCTTGGAGGGCAGGGCCATGTCATGCTTTGCTTAGGATCTACCACAGTGGGAGTGTTCACCCATTCTCCTATTGTATCACTCATGGTAGAGAGGACATGTTACTGCAGAATGGAACACAGGAACTAGCTTCTGGGATCTCTTCTCATTAGCAACTTACTGAGAGTTCTCCTCTCCTCTTCCTGCCTCAGCACCATCCGACACCCACCCCATCTAGGCCATAGACATAGGGAAGAACTTGATGATAGGCATTTTCTCTACCCCTCTACCCCTGCCTCAGCCCAGATCTTCATGTCAGGATTTAAAGACAGAAAAGTTTGCAGCATTATTCATAATAGCTTTTAAAAAAAAAAAGGTAGAAACAACCCAGATATCCATCAATTGATGAACAGATAAACAAAATGTGGTGTGTTCATACATAATATGGAATACTATGAGGCCGTGTAAGGATGAAGTGCAGATAACACTTTATTCCTTTCACTATTATGAATAATGCTGTTGTGAACAATTTTGTACAAGTTTTTGTGTGGACATCGTTTTCCTTTTTCTTGAGTATACCTAGGAGAAGAATTGCTGAATAATATGGAAATGCTCTGTTGAGGAACTGTCAGGTTGTTTTTCAAAGTGACTGCACCATTTTACATTCCTGTCAGCAGTGTATGAGGGTTCCAATTTCTCTACATCCTCGCAACACTTGCTATTGTCTATCTTCTTGATTATAGTCATCCTAGTGAGTATGAAGTGGTATCTCGTTCTGGTTTTGATTTGCATTTACCTAATAGCTGATGATGTTGAGCATCTTTTTGTGTGCTTATTGTCCATTTGCACATTGTCTTTGGAGAAATGTCTATTCAGACCCTTTGCTCATTTTTAAATTGGTTATTAGTCTTTTTATTATTGAGTTGTAAGAGCTCTGTATATACTCTACATACAAGTTCCTTATCAGATATTTTATTTGCAACTATTTTCTCCCATTCTGTGGGCTGTATTTTCACTGTCTTGATGGTGTCCTTTGAAGCACATTTTTAAATTTTGATAAAGTCCAGTTTCCTTTTTTCTTTTTTTTTACTAGTGCTTTTGGTATCATAGCTAAGAAAATTATTGTGTAGCTCCAGGTCACAAAGCTTTACACTTACATGTTCGTCCAAGAGTCTTATAGTTTTAGCTGTTACATATAGGTCTTTGATCTATTTTGAGTTAATATTTGTATATGGTGTTAGATAGAAGTAACTTTGTTCTGTTGCATGTCAATATTCAGTTGTTCCAACACCATTTGTTGAAGATTATTCTTTCCCTCATTGAGTTATCTTGGTACCCTGCTAGAAAATCAATTGACTCTAAATATGAAGATTTATTTTTGGACCCTCAATTGTGTTCCACTGATCTATATGTCTATCTTCATGCCACTACCACACTGTCTTGATTGCTGTAGCTCCGTAGTAAGTTTTGAAGTTGAAAAGTGTGTGTCCACCAACTTTGTTCTTTTTCAAGACTGTTTTGGCTTTAAAAATTTTTTTTATTTTGGTTAAAAAAAACCATAAAATTTGCCATTTTCATCATTTTTAAGTGTACAGTTAAATAGTAAGTATATTCACATTGTTATGAGACAGATCTCCAGAACTTTTTCATCTTACAAATCTGAAACTTTAAACCCACTAAATAACAGCTCCCCTTTCCCATCAGCCCCTGGCAACCACCATTATACTTTCTGTTTCTATGAATTTAACCATTTTAGATACCTCATATAAATGGAGTAATACAGTATTATCTTTTGTGACTGGTTTATTCTACTTAGCATAATATCCTCAAGGTTCATCAATATTGTAGTGTGACAAATTTTGTTCCTTTTTTAAGGCCGAATAGGATTCCATTATATGCTTTTACTATTTTGAATTCCTTTAATTTCCATATGAATTTTAGGTTTAGCTTGTCAATTTCTGCAAAGAAGTCAGCTGGGATTCCATAGGGATTGCATTGGATCTCTAGATTCTGTAGATCAATTTGAGGATTATGGTTTTCAGAGTATAGGTTGTATATTTCTTTTGTTAAATTTATTACAAAATATTTTAACGGTTTTGATTGTAAATGGAATTGGTTTTCTTAATTTCATTTTTGTTTGCTCATTGCTGCTGCATAGAAATACAATTGATATTTATATATTGATCTTGTATCCTGCAACCTTTTGGAACTTGTTTATTAGTTCTAATAATTTTTTGGTGAATTCCTTATGATTTTCTACATATAAGATCATATTCATAAATTGAGATAGTTTTACAACATTGTATTTTAATACATTAATTCAGCAAATATATATTGAGGACCTGCTCTGTGCTAGGCACTGTGCTCCATGTTGGCAAGATAGAGATAAAAGGCATAAACTCTGCTTTCATGAAGTTTGCAATCTAGTTGGGGGTCAGATCTTTAAACCAATAACTATTCAGCATTATAAATACTGTGATTGAAAATATATAAGGTGCTATGATAACACAGAGAAGGGCTACTAATTTACACTGTGAAGAATTAAGGAAAATTCTGAACATGAGTTTTTACAAAGTTCTGGACCATTTTGTAAATAAGTAGCCATGGTTATGATAACTTGTCATTTCAAGGCCAAAATGACTATGGATATTTAAAAATTATTGTGTAGTATGAACTTCAGCTTTAAGATTTTTAAGTCTATCAAAACTTAAGCATATTTGCATTAATAGTGAGACAAAAGTATATACAGATGTTTGATTATGTAGTAAATCTGTTGCTATAAAAGCATATGATCACATTTGGAAAATTGCTATTGCATGTCTTGGCAGTTTGTTAAGAACTAAAAACTTTAAAAACTAACTGGTGTTTTGATAGATTAAGTTCAAGGCCACCTTTTGTTTAAATGATGTTTTGTTTTATGTAATTAGACCATGCTAGGTGAATTAAGTATGTAATTAAAAACAGAAGGTTTGGCTAATTCAGAGTAAATGAGTACAAAATACAAGGTCATTATCCATCTCTAGTGAGACTCCAGATGAACAGTGCACATGGAACTATTTATAAAACATTTTTCATGGTCAGAGCTCCTCTAGGTTGCTGTCCATGGCCTTTGAATTAAGTATTCACAGACTTTCAGGAAAAAAAAAAGTACCTGTAATATAGAAATATGATCCCACTTAAGGTGCTCATCTGAGTGGAAAACCAAAAAAGATTAGAATCTAATCTTCTATCCCAGATAGAAAAGGTAAAATGTATTCCTCCTGTTTGAAACGTGAACATTTACTATGTTGCTTGGCACATTGCGTTGATGGTTAGAACTGTGAAACTTTTGAGAGTCCTGACTCTCATTTGTTTTCATTTCATGCAGCCTGGAGATGTACGGGCAAAATATCCCTAATTTAATCTGTTTCCTCCGTGCTTAGTCACAGTGGGTGACATGGGATGGATTTTTTCTTCTGGAAAGCCTGGAAAGTATTTTATTTGAAATATATTTTCTTTTATAGTATGAGAATGTGCAGCTTTTAGAAAGCTGGTGTTTAATTTAGTGGTTGGATTCATGAAGAAAGTTTGAATCAGTGACTGGAAGCACAAAGCTGAACCTTCTCTTAGCAGTCCCTTCACAGTTGGGCTCCTGGTGTCTCTCCAGTTTTTTCCTGCTGTTCTCTCTTCCACAGTAGCTGTGCTTCAGTTTGCCTGGGCTTTTCCAGCATCACCACCACTGTCTTCATCCACTGTCTTTGGCTTGCCTTTCTTGGCACTGTTTAAGATTGGTTTCCTGAAGCAAAAAATGGGTTAGGTCTCCCAGTAAATGTTTTCATAATCTCTCTCTCTCTTTTTTTTTTTTTTTTTTTTTTTTTTGAGACAGGGTCTCACTCTGTCACCTAGACTAGTGTGCAGTGGCACCATTATAGCTCACTGCAGCCTTGAACTCCTGGTCTTAAGTGATCCACCCACCTTAGCCTCCCAAAGTGCTGGGATTACAGGTGTGAGCCACTGTGCCCAGCCAATGTCTATTTTAATTCCCTAATCTAAGCCAGTTAAGAAGTTAAGATGCCCATGCAAACAATTATAATGCAATAAGATCATTGTTTAATGGAAGAGTCTTCAAAACTACAGTTAGGAATATATAAGGAACACCAAAGTTCACCTGAGAGAAAAGGGATGCTGTTAGAGAAGTTAGCATTTAAACAGATACCTAAGAATGAGTAAGAATGTACCAGATAGACAAGTGGAAAAAATGGTGCTGCAGTATTTACAGAAGGACTAGCCATAAGAAAGCATGTTCAGTGTTGCTAGAGCATGAAATTGAGTTGGAAAGTGGTAGAAATGAGGCTGGAGAGTAGGCAGCAGCGTTTATACCTTACAAGGAGGTTGGGAGTTGGGCTTATGGATAACTGAAAGCCATTGAAAAATTACAGCAAGCTGACCTCTTGAAACAGAATTGCAAAAAATTGAGATTGGAAGTAGAGAAATCATTAAGGGGATTGTTGCAATATGACATAGTCCAAATGAGAAATGAACAAAAGCAATGAAATTGATATTAGGGGACAGTTTTGAGAGAATCTCTAGTCCTTAGTGATTAGATCTGGGAAGTAAGAGAAAAGGAAGATCTCAGATAAGTCCCAGATTACCTGAATAACTAGGTGAAGGAGAGAAGAGGGGTTGGTGGATCCATTCAATTTAAGGAATAGTGACTTTTTAAGGTGGAATATGATGAATTCATTTTGGTTATATAAGTACCATCAGACATTCAGAAAGAGATGCTTCTTAGACATAACCAGAATTGGAGTTCCACAGAGATCTGGGCTAGAGATTTCTGGATTGTGAGTCATCTTTTAATTGGTATAGTTCAAGTCATCAGTATAGAGGGAGAATAATATTAGACTGAGATGGGTCCCTGTGGAGCAACAACAGAGAAAGGAATGTGACATCTTAGATACTGAGGGAGGAGAACATTTCAAGAAAGAGGAAATGAATGTGTAAAAAGCTTCAGCAAGATCGAATCATAGGAGAGCTAAAACCCGAAGATTGGATAAGGTGTTAAGGAGATCAATGTTGCTTTTAAGTGAAGCAGCCTCCATGAGATGGTGACGCCTAAAGCCAGACTGCTTCAGAGCGGGAAGTGAATCAAGGAGGGAAGAAGTAGACTTCTTCCTAGAAGTTGCTTGTGAAAAGAAGAGATATAATAGTTAAAGGAGAACATAAGATTAAAGAAACTTTTTATTTTATTTTATATTGCTTTTAGATATGAAACGCTTGATGATTTTTTTTTTTTTTTTTGAGACAGGGTCTTGCTCTATTGCCCAGGATGGAAATGCAGTGGCACAGACACAGTTCACTGCAGCTTCGACCTCCTGGGCTCAAGCAATTCTCCTGCCTCATCCTCCCAAGTAGCTGGGACTACAGGTGCACACTACCATGCCTGGCAAATTAAAAAAAAAAAAATGTAGAGTTGGGTCTCACTATGTTACCCAGGCCGGTCTCAAACTCCTGGGCTCAGGCAATCCTCCCGCCTTGGCCTCCCAAAGTGCTGGGATTACAGGTGTGAGCCACCATGCCTGGCATACTTGATGATTTTTATATGCTGAAAGAGCTAATGGCAGGAATTGGAGGATTGACTGAAGATAGTCAATGGAATGAAGTTCCTAAGGAAAGAGGAGGGGATGGGACCTAGAGCACTAGTAGAGAAACCACATCTGGACAGGAAGAGGGAGAAGTGTTACTCTGGGTCAAAGGAATTAGAGGATAAGAGTGGGTGCAGCCTTCAGGGTGTGGGTGACACCTGATAATTACTCCCCTCTCTTTTTATCAGTTCTCTTGCCAAATATCTAGCAATTTCAAATCTTAACTGCCATTGTAGGTCTTCTTGATTTATCTAACCATAAAATCCATTCCATTCCTGCCAAAAAAAAATACAAAACACTATTTTTAATACCACTTCTTTACCACACTGAATGTTGTTCCCTTTCTTTAAACTATTTCCTTTTTAAAATTATTACTATCTTCAGCATATTTGCATTTGATTTTTAGGCCTTTCTCCAATTTCACACCTCTTCTAGATTAACTTAGTTCTCCCCCATGTTCTCTTTCCTATTCCAACTTCACAGAATTAAATATACTTCTAACACACTCCTGACAGGCAGAAAGACATCATTTCTTAAAACTCTTTAAATCCTGCCTGCCCAGAAAGATCCTTTTGGAGTAAATCAGAAATTGCAACTTAATTTAAGATATCATATTACTGCTTGCTTTGTTTTTACTTCTCTCTCTCATTGTTCTCTGCAACTCCCACACTGTCTGCTAATTTACAGTACTGGAGAATTTAGAAGTATTCATTTGCATTATTTAACAATTATTAGTGTGTGTCATTGAGCTTTTTGGAGATGCTTTATGAAAATTTAATAATAACAAACGAATGATGTACTGATTTCACCAAAATCATGGCTTAGTCTTCTAAAATATGATGTTTCTGTCTTAGCCAGTAATTTACATTCCTTTTATTAGTAGTTCTATTTTAGAATTTTTATTTCTGGTGTACATTTGAGTGCTGCCTTTTATGTTTTGTTAAAGCATGTAAGTGGAGATCAGTTGTGCCTTAGTTTTGCTTTTGTATTAAAAATATCTTTTATCTAAAAAATGAGTAATAGCTAAGCATAAGTAACATAAAAGGTTTTCTTTTTGTAGCTTTTAATTACTTTATTATAAGTATAGAAAAGAAGGCTTTATATGCCATTTTTAGCCTTCCTGTATTAATACTGTCCTCCTGGTTTTTAAGATGCTGTTTGACCTATGAACCCATATCCTTTAGTATATTAACTGATAGTTTTAGAATTTCCTAGGTGATGAGGTTGGGCGTTCAAGACCAGCCTGGCCAACATGGTGAAACCCCATCTCTACTATAAAAATTAGCCGGGTGCAGTGGCACACGCTTGTAATTCCAGCTACTCAGGAGGCTGAGGCAGGAGAATTGCTTGAACCCGGGAGGTGGAGGTTGCAGTGAGCTGAGATCGTGCCACTGCACTCTAACTTGGGCTACAGAGTGAGACTTCGTCCCTGCCCCACCCCCGCAAAAAAAAAAAAAATTTCCTAGGTGAATCTTCCCAAATTGTTCCTATACCTGCTAAAGAATTAAAAATGAAATGAAAATGTTTTTATACTCATCGCTAAATTTAAATCTATATAGACAAGAGAACAGATATTGGTTTCATCATCATTTATTTGAAATAACATTTTTTTAAATACTACCAAATTACAAAATAAGTGTCTGATTGTTTTAATAAAAACAGAAAGAGTACTTCTCTCTCTCTCTCTGTCTCTCTCTCTCTCTCTCTCTCTCTCTCTCTCTCTCTCGTGTTTATTTTGTGTAAGCAAGAAAAGAGGGATGGAAGGATGCCACTACACAGTAATAAATGGCTACTTTTAGAAGATAGAGGTAGGAGAGATTGGCCTTTTCTTTATATATCTTGCTATCTTTTCCACTTTTGTATGTGAAAAATATACAGACAACATAAAGGAAAAAAATAAAACTCTGATCCCTTCTTTGAATTACTGTCTAACCCAGTAGTTTCCAAACCTGCTTCTATCTGAATCATCTCAGGAAGATTTACTAAAAATCAGGCCCCTGACTCTGAAACAGAATCTCCGGGAGTGATAAAAATACTAGACTAGTGGTTCTCAAACCTGTGGGCCGTCAGAAATCATCTAAGAAGCTTTTGACACGTCTAGATTCGCACCCCCACGAACAGGGAATTTCTGACTTGTAAATGGTTTGTGAAACTTGCAGTTGGTTTTTTTCAAAGGCTCCCATGTAATTCCAGTGACTCACCAGTTTTGAGAACCATCCGTTTAATGATTTATTTTCTCTGTGCCAGACACTGTGCTGGATGCTACAGTGATTTAAAAAATTAGCAAAACACAGTTTTTGCCTTCAAGGAACTTACAGTATAGTTAGGGATTGGGGGTTGGGACCAGTGTAAAAACAGATGAAAGACTGATACGATGCAGCTGTTTTATGGGTTAAAATAGGAAAATGTCCTAAGAAGTAAAGTCAGGGGTGGAAAAAAGAGTGTCAGCTATTACCTCTATTATTTAATATTGTTTTGAAAGTTTTGTCTAATGCAATAAGACAAGAAAATGAAGTTTAAATATTGCAAAGGAAGTGAGAAGTGTCATCATTATTTGAAATTGAAAATACAGTTATCTAACTAGAAAACCCAAGATAATCAACTAACACTTATGAGCATTATTAAAAACATACCAGTAAGATGATGGTCAATTACAAAATAAATTCAGAAATTAGTGTTTCCTCTATACCAGCACAGACAAGTATGTGTTTAAAGATCCTACTTATAATAGCACAAATATAAATAAAAGATCTGTAACTAAGGAAACTTGCCTCAAGTTTAAGCAAGTAAACTCTACGACTAACTATAAGAAATAAACTATAGAACATAAGGGACATAAAAACAGTTTAAGAAATGGGGAAACATCTCATATTTGTGGGAATAATGGGGAGAGTTAATGTTTTAAAGTTATGCATTCCCTACCCCAATTGCTCTCTATTGATCATTAATACAATTCCAGTTAAAATTTCAGGTGTTTTTTTCTTTTTGCCAAACCTGACAATGTGTTTCTAAAGTTCACTTAGAGGTGTAAACCAAACACACTTTTGTAAAAAAAAGAAATAATGTGAATTAATTGCATAAGTGAGTATAAAATTTTTTTCTAAAGCCACAATAATTAAAACAGTCTAATAATACTAATTCAAGATATCAGAATAAATAAAAGTGGAATTTTCAGTTATTAGGAATAGTTATATTCAATAGCATCTATTATTGAATGTGTGGAATCTTGGTGTTGGTACAATCGGCTAAATGTGTGGAAAAATAAATTTCATGTGGATTAAAGGTTAAGTGAAAGCAAAAAGGTAATAGAAAAAATATAGGTGGATATGTACATAATCTTGATACGTGGGAAGACTTTTTACTATATAATAGTAAGGGCAGAAACCACTTTTTAAAAAGGTTTATTACATAAAGATTTTAAGTTACTGCACAACAACAAAAATAGTAACTAAATTGAAAGGTAAATTAATTGGGAAGAGGTATTTATAACATGGTATTCACACCCTTAATATAAGAGAGCTCTTACCAATTAATGATAAAATTAACTCCTGACATTGGGCTGGGAAGGCATGTAGAGAACATGTAAATTTAAACTTTCAGAAGAACAATTTCACCATATGTGTTGGGAGCTTTAGAATGTTTTCATATTCTTTTTTTTTTTAACTCTAGTTCCATGACAGATTATGTTTTCATATCCTCTCACTCACTTCTAGGAATGTAATCTAAGGAAATAGATATGTGCAAAAGATAGTTTTTAGGGCCTTTTTGACAGCATTGTTTAACAAAAATGGAAAAATCAGTTTCTGCATCGAGAGCCCCACTCCTTCCAGCTCACCACTCACCATGCCTAGGGTGAGGCTCTCAGTTTCATGGTCAAAGGTGGAGGCATCTCCACTTCAGGCAGCTGGTTGGAGAAAGGGGTGAAATGGGCATGCCCCAGCCATCTTTTGAGAAAGGTGCCCAGAAACGTCCATATAATGCGGGTCAGTACTTGGTCATAGGGCTACATGTAGTTGCAATAGAGACCGAAAGTGTTGCTTTTATTCCGAATGACTGTATGCCTGGCTAAAACGATATTTCTATGGAAGAAAGGTAGAATAGATATTAGGGGATAGCTACCAATGTACCATACCACTTCTCTGCATTTTCATCTTAGTTTTGCTGTTATTTTTAGGACTGTGTCTCCTCTTTCTCATACCCTGCAGCTACGTATCTACCTTTAGTATCAGTCACTAAATTTCTGTCAGTAGTTCATTCTTTGAGACATGATGCATTTTTTTCTACCCAAATACGGGAAATTAGTTGCAGTGCCTAGCAGACGAGGTTGTGACTACTAAACATTAGCATTGGCTTATAACATTAGAAGCAGGAAAAGAATAAACTCTAGATTTTCTCTTCTTCCTTTCATTTCCTCCCTACCCTACCCTAGTAACTAGGAAACAGTTTTGTTACCACTAGGGAGAATAGTCCTTGTACCATTGTCTATCTTTTAATGCATTTAAGGCACCGTACAAGTTATAAAACTGCATCTGAATCCCACCCTCAAGGACATTTTTTTCTAATTAAAGCATCTGTGCCTTATTTTATGAAAATTATTTTCAATGTTTTATCTCAATAAAATGACTGCACTTTTGCCAGCAGCTCTATTAGCACAGGTCATTTGATGAAGCCATGCTTCACCATTCTTCACAGGTTATCTGGAAAAGCCATGTCGCCCAGTCTTTAGTATTTCACAGCTGTCACTCACAGACTAGTTATGCCAGAGAGGAAGAGAAGTGGGAGAGAAAGACAGGTGCTGCCATCTTTTTCAGTTTTGCAACTTTTCCTCTTATGATTCAGTGCCAGCTTAATGTGTATAGAGAAACTCTAGTGTTCTGACAGTTACACCAAAAGTTGTGCCAATTCTTGATCATAGTTATTGGCCATTACGTTGAATGGAAGGCATGAAGGACATAAACATTCCCATTGTCTAAATAAACACACAGATTATCTAAATTAAGTAACTTGGCTCATGATCACACACCAAGTGAATGTTGAAGCTGAGATTCACATCCAGGCCCATCTAATTCCGGAGCTTATTCCCCAACTATAGTGATTACTGAGTGCCTACTAGAGTGGGGGACGTGAGGATTGTCTTCATATATGTGAAGGATGATCACATGGCCACAGGATTCTATTTGTTCTGTGTAACTACAGGGGGAGCCACTAGAGCCACTTCATTTTTAGTTAAAAATGAAGGCAACTTTTAACTAAATGTTAGAAAACACATTTTATAACAAATTAATTTATAAGTGGAATGGAATGCCTTTTGAAATAATGATTGTACCTGACAAAAAATTTAGACTGAGTTTTGGAGGTGACAGGGTAAGTAGTAGAAATTATTGGACTTGCAGACTGGAGATATCAATTCAAATTGTATCTTGGCCTTGAATTAGCTATTTAGGTTTCCGAGTTTTCATTTTCTAGTGAATTAAGTGAAGGAATTGGACTAAATCACCTCAAAGTCTCATTGCATTTAGGTAAGTGCATGCACATTGTATGTGCTCAGTAAATGTTTGTTGCATGAGTAACACAACATAGTCCCCTCTGTCCTAGTGCCAGTGCCAAATCCTTATCCTCCCAGCTCAAAGTAATCTCCTTCCTTTATACTGTGTGGCACTTTATCTGTATACTTCTCATTGAATTTATTACCTTCTACTTTATAGTGAACTTATGAGACTCAGACCTTCTTGGTGATAAAATCTATATCATATTATATTCTCTCATATTCCCCACTGGGCCTTATGCACAGTAACTATTCAATAAATATTTGTTGAATAAATTAGATAAAATTACTTGATTCATGAAAAGATTAAAAAATAAACATTTTTGCAATCATAGTTTTATCTCACTTTCTCGAGAAAGAGGTTATTTTGCCTCTTAGCAGCAGTAGACAAATATATGCAAACAGTCTAAACAAAAGCCTATGTATTGCTTGAAGTTAAATTAAAACTTGTTCAGACAGGGCATTGACACTGACAGTAGCCACCTCAACTCAACTTCACCTACTGAAAAAAATCTACTAAACGACACCTGGAACTCATTACATTCTTTCATTTGAGTTTTGCTGCCTTAATATTGTATCACACTGAGAATCTAAGTATTATCTGGCTTTCTTTCAAGTATTGTTTCCTGAGAAGTTATTTGCCTAAAATTCATTCATACTCCTCTAATCTTTCTTCCTCTCCCCTCACCTCCCCTTTTTTCCTCCACCATTTCCTTTGGACTTTCACACTCCAGAATTCAAATGATACCACTGGGTCCTAGGGGGTTGTGTACTATAATTTATGTGGTGAAGGACCTGGTGATTTGATGTGAAAATAAGAAACATTAAAAGTTGTGAGTAGCCTGGTTCACACATCACCTCTGTGGAACTTCATTGAACCTTTTCAGCACTTTTACACGGTCTTTAGTGGCTTTACACACACCTTATCCTCTGTGTTTCTGTTGGATCTTACTCCTAATATAGGTCCAGTTACATCAGATCATTGTCACTTTAGTTGTTTGTATGTCTGTTTCCCCAACCAGATTGGGGCTACGTTTTATTCTTTTTATCATTATATGATGTTGAATAAATAAGTGTGTTGACATGAATTATCTAGACAACTTTCTGTATTTTTCTCACAGTTTTTTTTCCCCCACACACAGGCAAGTGCATTATTCCTGTTTTATAGATAAGGAAACTATATGTTAAAGGAGCTAAGAAACATGCCCAACGCCAAAAGGCAAATAGTTGGAGGAGCCAGAATTCAAATCTTTAGCCTGGGGCCTAAGATCTTTTCCTTATGTCAACTTGCCTTCAGAATGTGTCTTTCGGTCTGTTTCCTTTATCCAGTTTTCATTGCTACTGTCCTTAATCTACGCAACATTACCTCTTCTTTGGAGCTTTGTCATGGGTCGTACTCTGCCTAACTGTTCTTTTCCATTTTAACTCATGCATCATTATTCTGATCATGTCATTCACTTTGAGACTTTCATGGCCCCCTACTTCTGTAATATAAATGCTAAATTTTTTGGTTTATAGCTAATAGGCTCCAAAATCTGCCCCCATCTACTTCTCCAGGCTCATCTTCTATTCCTGCCTTCTCTGTGCCCCCGAACTCTAGTCTTGCCCTGCCACTTCATTATCCTTCACATGTACATGGCAGCCTCCTACTTCTTTGTCTTTACTTGTACAATTGTCTGTACTATTTCCTTGTGCCTTTCTGTGCTGTTTTCAAGCACCCTTCATTCCTGTGTTGCTAGTTGAAATCTTACCCAGCTTAAACCTATCTGTTCTGTTAAACGGTCTCCAGCCCCACCAGTGGTAATTAATTTCTTTATCTGTGTGCTACTTTCAAATTGTAATTGCTTGTGACTGTGTATGTTCTTGATAATGTGTTGGAAAGCCTTTGAGAAGAAGGACTGTCTTCTGCTGACTATTTTCTAGAGCTTCATACAATGCTTTGTTTATAAAACACACTCCATAAAATTTAGCTGACTAAAGTGAATCTGGCTTTCAGGGCAACAGTAATGGTTCTAGATAAAATTCAAATTGACCACTTGTATGTGGGTTGTCTCCTGGTCTGCCACTAAAGCATTAGATTTATAAATACATTTTTTTTTTTTGAGACGCAGTTTCCCTCATTTTGCCCAGGCTGGAGTGCAATGGCACAATCTCGGCTCACTGCAACCTCTGCCTCCTGGGTTCAAGTGATTCTCCTGCCTCAGCCTCCCAAGTGGCTGGGATTATAGGTGTGTGCCACCACGCCTGGCTAATTTTTTGTATTTTTAGTAGAGATGGGGTTTCACCATGTTGGCTAGGCTGATCTTGAACTCCTGATCTCAGGTGATCGGCCCACCTCAGCCTCCCAAAGTGCTGAGATTACAGGCGTGAGCCACCGTACCCGGCCAATAAAATTCTTCTAGATAAATCAAATGATGAAGTTTACTTTTTTCAAGAATATCCAAAAAGATCATATTCATTGTGTTACTCAGTATTTTGTATGCTGTAATATGTAGTTTGTGTATATGTATGTATACACATGTACATATGTGTATTATGCATATAGATATTATTTGTCATAACAAGAAGATCTTAAAATTTTAAATCTTATATTTTCTATTATATATAGTATTTTCTAATCCTTATTAACTGCACCATTGAAAATCTAGTTCCAGTGTTTTCTTTATATTTACTTTTTTTCTTTTCTTTTTTCTTCCCCAAAGGTACCTGTCTTTATAGTTACTTTGAAAAAGAAAAAGCATAGTAAATGGTGAAATCGTTTAGTCACATTGAAAGTACATATATTGATGTAAAAAGTCCATAAACTTGTACTGTTATATTCTAATTTAATGTGGACTCTTCGCTCCCTTCACTTCAACAAATCACAGTAGTTTTCCCTGGTGAGTTTGGTAGCTGGGGGTTCAGAGTCAAAAGTGAACTTACACTATTTAGTACATTTTTATATTGGTATTGTTTGAATTTTTTCATTTAATGTAGACTACTTTTATAACTTCTAAGTGAACAATAAAATAAAATATGTTGGTGTCCCTGCTCAAAGTGTTAATAAGGATACTTTGGTATCAAACTAAAACTATTTTGAATGACAAAGGTTAGTATTTCCCCTGATTTTTGTAGGAAAGAAATTATTTTCTTTGTTTAAATGGCCTCCTGGTCTTTCTGAAAAATTGTGGGACTTAGACTAAAGTGGACTTTAGTCTAAGTCTACTTAGTGGACTTAGTATTAAGTCTTTAATACTTAAAGACTTAGTATTAAGTCTTTAAGTCATGGTGGCACATGTGTTGGGAAACTAAATCTTCTCATTCAGTCTATGTTCAAGGCCAAATCAGTGGAGGCAGCTCTTAAAGGGTAGTAAAAAACTGACTTAATTTTCACTGAACAGAGGTGGCACTCTTAGCTTTTTGGAGACTGTCCTACCCGTCTGTGTTCAAACACACTCCTGTGTTCTGTTGTATAATTTAAATCTATGACACCTAGCAGCTGGTCTTAATCACCATGGTAAACCATTTCTTCTGAGCCCAGACCAAATTAAGTACCAATTTAAGATACCCAAGATAATTCACCACACCCTAAGTTAAATTGGTTATCCCACCTTTTACTTCCTTATCTTTTTTATGGACCAGGAAAATTGTCTTACTAAAACAAAGTTTGTTGAGCCTTCAGAATCTTGGTTATTTTAAGGTCTTTTTAAAATTTTTTCACATGGTCCAACTGCCAGACAGATTGTACATCAATTTCCTGCAGCATTTGGCAGGACTATGTATTTACTGCCTTAAAAACAATTTGAATTTATTGATTTTGAAATTTGTGATTGCTTTCTAAAGTTTTCCCTCCTCACCCCCATCTAAATTTACTTTGGGGAAAAAGGCAAAACAGAGCACATTGGCCCATTTTTATGCCAAGACTTTCAGGGAAACATTTTATATGATTAATATTGTGTGGCTAATCTGGTGTAAAAAATCAATTTTCTCCATTTTAACTTATGAGAGCATGACCATCCTGTATGAACTATTTAAAGATCCTGTGACATCACTAATCCAAAATTAAGTGTTTGTTACTGCCTTTATTTATGTGTGTTATATTAATCATGTAAGTTAATATTGGGCCCCATTTCTTTATAAGAATTGAATTACATTTCTTCAGCAGTTCCATATCTTTTCTATCACGGCAGCATCCTAGCCTTGACTTGAGCAAGCTGAAATTAGTGGACTCTGGACTTGGCCCCAGCTCAATGAAATACATAGGTCATGGTACCTGGTCGCCATTTTAATAGGTCTGGATTCAGTTAGAGAGCTTCTCCCTTATCTGTCTATTCCTTTAAACCCATTTGTCCTAAAAGATTGTTCTCTCTCACTAATAATCAGAAAAGAAACAACATTATAAAATCCGTATGCTTTCATTCCATCAAATTCAAACTGTTTTATAAAATATTAGACTATTTGTTACTAGGTGAGTATATTATTCTGAAAGATTTAATGTCAACACTTTGAGGAATCGAGAAATACCTATTTGTAATGCTTGTACAATACTCTGTTATCCTTAGAAATACGGCACCTCACAAATAACATAACTTCTACCCAGGGAATAATTGACTCACCATGGAGGTCTGGCTCCCTGCCTCATTAAATCTTCTAGAATTGCTGGGAGGTAGCTAGCAATTATTCTTCCCTCTGTTTGACATATGTGGAGAGTTAGGCACCAAGCAGTCAGAGGTCATGCGTAGAGTCTCTAAGGGAGTGCTGTTTGAATATTGGTCATTGAATCAAATCACTGCTGAGCAAACGTCGAGACAACTTCTGAGGGTCATCTCATAGGGGACAAAGTTACCTAAATGCGAGAAAACATGTCTTTATCCATCCTGGCATTGCTAATCCCGGCCCTCATTTACAAATTGTATTTTATACTTACATGTATTTTTTATCTTTACGTAGTTTATTCAGAAGATCCATAAAAACATTTGACTGTCTCTTATTTGTCATTCTTATTTAAAAGTTGGTAAAGAACATTTAGAATGAGCTATGTAAAATTGTTTTGAGAACATTTAGCTTTAACTTCAGTTGTTCTTAGGAATCACAGCCTTTGGATTCATTTTTATTCAGGGAGAAATAATGCTTTTAAAGCATATAACTGATCTGGAAGAATGCTATATTGTTTTATCTTCAAGACTTGCATGTCAAAAATTCACCTGCAGGTTATTTTCTTTTTAGAGCTCCTTGGGAAGGGAATGCTGTAATGAAGTGACATCAGGATGTGTTTATATTTATTTCAAAGTGTCAAGATGGGCATGCTGGAAATTTGAATTCCTTGAATTTGAATTCCTTCATGACCTTTTAAGTTAATCTTTGATGCCAGCTCAAGGGGAGTGTGAGAAACGTGAGAATTCAACTAGCTTCAGTTGAATACATGTTACACTTCAATGACTAAATTTTTTTAGTATAGAAGGTTACTAAGTGACAAGTAAAGGAGAAGTCTGATTATCAAAACATCATTCTATCCTTGAAAAAATACCAAACAAACGTATTCCAGTCAACAGTTTTTCCAGATAATGTTCAGAATTTATGTTAAAAAGTCGTGTCTTGAGATTATAAAGTCTAGGAGGCTTACTAAGTTTTTTTTTTTTTTTTCAATAGCTTTAGGGATACTAGTGGTTTTTGGTTGCATGGGCAAGTTGTATAATAGTGAAGCTGGGCTGCTAGTGTACCCATCACCCGAATAGTGTACCCAGTAGGTGATTTTTTCAGTCCCACATCCCCATTCTGAGTCTCCAATGTCCATTATACCACTCTGCATGCCTTTGCATATCCGTAGCTTAGCTCCCACTTATAAGTAAAAACATGCAGTATTTGGTTTTCCTTTCCTGAGTTACTTCACTTAGGATAATGGCCTCCAGTTCCATCCAAGTTGCTACAAAAGATGTTACTTTTTATGGCTGAGTAGTATTCCATGATATAGATATAACACATTTTCTTTATCCACTCATCTGTAGATGAGCACTTAGGTTAATTCCATATCTTTGCGACTGTGAATTGTGCCACAGTAAACATACAAGTGCAGATGTCTTTTTTATTAAACATCTAGGGTAGCTATTTTTCATTTATTCATTGAACATTTTTTCCTTGAAAATATACTAGATGCAGTAATGGACAAACTAGAAAAAGTCCTAGCCCTCATTCTAGCATTTATCCATGTGGATTTTCTAGCAGTGGTTGAAATATACCAGAATCATGTGACTTTTTTTCGTATCAAAAGATACAGTTAATATCCTGATACACCTCCCCAACAAGAATATATCAAAATGTGAAGGAAAGAGAGGGGAAGGTATTTTGAATAAAGCTCTTCTGGCTAATTTTTCTCTTTTTTCAGTATAAAAAATTTTAATATATTCAAAAAGCTGAAAAATAGTACAATAAACACTTAACATTTACTACTTAGATTCAACAATTTTGAACATTTTGCTGTATTTGCTTTGTGTGTATGTATATGTCTATGTGTTTTCCCCACCAATTTTGAGGCAAGAGCATAGCCTGAAACTTTCCCCCAAATGGAGTCCCTCTGATGTAGTAGACTATTATTAATTTTGTTTGATTTCACTGGGAGGGTGGGAGGACAGTCGTGTACAGCATACCAAGGTTGGATTTCTTGTCAGTAGCCTCTGTAGTAATTGTGATATATGCTGGTCAGGATTGTTATAGAGAGATATTGTCATCGCTGTTATCAGATACAAGTTTGAATTCAGTTCCATGGTCTATTTGAAGAGGTTTTTTTGTTTGTTCTTGGTGAATGTTCTTGTTTTTTTTGAAATCATACTGTGGCAGCTAGGCAGGTGATATGCTTCCCCCTCCAATATTAGTACGATAATCATTCACTGTTTGCATGCTCTTTTTACATCCATTTACTTTAACCTGTCTGTGCCTTTATATTTAAAGTGAAGTGTGCTTCTCCTATCTCAGAAAGTTTAAAATATTGTTCCAGGTGTCTTCTGGACTTCATATTTTCTAAAGAGAAGTCCGATGATTCCAATTGTTGCCCTGTATATGTTTTTTTCTCTCTGTCTCCTTTCACAACTTTTTTATTTTTGGTTTCTATCAACCTAGGCATTTATTTTTGTGATTGATGTTGTTTTTAATCTTCTTTACAGTTCATGAGCTTCTTGAATTTATAAATTTATCTCTTGCCAAATTTAGGACTGTTTTTAGCTATAATTTATGCTGATGTTTTTTCCCACCACTTTCTCTCATTCCCCACCTTCTGGGACTTCAGAGGGTCCTGAAACACTTTCTTTTTAAATTTTTTTCTCTCTCCTCTTCAGATTGGGTAATTTTCACTGACCTTTTTCCAATCAATTTTTTGTCATCTTCATTCTGCTATTAAGCCTATCCAGTAAGCTTTTTATTTCAGATATTGAATTTTTCAAGTTTTAAAGCTCCTATTTGTTTTTGTTGTTGTTATATTTCTAGTTTCTCTGCTGAGATTTCCCATTCTTTTCATCCATAATGAGCATGTCTTCTCTTACCTCAGCAGTAATTATAGCTGCTTTAAAGTCTTGTTATTTCTGATATCTGGGTCGTATCAAGGTTGGCTTCTGTTGATTGTCTTTTCCATTGGGGGTGGATTGCATTTTCCAGATTCTTCATATGTCAAGTAATTTTGGATTACATCCCAGACATTGTAAATGTTTTCTTGTGGAGGGGGAAGAATGTGTTTTTGTTCATTCTTTAGAGACTTCAGTAGTTGGTTTTTGTGTTTTGTCCACAGTTTATTATCTGCAAAAGAGTTAGTCTGTTAAGAACTTTCTCTGACCTAGCAAAAGCTGAACTCCTGATATGCTTCTTCACCTTTCCCGCCCCCCCCCCCCCCCCGAGACGGAGTGTTGCTCTGTCACCCAGGCTGGAGTGCAGTGGCAGGATCTTGGCTCACGGCAACCTCCACCTCCCGGACTCAAGCAATTCTGCTGCCTCAGCCTCCCGAGTCACTGGGATTACAGGCACCCACTGCCACACCCAGCTAATTTTTGTATTTTTAGTAGAGACAGGGTTTCACCATGTTGGCCAGGCTGGTCTCTAACTCCTGACCTCATGATCCGCCCCACCTTGGCCTCCCAAAGTGCTGGGATTGCAGGTGTGAGCCACCGCACCCGGCCGCTTCTTTGTCTTTTAACTGCCTGTCAAGTTTCCTGCTAAACTACACACCTGCACTATCACGCAGAAAGAGATTTTTTCATGTCTTCATGCAGGTGGAGTGAGAGCTGCCAAGGGTAAAACAGTGATGAAGTATGTCATCCTCACTATGGCATTCTTTTTCCTGCATCTTCTCCACTGCTACCTCTCACATGAACTCTTGTCACCAGTGATGAAAGGACTTAGATGTATTTAGCAGCAAGTACCACTGCCACCTCATCAGGAACATAGGGAGAGAGGAAAATCGCAGAACAAGATAACGACAGAAGCTCGTAAATATAGTGTATAAGAGCAGATAGAGAAAGCTCTGGTGGCACAGATGTGGGCATGTGGTGCATGAGCCCAAAGAAAACTAAAAATGAAGGAGAGACAGAGGGTAGGGAGCCACCTATGCCACCTTTGTGCTAGGCCCTTTAACATCTGTGGTCTCATGTAATCTTCAGAACATCTCTGTGACATGTGTTTATAGTATTTCCACTTTATTTTAGAGGCTCCGAAACTGAAAGAACTTCAGTGATTTTCTGCAAGTTAAAAAACTTTATAAATGGCTAGGCAGAAAAGAAAATGTCTTTTTTCTTTCCTGCAGCTAGTTTTAGTCATCTGAAGTCCCTCTGCAAATTTGAGGGAGTAATAAGGATTTTTCTAGGTTCTGCCAGCTTCCTCAGTGAGAACTCCAGGCATCTGGCTTGGAAAAGTTGGCTAAAATGCTTCACAGCAACCCTCTCGCATGTTTCAGTTCTTTGCTCTGCTCGGGAGGCGAACTCGATGGATCTTAAGCCCAAGCTTAGTTTAGGTAGGGGAAACCCTTCTCTACCTCCCAACTCCCCTTCTTCCACCCCACCCCCAAATCTCAGTCTGCTTCCTGATGGCCTTTATAAACCAGCGCCTTAAGAAAAAGAGTTTGAGTACTCTTCAGTAGATACATAGGGATCACCTTGTGAGTGAGGGGCAGAGTATTTGGGTTGGAATTCTTCCTTACAGATTCCTCTCATTTCCTGACTTCCATTCCTCTTGTCCTTGTGCTCACTCTCAAATTTCCGCTACATTGAGTCATGTTCACAAAGAGCAGCATGTGACCAAGAGCCACTTGCTTCTTCTACACATAGCCCAGGGGTCTGTCTGAATTCAGGTTCTTTCCTCTGTTTAATTTTCTTCCTATACCTCTCTATGCTCAAGACTCTAGAGTAGACTGCTGGTTCTCAACCAGGGGTGATTTATTTGGGTTGTCCAAACTTGGGGAAAGCTACTGGCATCTTGTGAATAGACGCTGGGGATGCTGCTAAACATCCTACAAAGCACAGGACAGCCCCTCACAACCAAGAATTACCCCTGACCCCACCAAACGTTCATTAGTGCCAAGACTGAGATGCCCTGAAACAGACTCCTGAAGGCTTTTCTCTGTGTCCTTTCCCTTCCCTCTCCCTTGCCTTCATTAGGGCCCCCCCCCGCCCACCCCCCCCCCCCCCGCCAAGTGTGATGATTATGCGAGGCTAGCCATTGAAACCTTATACCACAGAATTTCAGCTTCCCAAGCCCCTCAAGCATTTCAGAGCTGCAGGGGTGGCCCTTTCTGGTGGAGACTGAGATAGGAAATGGCTGAATGAATTGCTAATGGACATTTGGTGAAGGACCCATGAGTGGGATTTGCAGAGGAGAAAAGCTCAGGAACCCTTAATTCTCAAACACGGACATTGAGGGTGCACCATGGCTGCTAGGGAGTTGGGGTTGAGAAAGATGTTTTTAAAGGATATGTATGTGTTGTAGGTGAGGTGAAATTGTACCTTTACCAGTTTTTGGGGTATTTCAGCTAGGCCTAAGAATTAGATTGACATAGATAGATCAACAGGAGAAAAACATAGAAATTTATTTCTTATGAATTTTACATGGCAAGGAGCCTTTGTAAGGAAATGAAGACCCACAGATGCAGTTAGAATTGAAAACTTATATACTGAATTTACTACTCTTTTGGCGAAAGAGTAGTAAATTGTGAAACTGTGACAAGGCAGAGGAGCTTGGGCAGAGTAGGTAATTGGGCAGAGAAGTAACGAGGAAGATAAGGGTTAGCTTAACAAGGTTTGTTTGTACAGATTTTCCTCGGTCTCAGCTTCCCGTCCTTGATGATAAGAATGATGCTTTCCTTCTGGTAGAGGGAGGCTGTCTTTCACACGGGAATTTCATTTCCTGCTTTTATGAAGAAGAAAGGTCAGAGAGTTCTTGCAGTTGCTGTTTTTCAAGTACCTTTTACTCAAAATAGTCAGTATGCCAGAGTAATGTATTTTGGGGTGACATATTCTAAATTCCTTTGTTGTAAAAGTATTAAGCCTTGCATGGTTGTAGTGGAAATCATCAAGAGTGATTTAATTTATAGATGTTAGAGAATTTGGAAACATTTTGAGTTGACTGTGTAAAAATAATTTTGGCTATGGCTGTTTTTGAAATGAAATTAATTATGAATAATTACCATTTACCCAGAATCTATTATTCATATCATTAACAAAGCCACATTAGTTTTGTGGTAAGTTTTGTTTTATGCAACACTAAAATCTGTTCATGCATTTGCCTTTTTCATTTTATAACATGATTGTCAACTCTGAACTGAAAAAAGGGTGGGGAAGCAACATTGGTTCCACCTGGAATCAGTTTTTTTCCTTTTTCTGTTGGAATGAAAATCCTGCTTTTCAGGGGGCCGCAGAGCCAGAACATTTACCCATAGCCGTCTAAGACTGCTGGTAAATATAAAGTATAACTTTATTACAGTGACCCCGTGTCAGTGTCCTTTGTAATTCTAATTAGTCCTGATAATTACCTTGGACTTTTCATCACCTAACCAGTAAAAACCCAAGTCTGCCCAATATTAGAGTTTGTGGGGCAATAAAAGTCTCTTCACTGGACTGAGTTGCTCCCAAGATTTCATATCTGTAAGCAAATCACAGCCTGATTCTCACCTTCCTTGCATGCCTCTGATTTTGATGAATTATCTGGATAAAACAGAGGATATTATATGTTGAATACACAGGTAACATTAAACTTTTCTCCCCCAATGTTTTGAATACAAACTTCCAGTCTACACTTAGGTACATGTTGGAGTAAAAGTCAAATCTTGGTGTTTTCTCTGCCCAGTATCCCTACCTTTGCCTTGAAGTGTATCTAAGGCCTAGATGGAATTTATAGTCCTAAATAGTTTGCTTTAAAGTGAACTAGAACATCGTGATACTCTGCTTACCGTATTTGATTATGACAAACTGTCAAATAACAGTTCAGTCAATGAATGGTGCTGCTTGTGGGTGAGCTGAGAAGGTCATAGGCAGAAAAAGCAAGAAATTCTAGAGGAGGAACTAGCATAATTTGTTTCGCGTCTGGCAAAAGAATGGAAAGGTTATCATTGTTAAATCCGCCATTTATAATTCTCAAAGTTTTAGCTCATAGGGGCATGGTGACAGTGTTTTGTTTCACTTCTTTAAACTTGATGCTGACTTTTATCATAGCGTAGATATCAGATGATGCTTTAAAAAACCTCCTTAAGAGAGTTGTCTATTTTTATTTTTAAATATTTCAAATGGATGGTGTTTCAGGTCAGACCTCATTTTTGTAATAGTACATGGAGTCTGTTCTTTAACAAATTGTATTCAACCTTATTGTGGATTAATATTCTGGTAATATGGTTTTACTTTCTAAAAAACTAGTCTTCAGAACAGTCTAGCAAAAGATCTATTGTAGTCAGCTCTAAAATTGTTTTCCTGGTGCTTGAGAATTAAAGGCTTTTGAAGTAAGTTAAATAGGCCATCTCTGTTGTCACTGCCTCTTGTATAACAATGGATGTTCTACATTCTCTCTTCTCACCCCTGTTCTTGGTGCTTCTGAGCAAGATCATGCACACACTTAAGCACAGGACTTTCAGGTGCATGAACCTGAGAGTCCACAAAGCTTCCGGCTCCTACTCAGCATTAAGATGTCAACCATAGAAATTATGGTCCCTAATAAGGCTTGAGAATTGTGCTAGCCAATGAATTGATTGAGACATTCAAGTCATTGGATATGGGTATACAGATGAGCTCAGATTTCAGGAAACTTCATCACAGTAACGTCTTTAATTATTAATATTGACTCATTTTTCTGAATATGTGTATGTCACCGTGATGACAAACACTAACAAGTTAATAAATACAATCTTCACTAGTGGTTGTTGCCATGTAAGATGGCTCTTATTCTTAAAGCAATATTAATGGGTGACAGATTGGATGATGTTAGGCACCTGCTAAATTTGGGGATCTAAAGAAGGCCCAGTCCTATATTCACGTATCTCATATTGTACAGTTCTAATGTGGCAGAAATTTAAAAAATGATTGCAGTACGGTGATAAATGTTATAACAGAGACATATGCAAAATTATCTTTAGGTATATGGAGAAAAAAGTAACTCAGTATGCTTACAGGGAAAATTTGACCAGGAAGACTTTATGAAGATGACATTTAAGATCAGTCCTAAAGATGAATAGAACTTCATCAGGCAGAGATGAGGGAAAGGACACTCTCAGTAGACAGAACTGTGTTAACAAAGTCTTGAAGCCAAAGTGGGGAGTGTGGAACAACATTCTAAGCAAAGGAAAGGCATGTAATCATTTAATCCTAACCTCTTAATTTTTGGACGATTTTACTCCCAATTCACATGCAAAGAGCTTGGTGAATCTGAGAAACTGAAAGAGAATCAGTCATGATGGAAACATAGGAGTAATGGCTAGAGTAGCACAAGCTGAAGCTGCAGACCTAGGCAGGATTAGATTCAGGCAAGGCCGCATTTGGATTTCATATGCAAGAAAGAGCCATTTCCGTATCTTAGGGGCAGGACATGACCCAGTATACATTTTTAAACAATAATTCTGGCTGCTGTATGGAGAGTGAATTGGAGGGGAGCAAAGATAGAAGGAAACTAGTTAGGAAGCTATTGAAACAGTGTGCTCAAGATAAGAGGGCTTTGACTGGGGAGATGACAGCAGATGAAGAGGAGGACATCGATTTGACATATCTTGGTAAGTAGTATGAACACCACAAGGCATGGCAACATTTGAATATGGTAGGTTCTTAGCATTTGCAACTAGTTGGATGGTGGAAGAGCCATTTAGTGAAATAGGAAAGGTTAAAAGATAAACAGTTTAGAAGGTCTCTGTCAGATATGAACTTACTGAGTATTGCAATACCCAGGAGACATCTAATAGAATTGCTAAGTTCTGGAACTCAGAAGACAGATCTATATTAGAGATACTATCAGATAGATGGTATTTAAAGCCCAGGGCATGTATGAGACTGCCTAGGAAATGGAGTATATAGTAAAAGCCCAGAGTCCTGAGTAGTTCTAACATTTAGTAGTTGAGAAGAAGCCAATAAAGGAGATTGAGAAATGGCCATAAATTTAGGAGAAAAGAGAGCATGGTGTTGTAGGAGCCAAGAGAGGGAGGTTTCAAGAAGGAAAGGTGTGGACAAAGTATCAAGTACAGCTGGAGGGGCCAAATAAGATAGAAACTAAAAAGAATTCATTTAACTTTGGCGACCTAACAAGAGGAATTTGGAGAGCATTAGGGGATCAGAAGCCAGTATGGAGCAAGTTGAAGTTTGATTGCCAATTTAAAATATGGTTATTGTTTTCTCCATACTTTGAGAAGTTTGACTTTCTAAAGGAGAAGAGGGATGGAATTGTGACAACTGGAGGAATGGCCGTGAGTCAAGGCAGGGTTTTCTTGAGATAAGAAAAAACAATAAAAGTTTAAGATGGGAAATATCAGAAAGTATATCATGTTGATGCTAAAGACAAAGAGAGTTTGAAGATGCACAAGAGAAAGAAGCTAACTGTGTAGATAGGTTTCTGAGAAGACTACTTTGGGGCAATCCAGCCTGTAATCGGAGGCAGGTATGCGAATTCATTACAACAGGGGGTGTAGAAGATGGGTGCAGCAGGAATGTTTGTAAATGGCATTGCTTATATTCAGAAAGAATTTCGGGCTCTTGTGATTTAGAATCACAAGATGTTTTCTTTTAAACAAAAATAATAACTGAATTTCATAGTACTTTCAAAATGTTCTTCATCTGCTGTGTAAAGGCTATTATTGTCTCTCAGTGATCTCTTAGGGATTATAAAAGAGTAACAAATTTTTGAAGGCACTTTACAAATTTAAGTAATTACAAAAATGCTGAGTGCTTTATGTAATCATTGATCTTAATCTCATAATTTTTGGACCATTTCGCTCCTAATTCTGGATTTTATGATCCATACTTGTTCTCATTCTCCTTACTATAGCTTTTCATGTTCTGATTTTTATTTTGTTATGTGGGTTTTGCTAGTTCAACAATAGTAATTACTGTTGAATTATAATATTTATTGTAGATAAAGCAGAAATAAAATAAAGTAAAATTTTATTTTGGTTTATTGTGAGAAATCTTTTTTTAAATGTTATGTGACAGATGATAAAGCCTATGATAGGCTAATTCATAATGCATTCAGTCATTTGGAACATCTTAGATTTTGAGAGAATTGTGTTATTTAAGGAAATGACTTATCATTGTAAGCCTCATTAATCATCTATAAAGTTAAGAATAATGCCTGTTTACAGAATTATCTGCCCCATTTCACAGCATTATTTTGAGGTTCATGTGATACAATGTATGTAAATATGCTTTGTAAATTGTGAAGTACTGTAAAATATATTATGATTTCAAAAATATTAGGTCTCAGGCTCTGTGGCCAATTATAAACTCCCCTCTCCACCATAAGGTGTATGTGAGTAAACATTCCAGGAAATAAACACTCAACTGGCATAGGGTTTTAGTTTAGTTTTTAAGCATCATTGACTTGCAAGTGTCTATACTAATCTGAATCTAATTTAAAATTTTTAAGAAGCCATCTCTTTTTTGGAAAAATTTATTATGGGCAGTAAACTACATATATTTAACTGCATTGTATAGTGTTTAAGAGTGCCAGCTCCAAAATTCAGTTCCCTTGGATTCAAATCCTGGCCACATTTTTTTATTAGCTAAATGTCTTAAAGTTCAAACTCTTGGTGCCTCTGAAAACTTAAATTCTGAAAAATGGTGATACTAATAATACTAATTCATAGGATTATTGCCTATTAAATAACAGCATAGTGTCTGCCAGTGGTAAGCGCATGTTAGCTATTATGTACATATTTATAGCAATATGAATCTCTCTATATAAGAATACTTCTTGTAAAGTAAGTACCTGCAAAGAATTAAATTTTAAATAGCTAAGTACTCACCAGATTTCTTCATTTAAGTAGCTACACCCATGGGATTTTAAACACATTCAGAGGAACATTTTCTCCCTTAAAGCCACCATAATTTACTTTTTTGGTTGACAGATTTACACCTAGTAGGTAGTTGCCCACCTACCCATAGCCCAGCAGTGCTACTGGTGATTCCTTCCTTGTCTAGAAAGATTTTGAATTACAGACAGTCCCAGGTATATGATGGTTCCACTTAAAGTTTTTTGGTGATATGAAAGTGATACACATTCAGTAGAAACGGTACTTGGAGTAGTCGTATAGCCACTCTTTTTCACGTTCAGTACAGTATTCAATAAATTACATGAAATATTCAACACTTTATTATAAAATAGGCTTTGCGTTAGATGATTTTGCCCAACTGAAGGCTAATGTTAATTATTCTGAGCATGTTTAAGGTAGGCTAGGTTAAGCCATGATGTTTGGTAGGTTAGCTGTACTAAATGCAGATATTTTTAGTTTATGATGGCTTTATCAAGACGTAACCCAATGGTAAGTCTATGCATTAAAAAAAAAAAAAAAAGAAAAGGAAAAAAACCAGGCCTCTTTTCTTAAAAGGCAGAAAAATCTGCAGTGTCAAATCTGGCCACCAGAGGGTACTGTATAGCCAGCGACTTAGCCCTCTCTTAGAGGTTGAAATCTTGCCCTTATGAGCGGGTTCAGTGGATGCCACTATTCATATCTGTAGAGCTCAGTGACTTCATGTTTCTCAGTTTCCGATACCATTGATCTGATAGTGGCCCAGCTTCCTAACTTTTCAGGAGCCAGTGATCGAGCTGTAAGCCACTCATCCTCTACAAACCTATAAACTCTCTGAGCCAGTCAAGCTGTAACTTCATTCACCCTTACCCTTTTCAGAAGCCACCTGCCTATTCAGAAGGCTTTGGTACATTGCAGTTGATTTAGGATCATTTAATTTTATTCTGTTGTACTGCTTCCACTTTTACCACTCTCCCTCAGGTGTTCTATCAGTTAATTTCTAAGTGGGATATAAAAGATTTTACGAAATTGTTACCAAATATTCAACACTTGGTCACCCTGCAAGATTAAAAACCCACACCTCTTAAGAGTCAGTAAACAGTGTCTTGTTTTTTATACTTAGAGCAGAGATTTACCAAGGGTTGGGGAAGCTTATGCTGTCACCCTAGCAAAATTGTCTAGGAAAAATGTCATCTTTAAAATTAGTTGATATAATTAAGGATGACACTCACTAAAGACCAATGAAAGACAGTTTCTGGTCATTGAAAAATTAAAAAATAGCTAGCAGAATCTGCAATTTCCTCAGTATTTAAGAGTTATCTCTCCCTTCTTTTGACAGCTTGGTCCAGCACAGCTGACTATTCTGACTATAGAAACAACTGTGAGAGTGAGGGTGGCCTACTTAAAAGGCCTTGTACTGAGTACGGGTGAGATGAGGCAGTGAACACCCCTGTGAAAAGAAAATGATTAAGACTATGACTGTCTCTCACAACTGGGGTAATTAGAAGAGATCTGTGGGTTGGCGGTGGCAGGGCTAGGGTGGACCTGACAGAGTCACAAGATCATGCACTGTGGTTAAGAGAACTGTAGCAGGAGGAGGTTCATTCAAATGGGCATTCCTAACTGAAAATAGGCTAGAAGAACTTAGGTAAATCATGGGTATCCAGAAATGGGCAGTGTTGTGTGGACCAGCTTGCAGTGTTTTTGGCAGTTTGAAGGTAATTTCTTTGCATGTGGTATTTTTCAAAATTAGTTGATCATTTCTGGTATTGCACCGCTACTCTGACTCTAATAATGGAAAGTTCACTCACGGTGTTCTTGTCTAAGAATGCTTTGGAGAATTCTAGGATCTGTTAGTACCAGGTACTAGCAGCTCAGCACTAGGTCTGCTGGGTCATTTATTTCAGATTGAGAGTTACATATATTGTATGTGAATATAAACCAGTTTCAGAATAATTATCCAGTGGATAAGCTCTTCCTTGAATAACAGTGTATGTCAGTCAGTTACTAATATTTTTTGGAAAGTTCCTCAAGAGCACATTGAATTCAGCAGCCACATAGCTGTGTTATTACTTTTTCCACAGGAGGTAAACCAACAATATGTCTTTCATATGGTCAATAATTAAAGATGCATTTTTCCTTTTATCCTTATTAAAATGGACTTTTTAAGACTGAACTGAAATTTCATCTTGTAAAATAAAAATGTGAAGATTTACTAGCAAAACTACTCCATATTAATGTATATTATTCAAACCAGAGCTGAAATTCTGATCCCCAAATTTCCACTCATGACCACAGTCTCCCGGCTTCCCAGTAGATGTAAAGTAAGATCAGCCATTCTTTGTGCTGTCCCCCAACCTCAGTTCTCTGCCTCTGCTTCCATGTCCACATTAGTAGTGAGGCCACTCAGAAGGCAGGTGTCTGGCTCAAGGGAGGATAAAACCAAAGCCTTGCTGCCTTTGCAAGAGGTGCAGCTTGGTCCAGCCCCAGCGCTGAAGACTTGCAGGAACATTTGGGAACACACTCATTTTGCAAGGTATTATTAGAGATAAAATTTTGATGCCATGTTCTCTATTAAATTAGTTGATACCGAAAAACAGTTTCTAAAAATCTAATTTGGCGCCATTCTCAGACCGCCCCCCCGCCCCCGCAAAGAAAAGCCTTTTTGGACCATTCGTGTATTATAATCATCTAAGTGTGAAAATTTTAGTTTGTAATCAATGTTTACTCAGCCTTTTGGAAGTAATGGTGGCATATTACTTTCTCATCTTTCTTTTCTTTCTTTTTTTTTTTAAAGATGGAGTCTCACTCTGTCACCAGGCTGAAGTGCAGTGGCACGATCCTAGCTCACTGCAACCCCCGCCTCCCAGGTTCAAGCGATTCTGCTGCCTCAGCCTCCCGAGTAGCTGGGACTACAGGCACCCGCCACCTCGCCCAGCTAATTTTTGTATTTTTAGTAGAGACAGGGTTTCACCATGTTGTCCAGGATGGTCTCGATCTCTTGACCTCGTGATCCGCCTGCCTCAGCCTCCCAAAGTGCTGGGATTACAGGCGTTAGCCACCATGCCCGGCTCTCATCTTTATTTTCTGTGATTTCTGCATATTAGTTGCGCAGTCTAAAATGCTGACATAACCCACAAACACTGTTGTCCTTTCCCCAATTCAGAAAGTTGAAGATTTGAAACATTTACATTTGAAAGTTGATTCTTCCCCCATGAGACACATCTAAGTTAATAACTAGCAGGACTTATGTTCATTTATTCTCATTCTCTACCTTCTTTTACCTTAAATTCATAGCATTTGTGAGCATATTTTAAAACAAATATTAATGAAAAAACAATAGAATCTCAGTTTCATTCAGGCGACGATTTTGCTTTTAAGTTTGCACAAGACAGCTTATTTATTATTAAGGTAGACAAAATCAATTTTGCTTTTTAAACATTTTCATAAGAGCCTCCTATCCTTTTTTCTTGTGTCCTTACAAATATCTGAATCTCTTCATGGGTGTTTTAGTTTAATTTGTACATTTGTCTGTCAGTAGCTGGGAAAATTAAATATTGTTTCAGCCACAAACCATGCCATTCTAAAATTGAGAATGCTAAAATGTTTCCTTTTTGGTACATTTTATCTTCTAAGGCCCATGTGGCAAGTGAGAATGCAGAACTATGATCGAATTTATTTTTTCTTTTGAAGTGTTTTAGAAACATTTTGGCATATTTTGAGTTTTATTGTTTTAAAAATAGTTAACAGACCACGATTCTTATTCTGAACTGTTTTAAATGAACTGTGGATTTAGATGCTTCGAAACTAAAATATGAGACTCTTGTTTATTTCTAGATGTTGCTTCACTATTAAAAATTATCTATTACAATCTAAATTGCATGATTTGTGGGTTTTAGCTAACCTCTTTCATTTTAAAACTACTTTATAGATTTTCAAGAAACAAATATTTACATTTTTATGATATGAAGATAGTATAATTTAAATTGTTAGACTAAGTATTGTGATGTCAGTGAAGCAGAAAATTGTGACATTAGTAAGAATGATGCTCTTCCAGCACACTTCACTCCATGCATGTTTCCTCAAAGAGTCAACTATGGTATTTATTATTGTTTTGGAGAATTTTTTGAGAGAAGCCATTATTCTAAGAAAAGGATGAGCCCCTTATTATTGAAATAAATGTATCATCAGACATGCAGAATAAACATGTAGTGGAGCATGAAACTATCCTGTAGTAATATTAATTAAACATGCTGAAAAAATACCCTCATCTTCACAGATACTCTTTTTGCTTTACTTCAACTGCAAATTTACCAACTTGATGCCACACACACACACACACACACACACACATTTTTTAAATAGAGTTAATAGATGTGTACTATGACATCAAAAGGGACTTTCTGTTACCACAAAATTGTTAGTAGAGTCCACAGCTGAAAACAGCAGGTGTTAAGTACCCGATATTCTAAAGCATGCCACCAACAACTGAAGCCAGCCGCCTCCCTCCAGCGATTACTAAGAGACCCACCATTTTTCATTCATTCAATAAATATTGATTAAGCACCTACTATGTTTCAAGCAGTGTTCTAGGCACTAGAGATGTAGCTGTTTACTAGACAAAGGCCCTATCCAAATGGAATTTATAACCTGGTGGGAGGGGAAGAAAATAGTTCTCTCCTTACCTAAAGTCAAATAAGGAGCCTTCCAGAGATCCATTCACAGAGAATGGTGGTGCCTGCAGGAAAGGGATACGGTTACCTGGTACCCCAGCAAGGTGCTTACTGAGCTAGCTGAATCTGTAGACCCACTGGTGTGCCACTAAAGGCAGAGCCTTTAGTTCCTGGAAGTTTGGAAGGTATATTAGCATAGACACTGATATCTGCTTCTCTCCCAAAGATTTTTGTAGGTAGGAGACTTCTGTAGGTAGAGCCGAGGCCTGCGGGATAACTAAGGGCCATTGGAGTAGTGACCCTTACCTTCCTTGGGTCCCACTAGTCCCTGGAGAGTGTAGAGAACTTCCATGATCTCTTTACTCCAAAAGAGGAGGTCAGAAGTCATAATGCTGCCCAGGTGGCTTTCAGGTCAGAGGAGACAATATCTAACTCAGAAAAGATGTTGGGCAGCCCCTCTATAAAAGGGGTGGGCACTAGGATAATACTAACCACAACATCAGGAAATACATACACACGCTTTCTGTGCACAAACCACTAGTAATCAAACAAACCAGAGCAAGACCAGGGAAACATACCTCACTGACAAGTCACCATTTACATAATAACATCCGGTCTCCTTCCTGCTCCCAGCACTAGAGGAACCAGACCTTAGAAAGAGACGGCGAGAAGGTTCTAGATATAGACATCATCCTTCCCCACTGTAAATTGGTGCAAGCTCATGCTAAGGGAAGGGACAAAATTTGCACTTAATAAGAGATTGAAGTTTATATTTGGTCTGGACTTTTAATAAGTAAAAGTGACCAGAAATCAGTGAAATCATCCCAAGATTTACTGTGGGATATGTCAAGGAAATTTGACTTTGCATAGCCGAAAGAGTGTAATTGGAGAAAAATTAAATTACTTTAAGTTTATATTATTGCTCCACAGAGGTTTGACTACCCAGTAAGCTAGTTACAGATATACTTTAACCACTGTTGTTTTTGTAATGTTTGTGATCTTCCATAACAAATATTTCTCATATAATGTTTTTCTTAAATTGAAGTATAAAAAGAAAATTAATCACTTAATTTGTTAACCTCTTATTTACGGCTTCATTGGTGTTTTAAACTATTCAAAGTGCTAATCAGAATCGCTGAGATAAGAAATCAAAGGTAATACAATTTTTCATCTGCCCTTAATAGATCCAGAAAGATTTAATTACTGGTTGCTTTTGAGTTACTTAAATTTTGTTGTCCTGGGCCTAGAATGTTAGAGCTGCTTACA
Organism: Homo sapiens; assembly: GCF_000001405.40. Lineage (NCBI taxonomy): Eukaryota > Metazoa > Chordata > Mammalia > Primates > Hominidae > Homo > Homo sapiens. The sequence goes on along the minus strand of NC_000008.11, from coordinate 98,465,962 downwards.
ATATATCAGAAGTGTGCCCAAATTAAGTATTTCCTGATATTTTTAATAAGCAAAGCTACTTACCAGAAACGGAAAATGCACATAAGAAATGGGTGCTCAGCTGCCATTGAGGAATGCAACGAAAATTTCATCATTCCTTTTTTAAATGGGTGGCCGAGATTTCTCTAAGACAAGATAATTATAGTAATGCTCATCAGTTTGTAACTCCTGCACTAGATTCAAGGTAAACACAGCACCAAACCAACTGTGGAACAGTCTGAACAGACATAGGCAAAGTCTCACTGGAATGTGAAGGAGACATGTTTTATTGGTTTTGTCAGGGTATCTCTGTTACATTTATTGATAACATTAGGAAATCTATCCCAAAGGGCTATGTAGAAATGTGTTTCTTTGGCTAAAGAGCTGGTTAAATAGAAAAATGCTTAATTAACACATATGCACTTATTTCATATGGCCAGTGATGGCTAAAATACATGAATAGCTTATAAGTAAAATGCTTCACCAGGTACAATCTGACAGGAAAGTTGGGATTTTTAAGTAATTTTTTCTATTTTTAACCTATAAACAATTTGTGAAAAAACTGTTTCACATGATCATTGGATTTTGTAGTGCTTTTGTAGTTCATGGGAAACCCATGAAACAGCTATCAGTAGACTGCAGTTCAAATTTATGTGGGTTAGATGTTGCCTTTGAGGGCCTACATAAGCACCTCTAGCTGAGAGACCTAGGGTGGATCATTTGATCTCTCTAAGCATCCTCACCTGTCAAACGGGGTTGGTAATATCTGCCCCCTAAGGTGATTGCTAGGCTTCAATGACTTAGTGTACAGGACCTTAGGATAGTATTCAGCACATTGTAAATAATCAGTAATTGGCACTTTCTCCTACTCCTTCATTGATATTCATGAGAAACCGTATTCTTCCTTTTCTTTGGGAATGAAAATCTAGAATCCTAAGTTTCTTCTAGGTGCTCTGAAGTTAAACAGCCAAAACAGAATGATTCATGGTAGTTTCCAATTGTAATCCCAGAATATTTTTAGTTATTCAGTCAGCTGAAGACCTGGGCCTCTCAGCTCAGAACAGGATAAATAATGTCTGTTTGGGGAAGGGGGGTCTGCCAGTAGATTTGATGTTAATGCAGCTTTTAAGATCACATTTTTACAGTGAGGAATTCAGCTTTTCTTCTATAGTGTTATCAAGTGCCTGAAATTATCACTATCTTATTTTTGTAAATGCATATTTTAAATGTATATGTAGGGTTTTCTTTAAACAGGCTTCATAGTAGTTTGGATTGACTAGAATGCTCCTTTTTTGTATGCTTCTCAGTGCCAGGAATTAAATCAGGAAAATGCCTTAATATATGAATGTTTTCTTTTCTTTTTTTTTCTTTCTTTCTTTCTTTTTTTTTTTTTTTTTTTTTTTTAACTTTAAGTACTACCTGTTATCCCTGTGGCTCAGCCTTATGGGCAAAAGGCCCCTTGCCTGTTTATGTATATCTAAACCAATCAGTGGACCTGACTGGATTTTTACTAGTGCTTTGTTGTGTTTCCTGTTCTCATTGTTAGTTAAATGTGTGGCAGCCTCCATCAACAGTGTTTTCTAAAACCAAACAAGATTCTGTTCAACACAGTAAAAATTTCAGCTAAAATGGAATATTAAGGGAAAAAAGAGTATGTTGCTCCAGGCCACAAGAAACTCAAAACAGTCTGAGACATGCACTGGTAAATCTTAAAAATGCTATAGGCAATTCAGCATCAAAACTGCCATAGAAAATTCTTGTTGTTAGCCATTCTGTTGATAGTTCATATTGTTAGAATTGCTAGCAGATGGGAAAATAGATGAGTCAGGATACAGTATTAGCAACCCATATTTTTTTAATCAAAGGCCACTAATAAGGTCTGTAGCATCTGCAAGATTTATTTAAACAGTTGCTAGGAAGAGTTTGTTTTCCCAGTAAACACAGCAAACCTTAGGATTCTCTTGATTGACTGTTTGACTAAATGTGTTAACATTAACATGTAAGACCATTTGCTTCATTGTAGTAGTGTCTCATTTATTTTGACAGACTGATTGTTCCAGCAACTCATAGAATCATTAGGTCTTGAAATGTTATTACATTGATGTATTCAAAACCTTCATATTCCCGTTTCTGCTATTTGAGATTTGACTTCTTAAAAATCGCTCATGTAATTACGACTATTTTTGACAAAACAAAATTATATAGAAATCTTAGTGTTTTTCCCCAGAGATTTTAAGATGAATTATTTTATGAAGTAAGTTTTATCACTTGACTGTGATATTTTAGGTTTTTATAGTAGACTAGATATGTAAACTTAAAGGAAGTTCTAATTTTACTGACAACTCTTTCTGATCAGTAATAAGCAGACTTTCAATACTTCTTGTAGAGTTCAGAAATAATTCTAATTATTAAAGGTTTGAAATGTCAGAATTATCAGTGAATTGATTTAATCTTATTTTCCACCCTAACTTCTCATATCACTGAGTTTTTTATGCTCCTGTTTTATACAAGAGCTAGTAACTGAGTTATTAATTTGCGTATCTTTTACTTGGTTTTTTTTTTAGAAATACTGAGAAATGTCATAGTTTTGTATATTGATCTTTCATCTCCTGAATGAAATGTAATTATCAAGGGCTATCACTAACAAAATGAATTTCTTATTTAAGCTGTCACTCATGTACCAAACCATATCAATTTACAAACAAAGTGTTGACTCATATTAAAAAGTAGTTTTGACTTTTTAATTTAACTAAAAACAATATTCATCCATCCATAATAAAAATAATGATAACTCATATCAAGGAAACTGTTTTAGGTTCTATGTCCTCTGCTTAGAAGGCAGTATATTCTGTGGAACACTTTATAAAGATTTTCTGTTCAAAACAATTGAGACGGTGCTCACTTCAGCAGCACATATACTAAAATTGGAATGATACAGTGAAGATTAGCATGGCCCCTGTGCAAGGCTCACATGCAAATTCGTGAAGCATTCCATATATTTCTACCTAAATGAGAAGGAACCAGAAAAACAATTCTGGCAATATGACATAACAGGGTTCTATAACACCCCTGAAAAGATCACATTAGCTCTCCAGCAATTGATCTAAACCAAGATGAAATCTTTGAAATATCTTTTTATAAAGAATTCAAAAGGTTGATTATTAAGCTACCAAAGGAGATACGAGAGAAAGGTGAAAAACAACATAAAGAAGTTTGAAAAACTATTCAAGATGTGAATGAAAATTCATTCTACTATGCTTGGTCCATAGAAAAATCTCAATAAATATGTCAGTGAGTACTTTGAAGTTCTCTGACAGCCCACCTGAAGACCTAGCGATATATGTAGCTTATGCAGAAGTCAGATTTCCTGTAAACTCAACCTCATACAACCACAAAACTGAAATCAGATATTTTTAAAATAAATACAGCATAGTAGGTTCGGAGATGAGTAAAACACTCTATCTCCCACAACAAGATTGCAATCTAGCTGGCAAGATAGGCCCATGCACAGCTAACTCACTGAAGGATGAGTAAGATGATAAAATGGGAAATAGGATAGAGAAGGAAAACAGCATGAGTAGAAACAGATATGGCACACGAATGTACTCCATTGTGTATATGTACCATATTTTCTTTATCCATTCATATTTTGATGGACATTTTTTGCTTTCTCATCAGTTGCGGTGAGCCGAGATCACACCACTGCACTCCAGCTTGCGTGACAGAGTAGACTCTGTCAAAAAAAATAAAAAATAAAAAGAATGAATAAGACCTACTATTTGATAGCACAACAGGGTTACTATAGTTAATAATAACTTAATTGTACATTTTAAAATAACTTGAAGAGTGTTATTGGATCGTATTCAAAGGATAAATGCTTGAGGGGATGGATACCCCATTCTCAATGAGGTGCTTATTTCACAATTGCATGCCAGTATCAAAACATTTCAGGTACCCGGTATGCACCCACAAAAAAAAAAAGTGTTTTAATTAAAAAAGAACTTCTAGGAGATTCGTTGCAAAAAAGATGTCACCAAGAGCAGTGAGACAAAAGCGTTATGTAACCTGTAAAGGAAAACCTATCAGACTAACAGCAGATTTCTCAGCACAAACCTTACAAGCCAGAAGGGACTGGGGTCCTATCTTTAACCTCCTTAAACAGAAAACCGTTAACTAAGAATTTTGTATCCAGCAAAACTGTTCCATAAATGAAGGAGAAATAAATTCTTTTTCAGACAAGCAAATGCTGAGAGAATTTGTCACTACCAGAGCATCCCTACGAGAAATGCTAAAAGGAGTTCTGAATCATGAAACGAAAGGTAGATATGCACCAGAATAGAACCTCTTGAAAGCGTAAAACTCACAAGGCCTGTAATACAATAACACAATGAAGAAAACAGAGTATCTAGAAAACAACCAACGTGATGACTGGAACAGTACCTCACATTTCAGTATTAATGTTGAATGTAAATGGTCTAAATGCTCCACTTAAAAGATACTGGTTGGCAGAATTGATAAAAAATTACAAACCACATATCTGCTGTCTTCAAGAGACTTACCCAACACATAAGGATTTGTATAGACTCAAAGGGGTAGAAGAAGATATTCTATGCAAATGGAAAGTAAAAGTGAGCAGGGGTAGCTATTCTTATTTCAGATAAAACAGAATTTAAAGCAACATCAGTAAAAAAAAAAGACAAAGAATGACATTATGTAATGATAAAAGGATCAATCCAACAAGAAGATATAGTCCTAAATAAATATGCACCTAACTCTTGAGCTCTGAGATTCATAAAACAATTACTCTTAAATCTAAGAAAAGAGATAGGTGCAACCCAGTAATAGTGGGGGACTTCACCACTCCACTGGCAGCACTAGACAGATCATCGAGGCAGAAAGTCAATGAAGACAGGACTTAAACTTCACTGTAGAACAAATGGACATAACAAATATTTACAGAACATTCTACCCAAGAATTGCAGAATATACATTCTTCTTATCCAAAATTAAACATTCTCCAAGATAAACCATATGATAGGCCTAAAACAAGTCTCAATATGTTTTTAAAAATCGAGTTGATTCATAGTTCTGCGTGCCTGGGGAGGCCTCAGGAAACTTATAATCATGGCAGATGGTGAAGGTGAAGCAAGCTTGGACCTTCTTACATGGTGGCAGGAGAGAGTAGAGAGTGAAGGAGAAAGAGCCCCTCATAAACCCATCAGATCTTGTGAGAATTCACTCATTATCATGAGAACAGCATGGAGGAAACTGCCCCCATGATCCAGTCACCTCCCACCAGGTCTCTCTCTAGACACATGGGGATTACAAACCAAGATTATGGAGATTACACTTCAAGATGAGATTTGAGTGGGGACACAGCCAAACCATATCATTCTGCCCCTGGCTCCTCCCAAATCTCATGTCCTTACGTTTCAAAATACAATCATGCCTTTTCAATAGTTCCCCAACGTGTTAACTCATTCCAGCATTAACCCAAAAGTCCAAGTCCAAAGTCTAATCTGAGACAAGGCAAGTCCCTTCCACCTAAGAGCCTATAAAATCAAAAGCAAGTTAGTGACTTCCAAGACACAATGGGGGTACAGGCATTGGATAAATGCTCTTATTCCAAATGGGAGAAATTGGCCAAAACAAAGGGGCTAAAGGCCCCATGCAAATCTGAAACCCAGCAGGGTAGCCATTAAATTTTAAAGTTCCAAAATGATCTCCTTTGACTCCATGTCTCACATCCGGGTCACATTGATGCAAGAGGTGGGCTCCCATGGTCTTGGGTAGCACTACCCCTGTGGCTTTGCAGGTTACAGCCCTCCTCTCAGCTGCTTTCACAGGCTGGTATTGAGTGTCTGCAGCTTTTCCAGGCATATGGTGCAAGCTGTCAATGGATCTACCATTCTGTGTTCTGGAGGAGAGTGGCTGTCTTCTCACAGCTCCACTAGGGAGCACCCCAGTGGGGACTCTTTATGGGGTCTCCAACCCCACATTTCCCTTCCACACTGCCCTACCAGAAGTTCTCTTTGAGGGCTCTGCTCCTGCAGCAAACTTCTGACTGGACATCCAGTCATTTCCATTACATCCTCTGAAGTCTAGGTAGAGGTTCCCAAGCCTCAATTCTTGACTTCTGTGCACTCGCAGGCCCAACACCATGTGGAAGCCACCAAGGCTTGAGCTGAAGCCATGGCCCGAGCTGTACCTTGGCCCCTTTTAGCCATGACTGGAACTGAAATGGCTGGGATGCAGGGTGCCATGTCTCAAGGCTGCACAGAGTAGCAGGGCCCCTGGGCCTGGCCCATGAAACTAATTTTCCTCCTAGGCCTCCATGCCTGTGATGAAATGGGGCTGCTGGCAAGATCTCTGACATGCCCTGGAGACATTTTCCCCATTGTCTCGGCTCCTTATTACTTAACGCAGATTTCTGCTGCAGGCTCGAATTTCTCCCCCAGAAAACAGGTTTTTCTTTTCCATCACATCATCAGGCTGCAAATTTTCCAAACTTTTATGCTCTGCTTCCCTTTTAAACATAAGTTCCAATTTCAAACCATCTATTTGTGAATCCATAAAACTGAATGCTTTTAAGAGCACCCATGTCACATCTTGAACACTTTGCTGCTTAGAAATTTATTCCCCCAGATACCCTATCATCTCTTTCAAGTTCAAAGTTTCACAGATCTCTAGGGCAGGGGCAAAATGCCACCAGTCCCTTTGCTAAAGCATAGCAAGAGTGATCTTTGCTCCAGTTGCCAGTGAGTTTCTCATGTTCGTCTGAGACCACTTCAGCCACGGCTTCATTGTCCATATCACTAACAGCATTTTGGCCAAAACCATTCAACAAGTCTCTAGGAAGTTCCAAACTTTCCCACATCTTCTTAACTTCTTCTGAGCCCTCCAAACTATTCCAACCTCTGCCCATTACCCAGTTCCAAAGTTGCTTCCACATTTCAAGTATCTTTATAGCAGCGCCCCACTACCTCAGTGCCAGTTAACTGTGTTAGTCCATTTTCACACTACTATAAAGAAATACCCAAGACTGGGTAATTTACAAAGGAAAGAGGTGTATTGATTCACAGTTCCATGTGACTGGGGAGGCCTCAGGAAATTTACAATCATGGTGGAAGGTGAAGGTGAAGCAAGCCTGGACCTTCTCACGTGGTGAGAGGGGAGAGCAGAGTGAGATTGAAGAAGGAAGGGCCCCTTATAAAACCATCAGATATTGTGAGAACTCACTCACTATCACTAGAACAGCATGGAGGGAAACTGCCCCCATGATCCAATCACCTCCCACCAGGTGTCTCCCTAGACACATGGGGATTATGAGGATTACAATTCATGATGAGATTTGGGTGGGGACACAGCCAAACCATATCAGTAAAGTCTTAGGTTACAAAATCAGTGGTACAAATCAGTAGCACTATTATATACCAACAGTGACCAAGCTGAGAATCAAATCAAGAACTCAACCCCTTTTACAATAGCTGTAAAATAATTAATAATAATAATAGTAATAGCAATAAATTACCTAGGAATATACTTAGCCAAGAAGGTAAAAGATCCCTACAGGGAGAACTACAAAACACTGTTGAAAGAAATCATGCATGACACAAATGGAAATACATCCCATGCTCATGGATTGGAAGAATCAATATTATGAAAAAGACCTTACTGCCCAAAGCAGTCTACAGATTCAGTGCATTTCCTATCAAAATACCAACATCATTTTTCACAAAATTAGAAAAAAATCCTAAAAGTCACATAGAACCAAAAAAGAGCATATGTAAATACATGTGTGTGTGCACATGTGTGTGTGTGTGTGTGTGTATATGTGTGTGTATGTGATATTGAGACAAAGTTTTATCACTTAAAGAACTAAGATTTAGGTACTTCATTAATTTACTTACATGAACACCTAATTCCTTAATAATGTTAGATAATGTTTCTCTAATATCACAGACCTGTTTTTCACAAATTTTACGCATTGATAATATAAAAATCTGTTAAAGGAAGAAAATTTTTCTTCTAAGTAGCTTCTTTTTCTGAGTTCAGTCTATTACTGCAATACAATATTTATAAACCTATTGGCAGTTTGCCCCAGTAAAAGTAGTACAAGATATTTACAGGAATATCTTAATTCAGAATTAAAGTAATGATAATTGTTTGCTTTATATAATATGTTAGTTCTTCTGATCTTAGAGTAACCCACTCCTTTGGGTCATATATTCTTATTCATATTTATCTATCTACGTTTACGTCATGTTATTTGCAGTATAGTAGGATAGTTTCTTGGTGTATGTACAGTCTCTAAAGTCTAAGTATTTTTTGGAATATCTAGGGACATGAAACTCATGCATAAAAATCAATTATAAAATAGTACATGATTTAGAATCAAATACTAAATTGTGTTGTTTAAATTATGAGTGTTACATAGAAATTTAGAAATGGGAAAGATTAACATGGGCTGAAATAGAGATGATGTTGAAGAACACAGAAGTGGAACTGGATCCTACATAGACATAGTTGGGCATGTCTTTCTTGGGAAATGTGGTTGTGTGGTATACATTGGCCTTTCAATGTGGCCATTACCGATGTGTACAGTTCAAAGTTTGGAGTTTCCCTGTTTGTCTTATTCTGTATCTCCACAGTGATTTGAACAGCACTGAGCATGTAACAGATGCAAGATCACTACTTGGATTAAAAATCAATGAAGAAAGTGTATAATACTACATATGATATATAAATGTATGTTTTATGGCATAATATTAAAAGCTAGGTTCTTTCATGACATATGACTACAAAATAACAGGGCTGATTATTAATATACATACCAGAACTTCTTATGCACCGAAGTGAGTGGCATTCACCTTCAAAGTCATCATCATGGAAGCCTGCATACTCTTCTCCATAACACTGTCATTTCTCAAAATATTTTTGGAACTCCTTTTTTGAATTTCCTTCAGAGAGTCTATGACTCATTCTTTTCAGTATCCTCAGAGTCTTTTTCAGCTAAGAGTGAATTTGGTTTTTGGAAGCAGAAGTCACGATAGGGCCAGGGATGGCGAGTAAAAGGATCTGCTGAGAAATGCTACTTTGGATGACTATAAGTAATGAGTATTTTTCCTAGCTTGACTCATAAAATAACCAAAGGCAATTATCTTCTTAAAACAAAAAGTAAGTTGCAAGTTTTATCATTTTAAAACCAAGCCTGAGCTGGGTGCAGTGGCACATCCCAGCTACTGAGGAGGTCAAGGCAGGAGGATCTCTTGAGCCCAGAAGTTTGAGACCTTGTGTCAAAAAAAATAAGAAGAAGAAGAAGAAGAAAAGAAAACCAAATCTGGATTACTCTTACATAACTGTCCTACTCCAGAATTGATCATGGCTTCCTGCTTTTGGGGCCCCACCAGGCCTATTCAGCCTTACTTCCCGCCCCCTACCACAGTCATCTTCTTTATTAAGCATTTAGTAAAATGGAGGATAGAATGGTTAATTTAACCTTTATTCAGTCTTGTCACATTCTTGAGTGATCTCTGCAAGTGTTCATGATTATTGTAGCACTCAGTAGCTGGCAAAGATGTAAAAAGTTAGAGTGAATATACCTGGAACATATTCTGAAAATCTGTTTGTTGGCAGTGGTGGATTTGTCTTTGTACCTTTTTACAAATTCCATCAGCGTATTTTTCTCATTTGCCCTTTATTAAAGGCAGAGGATCGGATTGCTTCATTGCAGATTACTGGAGGTTCTTGCAAGATATGACCTCTGAGTTCTTCAAGGAAGAAATTCCTGTTTTAATTGTTGAACTATACTTCAAAGATGATGTAAAGAATTTGCTGAAATATTTATGTTAAAACTCATTAGACATTAAAGTCTAATTTCATTGTATTGATTGTGGATAATGTGGATAATTTCATTGTATTGGTATCTTTCTTTCTGTATCTAGTTGAAAAATCTAAGTTTAGAAGAACTACAGATGCGGTTAAAAGCACTGGACCCCATGATGGAACGGGAGATAGAAGAACTTCGTCAGAGATACACTGCGAAAAGACAGCCCATTCTGGATGCGATGGATGCAAAGAAAAGAAGGCAGCAAAACTTTTGAGTCTAATTTCCTCTCTGTTTTTAACTATTCTGGAGACCAAGAAACCACTAGGAATTGAAGGAATATTTGGATATTTTTAATCCTAAGATTTTGCCCTACAATTAGGCAGAGGTCAAAAAGTGACAATGGTACATGCCCAGGTAAATTCCCAAAAGGCAGAATTGACAGTTGTATCTGCTGTGCATTCACTCTAAGATGAGGAGAACAAAAGAAGTGTATTCTCTTGTTCTGTCAGCTGCATACCAGTAATAAAACTGTTATGAAATGGATTTTCAAGGTCTCTAAACCTTGAAAATCCAAAGCTATTGTTGCATTGTACAGCACTGAAGGGCTTTATGTTACAATATTCTTTATTCCTATCTAGTATACTAGGCTATTTATTGTATCCCCTTAGGTAAACTTATTTATTTATGCTATTTTGCTTTGTTTCATTTTTTAAGGACAAGATCAGGATAGCTTTGGTGAAGGTAGGGTCATATTAATATGATGATAATGTGCAACCAATTTATACTTTCTGCAGGGAGCTATGGGGTACATTCCTTGATTTCCAGGATAGTTTTTCAAATAGGAAAGCAATAATGGCAGTAGTTCTCAAATGGGCTAGGCCTTTTTTATATTGAAGCAATAATTCCATTTTTACCCTTTGAAATTTTGTTTTTTTGATTTTTGATGTTTGGTACAAATAGAACTATATATATTTAGGTAAAATAGATCTATCGTGTTTAAAACCAAAGAAATCAATGGAACCCTTGCACAAAAAAGTGTGATAAATATTTTTAAATAAAAACTTAATACAAATGTAATTTGTTAATATTGTTTCATGTTTTATGTGTAGATCTAATAGCTGAACTGATTCAAACTGTAATAAGCTCATCAATTTCATTTCTATGAAAATGTGCTCTGTTGTCACAGGATGTTTCTGTTGATTTTATTCATTTCCTGGGAATTGGTAAACATCATGTTCCTGATGATAACCCAGTAGCAAAAACATTTGTACTGAGTGGTACAAGCCTTGGGGACTGAAAAAAAAAAGATTAAAACCATTAAAAAGAAACTCATTTTTACGCTGAATGAACATTTATATGATTGCATTGGGACCAGTCATTTCCTAAGCTACATATGGCCATCTTGACAGTGTTTTTTCTTTTGTGTGTTTAATTATTATGTGTAAATCATAAAGACAAATAAATTTCACTGTGCCACCCAGCATATTTCGTTTCTGTATCTTTGTTAAAACTCATGACCTGGACTCTGCATTTTCCAAGCAAGGGACGTATATTAGTTAGGACAGGCTAGATTATGCAGTGCTGACAACCCTCACCCTTCAGCGGCTTCACATAATACAGGTTATTCCTCACTCTTGCTCCAGGCCCACCCCAGTTTGGCAGGGCGCCCTGCTCCTATCATCCACACCCAGGGACCTGCTGACAGGGCCTCAACCATCTGAGATATCTGTGGTCACCACAATAAGGAGAAGGGGAGCTGGAGAGTTTCATACTAGCTCCAGCCAGTAGTGATACATGTCTGGTTGGCCACAACCCAGTATTCAGAATTAGTCACATGGACACTCCTAACTTCGAGGGAGTCAGGAAGAGTAGCATCACCACGTAGCTGGAGGGGAGAGAACAGGAAAAGCTGATGAGTTCACTAATGTCTGTCACAGAAGGTATATTGTCTCTGGAAAGCTTCCATTCCTTTTTAAAAATGGTATTTGTACCCTAGGTAATGCCTCAAAGTGTCATTTGTCTCTACCCTGTTGAGCCCTTACAAATAATAATAAATTGTATAATTGGATACAAATTATAAGATTATAAAAAGAACGATAAGTATGAAACATACAAAGATTATTAAAAAATGAAGAACTGAATTTACAATATATGCTTCAGCAAATCTATACTGGAGTCTGTTGGGGACAGTTGTGTGAGTTGATCAACTGAAACACCCTGCCCTTTTTTCTTTTCCTAATTATTTTTCTTTTTACTAACCTGTTCGATATCTTGCCTGATTTGATGGAATCAAATGACTGATTTGCTGTCATCCAAGCAAAACCACCTACATGACATGGACAAGAAACCTATGAAGATGATTTCTCTTCAGTTTGCTAAATTAGAAAATGTATGCAAATTAACTCAGCGAGGCCTGTTAACCACTCTTAATTCAATCTCGAGAGTCCTCCTTTTAATATGTCAAGTGTTCCACTCACATTGCAATTTTCTGCAGTTAGACTTTATATCCTATTATATCTATGTCTATTTAAGTGTATGTACACAAATACACACATATATTTAAGAGAATTAAGAGGAATGGGCATTGTTTTATTTTAGAGCCCTAGGAAACTCCAAAACATTTTAGGATGACCTACTTTTAAATTTTTCCTATCTTCTTACTCTTTGCCCCTACCAGTCAAAGGAATTTAAGATATGTTTTGAAGAATCACAAGCCATGAAAGAAATCTGCCTGGGTGCAGTGGCTCACACCTGTAATCCCAGCACTTTGGGAGGCCGAGGCAGGCAGATCACAAGGTCAGGAGTTCGAGACCAGCCTGACTAATATGGTGAAACCCCATCTCTACTGAAAATACAAAAATTAGCTGGGCGTGGTGGCACATGCCCGTAATCCCAGCTACTCAGGAGGCTGAGGCAGGAGAATCACTTGAACCCAGGAGGCAGAAGGTTGCAGTGGGCCAAGATCACACCACTGCGCTCCAGCCTGGGTGACAGAGCGAGACTCTGTCTCGAAAAAAAAAAAAAAAAAAAAAAAACAAGAAAGAAATCAAGTCTAGGCCAGGCTTGGTGGCTCATGCCTGTAATCCCAGCACTTTGGGAGGCTGAGGCCAGCAGATCACTTGAGGTCAAGAGTTCAAGACCAGCCTGACCAACATGGTGAAACCCTGTCTCTACTAAAAATACAAAAATTAGCTGATCGTGGTAGCAGGCGCCTGTAATCCCAGCTACTTGGGAGGCTAAGGGAGGAGAATCGCTTGAACCTGGAAGGCGGAGGTTGCAGTGAGCTGAGATCACACCACTGCACCCCAGCCTGGGCAACAGAGTAAGGCTTTGTCTCAAAAAAAAAAAAAAAAAAAAATCTTCAAGTCTAGTTAAGCCTTGATTAATCATGATGCTTAGGAAAGACAGTTTTCTAGTTATTTTAATGAGTTTAAGAAGAAACCTATTTTAACCTGGTTGCTGGGAACTTTCCAAAAATAGGTAAGTGTACTTTTCTGCACACCTCATCCTTTAATAAATACAGTATCGTGAATGTAACTGAAGCTAGTGAATCAGGGTTTCATCTTGCTGAAAAGCTAGTATCATTGTATATATTGTCCTGTAGATGATAAAGTTTTTTCTTTGGTGTAATGAACTTAGATGACTCATTTCTACAGACTTAAAATACACTTAGCTTATTTTAGCAGAAATAGTTTTATGTTCAAAGTATGAACTAATTTGGCAAATACAAATTGGAGAAGAAAGTGTATTCAAATGGATTTCAAAATAATAACACCTGTTATTCGGGGCACTTACTATATGTCAGACACTTTGATGAACAACCTTAAATACATTACTTACCGCTGTTATATTTTTCCTCCGCTTATTTACTGAATCACCTCCCCAGTGTTCAAAATCATGCTCTACTCACTGAAGGATGTGCAGTTCTGTAACAAATTATATAATACATTAATAAGATGTTTTTTAACTTAGTCACAGGAAATCTTTTCAAATTACTGATTAGCATTCAATAGGATTGCTATTTTCATTTCCTATCCTGTATGTTAAAGATTAATGATTAAAATAAATCCTGAAAATGCTAATAACATTCTAAGTAGAACATCATTAAAGAAAAATAATTGGAGTTATATCGCATTACTAAACCATTATTAGGCATAGGCATTTAATTAGATATTTCATCAAAATGCAATTTTGGAGTACCAGGGTTTTTTTTTTTGTTTTTTTTTTTTTGGCCTGAAAGACTAGGAATCTGGAATCTAATGAGAACTATTTTTCTTTGCCGTTTGGGCAACATGATGGGACCTGGACCCAAGGAAGTTTTACAGACCCTGGTCGGGCAGTCTGATGCCACTGAGTGGTGACTTCCAGGGAGTCAGTCAGTTTTGCCCTGTTCCATACAAACCACCTTCAACCTCAGCCAACTACCTTCTACTTCCTTTTGGGGTCCCAGAAAGACTCCAAGAGGGGAAGCAGAGAACCAGCTCAATTCTTCCACCAATCTTGGAAAAACAATTCCTACTTCATGCTCTTCTCACACTGGACCACATCATTAGTCAGACTCTTTGCCACCACTTTCTTCACTTGATAAAGCTACCTAAATAAAAATTAGGATTTTTTAATTGCTTTTCTGCTCACAGAATTTTGCCAAGTTGAGAATGAACTCTGTCTCCTGGCATTCAAGACCTGCAACAGGCCTCAAGTGACGTTTATGACCTTATCTCCATTATTGTTTTATTTGAGCCCTTTCCGCCAACAAACTGAACTGCTTCCAAACTCTCTATATCATTATTTTATTTATGGGTTGTAAAGTTCCTGACGGCAGAGACTTGGTGTTTATCCATCTTGTTTCCCCACAATGCATGCCAGTATATTAGATATAATTTGGTATTAAAGTTTCATTGAACGCCATGAGCTCAAACAAAAAAAAATTGTCATTAATCATACAGGCTGTCTTTCTCCTTGGCATCCACATAATCACCATAACAACAATAATAATAATTTTGTGAGCATCTACTAACCCATGCATTTTTGATACACCATCTCAAACCTCCACAAGAAGATGCATATTCCCTTTGGTGAAAAAGAAAGGGAGGACTGAAAAGAAAGAATTAGAGAGATTAAATGAGGTCACACAGCTAGTTAATGCCAGTAGTGGCCTTACACTCCCATCTGTCTCTAAAATCTTTGCATTTCCGCTAGACCACATAGCCTAATAAACAGGAGGTCTAGCTTTAGAATGTTAGGGTTGCTGAGCCTGCTTGCTGATGGCTCTTCAGTTACAACTTAGGACTGTTGTTGGATGACTTTACCTCTTTCACATTTCAGTGGAATCTATATTTTCTGAAATGGCATCCTTCCTACATGTAGAAAAAGGATGCAGGGTGCATGCATTCAAGCTTCCAAGATGAGTCGTACAAGATTTTTTTCTTTTATTATTTTAGGATATACGTGGCGTTCTTGTGCCTTGAAATCTATGTTTTGTTGTAAATGATAATGTATTATATTCTCTCTTATCAGTCTTTCTTTGATAATGATTGCTTTAGAGAAACATTAATCAGCATGGCGGAAGGAGCCTGGCATCAGAAATTAAATGATCTGGGTTCAAATCCCAGTTGTTCTTTTGCACTTTTGTTGTCTTGGGCAGAAATAACCATTTAATCATTCTGTGTTTCAATATCTTCATCTGTAATACAGCAATTGGGAAGATCAAATGTTCTAGGACATGTACAATATTTAGCAAAGTTCTTGACATATGACACGTAAATACTAAATTAAAAAACAAACTTTTAACTCTTTTTAGTTTAGTGCCATGTTTTTGCAAGAATGAAGAAGGGGGCTCTGTTCCTTGATAAGCAAGCTGATTGTTACTTCGAAAGTGAATTAGAGTCACCTAGAACCCAGTTAGGCCTTCTCGTAAGGGCCTGACCTACTCTCTGGTGGTGATTTGCACTGAGGAGAATCTATCATGCTCAATTTTTTAAAGTATTCTCTATACACGGAGGAAAGAAAGTTGTATATCTTAGTCCATTTTGTGTTGCTATAATGGTTGAGACTGGGTAATTTATTGAATACCTGAGACTGGGTAATTTAAAGAAAAGAGTTTTATTGGGTTTATGACTCTAGAGGCTGGGAACGTCAAGAACCATGATGCTGGCATCTGGTTGGCTTCTGGTGAGAGCCTCATACTGTGTCACAGTGTGGCGGAGAAACAAAAGGGAAAGCGAGTGTGTTTGAAAAGGGGTAAATATGAGAGGACATCTTTCTTTAGAATAGCCCATTCACTCAGAGACCAATCCATTTCCGGAGAACTAACGCAGTATCAAGAGAAAGGCATTAATCTATTTTAACATCCTAATCACCTCCTAAAGGCACCTCCTCCCACCACTGGTACATTGGCAATTAAATTTCAACATGAGTTTTGGCAGGAACAAACACATCCAAATCATAACATTATGTTATGCTAAACTTTCCCCCTCCTCTTTAAGATGATTATTGTAAGGATATTGTTAAGGCCAGCATAAGTTGCCCCATTTGTGATGACCCATCAGGAAATATCAAATTTATGTTCTTAAAGTTTTGGTTCACTGAAGTTTCATCGTTCTTGGTCCTTACAAATATGAACCATGTCATTGACTTGGCCTCAATTTGCTTTGGTCCCAGGAAGTTCAAAATTAAATTTATGTTTTAATAGTTTGTAGGATTCTATGCTGTATATATCTACATTTCTCTGATCCTATATTTATAACAACTGAAAATACCTTTTTAAAGGAACTATCTGGAGGCATGGGTTCTTCCACTAAAAAACATCTGATCAACCATGTGTAATCTGTGTATCTTCTCACAGAGTTCTTGTGAGTGTCAAATATGGCAATATGTATCAAGGTGAGTTGTAGTTCAATTGCTGGAATCTTCTGTATGGGAATATTACCATCCAGGAGGAAAGGGAACTCTAGAATATAAGGTTCCCAGAGACTGAGATAACTTCTCTTCTTCTTCTTCTGGAAGGAGCCAAGATAGAGAACATCACAGTACCTTTGGCCCTCACACCTCCTGTCCTCACAACCTGTTTTCAAATCACATTAACACAAAAACTGATTCAAGCTTACCAGGCAAGCACCTTTCAGTCCCAGGTCAGCCAACACATCAGAAAGAATTTCTTATAAAAAAATCTACCTCTCTGTATTTTTCCATTTTTACTATTCAATTCATAAGTTACTTAATGTTTTCTATAGAAAGAGAAGGATATGAAGGAAAAAAAAGATGAGAGCAAAGAAAAATAGTTTTTAGCATGATACAAATGACATTTTAACCAAAAATTACAAATCTATGTCATACCCCATGTTTCCTCAACAGAAAAGTGAGTCTATGTCATTTTATGAGAGAGCACTAAGAATTAATCAGTTCAAAATTTTTCTGGTAGAAAATCCAGTGCCTGCCTATGTTTAAACCAAGCAACTAGTTGTCTTTTAAATTTTTATAGAATGTCCAAGGTGAACTGTAATTAGTTGAGTGGAAGCTAAATAAAACCTGATACTAAAGCACTGAGCTTTTAAATATTCCCTGATGTTCAGTGTATACCGACCATGTTAGATAGGGCACTCCTGCACCTGCGCATTTTTCAGCCTTTCCACTTATTCTATGACAGCTTTCTTTCCCATTTGGAAAGAAAATATTCTTGGCAAAACATTTGAATGAAAAGACGTAATAGCAC
This sequence comes from Homo sapiens, assembly GCF_000001405.40. Classification (NCBI taxonomy): domain Eukaryota; kingdom Metazoa; phylum Chordata; class Mammalia; order Primates; family Hominidae; genus Homo; species Homo sapiens. The sequence goes on along the minus strand of NC_000008.11, from coordinate 98,448,404 downwards.
TTGGAACAGAAGTCTTTGATGTCAAGGAAAAACAAGGTACATGGAGGAATCTGAAATGTGGAATTGTTTCATTATTAATCAATCAGTGTGCAAATTCATGAATTCCTTCTCTGTTGTCCTTCCATAAAGTATATAGGAGTTTATTTTAAAAGCACACCAGCTGACGACCATAAATCAGTTTGCATGCTTAGCATGTCATCTTTAAAAATTATATGTGATATTACAGCCTGATAGTAATGAATGAATGAAATGGACCTTTAAAAGTTTCAGCAAAGCTTTTTGATTCTGAGAGTAAATTAATTGCTTTAACAAGTAAGTAGTGATTTGGAGTTTGATTTGAATTTGAATGTGTCAGGCAGTCAAAAAAGTCCAAGCAGAATGTTTTTAAAGTTCTTTTTTTTTTTCAGTTTATATTGCTTTATTATTATTATTATTATTATTATTATTATACTTTAAGTTTTAGGGTACATGTGCACAATGTGCAGGTTAGTTACATACAAAGTTCTTAATGTAAAATTATTTCAATTTCAGAGTAATCTAATGGGTTGCTAGTTTTTTAATCTTGTTCAATGAATCCTGGTGCCTTGCTCAGTTCCCTGACATTCATCCACAGCAATGATAGCAAACATATATATAATATTGTATATATTTTACAAATATATACAAATACATGCAACATAATGTATTGCAATATATAGATACTATATATAGTATTGCAATATATAGATACTATATATAGTATTGCAATATACAGATACTATATATAGTATTGCAATATATAGATACTATATATAGTATTGCAATATATAGATACTATATATAGTATTGCAATATATAGATACTATATATATATATAGTATATATGCAATACGATATATACAAATACATGCAATATTTGTCTGTGGTATTCTTTTCTAACTTGCCTGAGAGAAAACAATTTCTTCTGACAGAAAAGGCCTATCCTTACTCTGTCCAATTAGAAGTCAATTCATTTCCTTAGTTCTTGAGGTTGTTATAAAAATATAAGAAAGATTATATCTTTTACAGATTGGAAGTCCTCAAAGGTAGGTATCTTTGAAGCTCTGCTGCCTAACTTACTGCATGGCCATGAGTGAGTTCCTTAATCCTTTTTATAAGTCTCACCTTCTTTTTTTAACCTTCTATTTTAGGTTTGGGGACACATGTGAAGGTTTGTTACATAGGTAAATCCATATGTCATGGGGGTTTGTTGTACAGATTATTTCATCATTCAGGTACTAAGCCTAGTACCCAATAGTTATTTTTCGTGTTCCTCTCCCTCTTGCCACCCTCCACCCTGAAGTAGGCGCCAGTGTGTGTTGTTCGCCTCTATGTGTCCATGTGTTCTCATCATTCAGCTCCCCCTTATAAGCAAGAACATGTGGTATTTGGTTTTCTGTTCCTGTGTTTGTTTGCTAACGATAATGGCTTCCAACTCCATCCATGTCCTCACAAAAGACATTATCTCATTCTTTTTTATGGCTGCATGGTATTCTATGGTGTATATATACTGTATTTTCTTTGTCCAGTCTGTCATTGGTGGGCATTTAGGTTGAATCCATGTCCTTGCTATTGTGAGTGATGCAGCAATGAACATTTGCGTGCATATGTCTTTATGGTAGAATGATTTATATTCCTCTGCATATAAACCCAGTAATGGGATTGCTGGGTCAAATAGTAGTTCTATTTTTAGCTCTTTCCACAATGGTTGAACTAATTTACACTCTCACCAACAGTATATAAGCATTCCCTTTTCTCCGCAACCTCACCAGCATCTGTTATTTTTTGACTTTTTAGTAATAGCCATTCTGCCTGATGTGAGATGGTATCTCAGTGGTTTTGATTTGCATTTCTCTAATGATCAGAAGTCTTACCTTCTTTATCAAGCAGAGACAACCTCAGAGGGTTATGAAAAGTAAATGAGAGATGCACAGAAAACCCTTCAAACACTACCTGGCACCCATGAGTACCCATGACTTGCACTTTCTTTACTCATCAACAAGCATCTATTAAGCACCAACTGTGTGCCAGTGTCTAAGCTAAGTGTGAAATACAGAAATAAAGGCAGCTTTGTTCCTACCCAAGAGCTGGTGCTTATAGCCTGGTACAGGCATGGACACCCACGTGTGGTCATTGCAATAAGAAAGATGTAAACAAAGCCCTGCAGGAGTAGGAATAGAGGAAGTCTTCACTAATGAGATATTTGAACTGAGTCTTGAGGCATGTAAGGCAGGAAAGGGAGAAAGGCACTTTGAGGAGGGCAAAGCATATATAAAGACAGAGATGAGAAAGAATGTCTAGCATACCTTTCGGTGTCTGAGAAAGTTCATTACACAATTAAAGCAGTGAGGGTAGTTTGTCTTGCTTACTCTCTCTGCCCTGCAGTTTAGGAGAGGTCATGGAATCATGTGGTCTGTTTTTGTTTTTGTTTTCCCAAATCACTGAATGTTTTCCAGATAAATTAACACCAGTTGGAGCTAGCCTATTTTCTGGTGCCTTTAGATACTGGTCACACTCGGCTGTACTCAATTCTACTGTTTAATAAATATCTAGAAATAGTGATGTCTGCAGAGGCTTGCTGAGGTTAGGTGTTGGGGAAAAAGGGGCAGAGAGAGGTAGGTAGAGAGTTGGCAACAGCTTCTGAGGAGACAGGTTTATATTCAGTTCCTCAAATCAGTTCACTATCTGCATGCTCCGAGTGAAAAGCTTATCTTCTTTTTGTCAGCAGTTTTCTTCTTGAGGCCATCAGCATTTTCCATTTTTAATTAAGGCAATTTACAAAGAAGGATGCATAAAACATAATAAAATAGCTAAATTAAGAACAAATGAGAAAAGATATGACATACGATATTTTACTGTGAAAATACAAAAAAATACAAAAAAAGTAAAATATCTCAATAATCTTTTATATTTATTATGTGTTGAAATAATAATATTTTGGATATGTTTGGTGGAAATATATTATTAAAATTAATTTCATCTGTTTTTCTTTTACTTTTAAAAAATGTGGCTACTAGAAAATATAAAATTATATATGTAGCTCACATTTGTAGTTTGCGTGACATTTCTATTTGACAGTGACAGTCTATTAGCTAAACGCATCCATCAGCTGATGAATGGATAAATGAAATGTATATCCATTCTGGGGAATATGATTTAGCAATAAAAAGGAATAAAATAATGGGGACAGGATTTTTGGGGGAGGTGATGAAATTGTTCTAAAATTGATTATGTGATGGTTGCAGAACTCTGAATATATTAAAAACCGTGGAACTGTACGCTTTAAAAAATGAATACATTGTATTAAGCTATATTATAATCATAAAAATAAAAGTTTTTGAACTACAGAAAACAAAAGATAAAAGTATACTCTGTTGCTCAGAAGAAAGCCAACTATTCTTAGTACCAAGATAAGAAGTGTCTCTCTAATGGCACCCATAGGGAAGCATGCCATCAAAATTGAATTCAACAGCAATATTCAATTATCACTATTCTCAGAGTAAACACAGGGGTAACTCCTGCAGGCCCATCTTTTGTGATGTTTTTAATATTTACTGGTGGCTCAAACTCAGTTTAGTAACTCATGTGCAAATGATTCCCAAATTACTGCCTTTGACCCAAACTTCTCCTTAAAACTTCACATCTGCATTTTTAATGTCCCACACGTACCTCAAGTTCAACATGACCAAACGCCATTCCCCTTGTATTTTCTGCCCAGTTGGTGCCACCATCTTCCATCCAATCACTAATGCTAGAAACCCGGGAGTCCCCCTTAAATCTTCATTGTCTTTCACCCCATGCCATTCTACCTCTGCCAGTTCAGTCTTCCAAGATGTTCCCAAATCTGTGTCCTCTATTCTACCTCCACTACCCTTCAGGCCTCATTGTCTCCTGCCAGAATATCACAGCAGCCCCTTAACTGGGCTCTGTGCCAGGCTTGTTCCTCCTCAGTCGATCTCACCCTGCTCCATCTGCCAGCATGTGAATCCAGGATGCAGTGAATTTCCATCACATGCAGGATAAGGGTCATTAAAGCCTCTCTGACCAGGGCCCCACCTCCCTCTCCTCATCTCTTGACATTCCTTTAAGTGACCTACATCTGCCTAGCTCCTGCCCACCCTCCTGAAATTGAGGCAACCAAGTCTTACTCATCCTTTCAGCTTAGCTCAGGGACACCTCCTCTGTATACCCAGATATAGATCACTGTCACCGCACTTTCTGTATTGCATTATGGTATCTACTTACTCTTCTGTCTTCTCTGCTGACTGTAAGCTGCCTGAGGGCCAGGACTGTGCCCACGTTTTCCTCATCTCTGTAGCACCAGCACAGGCCCTGACAAAGTAATGCTGAATAAACGTTTGTCAAATGATGGGTGGAGGAACCATAGGTAAAATAAACGTGATTTAAATTTTGGATCTAAGCAAATGGTTAAGAAATCTTATTTATTTATTTACTTATTTATTTATTTAGAGACATAGTCTTGCTCTGTCGCCCTGGTTTGATTTCTTATGATGCATGTCTTCAACTATTGTGGAATTACAAATTAACACACTTTAAAACTACATTTGAAATATGCAGTGGTGTGATCTCGGCTCATTGCAATCTCCGCCTCCTAGGTTCAAGCGATTTTCCTGCCTCAGTCACCCGAATAGCTGGGATTACAGGCACGTGCCACCATGCCCGGCTAATTTTTGCATTTTTAGTAGAGACAGTGTTTCGCCATATTGCCTAGGCTGGTCTCAAACTCCTGACCTCAACTGATCCGCCCATCTTGGCCTCCCAAAGTGCTGGGAATAGAGGCATGAGCCACCATGCCCAGCCTATGGTTAAGAAGCCTTAGAAACCCAATTTTTAACTACTAAATGCCTTTGCTGGCCTCCATGAGGACACAGATTGTGTCTATCTTGCTCATCACTATGTTGCCACTATCATTCAGTGTTTGCTGGAAGGGTGGTTGGGAAGACAAGCAAACTCATGAACATAGATACAGGCAGAGAAATGCACTGGAAACAAACTGCCATTCACAAAATCATACCTGTTATCGCCCAAACCTGAGTTAGATTACTCAATAGCCAATACCCTGAAAGCTTGGGAAGCATTTATTTTGGCCTTGAACAAATAATTATCCAATTGAAAGTGAAAATTTAGGTGGCAAATACTGCTGTATTTCCTGAATTCAACTACATTGTCAGGCCTGAAAGAATATACCCCAGTTTCTAAAGGGAGAGACATGAGTTTCTCTATTGTCTTATGGAATGAAAATAGTCACATCTCTGGAGTTCTTTAGAAAGCATGTCTAGACCGTTTAATTCACACAAAACAGACAGATGCCTCACATCTGCTTTACAAAAATGAGAAAAACAGAGTCTGGGTTTTTTGTTGTTTTTTTTTTTTGCTTTAGCTAAGAGCCAGTTTAATTTTTATTCCTATAATTCTGTGGTCGTTGGTACAAAAATCTGTGTGAATATTGAGGGATATCTTAATAGTCTCAGGACTTCCTGCACTGTGAGGACCCAACCACAGTACTAAAAAGTGCTTTATAGAATACATACAATCCTCAGTTGAGGTGTTGAGAAGATAAAAACATACTTGCAAGCAGCACAGTAAATGCAATAATATATCTTTTTGCTACCAGTTCTAGTTCTTTATTTTATACATTTGTTATATGTGCAATTACAATGCAAAAATCAAGGGTGAATGACAGACCAACAGCTACCACACAGAGATAGTGGAAATGATATTATTCGTAATGCTGCTAAGCCGCAACACTGAGGAACGAGTTTAACAGTAAGAAGTGCTCAGTCAGCTTCAGCACACATGCAGATGTAGGAACAGACATTCTGCTCTGTCCTTATTCCTACACTTTCCCTAAAACCATAATGTAAAAGGTGAGGGCCTGAAATAACGCACCTTGGTGGTTTTATCTAGCATTTCTGGAAGTGCCATTGGTGCTAACATTTCTTCAGCAAACATTCAGGAAAACTGTGTCTAAACAATTATGTACCAGAGATATTAAGATGATTGGACTATGGCCCATGCCTCGACCAGACATAGACCTGTAAGTTCCGAGTGCTGAGATGAGGGATAACAGGAATGGATGAGGTGCTTTGGGAGCTTGGAGAATTGGAGAGGGGAAGGCTTTTGTTCTAGTTCAGGGAGAGGGGCTGGGGGCTTGAATTATGATAGGGCAGTGGTGTTAGAGAAGAGAGGGCAGATCCCAGAACTATTTAGGAAATTGAGCCAATGGAGCTGGTTCACTAAATGAATTTGTGGGACAAAGAAGAGTGAGAAGATGAAGTTAGCCCTGCAGACTCAACTTGGGCCGCCCCAAAGCAGTGATGCCGTTTATTGGAATAGGAGTGGGTTTTAGGGATGCGAGAATGAGTCCAGAATTGGACATGTTGAATTTTAGATGGCTATGGGATATGCAGGAGCAGGTATCCTGGGGGCAGCTGGAAACATGGGTCTGGAGCTGAATGAGAGAGGGAGACCTGGAAATGAAGACTTAGTAATCAGAGGCATGGATGGAAAGGCCCACGGGAGCTGTGCCAAGTGAGGAAACAAAAAGGGAACAAAGATAAAATTTTAGGGGGCAGTGGAGCAAGAGGGATGGCCAGCAAATTTGACAACAAGCCAGGAGGCATGAGATGGAGTTGGAAGCCAAGAGGGGAGACACTTCAAGGTGGAGATTCTCCACCACTGGTTATAGTACATAGTGGATGCTCAATAAATAAGTGAGCATTGAACAAATAAATGTAGTCAGTAACTACTGAGTTTCCATCTGACTTGAAAACAGACTTTATGTTTGTGCTGATTTATACTATAATGGTGATGGCTGTTGGGTTTGGAGCCAGAAACGAGGGGGCTAGAACCCAGCTCTGCCACTTGCCAGTCAGATGGCCTTGGAAAAGGTACCCAGGCCCAAAGGAAGATATTGCCCACCTCAGTAACTGATCATCAGAAGGAGGTGGCTAAATAAACTTTGATACAACCACACTGTGCAGTGAAAAAGAATGAGGTTGATTTTTATGAACTGATATGGAAAAATATCTCTGAGTGATATTGAGAAGTTTCCAGAACAGAGCAAGCTGCAAAAGCATTTTTCAATTCTCCGGGTATAAAGATGTGTCTATTCATAGAAAGGTCTGGGAAGACATACAGTACACTAGTGCAATAAGAGTAGTTACTCTGGAGCAGGGACTGAGTTTAGAGGGCGGTAGTCATGTGAATTTTGAGTTCTCCCTGTAAGGTTTGATTTCTTTGATTTCAACTATCGTGGAATTACAAATTAACACATTTTGAAACTACATTTAAAATATCTACCTTCTAGTGTTGTGGTGAAGACTAAAATGCAATGACTCTAGACTCATTGCTGCACAAAGGATGCTCCGTACACAGACTATATAAACCACACCTGGTAAGGACTCCTGAAAAAGGCAACGGGAACCCTCATTTTTGAGCATGGGCTCTGTACCTGGCACTTTCTTCACAGTGACCTTCTCTCTAAGGTAGATGTTAAATGTGGCCTTGGGATACATCTCTGTGCTTCCGATTCCTCATGTACCAGTGAAAATTATACTAGAACCTATTTTATAGGGTTTTTGAGAAAGGGAAATGCACGGACATGTGCCTAGTGAATGTTAGCTATTAACATCATCATCCTCCTCCTTAGATTTTAGCTGAGAAGACAAATGTTCAGAAAGATGTTACTTAACCGAATTCTCACAGTAGTAAATGTCTGACCTAGAATTTTAATGAAGATTTATGTAAGTTTTTTGCACTGTACCACTGGTTAATGGTACACACACACACACACACACACGTGCTTATGTAATAAAATTGAATAGAAAACTGAACCAGGGACAGGGGATTGGGGAATGAGGAACTATTGTTTACTGGGCACAGAGTTTTTGTTTTGCAAGATGAAAAGGGTTCTGGAATTGGATGGTGGTGATGGTTGCACAATAATGCGAATGTACTTAATGCCAACAAACTAGACACTTAAAATAGTAAATTTTCTGCTATTTTATCACAATTAAAATTTAGAAAATAAATTTTTAAAAAATGGAAATGGGAGAAATTTGCCTTAAGACTGCCAGCCCAGGAGCTGGAGCTGGAGCTGAAAGGCCCTGCCTGTGTCCGGGGCTCTCAGGGCCTCTGGTCACACTCTCGGTCTGGATTCCTGCCATCTCCCAGTCCCCAACCTTTTGTCCGTCTGTGCCTCTCAGGAGGGCCCCAGGAGCAGCCTACCCTCAACTCCTTTATCCCTTTGGGGCTAGACTGGCCCGCTGGAGCAGATTTGATGCTGGCAGCAGCTATCCCTGGTCCTGCCCCCAGGAATCAGTACGCACATCCTCCCTCTGATATCCCTCCTCTCCCTGCAAGTCCTAGCTCAGGCGTCACCTCTTCCCTGAAGGCTAGAGAGGTGCCGTGTTGTGCCCAATATCTCACTGCTAGTGCATGGCAGATGACAAATGCACACTGCAAGCTCTTCTTCCCACACCAGCACATGCGCTGCCAGCTTCATTTGAGATCCAGCCAGTGAACCACAGGGCTGAATCGGTATGCAGACTTCATTGTGCTGAGCTGGCCACAGAGGATACATTTAAATGAAGGGCTCAGGTTTGGGTTTGGGGTTTAGATTTTGCTAGAGGATCAGCAATGAGACATTAATTAATGTTAAGCCTATCCCTCTAACTAGTATAAAGTAATACCTGCCGACCCAACTGTGTGCGCATGTGTTGACCACTGCTCTGATGCCTAATAGTGTGTGATTTCCACTGAACCCTGCCTCAGAGGGATTGGGGGCCTATATAGTGATTCCTTTTGACATTATTCACCTGGGAACTGGTTCGTGCATTAGTCATTACCTGAGGGGAATATCTGGCAAGCTTTCCTCAGTTCTGGATGTCATTCAGAAATGTGCCTCTCAGGAAAGCTGTCCCTTCCAATCTCATTGTTGGTGGCAGTGCCTGGCTAGCATGTCACAGGTCTCCAGCCTGGGAGGCTTTGCTAAGGATGTCGGTGCCCTGAAACTCCTGACTCTTGATGCAGCTATGTACCAGGTCAAATCGACTCCACAGGGACCCGCAATTTATCCAGAAGGGCAATGACAAGGCCCTTCTGACCTCGTTTCATTTATTATTTGTCAGCATTTATTCTGTGCCAGGCATTGTATTGGGCACTGGAGATAAAATATCCCTGTATCCATGGAGCTTCCAGACTAGCGGGGGTGACAGACATCACCCAATAAATAAAAATGACAAATTACAATAACAGCTAAGAAGGAAAAGCATTGGATGCAGTGAGACAACACGAGGGAGAGATATTGGCTGGCAGAAAGCAGAATTTAAATTGGAAGGAGTGCAGAGAAAGCCTCTCTGTGGAAGTGATGTCTACCAGGAGCCCTGGAGAGCAGCTGTTTCCATCCCCTTCTCCCCACGGGTGAGGCTGTCCCCTTCCATTCCACCCCCATGTTCACAGACACACACAGATGCACAGACACACCCACATGCATACACTCAGACACGTGGACACAGAGATTCACACACAGACACATATACACATGCACACACAGATACACACAAGACTCATAGACATCCATATGGCCACACAGAAACACACAGACATCCAGGCACACAGACATAATGGACACACACACACACACACACACAGAGACTCACACAGAGACCCACATACACACACATAGATACACACATGCACACCGGCACACACACACATATGCATCTCTCAGTGACATGTCAAACCTGCTCCTGAGGGGCTGTCTGAGGGGCCGTTTCACCTGAGGGCACCCACAGGAAAGTTGAGGGGAGGCACTGAGGGCTAGGGCAGCCAGCACAGGGCCTGGCAAATGGCTTTGCCCTCAGCGAAACAATGGCTCCTGGTTGACGTGGTTCCACCTCTTGGTTCTTCTCCTGGCATTGTTTGCTGAGGCCAGCACTTCAGTCTCTGAATATGCAACATCTGCACATTCCAGTTTCTAGGCATCAAGCTCTTCCCTGAAATATCAGCACAAGTGAGTCCTCAGACTCGGGAGCTCCTTGCAGGCTCTAAAGCTCTGACACACATCTACACATTCTCATGGGGGCTCAGGAACAATGGGAAGGTCGGTAGGATATCTCAGTTTGACTGAAAAGGCTTTAAACACACACACGCACACACAAACATACACACAGGAGGGCTTTGTAAAAAAATGGGGAAGCTACTGAATAATCAGTGATCTCATGTTTTAAAATTGGAAAATTACATAGCAATATATTTAAACTGTGCATAAAACCTCACCATCCTCCTTCTGAGCCTCCAATCGCTGGCTCCCCGGTTCCCAGTGTAGAGGAAAGGACAGGGTGGAAATGGTTTGCCTCTGGGCCTCTGTCAGCTCCCATCAGTCCCTCTTTCCAAAAGTAGCCCTCAGTCCCTAGCCCAGGACAGGCATGTAGAGAGCTGCCTGGCTTCCCTTCAGCAGGCAGTGGGGAAGCCCAGGGACACCCTTGGTTTTGTGGATTGTGGTTTCCCTCCTCTCCTCCCACATTCCCACAAAAAGAAATGCAGAATCCGATCCTGTGATGGTGGCCTTTGTAATGACTGACTCTGGACGCAGTGGGTTACAACGTAGCCGCTCCTGGTGGAGTCAACCCTGGGCAGACCTACAAAGTTTGCCAGAAAAATCAATACAAAGCTGACAGATCAAAAGTGAGTCATGCCAGTTCTCCTCTTAGGAAACAGTTCGATGGGTGTCTGACTGCTGGCACCTCAGTTCTTTTCATAGTAGGTCTGAAAATAGCTCAGAAATCTTTAAATGTCTGGAGACGTAGGCGACAAAAAGAGTTTTAAGTGGAAAAAAACCTCCCCAAGAACCCCAATTCTGTTCCTGCCACACATACCCCCAGCCTGCCCGCTCATGCCGTGTAGGCTGCATTCCTGGGTGCCCAGGGACTGCTGGGCAGATGGACTGGCTGCTGTGGGAGGCCAATAGTCTAGGGCACAGGCTCGGTCATCCCTGGATGGATGATGAGCCTGGTCATCCAACCTTCAGAGGCCCAGGCCCTTTGTGCTGCCAACTCTGTGTGTCCCTTGTTACAAAGCTCTAATGTCTCTTCTGCCTGTGCCTGGTTGCTGGTTGAAAGGCAACTCCTTCCTAAATCCTTTTCTGTCTTTTAGATAGAGCCTTACTGGGCCCGTGCAGATTTTCCACTTCCTCGGCTGTGGCCCTTGGCATCTGCGGTTATATTCAACAGGAGCACCAACGGTGGCCAAGAAGTCACTAGTAAGTCTAAGACACTGGAAAGAGAAAGATTAGCCTGTGTGTGAGGGGAGTGGAGGGGTTGCAGAAAAGGATGGGTTGTTGGGGGAGAGCCTAGGGATGAGTCTGTTGGGAATGAACATGAGTTAACACGGACAGAAGCGGGGTGAGAGCCTTAGGATGGATACAAGAGGACCGATGTGCAAGATACCGAGGAAAGTGTGGGTGACACCTGGTCCGGTGGGTGCAGGTGAGGAGACAGAGGCACTACTGCAAGGGGCACCCCTGAAGTAGTGTTTCCCCATGAGTGGTCTGAAAGCCACCTGAACCCAAGTCACCTGGGAGCCTTTAACTGCAGATTCCTGGTTTCACCTCAAGAGTCTGAATTTGTAGATGGGTGATGCCCAGAAATCTACATTGTGAAGAGCTCCCCAGAGGATTCTGCTGCACAGTAAAGTGTCTCTCAAGTCTACACTGCTTATGACTGTGCGCAATGCCCTTTGGATTTATTTCCCTTGCATCTAACATGGTACTTGGCAATTACTCAGCTGCCAGTAAATAATCAATATTGTGAGTAAAGGGATACATACATTGGGAGGATTCAAAGATGACCGAAATTTCAACCTGAAGGGCCAAGAACACTGTGGTTCCATTGATAGAAATGAGGAAGAAGTCAGAAGGAAGAGCAAGTTTGGAGTGAAGTGGGAAATTCCATTTTAGAGAGGGTGAATGCCAATGCACATGGGTGATGTGGGTGTGGGGCTCGGGAGTGAGGGCGTCGGGCAGGAGACACAGGGGTCCTTTGCAGGTGGGTTGAGGCTGCAGTTGGATAAAGGGTGTGGCAGGCTCCTATGGACATTGTGGCTGTGGACAGAGCTGTGGGAGAAATGGAAGAGGGAGGGGTCAGAGGAGAAGGAAGAACCATGGGGTGATGGGAGGGAAAAGCAGAGCCTGCAGCACACAGCGCCTCAAAATCACAAAGGAGGGAGTTCCCAGGACTTAGAGGTTGATCTGTGTGGCCAAAGAATTCGGGGGAGCTTGAGGACAGGCCACTGAATTTGGCTATTAGGAAAGCACTGGTGACCATCAGGACAGCAGTTCCAAAAGGGTGGTGGGAACAGAGGCCGGTCACAGAGAAAACACAAGGAAGTGACAGGAGAGGAAAGCCAAGGTCGCCAGTAGAGATCACCCCCTCAGGATTTCTCAGGGAAAGGGAGAGAAATAGGTTGGCAGATAAGGAGTCAGCTGAGAAAAGCAAGGCTATGGCCTCACTCATCCCCAAGGGCCCCTTCTCATGCCAGGCTCCCTCAGGGTGCTGCCTGGCCTCCAGGCCTCCCTCTGCCCACTGCACACCCGCTCTGTGTATCCCAGGCACTCGGGCAACATGGCTCTGAGTATTCCCTGTCTCTCCAGGTGGCACCACCATCCATCCAGCCACCAACCCAGCCAGAAACCCAGAAACCATCCTCCCCTCCCTCTCCCTCATCCCACATCCAGTCACTGATGGAGTCCTGCAGAGCCGCCTCCCCGTCCACCTGCACTGCCCCTCCTCCCCACCCCACTCCCTTTGTATCTGATCTATACTGTGACCGTGACCTCAAATCAGCCACCTGTCCCCTCTCACACTTCCAAGCTGATGCTAGAGTCATATTCTGACAACATTCATCTGGTCAGGATATCTGTACCCTGGTGACAAAAGAATGAAGCTCAGGCTCTTCAGATGGCTTACTTCTGCCCCCCATCTGCACCTTGCTTTTCTCTAGACTTACTGACTTCGATGTTCTGCACACATGCTGGTGCTTCAGCCTCCTTCTCTCTGCCTATGCAGGTCCCTGTTACTGGAGGAAAAGGTTTTTTCCTTTTCCCTTCCCTCCACCTGGCCAGCCCTGACTCCCAGCACCATGCCCTGTCTGGCTGGCTCCTGGAGTCCTCTTTCTGTTTGTAGCCCAGAAGTCCTGTCTTCACAAAGGAAATAGTTATTCCTCTTTCCTCGTGTCCTCATTGCCCCCTTCATCCAAAAATGCTTCCAGGGGGCTCCTGTGCTCTCTATTCTACCAGATTGTGGAGCCCTCTGGCAAGCAGGGATGGGGGCCAGTCCAGGTGGAGAGCAGTGGGAGCAGCCCCAGTGATCGTTGCCCCCAGGAGGACTTGCTGGGCTAGGAGCACACTAGGTTAACTGGAAATAAAATAGACTCAATGGAAGGCCTAGAATAATGTCACTAGACATTGCCTCTCTTTTTGCTCTCTGCTCTTTTCCCTTCTTTCTTCTCTGCCCTTTCCTTTATTCACTCTATCCTGTTCCCTCTTTTTTTTTCTCTCTTTCCCTCCGATTTCTGGTTTCTTTTTATCCACTGTTCCTTCTGTAGGGCCTTACACAACTCCAAGGCATGCCAGCCTTCTTCTCCCCTTCTCTTGTATCTCTTTCCCCTCCCTCTGTTTCCCCTCCACGGGTCTCTGAGGCCTTGTTTGCATCTCTGTTCTGAATGCATCAGCTGCCAGCTGCAGATGCAGTCATTTGCTTGGGAGAATTTACCCAGGAGGATGGTGCTATTGACAAGTGAGGTCCCAGAAGGAGGAAAATGTTGCAGAGTTTCAGACCTGCACCATTGACCGGATGTAACAGCCATGTAAGGGCCTTGGGTGGAAATGCTAGTTTAAATTTCTCCTAAAAGTAGGAGGAGATAATAACCGTGTACATGCAACATTTAAGTTCTTCCCTCAAGGGGAGGTGTTTGTTTTTCCTTTTAAGATGTAAGGCATCCTGGCCCTAAAATACCCCCTGAATATCCATTTATACCCTTGCTGCAGGGATGGTGGCTAAAGGGGAGGAGCTGAGCTACACCCCACTTGATGGAACGCAAAGACTGTGGTGAGGTTGGAGAGCAGTGCTGTGCGTCCTTCCTCAGCCTTAACGAGTGCGGGGCAAGGTTAACACAGATTTCTACACCCTTTTGCTGCATACACAGACGAGGCCACCTGCAGATGCCACCACTGCTCAGTGTGAGTTGAGTGTTGGATGGGAGAGCCATCTGCTCCATACACCTCAGGGCCCCTTCTGGGGCCCAATAACCTCATGGGAACAGGTAGGGGATCTCCTAGCCTTCACAAAGGCAACAAACCAAAATGAGCAAAGAGTTAGCCCTGAAGTCGAATGGGATCTTATTGATTTTCCTCTGCCTAATGATTGTTAATAGGAGGAATCTGGATTCCGTGTACATAGGTGGAAATAGTGGAAATCCCAAAGGAGACAAGCTGATGATTTTAAAACTTGATTCACTTGGATCAGAACCTAGCTCAAGCATTTTCCTGATTGCATTGTCCCTGCAACTGTCGTCTATTGTAGCTGACTGCTGAAGAGGAAATGAAACCAAATAGAAGGTTGTTTGTAAGCAATCTCTCTGCTCTTCTTAAAAATAAATTAGGGATATCAGGATCGGCTCATGGCTAGAATGAGGACATAGAGAGACATGCAGAAATTCTGTTTTTATATTGAGGTGAAGAAGTGGGTAGGGAGGGCTTTAAGGATTATCTAATCCAACCTTCTCATTTTGCAGCAGTGGAAGGTGAGGCTTGGAGAGGCCACAGGATGTGCCTACAATCACAGAGCTGGAGGCAAAACCCAGCAGAACCAAGTCAGCCCAGTGGCCTTCCTACCGATTCACCATGGCCTTTGGACCGGCCCATACTCAGTCTATTTTAAGTAATGCCAAGAAGTGTCTCTATGTATCCCCCAGCAGTATTCATGCCCAACCAGCCAGGACACTCAGGGTTCCCCAATTTACTATTAGGGAGCCTACTTCGGCAGCAGGGAGAGTGGTACTTTGGGACAGGTTGGGGCTGGCAGGGCAGGCTGACAGAGGTGCTGAGCAGGAAAGCATGCAGGAGGAAAATCCTGCAGGGGTGTCTGTTTCACAAGAGTTACAAGAATACAGGACCATTCCTTCTACCAAGGAGGCTAGTGGTTCGAGATCCTAGAAAACTAGGACTCCGCCTTTACCAAGAATAAACAACAGCTTCTCCTTCCCCAAATTGCAAAAACAAACAAACAAACAAACAAAAAAAACACCCAGGCTTTCTCAGGAAATCTGGTCCCCAACTTTGAATGCCCTCCTTGTTTGCTACTGCATATGTAATTGAAATGCCTCCAAGAGATGCAAATAATTTTTGTCTATTTAATCTGCACACTTTTTGAGGCTGGAGTCCCGAGTGTGTCAGTATTACTGCCCATTCCCGAATCGAGGCACAGAGATGAAAGTGCAGCAATCAGACATAATGGTTCAGTGCAGCCTGTGTCAATGCTTGCACAGTAGTGTGTTAATGAGTGTTAAAACTGACATCTCAAATATGGCATCCTCAATTTTAAAAATTACAGCTCTGTAAGAAGTCATGCTGTTAAAACACACAAGAAATACCAGTTACGCCTTCAAGTAGCTAACACACAGCCTGTACAGATCACCACTATCCCAAAGTGCATAACAACTTATTTTCTTTGAAATGCGGCAAGAATTAGCAGGTAGTTCAATTATTTGAGTGCTAAGATAAGTAGAAATAACAAATGCAAATGTTAAATACCAATTACTACCTTACGAGCTACAAATCAGCTTGGCATTACAACATGCCCTTCCTCACTCACAAACCCGAGAAATGTGGGGGTTTGGCAGAAAACACAAACCTATAACCAATATGCATTTGTGCAACAGACGTGTCACTTCCCAACCCAGCACTTCCAAAATGCACATCACAGATATCAAAGCCTGGCCCATATATTTGGCCCACTGGCATTGAAAACAATAACCTTCAAATGCTGGGAGTGACACTTCTCTCAAGCTCACAGCTGGAAACAAGTCATCTCCAGTTTCTACTCTGTCCCCCTAAAGGAGGTTTACAGGTCAGTCTGACAGCCTGGTTGCCAAAGATGTCACCTCATATTTTTACAGAAAATTAACCTGACTCTCCCTGGTTAGCTTCAGGGACTAAAAGAAACTGCTGGTTAGATGTTATCTAGCAAGGTCGATCAAAGACCCAGTGGAGAGCACCTGTAAACTTCAAACCTTAGTGAGACTTTAGGGGAGAGGAAGATTATTTCTCCCTGGGTCACCATTCAGTCTACATTCCTTGTGGGAATTAGCTCCAGGGTTTAAGCCAGCCGGGTTGTTCTTTCTCCCACTTATCTGAAACCACCACTTGAAAAACTCAATGCTATTGGGACATTCTCATGCTCAGAAGTGAGTAAAGGTCCAGTTGGGCAAGATAATATTTTATATAAGTATATATGTATGTACAAGAGATGTTAAAAAGATAGTCTCTAAAGCACGTTGGGATTCCTCCAACGAAAGGCACCAGATAAATGCAAGTCATTACCAAAAAGAAAAGTCAAGTTTTCCAGCTTTCACATCTGCAAAGGGTAACCACTAGGGTACCTCTTTTTTGGTGGTAAGCCTTCTTGTTTAGAAAAATCTTCATGAAAGTGACTGAGTTATTCTGCCTTGTTCCTTGCTTCCACTTTGCATAAGCTTCCTGGTCAGCGGCCATGGATACCAGGCTCAGTGACCCAATACCATCAGCCTTGGCAAACTGATCCGTCCTCATAAGTCTGTACCACCACCTGCCTTCAGTGCAGCTGGGGATGAGTCCGTAAATGTTATGCCTTCCAGGGCTGGAAGCACCAGCCAAATCTAAGTGTTCCATGTGCAAATTCTGAAAAATAACTCTGCTCCTCTGATTCAGTGCCCAGTTGCCTCTAAGTCATCTCACTTTTCCTGATGCTTCAGAGACACGGATGTAGACACTAGGAGACAGCCACCTCCCAGCCTCCCACAAGCCTCCAGTCCAATGGAAAGATTTGAACTGGGGGCTCCAGGACACAAGTGGCTAGTGAATTCATTCAATAAATCACCCACACTGTAGTAGCCATGACAACTACAAGAACACAAAGCCTTCTGATAAGATCCTTGCCACACCTCCAATGAGGTAAGTATCATCTTCAATCAACTGAAACACAAAAGGACCTCTTAAGAAGAGGCCCAACCTTTGGATGAAAACCCTGGATAGCTCCATGCTCAGACCCCTGGGTTCTATTGCCTTTTCAAAGATGGAACAATAATGAAAGCCACCTGGAAAACCATCAGATTACCTTAAAGATGATGGAGAAGAATTATCTTATAGAGGAACCCAGGTTCCCCATCACAATGTTATGTGCTGGTTAACCGAACAAGAGGAGCAGGAGCATTTTGGAGGAGGAAACAGTCGTCTCCCTTCAATACAAGTTTGGAAGCTTGAAGGTCTTTTGAATAGCATTAAGCTTTTCAAGTTTACAATTTTTTATGACATTTTATGAACTAGCAGTTTTTTATTTTACAACTCTTTCCTTTCTCCTGGCCTCTACCCAGTCACCCCCCATGAAAGGCAGTGGGAATGCAAGTAAGAACTGCAGTGTTTCCATCCTGGGTAAGCCACACCACCATCGTGCACGTCTATATTTTGAGTACATGCTTCCATACCACCAGGTTTCCATGTCATGGCAGGAACTCCAGGGCAATCACAGCATCATATACAACATACTATATCCTAGAAGCAAAATTATCTGACTAAATTCTGCTTGGAAATAAAAGGGCTCTCATTTGATGAGCTTTCAGAGTAGGCAACAAAAGTATTTAAGCTACTGCCCTTGCTAGCAACCCAACAACGTTCACCTCAGGGAGACGATACAACAGTAAACTTCTTTTTAGTTGAGGAAGACAACACGACCTTACTCCTAAACATCTTAAAAAATAAATATTTCAAAAACATGCTAATATCTTAGACACAGCAAAGTTTGGTCAAATGGCCTAGATCAGAAACCTCATCCGGAAATACATTTCTCTACAGTCACCCTAGGAAACAAGGAGGCTTGACTGTGAACCAAGGGGCTCAGCCTGCACTAACTTGGCTTTAAGCACCCTAGGGTTTGGACTATTTAGCTGAAGCCCCTCTCCCTAACACATCTGTTCTTGGGAAAAAAATTCGATCTTCACTGCATGTTTAACTAAGTAACATTCTCTAAAGAGTGACATTTATGAGATGAACATCAGTGTACATCGTTCTAAAGATGATTGGTGCACCCATGCAAGCCACGGAACTACAGATCATTTATAAAAACAACTTAGAGACTTGCATTGGTCAAGTCTGCTTAACTTTGCATTCTCTTTGTTTTGGTACTAAAACTAAGTGAAAGCAATGGATAAAGAGCTGAGATTTTGTTTTCACATGACTGTGAGCAAAATCTCATCATATCCTTGCTGACCTCATAGATGCATTTCTACTGGACGACTTGTGGGGGCTTTTTGTACAGAACTCACACGACAACCTCAGAAACAGGAGCACGACAACTCATAGACAGTACTGGGCCACAAGCACTAGAATAGCGTACACGATGGACAGAAAAATTAGCATTCTGGGTGTACTCATCTGGCAAAAAGGTGAACATTTTATGCCCACGATGCAAAGACCAGTGAGTGTCATTTCATGGAAAGGTGCAAAGGCATGGTGTCAGACACACCACCCTCTAAAAACGATTCTAAAAACTGTAAAAGAAACCTGGGTGCATATCCCATGCATCTCTCCCCTCAGGGGCTGGGCATACTCCTTACACCATAACCATAAGGTGCCTGGGCTGTGCCAGAGGCACAAGAGGCAGCTCAGCAATGTGGGGTGGAGGGTGACAAGTCCTCCCGGCTAACGTAGGGAATCATTTAAACTGAGTTCACTTGGTGAGCTCCTGCTCATGTTCGTCAGGCTTGCCATAAGGGATTTAACTTTATGGGCATAATAGTCCCTTAAATTGACCGAAGGGACCTCCTTCATTCCATCTCCAAAGTCACAGCTGCGCATGGCACTCTCAAGTTGCTTTTGGCGCCGGTAAAAGTGGGAGAACTTATTGAAGATCAAGGTGATGGGCAGGACCACCACGAGGATGCCTGCCAAGATGCAGGCAGAGGCAGTCAGCTTTCCTGCCGTGGTCCCTGGGACCACATCCCCGTACCCCACTGTGGTCATACTGACGGTAGCCCACCACCAGCAGGCAGGGATGGTGGCCAGGCCCTCGTTCTCCTCCTTTTCAATGGTGTAGGCCACCACGGAGAAGATGGAAATCCCCACGGAGAGGTAGAGCAAGAGCAGCCCTACTTCTTTGTAGCTGTATTTCAAAGTGGCCCCCAGGGAGCGGAGGCCAGTGGAGTGCCTGGCCAGCTTTAAGATGCGGAAGATCCGCATCAGCCTCAGGACCTGGGCCACCCTGCCCAAGTTGGCTAAAGTAGGTGTGCTCTCCACCACCAGGTTCACCACCAGAGTGATGTAAAAGGGGACGATGGACATGAGGTCAATAAGGTTTAGGGCATTCTTGAAGAACTTGAGGAAGTCAGGGGCCACAGCAAACCTGGCCACCAGCTCAAATGTGAACCAGGCAATGCCAAAGTGCTCCACGATTTCGAACCTAGGGTCCTCGCCAGGGTTGCCCTGGCTGTCAGGGATTTGGAAATCGGGCAGGCTATTGAGGCACATGGTGATGATGGACCCCATCACCACCAGGATGGACAGGATGCTGAAGACCCTGCTCAGCACTGAGTAGCCGGGGTTGTCCAGCGCCAGCCACAGCTGCCTGCGGAAGTTGCCGAGGGGCTGCCCATCGAACTTGGAGGCGTCGTTGTAGAAGGCAAGGATCTCATCGAAGGAAGACGTGGTGCTCTCCTGGTCACTCTGCTCGTCCCACTTCTCCTGCTCGGGCTCTACTTTGCGGCCATGGTAGCTGTAGCTGCAGCAGGAGTCAATGAAGAACTCGTTGATGCCCCAGTACTCGATCTCCTGGCTGAAGGAGAAGACACATAGCTCAGCCAT
This sequence comes from Homo sapiens, assembly GCF_000001405.40. NCBI lineage: Eukaryota > Metazoa > Chordata > Mammalia > Primates > Hominidae > Homo > Homo sapiens. The sequence goes on along the minus strand of NC_000008.11, from coordinate 98,428,255 downwards.
GACGTGAAGCTTGCCGGTGTGATAGAAATGCAGCACGTAGGGGAAGAGCTCAGGGTTGCGGTCGAAGTAGAACTCCCGCTGGACGTCGTCGTAGTCATCGCAGAGCTCCAGAATGGCCTCGCGCGAGTGGCAGAGCAGCAAGCGGCCCAGGCGCGTCTCGGGGAAGCGCAGCAGCGTGTGCGAGCGCAGCCTCCTCTTGAAGCCGCCCACATTGATGCGGATCTCCCCGTCCTCGACGTTAGCCTCCGACACGTCCCACAGGCTCTGGCCGGTCATGCTGGAGGCGCCGGCCGCCCGCGCCGCGCGGGGGCGCTACACCTGGAAGCGGAGGGAACAGCGTCGGCGAGAGCGCCGTGCGCCCTGGCGGGGCCCCCTCTCCCTACCCATTACTGGCGGGCCCAGGCCTCCTGGTGGGTCTTGGGTGCTGAAGGGCTGGGCTGGGGCAAGAGTTTGAGGGGTCTGATCCCCTCCCAGGAAAGGCTGGGGGTGGGTATGTTTCTATTAGCACAGCTCCACCCCAGGGGTCTCGGTGGGCGCTTTGCGCGTGCGGGGTCGCGTCCCCGCGGCTCTGAGCGCCCAGGGGGCTGCATGCTGACCTTGTCCATGGGCAGGCCCGGGAGACGCCCCCGCCCGCTCGCCGCAGACAGGCGGGACCGGAGCTGAGATACGCACGGGCAGGGCCGGGCCGACACGGGGGGCGCGTAGCTTTGGTGGGGTGGGGGGGATGCGCTGGAGTCTGGAAACCCGGGCCGCGGGAATGAGGGGGGCGGCCCGGCCTCCCCTGGGTCCAGATCCCACGCCTGCAGCCCCCGCGTCCCCGGCCCAGGTCTCCCTGCCGGCCTGGCGCTATGCCCCGGGGCCGCGTGCGCTGCGCCTCACCCAGCGGGGCTGCCCGGGCTCGCCCTGCGCGTTCTGGAAGCGCTTACCTGGGAGCACGGGTGCCCGCGGCCGAGGCCGGCGGGAAACTTCCCCAACCCGCGGGCGAGCATCGCGGCGGTGGCCGCTGCCTGCTGGCGGTGCGTGCGCGGGTGCGAGTGTGTGCGCCCGGCGGGCCGGCGGGCGGGGGCCGCCGAGCGTCTCCTCCCGTCTCGGGCCGGGTACGCCGCCGCCGCCCGCAGCTGCCGAAGGCTCACAGGTGGCTGCGTGGTCCCGCCGCTCCCGGAGCCCCCTCTCCGGATCCGCGCGCCCCTCACCCACCCAGAGAGGCAGGAACCCGCGCCGCATTCGCCCCGTGAGCCGGGGCGGGAGCAGAGCGGGTGTGACGGGGCGCCCGCCCTGCGCGGGGCGCGGCGCGGTGGTGCTGAACGGACAGCTCCGCGTGCCTCGGCCGCCGCCCGGGCTCGGAAGGCGCAGCCGCCGCCGCCGCTGCTTCTCTGCGCTTCCCCGGCGCGTCACCGCGACCACCTTGCGCCCCCGGCTCGGCGCGGGGCCGACACCTCTCCCTTCCCCCCGACCATCCCCCGGTGACAGCTGTTATTATCACCACCCCCAGGGCGCAGGCAGGGGGCTGCCTACGGTGACCTTTCCCCGCTGGGTCTGGCGGGAGCTGGGCTGGGAAATAAAGGGCGGCTTGCGCGTGTCCGGGGACAGGGCGGGACCGGAGGAACTCCAGGTGTCCCCTTTTAGGGACCTGAAGAAAAGTTTCCCGAAGCCCGGGGGTGGGGTTGTTGGGGAACAGGAGCTGGAGGGGAAAAGAGGGGGCCGGGAAGTCCAAGGTGGAGATCGGCTTAGTACGCGGGGGGCGGGAGCGCAGGCCGCACGGCGGGGGCGGGAGTCGCTGAGTTCTGGTCGGGAGCTCTGTGTGGGCACAGTTTGTGTCCAGGCCGGTGTGGTGTGCTGGCTGTGCGGGACTGCAGGGCGCTGTGTGTGTATGTAGGCTGAGGACAGCAGGACTTTTCAGTGTCTGTGTGTACCGCGTTCATTAAAATGGGTCCTCTGTCGGATGGGAAGATGCGTCGGCACAGGGGGGACCTGGGACGTGTGTCAGCGCAGTGTGTGGCATGGGGAACCGTGTGCTGTGTGTACATGTGCTGTGTACAGTGTAGTACTCTTGGGACTGTGACGGGCTCATGTGTGTGGAATATGTTGAGAGCGGTGTGCTTGCCGACAGTGGGGACTGGGGGGTTCAAGCTGGAGTGGGGACTGGTAGATGTGCTCAGGATCTGTGTCCCTATTCCTAAGAAGACTCGTGGCCCAGATCTGAGCTCTTGGTCTGCTGGGATTGTCCTTAAGGCCCTGCCTACTGGGCTGAGCTGAGAAATGGACCCAGTCCCTGGGGAGCCCCCTCCCTTTGGTGTTTCTCTGTGGTGTCCACTTGCAAAGACTGGAGCACCGTGGTTGTGTGAGCTTAGCAGGGAGCTAGCGTCTACATGTCTCGGTCAGAAGTCCTGGGAATGCCCTTGCAGGGTGGCTCTGGATTCATGGTGCAACCACCACTGCCACAGTGGGAAGTACATTCTTTCTTTACGCAATCCTGGCAATGCCGTCCCAGCTGAAAAGGTGCTCTGTGTAGCTCTGGAGGGCTTGGGGCCTCCTTGGAGGACCTGTAGAGGACCGTTAATCTGGCTTCGAATGGGGGCTCCTGCATCCAAGTCTGACCCATCCCTGTGACCCACTGGCTTCTGGACATGTGTGTGGGTGTGAATGCAGGTGTGTTTCCTGCTGAGAGGGCTTCACACCCATGCCCCTGCAGGCCTCTGCAAATGTGGTGGATTCCACAGAGGCAGCCACATGGGAGAGGGATAGTAGGGTAGTGAGGGCCACACACACTTCCTCTTTCTTGTGTATGACCTTTCCCCAGGCTTTGGGAAACTTTTCTTCAGGTCCCTAAAAGAGGAATCCAGTCCTCCATTCTGCCCTACCCTCAAACACACACAAGCCACCCTTTATTTCCCAGTGTGTTTGTGTGTGTGTGTGTGTGTGTGTGTCTGAGAGGGAGAGACGGAGAAAAATCTGATCTTGGTTATCCTTGTCTTCATCTCCCTTTCTTTCAGGGTCTGTGTGTGGACAGCAGCCTCTATCTAGGTCTGCTGGGTCCATCATTGGAGGTCTGTGGCTCCCACACACCTGGCTGCAGTCTGGGAGCCCCTGGATCTCCTTCATCCCCATGGGGGTGCTGTGGAGAGAGTGCCACCCTTGCTGAGGGGGTGTGTGCTTCAGTGCATTTATAATCCCTGTGTCAGTGCCTCTTTCACCCTTTTCCAATCCCCCCTTCCACACCTTCGGCGGGGTGATGGTGGCTGCAAGGTGTCTCTGCTGCAGGGGCCTGAGCAGCAGCACCTACGGGACAGCCTTCATGGGCCCTGTGGCTCTCCCTAGCTCTCACCCCTATCCTTTCACTACGAGCTGCCTGCCTTCCGGCCCCTCCAGAGCTCACAGCCCCCTTCTGTGGCTTCTGCCACATGTCGCCATTCCCAGCCGCTCCCATTCCCTTGGCCTTGGCTCCTGGCTATTCTGGTTTAGCTCAGTGCATAAATCACCTTTTTCTGCTGCATTTGGAGGGTCCTTCCTTCTACACATACTTGAGTTTGATTCCTCCAGGGCTTTCCTCCCTCCCCTGCTTCATGTATCTGCCCGCCTCCTTCTGTTCCTGTCTGTTGTTCTTTCTCCTTCATCCTCTGTGGTCGTGGGAGATTTCACCCATGGAGAGAGAGCCCTCTGCCTTCTGTTTTTCTTTGTTTCTTCCACACCCACGGCCACCCCACCTGCAGACCAGGCTCTGCCTGGGCCCCTGGGGCTCTCACCCTCCCATCTCTCTAACAGAGGCCACTCCTTGCCCCTCTCAGCTCTGCCCCTGCTCTTGCCAACAACCCGACCTCCTACCTTCCTCCCTCTCTCCCTCCCCCTTGTCCCCTTCCCCAGCTGAGAGAGCTGTGCCAACATGCTTCCAGCTACACTAGGGCCCTGTGTCTAAGCCTGCCCTTTGATAGCTCTTTCTGTGAGTTTGGGGTCAGGGACAAGCCCCCCTGCTCACCTTTCCTTGAATGGCAGAGTGAACTTGGAGCCTGCAGGGAGAAGCCCAATGTGGGGCACATCAGTTATTTATTGGAAAGGCTGAGACAGAAGCTCTGTGGGTCTGACAGATGCCTTTGCAGAGGTTAAGTGTATGTGACAGGCAGAGCCACTTGTTTATTTCCCAGTCATCGTGCTGAAAAGAAATGGAGCCATCTCCCTCCTTCCATACCGGGGAAGCTGGCTTTGTTTATGGTTTATTTAGAGGTCTGAGCCCTGATCTTAAAATACAGCCACTGCTCCAGGCGCAGGTTGAGGCCTGCCTCTGGGCTGGCCTGGCTGGCCTGCTGGGAAGATGGTGAGGGGGTACAGGTGTGCAGGGAGAGGCACCCTGGGAAGGGGGATGAAGAGACCTTAGTCAGTGGCCCAGATCCTTGCACCTGGCCGACTGTTATCTCTGCCTTCACTGCCAATGATGATCTCTCAGCTGAGCCCACACATCTCAGACTCAGCTTTTCTCCCCCTGACAGGCGAGGGGGCTGCACTGGCAGCTTGGCTGAGGGAGCTGCCTGACCTACATTCCCCACTGTGAGGAACAGTTGGGTCCTTGACCTTCCCCCTGGTGTTTCAGCACAGAGGTGCTTTCCGCCCTGAAGGACTGGACAGTTCACCTGTGTCCATCCTGCTCCCCACCAGCCATCCTCCCCACAGCAGCCAGAATGTCTTTTAAAAACACAAACGAGGTCATGTCATTCCCTCCTGAAAGCCTTCCAGGGACTTCCCATTGCACTGAGAATGAAAACCATCTCCTAACCACAGCTCCAAGACCCCCTATGATACACTCTGCCCACCTCCCAAACTTCGGCTCACTGCTCTCTTCTCCACCAGCTGTGCTCCAGCCGCATGCCCGCTTTGCTCCCTGTGCAGGGCCTCTGCACTACCACACTCCCTGCTTGGCATGGCGGTTCACGGGGCAGGCCCCTTCTTGCCACTCAGGTGATTTAAATATCACCTCCTCAGAGAGGCCTGACTCCCCAGTCTAAACTGGAGCCTTTGGTCAGTTTCTCTTGTGCCTTCACGACACGTATATTAAATAGTTATTGAATACAGGATTGGATGACGAATGAATGAGGCCCCAGCTGCTATGTTAAGTTATTCTGTGCCTGCCAGAGTCTTGGCCCCAACTCCTTCCTCCTGATGCATCAAGAAGGGAACTGGATGGGGAGGGAGTCACTGTGCTTGGAGCTGTGGTCTGGAGCCCCCAGGCTCTGGGGTGCTCTCCTGAGCAACTGATCAGCTTAGTAGATCTCAGTCCTAGCTGCATATTCGAATCACCTGGGGAGATTTTAATTTAGCCAATCCTCCTAGATGCCTTGGGCCTCACACCAGGCCAATTAGATCAGAGTCTCTGGTGAGGGCAAATCGGCATTTCTTAAGCTCCTAAATGATTCCAGGGTGGAGCCAAGGTTGAGCCCCTGAGCAGCCTGACTTTGGGGGTGCGGATCGAGAGCTGTGTGTCCATGAGTCTGCACCCGGCGGTCAGTATCAGGGATGGGGTCTGCGTCTCACTCGGTTTGGCAGACACCCACCCACTGCCCCAGGTCTTAGGGCAGGGCCTGCCTGCGGTGGGAGCACTGTGAGGGCTGAGTGCCTTTGTCGTCGCCTCCCTCCATGCCAGACTCCCAGACGGTTTCCTGTGCCTGCTCCTCCCAGAATTCTTTACCTTGGAAACAATTTGAGATTAGGATCTGTCACAGTTTCTCCTCCTCCTTGGAAGAGGATCCCCTCTTGAGCCGTTTTGATGTTGATGGTGGAAATGGGGACGGAGGACAAGGGAGCTAGCCAGCCTGTCTGGGTGGCTTTACAGTAGCAAGGGCGCAGGGGCGTTGCTGGGGATGGAGGCAGGCCTGGAGATGAGGGAGGCAGGAGAGCGAGACCCTGGAATGAGGGAAGCCAGGTCTAGGCCCCAGTGAAGTTGGAGTGGGGGGAGGGGAGAGATTGAGAGGAAAATTGGAGAACAAAGGATTTTAGAAGTTTTGCTGCACGTTACAAATGCAATTCCTCATGAAGTGTTTTCTCAGGAGGCAACAGTAAATGTTTATATGGCTTTTGCATTGTTCCTGGATGCTGGACTGAATTTGTTTTATAGGTGAGTCCTTGCCTGGGCCATTTGGCTTTATCTGCAGAGGCCACTCCCCCATTTGACTACAGCCCTTCCATCCCTGTGTGCTCCCTGGAGGCCAGCGATGAGGCAGAGAAGGGTGTGGTTGTGTCTGAAGAGCTTCTCTAAGAGTCCTTTAATGAAAAGGGGCCCAGATCCTCCAGTCTGGCCTGCACAGGGCCCACACCTGTGGGGTTGGAGCCCTCAAGTTCCCTCCTCTGATGCCTCCTGCTCCAAGTTCCTTATCCTTGGAGGGCTCTTCACCAGCCCCACTAGGCACTGCTCCCTTGGGGGCCCTCCACTGAATTCCTCAGGACATCCTGAGACAAGACTGGAATAATTAATTTTTTATTTATTTATTTATTTTTGAGACAGAGTCTTCCTCTGTCACCCAGGCTGTAGTGCAGTGGTGCGATCTTGGCTCACTGCAACCTCCACCTCCCGGGTTCAAGCAATTCTCCCACCTCAGCCTCCTGAGTAGCTGGGACTATAGGCACCTGACACCACACCTGGCTAATTTTTGTATTTTTAGTAGAGACAAGGTTTCACCATGTTAGCCAGGCTGGTCTCAAACTCCTGACCTTAAAAGTGATCCACCTACCTCAGCCTCCCAAAGTGCTGGGATTATAAGCATGAGCCACTGCACCTGGCCCAAGGTTGGAATAATTAAGAGAAGTTTGATTAAATTTAAACTTAGAGTCACCACAAAGGAAATGAACAAGAGGACAACATGGCTGCAAGGGTAGGGGCAACCACCTCCCTCCAGGGCCCCTCTCAGCCTCAGGGGTCTGGCCATCTTTCCCCTCTACCCTAGGTCCTCCTGAAGACCACTGTGCAGAAGTTGAGGCCCAGGGACCCAGAAGCTCCCTCTCCCTTGGCCTCAGGCATATCCTATGCAGTCAGCTGTCTCTCCTCTCCTGAACTTTCTGTGGGAGGCTGACAGCTGAACTGAAGCCCCCATCCCCTCTCACTGGCCCTACCTTCTGGGACCAGTGGAATGCCCAGATCAGAACAATTCACCCTGAGGCCCTCCGGTGCGTTCAGGGAGTGGAGGAGCCTCAACTACCACCCACCACAACAGGTGACTACGGAAGATGAAGATGGCAGAGAAAATGAAGAGCCAGCCCCGCACCATGAAGCTAGCTGTCCCAGTCCTGCCCTTAGCCATGAATCCTTGGGTGAAACATTTACTCTCTCTATGCCTCATTTTCCTCATCTTGAAACCTATGAGAGTCCCACACTCATAAGATTACTGTGAGAATTAAAAGATGCATTAAAGAGCTATATACCAAGGCCTGACACATAGCAAGTGCTGAAAATGTTAGCCATGACGAGTGCCAATTGCTGAGTGCTTGTGATGCGTCGGCCCTGTGCCAAGCTCTCTGCTTGCCTCTTGCCCTCACTTGGGTACTATTATTACCTCATTTAATGATGCCCATTAAGTGGGGTGTTTAGACTCAAACATGTCTCTGTGGTATCCAAATCTGCCCTCTTAACTGTCTCAAGTAGGTGCAGGACCAATTAGGGTAGGCTAATTGCTGTAACAAACAACCCCCAAATCCCAGGGACTTAACATAATACAGCATTCCCCCCTTATCTGCAGGGGATACATTCCAAGTCCCCCAGTGGGTGCCTGAAACTACAGATAGTACCAATCCTAGAAATTTTTTTCTATACACACATACCTATGATAAAGTTTAATTCATAAATTAGACACAGTAAGAGATGAACAATAACTAATAATAGAATAGAACAATTATAACAATATGTCAATGTCACCACTCTTGTGCTTTAGGGCCATTATTACAAAAAGGGTGACTTGGACATCACTGTGGCCCTGAGGCAGTTGATCTGATAACCAGTGTGGCTGCTAAGTGACTAAGGGGTGGGGAGCACCTGTAGCATGGATTCGCCAGACAAAGGGAGGATTGCTGTCCTGGATGGGACAGCAAGAGATTTCACCATGCTACTCAGAAAAGCACACAATTTAACATTTATTAATTATTTCCACAATTTTTCATCAAATACTTTCAGACTTCAGGTAAATGAGACCAAAGAAAGTAGAACCTCGGACAAGGGGGAGGGCAACTAGAAAACAATGATTTCTTGCTTGTGTTATGGTCCAGTTGGGTGTTTGGAAAGCGTCTTCCCCACATGGTGATTCCAAGATCAGTATCCTTCCATCTAGATCTCTGCCAGCTCCCAGGGCCCCAGAATCCTTTCCCGGCATCCTCTGTATTAAGTTGAGCGATAAGGGAAGAGACAGAGCATGGACAATGACACAAAGATGCTTTCGAGGCCAGGTCTGAAAGTGGCAGACTTCACCTCTGCACAGCCCCTGGCCAGAACTCAATCATATAAAACCACAGGGTGTCGAGATTATAGGAAGAAGCAGATCATAGAAACTGGGGTCCCTGGCATTCTCTGCTGCTGATGGATGAGCAGAAGCTGGTAGACATCCTGCATCCATTTCTCCCAAGGTGGAGACAGGGGGCACAGGAAAGTCCTCATTGCTATCCTTGGCTGGAAGGACCTCACTCCAGGTCCAGGATGCAGCCCAGGATGCCCAGGCTCTCTAGGAGTCCTGGTTGGCACTGAGAAATGTTCTCTTAGTCTTCAATAGGACTTTGTTTTCCTTTTCTCAGAATAAAGTCTTCCACTGTGAACTTATCCGCACTGCATTTTAGAAGGGTGCCATTCCACGTTCCCACTGAAGCTGGAGGGGTTTGGGCAGAAGAATGTAGTGAGGGATTTTAGGTAGATCACAGACTCTTTTTTTTTTTGAGATGGAGTCTCGCTCTGTTGCCCACACTAGAGTGCAGTGGGGTGCTCTCAGCTCATTCCAACCTCTACCTCCTGGGTTCAAGCGATTATCCTGCCTCAGCTTCCCAAGTAGGTGGGATTATATGTGCCCACCACCACGCCCAGCTAATTTTTTTATTTTTCGTAGAGACGGGGTTTCACCATGTTGGCCAGGCTGGTCTCGAACTCCTGGCCTCAAGTGATCCTCCTGCTTCGGCCCCCCAAAGTGCTGGGATTTCAGGCGTGAGCCACCGTACCTAGCCAGATCACAGACTCCTGGGGCCAGAAGCCAGACTTGGAAGCTACAGAGCCAGGACATACATGCCGTTGGTGGCAGGATGCTGCAGTCCCAGCACAGTGCTGCACACAACACCATGCAGGCACCAAGGGTGGTGGGAGGTGCTTGGAAGCTACTGCTCTAAATGCACTGACTGCATGTCTTTGTCTGCAGGTTGTGGCAGAGTGGAGCACAGAGGGCTTGGAAAAGCCTGGCTGGTATAGATGGGAGGGAGAGGGCAGGGGGAGCTATAACATGTAAGAGTCTAGATGGGGCAGAATTCACCTAGATATGGAGTGGAAGCTCAAGGACCCTGCTCCAAAAACCCACCCCGCTCCTCCTCCCTTGACCTCTACTCCTTCCCTAGGCTGGGAAGTTGTGAGAAATCTCTCAGGGTAAGATCCCTTTCTGTCCTGGTCTGTTTGTCTTTATCATGCCCAGCTGTCTACCCTAGGACACATTCCAAGCTCCCAAACCTCCCTCAGTTCAGAGGTGCTCACAGCTGCTGCCCCAGCCCTCGCCCTTCTGCTGTGAAAGTGACACCTGCCCACCCACCTACCCATCCGCTGCCCATCGATCCATCCATCCATCCACCCACGTACCTATCCCACACCCTGGATGCCTCTGTGGGCTCCTGTTTCCATGGTTACTTCCAGGGCCTGAGTTGGCTCTGGGTTTTCTGAAAGATTCTCCAGCTCTAGGCTATTCCCCATGACAGCTTTGTTGCTGGACTCAAATCCTGGATAGCTTCTGAGATACCACGCTGCTTGTAGCTCTCCCTACCCACAGATCAGGCATTGCCTGCAGATTGGTCCATCAAAGTGATCAGTTTTCTGGACCAAAATAAAATCAGAACTGGACACAGTGGCTCATGCCTGTAATCTCAGCACTTTGGGAGGCCAGGGTCGGAAAATCACTTGAGACCAGGAATTTAAGACCAGCCTGGGCAATATAATGAGATCCCATTTCTACAAAAAAATTTTTTTAATTAGCTGGGGATGGTGGTACACACCTTTAGTACCAGCTACTGGAGAACCTGAGGCAGGAGGATTGCTTAAGCCCAGGAGTTCAAGGCTGCAGTGAGCTACAATTACACCACTGCACTCCAGCCTGGGCAACAGAGTGAGACCCTGTCTCTAAAAAAATTAATTAATTAAATTAAATTAAAAACTCTCCACTACTTGAACAGCGAGGCGTTCTGGAAGGAGAATGCCTGGGGGGCTGCCACAGGAAAGCAGGTGGAAGTTCCCAGAGATAGGCAGGTGCTTGGCTGGGACGGCCTCTTTGTAATAATAACAAAAGCTAGCATTTATTGGGCACTTACTGTAAGCCAGGCACTGTTATAAGGATTAACGTCTAGTAACTAGGTTAATCATCACAACAACATGGTGGGGCATGTGCTAGGATGATCTGAGGGGGAAACAGGCACAGAAAGGTTGAGTACCGTGTTCACAGTTACAGAACTCACCAATGATAGAGCCAGGATTCAAGGCAAAACAGGGTGGCTCCAGAAACTGTTTGTTTGTTTGTTTATTTATTTATTTATTTTTTGAGACAGAGTCTCGCTCTGTCACCCAGGCTGGAGTGCAGTGGCACAATCTTGGCTCACTGCAACCTCCGCCTCCCAGGTTCAAGCAATTCTCCTGCCTCAGCCTCCTGAGTACCTGGGATTACAGGTGGGCGCCAACACTCCTAGCTAATTTTTTGTATTTTTAGTAGAGATGGGGTTTCACCATGCTGGCCAGGCTGGTCTCAAACTCCTGACCTCGTGATCCACCCACCTCGGCCTCCCAAAGTTCTGGGATTACAGGCATGAGCCACCGCACCCGGCCAAAACTATGTTCTTAAACATTGCATTCACTGCTTCTCTACAGCCTTCCACTCCCCCACCCCTGGGATTCTGGAAGTTTCCCTGAGTCATTTTTTCAAGACAAGAGGTTCCTGAACACCTCCCCAGCACTCAGCTCTGCTCTGAGCCCACATGTGAGAAGCCCCCCTTTCCATTCTAGGCCCACCTGGGAGCAGCTGTCAGTTACTCAGAAGCCTGGAAGGGTCACAGCTGTTCTCAGGAGGAGTCCCCTGGATTCTGCCATCTGGCTGGTCTGTCTGTGGGCTCTGGAGGATTCCCCCAGGACAAAGCCAAGCTGCAGCTTGTCCTTAGAGACCTTCGGGAGGGTGGGAAGAAGCAATCCCATCAGAGAAACCCAGCTGAGGGAAGACACAAGATGTTCCCCACGAGTGACAAAAAGCTAATTCACACCCTTCCCTGCAGCCAAAAAATTAAGCTAATTTTTCATTTCTCTGCTTACGTGTGACTCAACTAAACATAGGCATCTAGGAATGCAAACAATGACTAGATTTTCTAATTTAGGGCAGTTTAATTAAATCTTGCTAAAATGACGGAGGCTCTAGGTATTTTTATCGTGGTAGAAAGCTCTGTGACTTGGAAAGAGGAGGGGTGGGGAACACAATGCTGGAAGCACCTCCTCTCCTGACCCTCTCCCACCTGCACTGGCCTCCAGGCCTGCCCAGTGGAGTGTGTCTCCTGAGAGAAGGAGCGGTCCTCTCTTAGGGTTCTAATTTCCTTTGCTCTTGTTTATATTAAAGGAACATGTTTCCTTACATTACATTCATTCTAATTAGCTGGGGCTAGAAAGAAAAAGTCCAAATCACTTAGCAAAAAAAAAAAAAAAAAAAAAACAGTTTCAAACACAAGATTATTTTTGAGAAAAATTTAGACTTCCCAGAAGTTTAAGGTATAAATATTAAGAAACAAAAATAAAAGATGTCAAAGCTAGAGTCTTCTAGTGCATCTTGATCGCCCAAATCCAGCTCTCAGTCCCTTCTGGGCATATGGAAGGATGACATTTCCCTGGCCCCTCTTAAGTTTGGAGGAACCACGTGGCTTGCTCTGGGCAATGAGCTGTGATCTGAGGTGGCAACTTGCATATGGGCCAGAGCATTGAATGGCCCAGCTTGTGTGAAAGCCTACAGTGTTTTCTCCCTCTGCTGTGGAAGTACATGTTGACATGATGGTGCCCCAAGGCCAAAGCAGCCTGGATCTCTGAGCTACCCCATGGAGTACAAGTGCCCTAGAGTCTCTGGGACCTGAAACAGACTGTGTGCATACAGCTGGGTCACATCACTGAGATTTGAGGGGGACTGGCTGTCTCCTATGGCAGAGTCTCTCTTACCCTGATGAACAAATAATGCTTTTGTAATAATCATTGTACAACAATACCACATTATTTTAATTATATTAGATTACTTTGGAATTTCAAAAAATCATCTGTTCAGTTAGCCTGGAATAGGATGAAGTTTACTTTTATTGAGTCTAGAGAAAATTGTTGGAGAACATGTTTAACCTATTAAAGCAAACTTTCTGTGTTCAGATGAAGGCTTTAAAATTTACCCACATTTCAGGGTAAAGATAATGGCAGCCTCTCAGAAGAAAAGGGGTCAGAATAAGAGTGGGATTATATTTCTCAAAGAATTGTGGTTGCAGGCACATCCATGAGTGGGAAGCAGACTCTTAGGAGGGAATAGAGATGGAGTGGTTGGGAAGGAGATGAGAAGATGTTTGAAGAATTTTAAGAAGGTTTTCTGTGTGATGTGCTGCCACATCAGGAAACCACTCATTATAATGTTTTAGATGAAGTAATGCCGACTACTATCATCAACAAAAGTATCGTGGCTCAGTCATGATAGAATTTCACTTCTTATTCACATAGAGTCTGTCTTAGTTGATTTATGCTGCTATAACAAAATACCCGAGACTGGATAATTTATAAAGAACAGAAATTCGTCATAATTCTGGAAGCTGGGAGGTCCCAGTTCAAGATTCTGGCAGGACTGGTGTCTGGCGAGGGCTGCTGTCTGTTTCCAAGATGGTTCCTTATTGCAGCATCCTCCAGAAGTGGAGACGTTGTGTCCTTACATGGTGAGAGGGTGGAAGAGAGTGAACTCACTCTATCAAGCCCTTTTATGAGAGCCTAATCCCATTCATGCAGGTACAACCCTCATGATTTAATCACCTCCTAAAGTCCCCACCTGTTTATCACATTGATCATTAAGTTTCAACATGTGAATTTTGGGGGACAAATTCAGATCATAGTAGAGTCCAAAATATTTGTTCTAAATTAGTGGGCATCTCTCCTACAAGTGATGATTCAGGGACTGGGCACCTCCCCATCTTCAACACATCCTTCCGATAGTGCAGAGCTCACTTACATCAAGCCAGGAGAAGGAGAAAGGGAGTAGAGATGGATACAGGATGTTTTTATAGTCTAGGCTCAGAAGTGGCCCACATCATACCCACTGGCATGTCATTTGTCAGAACACAGTCACATGACCAATCCTAGTTGCAAGGGAGGCTGGGAAATTTATCTACCTGTGTGGCCAGGAGGAAGAGGAATCAGGCGGGGTGAAGAGCTAGCCAGTTTATGTCACAAAAGGTCCCCACTGTTTCGAAGTTGGATTTGAGTATGCTTTAGCAAGCAACCCAATGTGGAAAGAGCTACAAACAGACCCAGCTTTGTGTAGGTTCTATTTGTGGGGTGGAGGGATGAGTGGGACTTTGCCTGAGGCACAATCTTCTGTTTCTTAGATTAAAATAATAATCATGACCTGACTCACAGAGACACCTTCTGGGATTGCTAAGTTGTTGGAATTGTAATACAAACAAGTGTAGGTGAGTCAGTTATAAGGACCAAATAGCATGGGAAAGCCTGAGAGGAAATGGTAGACCCTATTCTGGTGTCGAAATTACTATTTTATTTTATTTTTTTATTATTATTTTTTTGAGACAGAGTCTTGCTCTGTCGCCCAGGCTGGAGTGCAGTGGCACGATCTTGGCTCACTGCAACCTCCGCCTCCCAGGTTCAAGCAATTCTCCCACCTCAGCCTCCTGAGTAGCTGAGAATACAGGCATGCACCACTATGCCTGGCTAATTTTTGTATTTTTAGTAGAGACGGGGTTTCACCGTGTTGGCCAGGCTGGTCTGGAACTCCTGGCCTCAGGTGATCCACCCACTGTGGCCTCCCAAAGTGTGGGGATTACAGGCATGAGCCACCTGGCCTGGCCAAAATTACTCTTTTAGAGAAGAATATGGTTTTCAGGTCTCAGTACCACACACAGAATCAAATAAATATAGGGCCCTGTGAACCAGTTAAATGGAGGATGCCTACGAAAACTCCCTCTTGACACACCATTACTGGCTTGGGCGGCCCCATCTGGGAGGGGTTTGTGGGTGAACCCTGAGGCCCCCACCCTCGGAGAAGATGGATGACGATGGGCTTCCTCTCATGGGGTCAGGCATGACCTGACCAAGGTGCCAACTCTTCAACAGAAAAGAACGGTGGCTTTTCTAAACCAATTTGTGGTGCACACTGTAGAGTTCCTCAACTGCTTTTCTACGGTTTGTGAGGAGAAACTGGCAGACCTTTGTCTTTGTATCCAACAAATTGAAACAACTCTCAACATTTTAGACACAAAGTTGTCATCTGTCTCTGACCTAGATGATGTCACAGTTGAAGTATCTCCTTTAAGTGTCACTAGTGTCACAAATGGACTTCGGCACATTCTGAAGCCACTTCAGAGCAGTTACAGAACAGTACACAAGACTCTGGACCCCAGGAAAGTGAGGGATCAGCAGGAAATAGCTTAACTGTAGCCAAGGATCCAAGATATGCCAGAAATCTCAAAATAGCTCAAGTAGGTGTACCAGCAATGGCAATCAAAAACAAAATTAGGCCAGGCATGGTGGCTTGCGCCTGTAATCCCAATACTTTGGGAAGCCAAGGCAGGTGGATCACTTGAGTTCAGGAGTCCGAGACCAGCCTGGCAAACATGGTGAAACCCCATCTCTACCAAAAAATACAAAAAATAACCGGGCGTGGTGGCACATGCCTATAATCCCAGCTACTTGGGAAGCTGAGGCAGGAGAATCACTTGAACCTAGGAAGTGGAGGTTGCAGTGAGCCAAGATCGCGCCACTGCACTCCAACCTGGGTGACAGAGTGAGATCCTGTCTCAAAACAAAAACAAAGCAAAACAAAAAGCAAAATGATATCAGAAGGACTAGTCCCAGACCTTCCTGAGAGGCCAGATGCTCCAGTGCCTGATGGTGAAAGTGAAAAATTATAGAAGAAAGTTCAGATAGTGAATCTTCTTTTAGTAACTAAGCTTAATTTTGGTAAGAATTACATATGCATATGTAGGGATACATTTATATTCTATAAGAGAGAGAGCCTGAACTGTAACTTTTAGTCATAAAAACATCAAATGGCCACGTACACGTCCACCACCGAGCTTCTTCTATGTTAAAAAAGTAAAGCATTTATAACCTGAAAATCAAAAACCCTCTCTCTTGAGATTGCAAATCGGACATTAGCACATCCAATCCTGATAGATATGCAACTGCTTTAAGAAACAGGAGCTTTGTGCAAGGAATGAGGAGGTCAGTGATAAGGACAGTTGGACTCATTCACATTGTTGCCCTGCTGTAGCTGGGACCACCTCCCCGGGAGCACAACAGCTACTGTAAGGTTGGCAATCAAGTTGGCTTTGAAACTGTTTATACAAGCTGATTGCTACTAGAAACCTAAGAAATTCACAGGAAGTTCCATGCAAGGAACCAGAGAAAAAGGCTTTGAGCTGTGTTAGCGGCTCCATTTGAAGGTTTCAGGGGTGGTATGCAGCAAAGGCAGAGGAAAGATGTTGTTAGATGAGGCCTGAACAATGGAGACTGTTTGCAACTCTAACGCAGCCAGATGTCTGTTCTAGTGGCCAACCACCTCACTGCCCTAGAGACAGTAGAGGGTAGAGAGGAGGTTAGCTAGGATTTATGTATTTAATTCATAAGTAGGAATCTGTTACTGGCACAAATATTTTCCTGTGTTGTGGTAGGAGGAGCTACTATCGCAGGCAGCACCTCGGGAGCAATAGAAGCTAGCTTGGATAATGAGAAGCACTTGGATCAATCCTTGCGGGAGATAGATCAGCAACTTTTGGCAAAGAGTGGCTGTGCAATTTGAGAGCTGATTTTAAACTGGAGGGGCCTTTTGAATTCCCTCTGTTGATGTGGCTAATCAAGCCCAAGGAACAGAAAGAGGCAAAATGGCAGCTTCTGCAAGCAAGATGGAATAATTGAGTTTAAACTAGGGCAGTGGGGTGGTTTGGGGGCTGCTGTGTCTTAAGCTGAGAAGCAAGACGAATGGGAGAGAAGCTCCCTTGGTCCCACTCAGGGAACACTTCAGATCCAGCCTGGGACTTAGTACACCCTGATTTGTCCCTCGAGGAGTGATGTTGGTCACACATAAGGCATTTCTCAGGCCTCAGCATAAATGAGACAGTGTCGCCCCCCTGGGTACATTAAATTTTGGAGTAAGTAACTTGTGTTTTATTTGTGGCAAGAAACAACATTTTAGCTTGTAACTTGGAGTAAATGTGGTCTGTGGATATCGCCAAGGGGCAGAGTCTTTTGTTGGAAAGACTGGATGTTGTGCTCAGATGTTAATGATGTGGCAGGGGCAGGGCAGGCTGCAGAGGCACCAGACCCCACCGCCTTAAATCCCCAAGGCTCCACACTCTATAGGGGAAGAAGAAAGGAGAAGCTAGGTTGAATGAGGAGACGTATTGAGTGTTGTGAGGGGGCCTATTGGCCTTAAGTGAAGATGTTTTCCTGTGAATATGTTTCCCGCATACTTCTAAAAGGGAGTTATGCAGCCTAGTTGTTGGCTCTAGAAGAGTTGTAAGGTGATAGATTTTGTTGCACTAAATTCAAAGCACAGGCCAGTGGCTTCTCATGAGAAGAGCAGTTAGAGCAATGCAAAATCCTTGTGCCACATCATCAGAAAACCCATCTCCAAATCTTCATTTTTTCCTCAAGGATTTAGGAGTTGAATGTTTATTTCTTTTGACTATGCAAGAGCTGAAAAGGCCATGAGGACACTCAAATTTATGTGGGTTACACTTAGTAGGCGTGTACAAATGGGCATGGATGGTTGAAAATAAGCCTCATCTAAGTGTTGAAACCAATTGGTCAGACTTTCTGGGGGGTGGTGATGGATGCTTTGCTAGTACATAATTCATTGCAATAAGGACATGTTGTTGTCAAGAATACACTGCTAGAAATTATATTCCCAGTCTTAGGACTTTGAGCTGTACCAAAACTCCTATTGATCTGAGGGTAAATTATTAAGTGAAAAGAAACACTTAGAATCCACTCTTCCCCTTTCTTCTCTCTGTTAGCACCTGTACCATCTGTGAAAGATTTTGTTTTTGTAGACACGCAAATGTCTGTGTGTTTGTGGAGGGAATACTTTCTGGAGGTGAAGAAAGATGTAAGGAGGATGATAGAAAAGAGCAGGGAGGGTCATATCATAGACATACTTAATACTATTAATTCAATCACACACTGTCGACAAGAGAGATGGTGTCAGTGTTCTATCAACCATATCAATTAGTGCCAATTTGGTTATTCATCTATTTCTTTATATATCCACCCATTTGTAAATGTTTATCTAACTCTCCAAAAAAGCATCTGAGTCAGCTGAAATGTATTTTATCCCATTCCTCCTTCCTTCATTTATTCAACAAATATTCGTTAAGGTCTTACCGTGTGCTCATGAAAATACAGCTTTGAGCAAGGCAGACAGATAAAGGGTCACAGATAGGGCCACATGTTAGTGATGCCTGGGGGTCCCCAATCTGAACAGCAGTTCCTAGCTCTCTATTTCATTATCTCCAGAAGTAGATGAAGGCGAGAGGACGGCGTTCACATGAGTCCACATGTGTTTTCACTAGGGAGGGAGGGAGTGCATTTAGTGTTTCCGCTGCTCCTTGGCCTGTGGACTCTCCCAATTTTGATTTGCACAGTGTTTGAGTCAGATTGCCTTCTAAGATCTTCCAAACCGATTTTAGCCAGCTGGTTTTTAATGCAGTAACCACCAAGATATTCCATTATCTCTAGATCCTTGGTTTTTAATTTTTCCCCTTTTCTAACAGCCCAAATTAGAAATAATGTGGAAAAACTTAGGAAACACAAGTGCAGAGAAAATAAATTAGACCAGTTCAATGGCCTTATATCCTAAACAAAACTTGATTGTTGGACCTTGGACTGGACTGGAGTCAACTTTTTCCTTCTGGGCACATGGCACTCTCCGGCTGAGGAAGGGACCAACGAGGGTATTTGAGAGACACAGGTCTTCCCTCCAGCACCCAGCCTGGCCAGAAGGCATCTGGCAAGGGAGGTGTAGGAGCCTGCTCTGTGCTGTAAGACAGCTGGGCATGAGTCAGAAGGGACTTAAGGGCAGTGCAAGCCCCCAGAGCCAGGCTGATCATATTTTTCAAGATGTAAAATGGAAACACATGGTTTGACACATAAGTTACAACAGGACAGAGAATCTGGAATTAGAAAATTCACATTGCAAAATTCACATTGCAAGGTGCGGTAGCTGGGTCCAAAGTGGGATTCAGAGAGATGAGAGGTTTGCTTTTGGTTGAACTGATAGCCCATCTGTGGAACTCTGAGCACCTGTCTATGGGCAGTGACATGCACAAGGCCTTTGCTGGCCAGACAGCATGGAAGATGTCGATGGCAGAGTTGCCTTGGGAAGGAAGAGAAGTAGAGACTGAAGGATGCAGGGAATGGCAGAGGGTCAGTGCCTCACGGGCTCCTCGTGCAGACAGAAGGCTTAGAAGGAAAGCCAGAGGGGCTGCTGTTATAAGGAGGTTGAGGACACTGGTATAAGCAGAGGTGCTTTGAGGCTTATGGACTAAATGTGGGAGACACTCTTCTTCTATCTCTGTATGGAACTCAGCATTGCTCTCACATCTCATGGGCTGGTGAATTTAGATGCTCCAAGACATGGCACCTCTCCTCACCCAAAATAATCAGCATTCTCCAAGGGGCATCATCAGCAGTGAATTCTGAGAAAGCTTCAACTGAGTGGACTGGGGCATGGGGCTGAGGAGACCATTTCCAGTTGAGAGATCCTGTGTGAGAAGAGAGAGGCAAGTAGAGGAGTGCGAGGTCAGGGTGTTCATGGGGTTTCAACAAGGCGAGCAGAATCACAGATACAGTAGAAGACAGCATAGCAACAGGGGACGTTTTCTTTCAAACTCAAAATTGGGTCACATGGTAGGAGACACAGCTGGATAATAGGATAGAGTATCTGAATTCAGGACTGGTCCAGAAAAATGGCCAAAGCTGTGTCAGATTAATTTAATGGAAGGTTTCATTTGATTAGATTCCCAAGCCCTGGCTATGCATGCTCATTTATCCAGCCTATTGTCTAAGCAGAACGGGAACCCACAGTCAACTTGATAGAACAGCAGGAGCGCTGCCAGCCAGCCTCTGGCTTTGAATTCTTTTTCTGATCTAACATTTTAAGGAGGATGTGTCAGGAAGGCCTATTTAGAATACAAATGATTGCCTAAACTCTCTTAAACGCTTTAAGAGTATATTTTAATCATTGAGTCTTCCCTTAAGCCCAGCAGAGTATTTGAGAATAAATTGTTGTGCGTTTGAGTCAACCAAAATTGGGTAGACTTGCTGAATTTATGAGCCTTTCTCTTCTCCTGGTCTTTCTCATGGCCGTGGCAATGTGCACTTCCACTAGCTTGTGAAATGCATATGAAGTATAATTTTCCCCAAATTGATCTGTTCTACATCACTGAATCTTAGCCATTGCATTTTTATGCCAGAATCAAATTTAGCTTATTATTATTGTTGTGGTGGAAAATAATTATAATCCTTTAATTGTCATGGCACTTCATAATTTTATAAGAATTCACAAATGTTATTTAATTCCATCCTCACTATAACACTGAGGGCCAAGGAGAAGGGGAATCATCATCTGGGCCTGCAACTCCAAACTACCCCCTTTTTCCAAATGGCCAATTGAGGTTCTTAAAGGCTGGGTGACTTGCACATAGCCACACAGATCTAAGCTGTGCAAGCAGGAAATGTGGAAGCTCAGGGGAGCTGCCCTGCCAGTGGTGAGTTCTGGTCTCATCAAGTGCGTCTCATCAAGTGCTCTCTGCAAAGCCGATGAAGTGGGTTTGATCATCTCTAACTTGCAGGTTCACTGCGAGTATAATGGATATGCAGGTGCCAGCACAACGCTAGACCCGTGCCAAGGGCTTAGTTGCTCCCTTTCTTCCCCCATATCCAAGTGATTGCAGGTTCCATTTAGAGATTCTGAAGCCCACTGGTGCTGAGATGTGACAGCATAAAGCTTTTCCCTCAATCAGCCTGGAGGCTAAGGGGCCAGTAGTCATACCATGCATGCGCGCGCGCGCGCACACACACACACACACACACACACACACACACACACACACACATGCACTCATCTGAGTGGGCTAGAAGGTGAGCTCCTCTCGGAATTTAAAATCTGCAGCAGGTTAAGAGGAAGACAGCTCTTCCCCATCAGCTACTGTTCTGGTCTGTAGAATCAGCTCCATAAATATCCCCACCCTCTCTCCACTACACTCACATTCATGGCAGTTCCCTCTTCAGCTCTAAACTTTACAGCTCTCTAAGTCTTTGCCTTTCAAGTCGAGCTGGTTCTCACACCTGCCTGCTGACTTACGCATGGCGTTTGGCCTCCTCCAGTCCCAGTGACTCTGCTGGGTGTATCCTCACTCCCTCCCTGTCCAGTGCTCCCTTTGCTCGCAGGTTGGTGAAGGACGTAGGAATAGCCTGGAACACTCTCTATTTGAGCCTTGCACTCTCTTAGCAAGTTCAGCTTGAGTCAGGAAGGGTGGGGATCACAGGATGTCACCACTGTGGCCGCCTCTTCCAGGCTGGACTCCAGGGCGACAACCTTTGCCATCACCTGGTCCAACTTCCTTTTTTTACAGAAGGGAAATTCTATGCTTAATTCTGGACTTAAACTACCTGAGCAAGATGTTTTCATTCATTTGTGGCAGGATAACTGGATAAACATCTCTTATTTATCCCTCCTCAGGCTCCTCTGGAAAGAGAGGTGCCCCATCTGGTTTCAGTGAGGAATTAAATCCAGAAGACTTAACTGGAGTCCTTTTAGCCAATAGCCTGCAGGCAGATGTCTGGAGGCACTGGTTCATAACTCAGGGACGCTAAGGCTGGCTCGTGGGTGACTGTCTCAGTCTTTTCCTCACACTGTCACCTCATATTTTCAAGGGGGCTGCTGTACCCCCAGGCATGTGTCTGTATATCGCACAGGAAGAAGGAAAGTAAGGACATTGCCAGCAAATATCTTACATCTCATCAGCCTATACTGTGTCTCCTGACCACTCCTAACTGCAAAGGATGCTGGGAAAAAAAGAGCATTGTAGCTTTTCCAGCCTCTGTGGTAGGCGCAGATAAGGGATTAGAGTTGGGTGTTACTGAATCAATGTATCAGACACTTCTCAGTCAGGCTAGAGCCAGATTTAACTAGATTTAGCAGGAAAAAGTATGTTTCTTTCACCTGCATGTAATGAAGGAAATCTATGTCCTTCATACACTTAATAAACCTGTAAGTCTCTACTATGGGCAGGTACTGTGCTAGCTAGACATTACAATGTGTGGGGGCAGACACAAAGATGGGAACAGTAGACACTGGGGAACCCTAGAGGGGGGAGGTTGGGAGTAGGGGAAGGGTTGAAAAATGATTGGGTACTATGCTCACTACCTGGGTGATGGGATCATTTGTACACCAAATGCCAGCAACACACAATTTACCCGTGTAACACACCGGCACGTGTACCCCCTGAACCTAAGATGAAAGCCGAAATAAATAACATAAAATAAAATAAAATAAAATAAAATAAAATAAAATAAAATAAAATAAAATAAAATAAAATAAAATGCCTGGGGGGAAGATAAGTAAGCCTATATTCAGTTAGCAAATACTTACTGGATGTTTATTGTGTGTCAGGCCCTGGAGGATTGGAGAATGAAGATACATCCTTGGTTGCCCATAGCACCCAGTCTACTTTGGAACAAGAGTGGTGTACAATGGGAACATAGAGGAGGGTGCCAAATTCAGATGGTTAAAAAGAGCCCTCCTGGTGGAGGTGACACTGACCTGGGTCACCTTATGATATGGTTTGTCTGCATCCCCATCGAAATCTCATGTTGAATTCCCATGTGTTGTGGGAGGGACCCAGTGAGAGGTAATTGAATCATGGGGGCAAGTCTTTCCCATGCTGTTCCCGTGAGAGTGAATAAGTCTCACGAGATCTGATGGTTTTAAAAAGAGCAGTTCCCCTGCACAAGCTGTCTCTGTTTGCCTGCTGCCATCCATGTAAGATGTGATGTGTTCTTCTTTGCCTTCTGCCATGATTGTGAGGCTTCCCCAGCTGTGTGGAACTGTAAGTCCATTAATCCTCTTTCTTTTGTAAATTGCTCAATCTCAGGTATGTCTTTATCAGCAGCATGAAAATGGACTAATACACCTTAGTATCACCATTTCAGGAGAGGCATCTGTATTTCCTGACCCACTGCTAATTAGGCTCTGAGGCGTCTAGGTTCTAGGCCATGACGGAGGGCATCCTTCCAATTAAGTTACATTCCACGCACAGTGATTGAGTTCCTACTCTATGCTTATGATATTTACAACTAAGAAGAGAGAATAATAATAAGATAATAATAATAACAATATTACCACCACCACCATTTATCAAGGGCTTACTATGTGCCTACATGCCAGACAAATCCTAAGCACTTTATGTGTATTAACTTATTTAATCCTCAGAACAATCTGGAAACCTGGCATCTCCCCACTCATCCAAAATTGTCACCCCTCTCCTAGGGGCACCATCAGAAGTGGATTCTCAGAAAATTTTAGCTGAGTGAGAGAGGGTGGGATAAGGTTATGGGGATTAGTAGACTTGTAGACTTTCTGGGGACAAGAAGTCCTATATGAGAACATTGGGGCAAGAACAGGAACTGTTGGAATATTGATATCTCTGGGGCCAAATAGGGATTCATTACAGAAATAATAAAAGGCTACATAGCTACAAGGGCCTTTTTTTCACCCAAACTGAAAGTTCAGTCATGTGGTTGGAGGCATGATTGGACAATGAGACAGGTTATCTGTATTCAGGACTGGTCCTTAACTTGATTGTGGGTTTTATTTGATTGACTCTCTCAACCCTAGTTATTGTGTGCTTATTCATTCAGCTTATTGTTAAGCAGAATGGTAACCTACAGTCAAGTTTTATTTTATTGATTTATTTTTGAGACAAGGTCTCACTCTGTTGCCCAGGCTGGAGTACAGTGGTGCGATCATGGCTCATTGCAGCCTTGACCTCCCAGACTCAAGCAATCCTGCCACCTCAGCCTTCCAAGTAGCTGGGACTACAGGCATGCACCACCATACCCAGCTAAATTTTTTTTTTTTTTTTTTTTTGAGACAGAGACTTGCTCTTTCACCCAGGCTGGAGTGCAGTGGCACCATCTCGGCTCACTGCAAGCTCCGCCTCCCGGGTTCACGCCATTCTCCTGCCTCAGCCTCCCGAGTAGCTGGGACTACAGGCATCCGCCACCGTGCCTGGCTAATTTTTGTATTTTTTAGTAGAGACGGGGTTTCACCATGTTAGCCTGGATGGTCTCGATCTCCTGACCTCGTGATCCACCCGTCTCGGCCTCCCAAAGTGCTGGGGTTACAGGCGTGAGCCACCACACCCAGCCATACCTGGCTAATTTTTGATTGTTTGTAGACATGGAGTCTCGCTATGTTGTCCAAGCTAGTCTTGAACTCCCAGCCTCAAGTGATCTTCCTGCTTCAGTCTCCCAAAGTGCTGAGATTACAGGCATGAACCACTGCACCTGCCCCACGGTCAACTTTTAAAAAGCCAGCAGGAGCATGTCCCATAGAGAGATGCTAGAATAGAACTCTGAGAGACAGCATATAGTTTTTCTGGCAAAAGGACAGGGTTTGAGGAAACTAGATTCGCTGTAAATGGAGGCAATATCATTGAAAAGACTGATCAAAAGAGGATAAGCACTAAATTCAGTGCATAAACTCTGCCTCAATCTTGGGCTGACCTCTGAATTATGCATTTGTGGGGGTTTGACCTGCCACCCAGGAGACAGAATATGCAGTGTGAGTTCAACCAAGTCAACTGCCTACTGAAACAAATCAAATAAAACAAAATCTGCATATATCCCCACAGCCATCCTAAGCAGCCAGTGTCATTTCTCTTGTTTTAGAGGTGGTGGTAGCAGAGGCTGAGGGTGCCCCACCATATCCCCTTGGCACTTACCAGAGCACTGGAGGGCACTGGAGGTTTGGAGGATGAAGACACGTCCTTGGTTGCCTATAGCACGCAGTCTACTTTGTAACAAGGGTAGTGTGCAAGAGTAGTGTGTGACTCTGCCTTAGGCTATCTCTTGTGGCTGGAGCCTGCTCTACCTGTGCATAGGGCAGGCCAGAGGGACACAGATATGATCCCTGTCCCCCTCCCCAGGGGCAGCCCTCAAACAATGACTGGTGGGAATTGGTGGATCAATATGCCAGCTCCTTTGCCCTGGGGTTAGGGAGATGGGGGATAATTCCAGGACATGTATTTTCCACTGCCTCTAAGAGTTCCCCAGCAGGATTAAACTTCTGTTTTGTCACTGGCTTGACAATGATCTTTCATTGGCTTACTTCCCTTCCTTACCTGCTCCCCTGCTGGGGCTTCCTGGGATCACCTCCCAATTAAAACACCAGCACCA
The DNA here is from genome assembly GCF_000001405.40 of Homo sapiens. Classification (NCBI taxonomy): domain Eukaryota; kingdom Metazoa; phylum Chordata; class Mammalia; order Primates; family Hominidae; genus Homo; species Homo sapiens. The sequence goes on along the minus strand of NC_000008.11, from coordinate 98,403,369 downwards.
GAACACCCATCTTAGGGGGTACTTCTATGGGGGAGACAAAACTAAGATGATGGGGAAGCCCAGGCTCAGAAGAGTTAAGCAAACTATCCTGGGTTCAAGTAATTAAGTGGCAGCCAGAACTCAAGTCTGGGGTTTTTGGATTCACAGCCTAACTTCTAAACGCCTACCCTGAGCTGGGAGTGTCTGAGTCTCTGGAGTCAAAGGGGACCTCCTGCAAGGCAGGCCCACCTTCAAGTGGACAGCTGCGAGTGTGGTTGTGTGGTGGGGAGGAGTCCACTGCCCTTGGCCTCCCTCAAATGTCAGCAGCTGTGGGAACAGCTGGAGACTGATAACTCAGTTTTTACTTCTTCACAATTAGTGCAAGGCCCAAGAAAGTCAACAAAGGAAAGGTCAGGCCCTCCCCAGAGGCTGCTCCTCCTCTTCTGGGGCTGCGGTGTCCCCATTGTGGGGTCTCCTCTCTCAGCCTCTCACCCAGGGTTTCTCTGGAAGGGGTCAGAGAAGATGCTAGTCCCCTGGGGCTCTGCTTGGAACATGTGCTCATCAGTAAAGGTTGACAGAGAACATACTGCAGGCTCCTCCCCAGGGAAGGGCAAGTACCACCTGGCAGAGTCTCTTCTAGGGCTGAGGGAACAAGCACAGACTGTTCCCAAGGCATGTCCTCCTCGCCTGGCTGGCCCTGCACAGATGAGGCCCTCAGGAGTTGGGACAAACACTCCCTGGGAGGAGGAGGCAGATGATTCAGGCTGAACTCATGGGAGACCACCCCAGACTCCCAGGACAGCAGGGCCCCCTCCGTCCCGGAGGGGACACGGAGGCAGAGGAGAGCACCTATCTGGCTTTGCTCTGCTGTACTGGGGACACAGAACCCTCCCTGTTTCTCCTGTGGGGCCCAGACTTTCGCTTCCTTTCAGAAACTCAGCCTCACCAGGAATGAGCCAAACACAGACTCCAGGGAGCTCCGATCCCTTGGACTCTCTGAAAGAGGACACAGGAATGTGTTAGGATGCTAGATCTGGCTCAAGATATGCAGGCCAGGATAGTCTCTCCACAGTGGTATGCAGATCTTGGGGAAAGATTCTGCTATGGCTGAATGGGTTAGTGGCAAGTGCACCGGCCTTATGGCTGGGTGGGTCTGGGTTCAGGTCCCTGCTCTGACTCTCCCTAAGATCCCTTAGGAAAAAGAAGATAATGATGTGATGAGGATGCTACCTTTATATAATTGCTAAGTACTTAGTAAGTGCTAAATAAATGGTAAAGCTATTATTAATACCAATTATACCTGGGGAAGTATAGAACAGCAAGGATAGTATAATCTTATGTATATAAAATTGTATATAGATAGGATGTTTACCAAACATTAATAGTGGTTATCACCGTGTAGTGGGATTTGGGGGTAATTTTTACTTTCTTCTTTTATTTTTCTGGGTGTTCCTTGAATTTTTTTTACAATGCATGCGCACAAGAATAATTGCTCGTCTGTAACCTCAATTAGCTCCAGTAAAGGCTGGATTCTTGATATGCTTAAGTTTGGAAGTTTGGGATTAGGCACTTGAGGGAACCTGAATTACTCTTCATAGCAGGGAGAGAAGAATGTGGGTTCCCAGAGCAACCTGAGAGGAGATGAGACTGGGAAGAGGTAGGGGAGAAAAGGGAGCAAGTTGACAAAATCCCATGTGGTCGGCAACATAATCTTAAATCTCCCACGTGGTCTACTACCCACTCAGATGCTTGGTGTGAGTGATTGTTGTTGTGGGATATGAAATTGGAGCCACATTTCACATGTTGTGTGGGGTCAGACAGAGGCAGCATCTGAACACATACAACCCACAAATGAACAATCCATTCTGTTTTTCCAGGAATCAGCAGAAGCCTTGGAAAGCCTTGTGAGTTCCACAGGACACAGAATTGCTTGAGCTTGAGCCAAATTGTCTCTGTTATCCATTGCTACATTAAAAAAACACTTCAAACTTATTGGCATCAAACAACAATAATCATTTATTATATCTTTCCAGGTTCTGGGGGTTGGCTGGGCTCCGCTGGGTGGCTCTTGCATGGGGTCTCTCCTGCAGTTGCAGCTGGAGTCCCAGCAAAGCCTTCCCCATCCACATGTCTGGTGTCTGGGCTGGAAAGCCTCAGGCAGCTGGAGCTGGAGCACCTGGGGCTTCTTGCGATTTCTCTCCATCTCTATGTGGTCTCTGCATGGTGCTGGCAGCCGGGCATCTTCAGGGGGCTGGACTTCTTACGTGGCTGTCCATGGCTCCTAAGGCATGTGTCCCGAGAGAGAGAGCCAGGTGGAAGCTGTGTGGCCTTCCTAACTTGCTTTTTGGAAGTTGCACAGTCAATTATATGCACTCCATCAGTTGGAGCAGTCAAAAGGCCCACCCAGATTCAAGGAGAGATGACACAGCCGCCATCTCTCGATGGAGGAATTGCAAAGTTCTGGAATGAACATATGGGATTGAAAATAATGTTGTGGCCTTATTTGGAAAATACAGTCTGCCACAGGACATTTCACAGATGTTGAGGGGCAGGGCAGTCCCCAGCTGATATCTGAGTTACAATCAGGAAAAAACAACAAAACTATTTTTTTTTTAAAAAAGACAAAATATTAACTGAAATAGACTTCAAATCAAATCTAAGATTATTTAGAAGAACATGGATGAAGAATAGGGACTTTTATTGTAGCAGATTTACTGGAATTGGCTGTGAAAATCATCATGAAAGTGAACAAGCCAGAAAGAAAAATGTTACTCTTTTGTTCAAAACTTTCTGGATGGAGCCAGCAGTGCTGGAAATGGAACAGGAGAAGCCTGGAAGAGGGCCCGAGGGTCAGAAGGGTCAGACCTTGGCTGTTGGCAGGGAAGGCAGGGATCTGCGTGAGAGAGATTGCTGAGCTGAGACGTTCAGGACAGAGCCCGGGATGGGTGCAGGGAGGGACAAACCTCAGTACGGCAGGCGCCTGCTGTGTCTACATGTCACCTGCCTTTGCTACATGTGTGTTCCCTCGTGGTGACACCTGGGGGCACAGCCTTGGGGCCTGGGAATCTGTTGCCTTGCTCTGGGCTTCAATAAATGAGTCCAGGGCTCACGGGCTTGCTCTTCCTTTCATTATGGAATCCCTGGACTTGGACTTCAGTAACCATCTCCTGCAAACGATGGCCCTTCACTTCAAGGAACTGGCTCCCCCTCTGGGGGCTCTGGCTTGTCACTGACTCTGACTCTGCATTCTTGCATCTCTACAGTCAGACCTGGAATCCCTGAGCATGGGTCTGGAGGGAGCCTGAGTGTCATTTGGGTTGGAAAGCAGCTCTTGCTCACCACCGGGATCTGATGCGTGGGTAGCAGCTTCTATCAAGAAGGATCATGAGGTTGCATTTGGGATCAGAGGGGAAAAGGGCCTCGATCAATGGGCAGTGGAAGGTGGAGTGGTGATACAAGTTTGCAAACACTTCTGAACTCTGTTTTATTTCTGGGCAGCAATAGAGGGTGACCCTCCCGAAGCACGTGGTCATCTCTCCTTTCCTCCCAGATCTCAGGGCTGGCATTCCATGGCCTCCTGTAAGCCACACCCCATTCTCTACTGCTCTCAGTTGGTGACATAGTGGCCAGTTCTTGCTCTGGCTTCCTTTTGGAGATGGAGGGCAGTAGATCGGCAATTCATTCTCTTTAGGTGAATTATCTTTAGATGAATCACCCCTTTGATCTTCTTGAAAAGACCTCAGAGATCGTCTAATTTTACCTCTTATTTTGCAAATAAGGAAACTGAGGCTAAGAGAGATAGAAAAGCTTTGTTTGCCAGTCTTCCCTTCAGCATCTCAACAAGACTTTGCCAAGGGGCCCGCTTGGGGCATGGCACAAAACCCCCTTCCCACTGTCAATATCTCCCCTCCAGTCTCCTTCCCTGCCGTGGCCAGGCCACGTGGAAACTCATGCCAAAGAGCGTCAACCGGGAATGTGTCTTCTTTCTTGAAATACGTTATGGATCAGCAGGCAGCCCCCTCAAGACCCCAGCAATGAAGCTCGCTTGTAGCCCGGCACACAGTAACCCAGAAACATATGTGGTGAGCAATAACAGTCATAAATTTTATGAGATTATGTGTTCCTAATGTGAGATTTCAGGCTGATCTGTTTGTTGAGTTATGCCAAACTTCAGCATGATTCAATCAAGTTTTGCTTAATCTTCCCTTATTTACTCTGGGTGGGGGTGAGTCACGGAGTATGTCTCTAGTCCAGTCTGCTGAACTAATTTACCCCAAGGATTTTGATGGACTGGTGATTTGTTCTCTTTGAATATTCAGTTTATTTGCTTATAGCATTAGACGAGGTCTGGATTACATGCAGTGAACGTCTGTAGCCATGCTGGGGACCAGGACCTCTTTGGAGAGTCCACACTAGGGACAGAGAGCACCTTGAAGATTTCACAGTTTCCTTTCAGTCAAGGCCAAATCATGCAAAATATTTTGTTACCTGTTGATGAACTCACGGGATTTAACGCTGTGGCCTCTTTATCACAGAGAAAGGCGTTTTGGCCAGCTCCCTGCATCTCTGACCCTAGGCGGTGTGGATCTGGAAGAAACAGGGAATATTACCATCTTCTCCAAAGATGTAAAAGCCTGGAAAATTTGCCCGAGGCTGGGAGTGACTCCAGCTGCCAAGCATCTCCATCTCCCAGTGTCCAATTTTTGGCAGCCTCGGGGGAGATGGGAGCATGCAGATGGAATGTGAGGTCTGTGTCCTCAATGCCTCATCTCAGTGCACTGAGGAGATGTCAAGTCCCCTAGGACTAAGAGCGGCGAGGCACAGCCTGTAGTCTGATGGTGAGGGTTTGGGATCTCCTGGCTTCCATGGGATGGGAGAATTGGGGGTTTTGGCCTTCCATATTTAAGGCTAGGGTGGAAAGGGTTTTCCTTGATTTCATCTTTGATCATGATGCCCACTGTTCCAGTTTGCTCGGGACTGAGGGGTTCCCAGGATGTGGGGCTTTCACAGCGAAAAAGGGGAAAGTTGTGGGAAACTAGGAGAAGTTGGTCACCATAATTTTGATGTTCCTTAACTTTGGTAAGTCATGCCCTAAGATGCATCCAAAGCTTTGGGTAGGAATGGGAGGGTCACTCTTTCCTTCCCAAGTAGCTGCTGCATGGCCTCGGGTCTGGAAACAAAGATTCCCCATCCACCCCAACCACTGTAAGAGTGAAAGTTTTCCTGCTCAGTTTCCCAGACACGTGATGCCCTTCGCTCTCTGCTGAGGGGTGGCAGCAGGTTTTCCTGCCAATGTGGGGCATTGACATGCTCTTAGCCCACACTAAGAGATAGGGAAGCCCACAGCTTGCTTGGTAGGCTATATTAGTCCATTCTCACACAGCTATAAAGAACTACATGAGACTGGGTTATTTATGAAGAAAAGAGGTTTAATTGACTCACAGTTCCACAGGCTGTGCAGGAAGAATGGTTAGGAGGCCTCAGGAAACTTTCAATCATGGTAGAAGGTGGAGGGGAAGGTGGCACGTCTTACCATGGTGGAGCAGGAGAGACAGAGAACAAGCGGGCAACTGCCACACACTTTTAAACCATCAGATCTTGTGAGAGCTCACTCACTATCATGAGAACAGCATGGGAGAAACCGCTTCCATGATCCAATCATCTTCCTCCAGGTTCCTCCTTCAACAAGTGGGGATTACAATTCAACATGAGATTTGGGTGGGGACACAGAGCCAACCCATATCAGAGACAAACAAGCAGAAGCAGTTTCTGAGGCTGGACATCAGCATTCCTGAAACCTTGATAATCTGAAGCAGTTCTTTTCTTTTTATTTCCTTTTCTTTCTTGTCTTTTTTGAGACAAGGTCTCACTCTGTTGCCCAGGCTGGAGTGCAGTGTCATGATCACGGCTCACTGCAGCCTTGACCTCCTGGGCTCAAGTGATCCTCCCACCTCAGCCTTTCAAGTAGCTGGGACCACAAGCACCTGCTATCCGCCCCCTCACCCAGCTAATTTTTGTAATTTTTGTAGAGACAGGATTTCACCGTGTTGCCCAGGCTAGTTTTGAACTCCTGGATTCAAACAATCCTCCCACCTTGGCCTCCCAAAGTGCTGGGATTACACGCATGAGCCACCACACTTGGTCCAGAAGCAGTTTCAAGCTAATTGTAAGCTGGCAGCAGGTTTTGGATTTATCTGTCGGACAGAGGGATGGGGGACTGTGTGTGTGTGTTTTCTTTCTAGGAGTAAAACTCAGAACACTACTGTGAACTGTTTGGTTATAAGGGTAACGTTCAGATTCTGTTGCACTCTGGTTAAAAGTGTGGACTCTGGAGCCAGACTCTGTCATTAATTTGACCTTCGGTAATTAGTGTAACCTCCTTGGGCCTTAGTTTCCTTATCTATAAAATGGACACAATAGTGAGGTGGCTTCAAGGATTAAACTAATTAATATTCACAAAGAACTTAGAATAGGGCCTGGTACATAGTAATTACTCAAAAAATCTTATCTATGGTACTAGGATGAAATGGCAGAGTCAAACATGTTAAATTAACTTTGTGCAGTCATGTGTGAAGTTGCCTTGGTTGTCATCAGAACTGCACACCAGCAGTCAGCGTGGCTGCTTGTCACTTCAGCCAGATGTTCTCACTGCATCTCTCATTCTGTCTTGCCACCCAGTCACTGCCTCCCAGGGAGTGGGAGTTTGAGTCTGGACCTAAGTAGAGGCTGTGGAGTTTGACAAAGTTTTATTGAAGGCCTGGATTGGCAGAACATCCATGCAGAAAAGATCACTGGCCACTGGCCATCAGACATGAAAATTCCAGGATCTCAATGGCAGAGGCCCTTCACCAGGGACCACTCCTGGCTGGTCTCCTGCCTACCATGCTGCAGGGCAGACTGCCTCCTCCCAAGCCATGGCGTCAACCACCCCTCTTACCATGAGTCCAGATGCCAACAACCTTCTTTCTTCTTTCAACAGGAAGAAAAGCCTCCACTCTCACCCCATCTCCCAGTAGACACAATAAGCATCTGCAGATACACAATTGCTTTGGATGCTTCTTAGGGCAATATGTTGAATTTCAGCTCCTGTATTATTTTGGATATACATAGCATTAATTTTATGTAAAACATCTTCCCAAATGAGTCCTGAGCAAATAAACTTAACAGCGGATGTTTTTGAAAGCTTACCTTTGGCTTGAATTTTATAATCCTTGTCTTTATTAATATATCAAAATTTTCTAAAGAAGAATTGGATAGAGTCTCTAATTGAGTTTTTAGTGCCATAATGGCATAAACTCAACTCTCCCATCATGCATTTGACAGTGTTTCAAATTTATGTTTGGTAAATGTGTTTTTAATACACAACATTTCACTGAAGCTGAAAGGCAGTTGTATAGATCTGGATGGTACAAAAAAATTCAGTGGTGTCAGAAGAGATTTTTCCTGCACCATTCACCACTAAGATTAAAATATCTAGTCAAGAAAGAGAAAATGCCCTAGAATCATCTCTTAGAATCATCTGTTTCATTCTGTCCTGTTTTCCATGCATATTTGCAACATTGTGATATTCAAGGCACTTCAAATTATTTTATTCTTGATTGGTTTTGTAGGTGGTTTACTAACATTGTTTGTAATCCTTCCCCAGTTGTGACATTTGCTGGAGAAAAAAATCCCCAATATGTTTGCATATAGAAATATTTGCATTTTGAGAATCCACAAATCCAACAACAACAAAAAAGTTATCTGTTCTATATCTGTCAGGGATTGTGTCTCAAACACATCAAGGTTGTAGCCAAAATAATGAATAATAGTTAGCTCTTTTTACCTTATTCAGACTATTTCACTCACTGCATCTGCTACAATTTTAATTAGTTTTGTATTTCATTCTCCAAATAGGTGCAATATTATTTAGTGTCAACATTTATGTTATGCAGAAACATTCTGCCATAATATTATCAAATTTGGCTGTGGCTTCTGCCAAATGGATAAAATTTCCATTATCATGTGCATGCTCACAAAGTTTTTTGGATGCTCCTCTGAACACTAGATCTTGCTTGCCAAAAATTAAACCATGTAAAATCTGCAGTGAACAATAGCACAATAATTTTTCCTCGTTTTTGTAATGTATTTGCAACATTGATAGTTTTTTTTTTTAATCAGATGCCAGCTTTTCAATACTGTATTAGTCAGACTAGGTCAGGCAATGCTTCAGTAACAAGCAATGCCAAGATCCCAGAAGTCTGACACAATTGAAATAGATTTCATATTTGTGCAATACCTGCTGCAGGCCTGGGTAACTTCTAAGGCAGCTTCACTTCATGGCCTGGCTCAGCGATCCACACAGACAGAGACACCACCACCCTGTGGCTTTGCCATCTGGAACACAAAGCCTCCTCAGTCCATGTGGCAGGCGAGAATGGTGGAGGGTTCTAAACAAACATTGAAATGCTTCAGCTCAGAAATGACAGGATCCCTGCTGCTCACTGCCGCATTGACTCCACTAGTCATGTTTCTTCTCTCTGTGGCAAGGGGAGTGAGCAGAGATGTGTAATCTTCACACTTGCCTGGAAGGAGAAGAGAACCCAATATAAGTAAGCACCAGACTTCTTTCTTTGCCACAGTAACTTAGTATTTGTTGGTGTGCTCTTCACTTTCTTCATGTGTACAAAGAATATGTGATAAATGCTGCTAGTCTTTGCAGTCATTTCTCAATTTTTATTCTTCTTATCCCCAAAGAATTGGAAATAAAGAATCCTTTGAGGATGAATAAAGTAAACACAATCTACCAATATTTTTTTCACTATTTGGAAGAATTCATGTGTAACAAATCTGCTGAAACTTTCTATTTCTGTTTTATTTTATTTTGTTTTTTTCTAGAGATGGGGTCTTGCTGTGTTGCCCAAGCTGGTCTCAAATTCCTGAACTTACGGGATCCTCCTGCCTTGGCCTCCAAAAGTGCTGGGATGACAAGTGTGAGCCACTGTGCCTGGCTGAAAACTTCCTATTTCTAATGTCTTTTGGAAAGTTACAATCTCTCGTTTGAGTTTAAAAAAAAAAGTTCAATCAGAGTAGCCTTGGATGTAATGTTAAAATTACATAGTCTTTCTGGCTCCAACCACATTGTCTCCATAAGACCTCTAGCCTTTCATCTTTCTCCTAAATATTTCTGGAAGTCCCTGAGATGGTTTTAAGCATGCTTCTCTAGCCACTTCTCTGGGCTCCTGTTTGCTACATTCTCTTCCTGCTTTGGCTCCTCCCACTACTTGAGAGTTCTGAGACTACAGCAACATCTCCCAAGACACAATCTTATCCTGCTGCTCACTCCACCCCCATCCCTTCCTGTCTCTATCCATTGACTGACTGGTACCACTAAAGCCTTGTACTCCAATATCCCAAGAAATGGTAGACAAATAGCTCTCTTAGTGCTTCAGCCTCTACAGTGGCTAGTTAGTGCTATAAAAGAAATGACTCCAGAATTCAGTGGCTTAAAACAATAAGCATTTATTTTGCTTATGATTCTGTAGGTTGACAATTCAGGCTGGAATTAGATGGGCTTCCTCTTGTATCTGTGGCCAGCCATGGGTCAACTTTGCTGACCTTGACTGGATTCTTTCACCTGCCTGGGGTCTCTGTTGGGAGGTAACTGGGCCAACCAGCTCTGGTTCCCCAGCCTACTGGAGGATAAGAGGATATAAAGGTCTCTTATCCTCCAGTAGACTAGGGAGCCAGAGCTGGTAATAAAAGTCCTCTTATCCTCTAGCAGACTAGCTCAGGCTTGTTCAGGTGGTTGGGGCAGGAATCCCAAGCAAAGGGCAGAAGTGTGTGAGGCCTCTTAAGGCCTGGGCTCAGAACTGGCAAACATCACTTGTATTGATTCTATTGGCCTTATTACACTGAAAGTTACAGGACCAGCCCAAAATCAAGGAGATGAGGAGTCCACCTCTTGATGGGAGGAGCTATAAAGTCACATTGCAAAGGGTATGGACACAAGAAGGAGTGAAGGACTATTGCCATATCTGTACCCTTCCAGAGCCTCTCCTTGGAATTGAGGTGGCGATCCATAGGAATTGGGCTGAGGACATTGGAGTGACAGGCCCAGGGTCACTCAGAGTCATCCCTGACTCTGGTACTGGTCTGTAGACCTTGACCATGTTCAGACATGCCAGTACCAGGCAGTGAGCTTAGTCCAAGTTCAACTAAGCCCCAGGAATGTGTGGCTGCTAAAGTTGACCTGGGAAGGGGGCAAGGGACCTTTCAAGAAGCCTCCTGAGTGCTCTCTCCTTCCTAGCCTCCTGCATATTAGTGTCACTTCCTAGAACTGTCAGAGGCAAGTAAGTTGCCCTTGGGTGGACTCCCCCTCAGAGAGAAATGGCTGCAATCTTTGTCTCCTGAGTGTCACTAAGCGAGAGAGGGAGGGAAGAAGAGAGGCCCATCTGAGTGCTAGGTTCTGCCTCCCTTTCTGAACTGAAGGGGGGATCCAGGATACAGCTGAATAACAGGCAAGGGTCATAGTGATGTTTTTCTGTGTGCCAGCTGAAGTGGTTTCTGTGCCTACCTTTCAGTGCCAACCCATGAAGAGGTACTTGGCTTCATGGACAGGAGAAGAAGTGGAAAGCCCCCCTCAAGTGGACAAGATGACCCTACTCAGGAGATGAGTCCTAATTCCAAGTCATATTGGAAGGAGTAGAAACCAGTATCATGTTTCCTCAAGTGACATCAGGCCTCCAGTTTCTCTAGGGATCCCTGGACCCCAAGGGCAGGCATTAGCCACTGATGGGGCAGTCTGAGAAGAGAGGGCCTGCTGGGAATGTCCTAGACTGAGAGTTCCTAGGGCATGGGGTCCCAGAGGACACTGAAATTCTCAAAACTTCTTTTCATCTTGGTATAACATTCAACAGAAGATAAAAATGGGAACAATTCATCTCGGTTTCGGTGGGAGGGGAGCCCAGAGGATCCCCAAGTCAGTGCTGCCTGGGCTGGGCTTTTCTGATGAGGAGCCTCATGCTACCTTTCTTCCTCACTAATATGGGGTATTGTTTAGGATGAAATATGGAAAGAGGTGTAGAAGCAGTTTTAGAAATAGGAAGCATTCCATGAATACAGTATTTTTGTCATCTATTTGTTCATTTATGCCTTGACTACTTCCAAACAATTTGAGGCAGTGTAAAAGATTAATAGGATGAAAATAAGTCCCCAAACGACTATCACAGAACTGCAAGAGAAAGTCAAGTAATAAAAGGCGTGGGAAGAGTCAAATTATATTTTTTTAAAAAAACAGACTCAGAAAGATTTCTTTTATTGAGTATAACATTTAGTTCTTGGGGGATAAGAGGAGAGATAGACAGGTATGGAGATGACTAATGTTTACTAAGCACTTCCTATGTGTCAGACACTGCAATTAGATTGTGTGAACTAAATCATGTTTTCTGAGTTTTTCAGTAACTGGGATAAAAAGGGGGAACTATCAGTTTCATAAAATAAATCTGTAGAAATTCATCAGGAAACTACCTTTACCTGACTTTGAGTTCTAAGATGAGTCTTTAGGCACATCTTCAGAGGCACATATTGAAGAATGTCCTCTAAAACCATTCTATTGTGTCCCGGTTCTAGTTAAGATGGAGTAAGCACACTCTACCCTGTCTCTCCCAGTGAAATGCAGCTAAAAACCTGGAAAGACTGCACGAGATGCTATGCAAGGACGCTCAAGAGCAAATAGTAATAGGCAGATTGGAGAAAAAGGCACAAATTTGGTGTACCATTAAACTGGTGGTGAGTTTACTTTTTCCCTCCAGCTTGGACTTGAAGGTGGGTACAGTTGTGGGAGGTGCACAGCAGAGTAGGGTGACCAAAGCCCAGCTTTCTGACCAGAGAACTGCAAAGGGGAGCCCCAAGGAGTGGACAAGTAACAGAGAGATCGTGGAGAAGGAGACTCATGGGAAGTGACCGCATAAAGGTGTTTATGAGCTGCATGTCTCATCCCTGAGCTGCACATGTGTGGATCTGATCCCCAACAGCAGAGAAACACTAACAGATAGACCATTGCCCAGGTCCCAGACTAAACACTAGGGGAAGAACCTAGGGGCAGAACTGAATGGCACTGCAAAGACTTTGAATTTGAAAACAGAATTGACACTGGAACTACAGCCCACAGAAGGCAGGTTGGAAAGTGAGGCCTGAGCTTAACCAGGTTCATTGCCTGCTAAGACAAAAATAGCAACATCCTTCATAGAATTTAAGCAAGACACAAAGTCTCATAGTCTAATAATCAAAATGTCCAGGATACAATTCAAAATTACTTGGCACATAAAAAAACAGACAAATCTCAACTTGCATGGGAAAAAGCAGTCAACGGATGCCAATGCTTAGATGACACAGAGTTAGAATTATCTGACAAAGAGTTCAGAGCAGCTATAATAAAAATAATCCAAAAGTAAGGGTGAATTTGCTTCACATGAATAGAAAGAATAGAAGGTCTTAACAAGGAAATAGAAAATATAAAGAGAACAAAATGGAAATTTTAGAATGTAGAAATGTAATCATAACCAAAATAAAACACATGGGATGGACTCACTAGCAAAACTGAGTGACAGAGGAAAGAGTCAATGAACTTAAAGATAAATAAATAACCATGACCTAATCTAAAAAACAGAGAAAAAACCCATAGTGAATACAGATTTAGAGACCTATCACACAGCACCAAAAAGTCTGACATTTAAGTCATCAGAGACCCAGAAAGGAAGGAGACAAAGTGCATTGCTGGAAAAAAACAAAAAACAAAAAAAAACTTGAAGAAATAATGCCTGAAAAATTATCAAATTTGGTGAAAGACATAAACCTACAGATTCAAGAAATTGAATGAATCCCAAACAGAATCAGCCCAAAGAAATCCATACCCAGCCACTTCATAATCAAATGGCTAAAAACTAAAGACAGAGAGAATCTTGAAAATAATTAGAGAAAAACAACATACTACTTATAGTGGTATAATTCCAATGCTTGAGGACTTCTCATCAGAAACCCTGGAGGCAAAAACAAAGTGGCACAACATTTTTCAAGTGCTGAAAGAAAAGAACTGTCATTCCAGAATTCTATATCCAATGAAAATATGCTTCAGGAATGAAGGTTAAAATAAAAACATTCTGTGAATCAGAATAAAGAAAACTAAGAGAATTTGTTGCCAGTGGACATGCTCAAAAAGAATTGCTAAGGAAGTTCTTCAGACAGATGAAAAATTATACCAGATGAAAACTTGGAACACTGAGAATGGAGGAAAAGCAACAGAAATGGTAAATGACTGGAAACAGTTTATTGAAAATGCAAAGGTATTCCAATTTTGGCCAATTTTACATCAGCCCTGAGGGTACTCCAAGGGCACATGTTAACCGCAGTTCTAAAACTCAGTGCTGTGGGGAAAGGGGGGCTCATGCAGAAAGTGAGATCATGTCAAATCACATCCCTCCTCTGCTCAGTCGCATCCCATCTCATGGACACTTCATAGTTTAGCTGTCCGGTTCTTCTCCCTCCTTCTGGTGGCTTTGGCTCATTTGGGGAGGCAACAATTCCTCTTCCTGTCTCTAACACATAATCCAAATAGAAGCTTCATCTCACTTCCTGGCTTTGGTGGTTGGTCTAGGGGTGGCCACTAGATCAAGCCAGACCAATCAGAGTTCTCTAGGACTCTTGAATTGGAACTAAGCAGGGAGATATGTGACAGGAAGCTGTCCACAGGTATGCTTGCTGTCACATGGAAAGGTTTGTCTGCATGCAGTCATAGGGAATGAGATGACAGCCAGTCCTGCACCCCAATCCCTGGTAGCAGTCATCCTTCAGGGCTAGCACCACCCATGCCCTTCCTGTAATTTGATTATGTGAACTTGTTAATTTGTCTTCAGTTAAGCTACACTGAGTTGTGTTTTCGTGACTGTTAAGAGTTCTGAATAATTTTTTATTTGAAGCTTTAGCTATCTTGTAATTAAGCATTGTGCTAGACTTCTGGTGGAGGGGAGAATTGATAAAGAACAGAGAGTCCCTGTTGTCGAGAGTCCTTCAGTTTAGTTGGGAAGAGAATTTACCCAGAAATGTCATTTCGGAGTGCCAAGTGAGCATTACAGACAATATGGGCTATGAAAAGAAAAGGGAAAAAATTGCTGTGGGCTGAAGTGATTCAAAATGTTTTCATGGAGAAGGTGAAACAGGCTGGAGGTAAAAGGAAAGGTGAGACATCCATAGGATGACAAGAGAGAGGAGAATATTCTGAGTAAGGGGAAATCACTTGAACAAAGGCAGACAATCAGCCATGCTTGAGAGAATCATGGAGCTCAGTCATGGGAGGTGGCTTATATGGTTTATAAAGTGCTCTCATATTCATCATCTCATATTTTCACAATGACTTAACAAGGTGGTATATTATGATGTTCCCACTTCACAGATGGTTCTGAGCCATTCAATGACTTTCTCAGTAATGTAAGTGGCAGATCTAGAACTTAAATCAGATGTTTTTGTTCAAGTGAAAGATGTTGAATGTCAGGTCAGAAAGTAAATTTTTCATTATAATGGCAAAGGACATCAGCTAATATTTGACAACAATTTCTTAATATTGTCAACTAGTCAATCAGCAAATTATCTAGTCTTTTAAAATTTTTTGACGTTTGACTCAAGATCCAAACAAGGTTCACAAATTGAATTTAGTTGGTAAGTCCTCCAAGTTGCTTTTAAAATTTCTAGATTCCCTTCCCCTTTTTTCTTGCAAGTTATTTGAAATATTCTGGATTTTACAGACTTCATCCCAATAGTATCAATTACATATTCTTTTATCTCTTGTATTTCCTGGAAACCATGATTAGATCTTGGGGCTTGATTAGATTCAGGTTCATTTTTAGAAGAATACTTCATAAGTGGTGGTGTGTGCTGCCAAATACATCGCATTAGAAGACATGCAATGTTTGGTCATCTCTCTTTTCATCATCTTAACATTGATCATTGGGTTCAAGTATTGTCAGCATGATCCATTCATTATGAAGTCTCCCATCAGTTATTCACCTAAGGGTTTTAGCAGCCATTGATATCATTGCCTAGTTCCATTATAACAGTGGGGGCTACAATATGATGACAGTCTAATTCTATCATTCTTTCTTCATTTATAGGCTAGAATTCTCCCATAAAGACCATTTGCACATCAACTATTTGGCTACCTGAAAAGGTAAAATAGATGCTTCTTTCCCTTTATTTGTAAGTTTTCAGAATACTGAAGTAGTTATCTAGCATATTCCAAAGGTAACTGATTAGTTTGTTTTATTATTATTATAGACTCAGGTATTTTAATATTTTTGATATGTTTCAATGCATTGCAATTACTGTTCATTTCAGTGCTCAAATTGTCCCATTTTGATCAATGGGAACCCCTTCAGGTAGTTTCTGGGTCATTTTGTTGTGATTGCCATAGTCTTTGCTATCTTTCTTGGTTTCCAGACTTACCTTGAATATTCCTGCTCCGTATCTGACAAAAAAAAAAAAAAAAGGGCATTTTACAAAGAGCTCTGGTTTCTTTTTCTGGGAAGTAGTATTTAGAGACAACAATCTGGGCCCTGGGGTGCTCACCGTTACTAGGTAGGTTGTTGTCTCTAGGTCTTTTATTTATTTATTTTTATTTGACATGGAGTTTCGCTCTTGTTGCCCAGGCTGGAGTGCAATGGCACAATCTCCACAACCTCTGCCTCCCAGGTTCAAGCGATTCTCCTGCCTCAGCCTCCTGAGTAGCTGGGATTACAGGCATGCACCATCATGCCTGGCTAATTTTGTATTTTTAGTAGAGACGGGGTTTCTCCATGTTGGTCAGGCTGGTCTCCAACTCCCGACCTCAGGTGATCTGCCTGCCTTGGTCTCCCGAAGTGCTGGGGTTACAGGCGTAAGCCACCACGCCCAGTGTCTCTAGGTCTTTTAATCAGAGAAGGGAAATACTTTTTATTTTAAAGAGAAAATACATCATGGACTCATGCTTAGGTTTCCAATTCAAGTTTAAAATGACGTGGCTTTTACTTAGCTTCTGTGACTTTATATTTGTATCTATTTTCTCTTATTCTGAAAATCCTTGGTCCTAAAGTGAATAACTTATGTGCTTTGTTCTACTACACATATATTTTAGAATAACAATAGAAACATTATTATTAACAATGTAACTGAAAAAACCGCTTTGTATTTCTATGCAAGATTTTTTTTAATCTTTATGTCATATCTTACTAGGGTTATATAATCAAATTACTGTATTTTAAAGTCACTTGAAATAACTATTCCCTATGTAAGTAAGTCACCAAATTGATACACAGTTAGGCTTGTTTTATTTATTTTCCATTTTTAAGAATTGCATTTTCCTAATTAATTTTTGTTTTATAATTATGTAAAGCATTTACATATTTTTTGTTTGTTTGTTCGTTTTTGAGACAGGGTCTCGCCCTGTTCCCCAGGCTGCAGTGCAGTGGTACAATCTCGGCTCACAGTAACCTCCACCTCCGGGGTTCGTGCAATTCTTCTGCCTCAGCCTTGCGCACCACCACACCTGGTTAATTTTTGTATTTTTAGTAGAGACGGGGTTTCACCATGTTTGCCAGGCCGGTCTTCAACTCCTGACCTCAGGTGATATACCCACTGTGGCCTCCCAAAGTGCTGGGATTACAGACGTAAGCCACCATGCCCGCTGGCATTTACATAGTTTTAAGGTAAAAGTCTATAAAACAAGGTACATTGAGGGAAGTCTTGCTTGCATCCCTGGCTTTTCTGTTTTATTTCCTACTTCCTTTATATATAACCACTATTAGTTTTTGTTATCCTGCGTTTAAAAAATATATAACCAATATGTATATATAATCTAATAATCTCACCTTTCTCAGGTAAAATACTTCCCTATAAACAGTATTCTCTGCCTTTCCCCACTTTTAATAGTATGTTCTTAAAATCACTTCATAGTGGTATATAGAAATATTTCTCATTCCTTTTTATAGCTGCATAGTAATCTATTATGTATTTCAGTAATAATAAACTCCATCATTTACTCAACCAGTTTCCTACTGATAGGCATTTGGGTTGCTTTCAATTCTTTGCTATTATAACTAGTGCTGCAATTAATTGTCTTGTGCACATATCCCTTCATACTTTTGTCAATATTTCTTTGGTATAGATTCTTGCAAGTAGATGGACTTGTTCAAATGGCAAATATATATATCATTTTAGTAGGTATCGATAAATTTCTTTCTATAGGGGTTGTAATATTTTCCATTTCCAATTGCAATATACTGAGTGCCTGCTTCCCCACTGCCTACCTAACAGAGTATATTGTCAAACTTTCAGAGCTTTGCTTGAAAAATGGCATTTTGGTGTAATGCTATTTTTCGTCTTTCTTATTACTCTCAATTTAAAGTTTTAATCCCCTAACACATCTCTTGGCTCATTGCAACTGTTCAATAATTATTCTCTGAACCCATGAAAGCATGAAGTGGCACTGGAAGAAGATTAATCCAGCCACAGAATACACAATCATTTGGAATACGGGGAGAAGAGGCAAGGAGCGCTGGTGAATTTCAGGACCCAAACTCAGGCCATAAAAATAGTGACTTGATTTTTCTACAATTCCTAAATATTTTCTCTTTTTCAGGGTGTGGGGGGCACACATTTAATCTCTGTCTGTTCAGATTTTGCTGCATCTCCCCCCGCCCACTGAAGTTGTGTCTGAATTCCAGGCTCTTGGAGCAGGGCTACAGTGACGGACGGGGGCACTGCGAAGGGGAGTCAGGTTCCTGGTCATCATTTGCCCATTCAGGCACCAGCTGAGACGCCCTCCTTCCTGGAGGTCCTCAGTCATTGAGGCAAGGAGGTTGCAGCTGTGTGTGGCTTCCACTTTCATCCGGGGTCTTTCTTCGGTTGGCCCTTAGTTCTTTCAGGCCTTTCTCGTGAACTTAAGGACATCTGGCTGTTCTCTGTCACCACTTAGGGACCAGAGGAGACTCTGGGAGGACATTTAAAGTCTTATTTCCCGGACACCCCATGTAGCCATTTCTACTGCTCAGCTCTTGGGCTGTGCTGAGTTCCTTCACAGAAAATGGGACTTGTTTCCTTTGCTTTGAATTGCACGACCTCCCCCCGACCCCCACTCAAACCCCTCTGCCACCCACCCTCCAAATCTATCTAGGGCTCAGCCCAGGTGTGGGAGGAAGGCACAACAGGGTTTCTTCTCGGGGACCCATCAAACCTTTTACACCTTCCCCAGTGCCCAGCTTGGGAAATATTTCTCTCCTGGGGAAAAGGGGTATGATGAAAACTGATGACTGGCTTTTGAAATTCAAAAACCAAGAACTTGACTGCCTTTAACAACCCTCCCTTGAAGCAATGGATGGATGCCTGCTGTGTGGGAGGGCCATAAGGTGAAAGAAAGGAATGTGGAGGAGGGACTCAGCTAATTTCCAAATGTTATCCCGGTTACACCAGTTAAGAGCATATAGCAATGGCCCAGGTATGACGTGATGAGAGGTGGAATGAGATATTGGCTAGGGTTTGGGGCTGATTATTGAAGGAGGAAAGCAGAAAGGATTCAAGAATGATGCTGGGATCTGGAGCTGCCCAAGCAGAAGAATGATAGTGCAAGTGGCAGACATGGGGCCAGCAGGAGGGTGGGCACCCTGATTCTGGGAGGAAGATTGAGAACTTGGCTTTAGGCTTGGGTGAGGTGTAGAGGTGATCATCAAATCCATGAAAGGGCCTGAGATCCCTTCTTTCTGGAAGATGAGACAGAGAGAGTTGCTGAAGTTTCAGGACTGAGCCTTGGAAACTTCCCCATGTAGGAGGTAGGAAGAAAAAGAGGATGGTTCACAGAGGCCAAGTCTTTGTATTACTGGATGGAAGGTCTTGACAGTGAGTTGTCCAGGTTCTTGGAGTGTTAAACAAAGAGTTGAATAAATAATTGAACAAAACGCAGAAACAAATCAACGAAAGAACGAAGCAATGAAAGACAAAGCAACAAAAGAATGGAGTAAGAAAGCACACTCCACAAAGTGGAAGCAGGCTGGGACAAGCAGCTCAAGAGCCCCTATTGCAATGGTCTTTAGGGTTTTTATTAGGCTAAAAGAATTTGGTTACACCCCTAGGTGTCCTTTAGAAGCCTCCAGTTGGTTACACCTTATGAAGGATTGGCCTGTGACCAGAGGTAGTGGAGACTTGGCTCACAGCCAATCAGAGGCCAAAGTGGAAACGTCTTATTATCACATGAGTGAGGATGTGGCCTGTATGGTGCCTAATCTTGCCTAGAACTGGCTGCACCTGCTGTTCTTTTGCTTATGCCTTAACCCTTGGTTACCCTAAATCTCTATTCTCCTGCCTCATTTGCTGGGCCAAGCCACATGTGAATGTGTCTTTCTTCTAACGATGTGGTCTCACCTGGATATGTGGGAGGAGAATCCATCTTAGAGCATCTCATTAATACACTAGCCTGGTCTATATGTGCATTTGATGACCATCTGTTGCCCTGGAAGGCAACATCTGCACTGATCATTCAAAATTGTACATCCTTGGGAATATCTGAGACTGTACGTTTTTCCTCCTGTAGATACAGATGTTCCTAGAAGTAAGGTTGGTTTTACTTTAAAGCAAAAAACATTCACTACACACCTAATATGCACAGAGCACAACATGGTACAACTACGTGGTACAGAATTTTTAAACTGCTGGCTTATGGGCTATATCTGACCCAGTGACTTCTGTTGTTTAGCCCACATAGTGTTTGTTTTGTTTTGCTTTGCTTTGCTTTTACTTTTAACTAGTTACCCAAATTTTAAAATCAGGACGTTTCACCTAGAAATGTGGATCTCAGGCTATTCTTAAAAAATCCATTTGGCCACGGTGAGCCAGTATTCACAAGAGGCAAAATCAGCTCGAAGGTTGGAGCAGCTGCTCCCTCAGACAGACATGCACCTGCTATTCTATAATAGATCCTGCCTGTTCCATGTCTCTCATTTATACATCTAGTCTGACACCTGTGAGCCCTGATGTCTGAAATGCCTGGCTTGAGGATTCAATGCATGGGCTTTCATAAAACACAGGCTCAAATCTTGACTTGGCCACCTACTGGCGACTTTGGGCAAGTTATTTGACCTCTTGAAGCTTGCCTCCCTATCTGTAGAATGACAATGAAAAGAATTGCCTATCTCCCAGGACAAGGAGCACAGAAGACAAGTAGAAATTGCTCAGCAAATGGCAGTTATTGCTGTTAAGGATGAATGAGACAAACTCCCTGCTGACAAGATTCTAACCCTTCGAAGCAAGTAAGAACACAGGCACCTGTGAGCCAAGGCAGAATGGGCTCTGTTAGGGGGAGGCTAGGAGCAGGCAGAGCCCTCACGCTGTGGCACAGAGAAGGTTCCCAGAGTAAGGAGGGGACCTTGGGGCCTGGATTTCTTTCCTCTTCTGTGGGAGGCAGGCGGCCCAGCTGCGGCCTGCCTGGACTTTGAAACGCTGCCATGCAGGACGGAGCCCAAGCCCTGGGAAGGCTGGTCCCCACCCCAGCCGGCCGCCTCTTTGCTGGGATTCCAGGAACCGGCCGTATCAGTTGGGCCCAGTTTCAGGAATCGGGTTTCTTGCCTTTTCCCCTCAGTCATGTGGCCGCTGGAGTGGACGGTGCAGGCAGGAATGTGATGAGCTGTCAGGCCGCTTTCCAGGCAGGGGAGTGGGAGTATTTCAGATGGGGAATCTGGTTAGAATGTGGGGATACCAGGCAGACCCCACCTCATGGAGCAGCCCGGGCAGGTCTCTCAAGTCTGAGAGCTAAAAAAGCAGGCTCCCCCCGCCTCCAATCTTAGAACACAGACCACCCCTGGCAAGACTTGTTTCTGGGCTGGAGGAGACAGCCTGAGAGAACAAGGAAGGCTTTTTCTCTCACCACCCTGGGGCTGGGAATGTCTCCTCTGACCTCCTCTGCCTTCTGGGACCCTGGGCTGGGAAGGAAGTGTGCCTTTTAAACAAAATGTTATGTACACTGCGATAATTTAGAATGCTGCTCATCAGCAAACGTCAAAATCATGTGCATTTGTGTGGAAGACCTTTCTTCTAAAGAACTCCAAAAATAGGCAAATGGAGCACCAGGTTCACTTTCCAGGCCTGCTTCTCAGGCAGGGAGAAGCATATCTGCTGCTGATAAAACAAGAGACGCAGAAGGCCAGCCTGCTGCACAGAGCCAGGAAGGGTCACCGTGGCAGTGTGTCTCCACCCAGGGCTCCTGCCCCAGTCTGCACTCAGCTCCCCAGCCCACCACCTCCTAGGTCCCCAACTATTTTTCTTTGAAAAGGATGGAGGTCCTTCCCCTTTAGAGTGAGGTAAATAAAACAATCTCTTGGGCACAAAATTTAAGTGGGGGGAGGTGACAAAAAACTCAACACTCAAGATAAATAATATTTTAATGCAATTTAATTTTAAAAAGCAAAATGAATGGAAAAATCTATGATGTACAAAATATCAAACTTTGAAATAAAGGTAGGATCCAGCCATGTATCTACATGACCACCTCATTCACCTTCATTGGCCTCAAGTTTGCTGCAAGCACCATCCCCAGAGCCTGGGTAGAGGGCAGGGAGCACTGGGCTGGATCCTATTCTGCTGCTTAACAACTGGTTGACTTTAGGTTAAGTGAGTGAAACTTTTTTAGCCTCCATGTACTCATCTGTAAAATGGGGACAGTAACACCTACCTCAAAAGGTGTGAGAGTTAAGTGACGGACAATAGACAAAATGCCCAGCACAGAGCTGTAGCCATTCCCTAAGAACTGACTCCCAACCCTGTGGTTTCCCACCAGGCTTTTTCTCCCGAACCTCACAGGAGACATTGCGGACTAGAATTAATCTGCTCTATCCCCTAACCCAAGTGCCTGCACCTGGCAAATGAGTCACGTATGTCTGTTTAATGCCCGGATTAAATATGGAAAAGGAAATTGATCCAGAGCTATCAATTAAATGATCAGTGAAGTGAATCTACAGTTAAGATTGAAAGAAGTGGTAGGAGCCCCATCACAGGGTGGAAATGCAGATCTCAGGGCCCCTGGAGTAAAAATGTGGGTCAACAAAATGGTAAAATTAAAATACACACAATAGACCACATGTGGTGGCTCACACCTGTAATCCCAGCACTTTGGGAGGCTGAGGCAGGTGGATCACCTGAGGTCAGGAGTTTGAGACCAGCCTGGCCAACGTGGTGAAACCCCGTCTCTACTAAAAATACAAAAATTAGCCGGACATGGTGGTGGGCATCTGTAGTCCTAGCTACTCAGGAGGCTTAGGCAAGAGAATCACTTGAACCTGGGAGGTGGAGGTTGCAGTGAGCCGAGATTGCGCCATTGCACTCCAGCCTGGGAAAAAGGAGTGAAACTATCTCAAAAAAAAAAAAAAAAAAAAAAAAAAGGAGAGAGAGAAATTAATTAATTAAAATAAAATAAACACAACAACCTGAGGGAAGTATTTGGAACTTATGTGATAGAAAGAAGATTGACTTTCTTGTTATAAGATAACCTACAAGAAAATGATAAAGAATACCCAATGAGAACATGAACAACAGACATAAACAGGTAATTTACAAATGAAGAAATGCAAAGGACCCAAAATCCCATGAAAGCATGCTCAACTTTTCTAATAATCAAAGAAATGCAAATTTTTCATGGATTAAACTATCACCTTTTTAAAAAGTTACAATTTCTGGTACTAGTGAGGGTCTGAGGAAAACAGGTAATCCATACATTGCTGAAAGAAGAGTAAATAGGATTTTTCTGGAGGCCAACTTGAATACAAAGTTTTTAAAATGTGCAGACTCTGACTCAGAAATAGCATTCCTCGAAATAACATCTATTCTAAGGTAATAATAGATGTGAGAAAAAATGTTAGTTTCAGCAAAGAATTGCTTAACAGGACGCTGAACATCACTTGAGTGTCCTACAATAGAGGATTTTTTAAAAGTTTATAAAAAGGTAAGTAGATGACATCAAAGTGTTATCGGTGGTTATCTCTGGGTAATAAGATTGTGAGCTGTATTTTCTATTTTTTGCTTTTCCTTTTTAAAATTTATTTTATTGTGGTAAGAACACTTAACATGATTTCTATCCCCGTAATAAGTGTACAATACATTATTGTTGACTGTGGGTACAGAGGAACGTAGAGCGTATTCACCTTGCTTAACTGAAAACTTACACCTGTTAATTAGTAACTCCACATCTGCACCACCCCCTAACCCTACCCAGCTTCAGGTAACCACCATTTTTTGACTCTATGAATTTGACTATTTTAGATACCTCATAAAGTGGAATCACACAGTATTTGTCATTCTTTGATTTGTTTGTTTCTCTTAGCATGGTGTCCTCAAGATTCATCCATGTTGTCCCATATTGTGAAATTTCCTCCTTTATTAAGGCTAAACAATATTACATTGTATGTAATTACCACATTTTCTTCATCCATTCCTCTGTTTACGGACATCTGTGTTGTTTCCATATCTTTGCTATTGTGGATAGTGCTGCAATGAACATGGGAGTTCTAGCATCTCTTCAAGATCCCGATTTCAATTCTTTTGGATAAATACCCAGAAGTGGGATTGCTGGATCATATGGTAGTTCTATTTTGCTTTTCTGTGTATTTCCAATTTTCTACAATGAACACATGTTGCCTTTTATAATAATTTTGTTTTAAGAATGAAAGATCTCAAGGGTCTGATTATCCTGGGGAGGAGAGTGTGCTGTGGGTGACCCTGCACCTGTGACTTCTGGATCTGCTGTGTCCGGTCCTCTAGTCCCTGAGCACTTGAAGAAGGAGTGGGGTTGGGGAGGATTCCAAGCTGCACCACAGGTCATTGCAAACCAAGATGGTCAGCACAGTGTGGGAGCAATCTGTGAGCCTGGTGTAGGTTTCTGCAACATTTGGCTGATTTGAAGTAACAATAAAGAACAAAGTTTTTGAGTGGAGTGATTGCATTATCTAATACTACAGAGCCTGAAAAGAAACGTGCTAATAATTGTTTTAAGCTAATTATTCTGTAAAGGTCAAATAGTGCTTGTGAACTTTAGCTGCTATACTTAGGGCACTTAAGCAAACAGATCAGTCCGTTGTTGGGAGTATAATAAATCAACTTTTGAGTTTAACATATTTTCACGAAGGTTATTTTTCCTTGCAGGAGCTTTTCAGCCACTGAGAATTCAGAGCCTTTAATGATTCTGGAGACCTCTTAGGTATTAACCCTTGAATTGCTTGGCTTACCCAAACCATGCTTCCCCTAACCCCCATCTGAGCTAGGTGAGAAGCAGATTATCTGAGACCGACATCAAGTGAACCCACAGACCTGGGATCCTTGGTGCCTCCAGCAGCCAAGGCTTGGAACTTCCTGGGACCCTGGGTCTGCCCTAGCTTCCTCCCCACCCCAAACACCACAGGGTTCTCAGTGGGGTTTTCATACTATTAATTATTTCTGAGCTTTGAAAGGATTGCAAAAGGCCCATGGGGATCAAGGAGGCCAAAGCCCATCTGGTGAAGAGATGCTTCATGATGAGGGAGGGGCCATGTGGAGAGTTGTGTTTTGTAGGCAGGACAGATATTTGCAGGTGATGCTGGATCAGTGGTGTTTGCATCCTGGGCCCTTCCAATATGAAAGCAGCCAGAGAAGGGACTGGAGCCTGAAATTAATAATAATCATGATGATGATAAGGAAGCGGGGAGGAAGAGAAGGCGGAGAGGAGGTTGATAAAAACAGCTATCATTTATTCACACGTATTCACACTGTGTATCAGGCAGTATGTTAAGTGCTTTGCACACATTCCTCATATACTCACAATCCAAATACTATTCTTTTATCCATCCTAGAGATGAGGAAATCAAAGCTTAGGAAATGTAAATAATTTGCCCAAGTCACACAGACAGTAAGCAGCACAGTTACAGTATAAGCCCAGATCTGTGTGACTCTGAGACCTAAGTCTTAACCACCGAATGACATTGATCCTGAAACGTATAGGATAAAGCTAGTAGAAAGAGAGGCAAGTAGAGTGTTCTGAGGCATTTAAAAAGGTGACAAAGTAACTCTTCAAGAAGCCAAGTGCTGGAGGTCTTTGTTCAGCTCTTGACTGTAGAGAAAGGTGGATGCTTGCAAAGGAACAGACCTCAGGGTGATGTCTTAGCTGGATGTGAATGGGGCTGTGGGGTCAGTTCCTCGGTTCCCCCGTAACCTCTTGCCATCTAAATCCATTGTTTCCTAAATGAGTTCAGTGAAACACAACTCATTCTTAAACCCGTGTTCTCTCTGAAGCTGTCTTGCTTCTTTTCCTCCTCTCTCCTCTGGATCTGAAGGAGATATGACTGTATGTGGCACTGCTGGAGACACCTCTTGAAGTCAACTGGGCACCTGGCAGGTAGGGGCAGAGCCTCTACTCTTATGTCCCTGCATTCACGGCTTCCCCACAAGAGGCAGGAGAGAGCAGTGGAGCTTCAACCTTACTAGCTGCTAAAGAAACACGTTTCCCTCCCTGAGGCCTGCAGTATCCACATTCTGCAAAGCCTCGACTACAGGGGAGTGGCTGAGGCTGGAAGTCCCTGAGACTCACACCTTGTCCATGTCCCTGCTGATTACCACCAAGAGGCTGGAACTGCCCCAGCCTGAGAAAGCAAGAAGCAGCTCTCAGGATGGCAGAGTTGGGTGTGGGCCTTTAAACCTATTGGCCCATAAGAGGGAAGTGCCCCAAATTACTTTTTCCAGTGCTCACAGTGCTGGATGGTTTAACAGGACACAGAAGTTGTGCATGAGGTTTTTTTTTCTTATATTTTCAATGAATGTTTTTAGTATAATTATTATGAAAATTTATAATATATTTGTCTTTAATTAGACATTTACTATTAATATTATAATAATAATTCAATAATTCAATTCAGAAGAAAATGTTTAACATTTGGAACTTTATGGTTCCTAAAAATAATGTATTGAAATTTCTATTTGGCTGCAAATAAATATTACAGAGTTAATATAAAAACTTCCATGCATAAAATAAATTACATAAAATTTAAATTCTGCCGAAGAAGTGAAATTCAAATATAAAATCAAGGGGAAAAAGAATTAATATAAGATTCTGACTCCTAACAAATAGCAATGTTGATGCATTTTTTAAATGGGTGCTGGTGAGTATCATATCACCTTATTGGATGAGAGGTGCTGGGAGGGAAGGTAGATAAGGTTAAGGGGAATTGATTGCTGTGTTCATTAACATGGCTAGGCTAGGCCTCACTGAGAAGTTGATGTCTAAAATGACAGCATTAGCAGATATCTGGAAGAAGAGTCTTCCAGGTAATGCAAGGCCCTGAAAGAGGGAAGGAACGTGCCCAGCATGTTCAAGGAACACCAAAGAGCCCAGTGTGGTGAGACTGGCAAAAGAAAGAAGGAAAAGATGTCAATGGTAAAAGTTTATTTTTCAAAGTTAAGGAATCAACAAGCAAAATAGGTTGAAGATCATTGAGTCATATGTTATAAAACATGGTGTTATGAGACATTTAACCCAGGTTCCTGGCTACCGGTTACATCTATTCCTCACAAATCATACACTCTCACCCAAGTTAATTGCAAGCAATTGGATGTTGGATATTTTTTAAGAGATATTTCACTCTTAAGTTATAAACATACGTTTTCCATTGAACTCTAAATATCTTTGTACTGGGAGGGAAGTTAAGTAACGTACATTCTCTTCCCTTTAGAGTAGATGGAACAATTGGATATCTATATGCAAAAGCTGAATCTCCATCTAAACATCAGCCCTTAAGCAAAAATTAACTCAGAACATAAATCTAAATGCAATGCATAAACTAAAAAATTTTGAGAAGGAAACATAGGAAAAAATCTATGCGACCTTGGGTTTGGCAATGAGCCCTTAGACATGGTATTAAAATATAATCTTTTTTATAAATGATGAGTTGGACTTCATCAAAATTGAAAACTTGTGCTCTGAGACAGACACAGCTAAGAGAACAAAAAGCCAAACTACAGACTAGGAGAAAATATTTGCAAATCACGCATCTGACAAAGGACTTGTATCCAGAATATAGAAGGAATTCTCAAAACTCAACAGTAAGACAGCAAACAACCCAGTTTTAAAATGGGCAAAAGACATTAACAGACATTTCACCAAAGTGGAAATAAAAATGACAAATACACACATGTAAAGATGCTTGATAAAATTAGCCATTAGGGAAATACAAATTAAAACCACTACAAGATACCACTACAACCCCTGTTAGAATGTCTCTAGAAATATATACTGATAGCACCAAGTGCTGACAAGGATATGGAACAACTAAAATGCTCATACATTGCTGGTGGGAATGCAAAATGGGATAGCCCCAGTGAAAAGTTGTTTCACAGTTTTTCATGAAGTTAAACATATACTTACATCCCAATAACCCCACCCCTGTGTATCTACTCCAGAGAAATAAAAATGTATGCATACACAAAAACCTATACATGAATATTTATAATATCATATAATAAGTACCTTTATTTATAATTGTCCCAACCTGAAAACAAACCAAATGTCCTCCAGTAGATGAAAGAAGGACATCTGTGTTGCATCTATAATCCATACAATGGAAGAGTTTTCAGTAATGAAAAGGAATGGGCTTTTGGTACATGCAACAACTTGGGTGAATGCAAAGATACTATGTTGAGTAAAAAAAAAAAGTTGCAAAAGGGTACATAGTACATGATTCCATTGACATGACATTCTTGAAAAGACAAAATTATTAGAATGGAGAATAGATCAGTGGTTTCCAGGGATTAAGGCCTGGGGAAGCAGTGACTATAAAGGAAGGGCACAGCAGGGCTTTTACAGGTGATGAAACAGTTCAGTATCCTGATTATAGTAGTATTAAATGAATCTGTATGTTAAAATTCTACTCTACAAAAGGGTCTCCAAGAAAGGATCAGTTTTTAAATAATTTGGAATTTTCTAGGTAGATATTCATGCCATCTCTGAAGACAGAGAGTTTTATCTATTCCTTTCCAACCTGTATGCCTTCCATTTCTTTTTCTTGTCTTATTGCACTAGCTAAGTATAATAGGTTTTTTTTTTTGTTTTTTTTTGTTTTTTTTTTGTTTTGGAAACAGCTTCTTGCTCTCTCACTCAGGCTGGAGTACAGTAGCATGATAATGGCTCACTGCAGCCTCAACCTCCTGGGCTCAGGCAATCCTCCCATCTCAGCCTCCCAAGTAGCAGGGACTACAGGCATGAGCCACCATGCCTGGCTAATAGTTTTTTTTTTTGTTGTTTGTTTTTTTGTAGACACAGGGTCTCACTATGTTGCCCAGGCTATTTTTGAACTCCTCGGCTCCAGTGATCCTCCCACCTTGGCCTCCCAAAGTGCTGGGATTACAGGTGTGAGCCATCATGCCCAGCCTAATAATTTTGAAAATAAAAAAATTTAAGGTATGTAATAGGGTCTTCCTGCCACCCTGACCTCCATTTATTCCATTCCTACCAACCTTCTCTAGCCCCTCTAGCTTCTCATGTATCCTTCCAGAGTATCTTTATGTATATACAAGGAAATCTGGATATTATTTTCATTTTCTCCTGCATTCTCATGAAATGTAGTTTACACAGTACTTATTTTACTTAATATATCCTGAGTTCTTCCCACATCCATGGTAGAGAGCTAAATTCTAGGAGAAGGTTTAGTTGCAGCCTTGGATCTGTTTTAGCTGATGTTTTTCACACACTGCATGCAAAATTCCTGAGGAAGAAGCATTTGCTCTCCAGGACTGACTGCACCCAAAGGCAGGAAGGATCTATTTACTAAAGTGTTTAGCCAGGTACACAGTGCACATAGTCCACTGCCATGTGCAGGGCTAAGCTACTGCCAGAAATCAATGTTCACATTTGAACTAATGTTTCAGACTGCCTGGCTTATCTGGTGAATGTTTGTAGAATAAATGGGTTGGAAGGGAACTCGGGCACTCTATCTAATGCCTGGGCCTTGGCTTTCCATTCTGTAAAGCCACCAGATATGAGTGGTTGGTACCTGGACTGTTGGCTTAGACAGACGGCCTCTTTCCATGGCCAGATCAGCTTAGCTCACCTGTACCCACCCCTCAGTTGTTCAGACCAGACAGCCTGCATCTCTGCCATGCTTCTCCCAGGATGCTTTTTCATTCCAGTGCTTGATCTTCACTGATCCTCAACCTTCTGCACTTTCTAAAACCTGTAAAACGTTCCCTTCATCACGCTTCTGAAATATAATACAAACGTTTGCTTCACATAAACTCTTGATCAAGCCTCGACAAGAATGCTACTGTTTTCACACTTCTCCATTGTGGGTGGGTATCTAGATTTTAGATTCTAGACTGATCATTCCATTTCAGATCTAGAAAAACAGAGGCCTCCATAAATCAGCAATATGCAATGGGAGGAGACAGTGTGGTATGGTGGAAAGATGGAAAGAATATAGGTTTTGGAGTCCAATATTCAAAATCTGAGATTAAATCCCATCTCTGCTACTTACTAGTTGTGTGACTTCGGCAAGCCACTTAGGTTTTCTGATCCTGTTTCCTCATCTATAAAACTCCTGTGTGGTCATAAGGATGACAGGATAAGTTATATAAGACATTCACAAAAAAAAGGAAAGAAAAGAAGCAGATATTACCTTTTGTGTCTTTGGGCAGAAGGAATTTCTACCACCTTCCTCCAGCGGTGAGGCAGCATGGTGAAGCGACATGGTCAGGCAAGCTGACTGCCTGGGTTCAGTCCTGGGTCCATTACAGTGTGACTTGGGGCAAGTTAATTATCTCTCTAGGCCTCAGTTTTTAATCTAAAAACTGGCATGAAAATAGTACCTGCCTTACACAGTTGTGATGATCCAGTAAGAACATTTAGCTCAATGCCCAGCACACACATGTTCAATAGACATTATCAGGAATGTAAGAGAATAAGCCAGACCATAAGTAAATGTCATGACTGATGACATTTCATTGGCCAAACCAAGTCATGTAGAAAGCACACTCTGCCCACGGTGGGAGGAAATGCACTTTACATGGAAAAGAATGTGGATCTAGAATCCTGTTACAGGAGGGTAGAGATTGGGGAAAAGATCCAATCATCTGGCTCGGACACAGAAGGAGATGTTAAGGGCACTGATATGGCTCAAAAACAGAAACTCATAAACAGCAATCACAAAAAAAGCAAGAATAATAACTGCCATTTATGGAGCACCAACTCTGGTGGGAGGGGCTGTTCTCAAATAATCACAATATAGGCTGGGCAGACCCAACGAATTTCCTTCCCCTCATCTGACTCTCTCTGTCTTTCCCCTCCTACAGTGCTTTAATTCATGGTGAAATTCCATTTCAGGGAAGTTAATTATAAAGAAGAAATAATAGCAACCATTATAACCAGAGTAAGACTGATAATATTTATCAGTTACTTCATGCACATTATCTCATTCAATTCTCATCATAACCTCAGGGCATGGTGTTATTTTTCTCACATTGTAAATGAGGACACCAGGCTTAGAGACCAAGCGCTTTCCCAAAGCCACGCAGCTGGAAGGGAGCAGCGCTAGACTGTGAATTGTTAGAGTTCACAACCCATGCTCTTCTCATTATCCTGCTCTGCCTCCTCCTGGTGCACAGCACAAAGTCTCCAGAGCCTCTGTTCCCCAGACTGAAGCGGAGCCAATGTTCTGGACCCTCTGCCTACAATGTGGAAGTGGATAAATAGTAGCGAGGATGTTGGTGCTTATGTTAACAGAAAGCTGTTTGTATTATCTCTCACGTCAGTGAAGGATGTTCAGAGCCAAGAGTTAAGGGGAAAAAAAAAAACAAAAAACCACTGGGTGTTCAGGTAGAAAAGCCTAGGAAAAATAACAACAAAAAACCCCACTGGGCAGAGCTGGGTTTGGAGCTGAAGTCTGCGTCGTCTCACAGGAGTGGGTGGAGGGGCCGGGGAGCTGTGGCGTCCTGGCTGTTGGAGTCTGCGGGCCTCCCCAGCTGATGGCTGAGGCATAAGGCTCTGGAACTTGGAGGCTGCCCTGAAGAGCCCTCTGCATTAGTTTCCCAGGGTTCCTTAACAAAGTACTGCAAACTGAGTGGCTTAAAGCAACAGAAATGGATTCTCCCACAGTTCTGGAGGCTAAAAGTCTGAAATGAAGGTGTCAGCAAGCCATGTTCCCTCTAAGACCCAGAGTCTGAGACTCTTTCCTTGCCTTTGCCTAGCTTCTGATGGCAGCTGGCAATCCTTCATATTCCATGCCTTGCAACTGCATTACTCCAACCTCTGCCTCTGTCTTCACATGGTGTTCTCCCTGTGTGGGTGTCTGTGTCCACATTTCCCTCATCTTAAAAGGGCACTAGTCATATTCGGTTTAAGGACCCCCCTCCCCCTGATCCCACTCAGTATGACTTTATCTTAACTTGATTAGATCTGCAAAGACCATATTTCCAAATAAGGTCACTTTCCACTGGTACTAGGGGTTCAGACTTCAACACGCAATTTGGGGAGAGACAATTCAAGCCATAACACCACCATGTCCTATGTCCTAGGACTTGGTATAGGGTAAAAGTACTGTCTCATGTGGCCCTAGAGCCCTCAATGCAACTGAGACGAAGGTTCCAGCAGTGGCCCTTAGACAAGTTAAAAAGCATAATCTTGAGGGGTCAGCCTCTAAAGTTCTGTTCTCCTGCAGGTGTGGGGACTATCCCTAGCTTTGTGACTGAAGACTTGCCAGGTCCTGGAAGCATCTGGGAAGTGTTTTGGTTGAGGAGAGTTGAATGTTTGAAGAAGAAAATATCAGAGTGACATTCCTGCTGCTGGCTCCCCTCTGATGTACCGCCCTTGTGCTTTCTCCTACTGCACTTGCGATCCAGCAGCCTACAAAGAACATGTGCTTTCGAATGAAAGCCCTGCTCCAGCACTCACTAGCTAGTTAACCTTAGGAGTATTATTTCAAAGCTCTTGGAGCCTCGGTTTTCCTCATCTGTTAAAATGGGACCATAAATACTTAACTCAGTGTTGTGAGAGTGAAATTATGTTATGTACAGGGAAGTACACATAGCAAGTATTTGATATGTGTTAATTTCTCTTTCTCGTCCTTACTGGATGGGATCAGAGGGATGGATAAACCAGTTACCACTTCACCAGTTCGGCAAATGTTTATTGAGCACCTACTACACAAGTGGCTTTAGGCTGGGCCCTGGGGATGCAATGAATAACAAGATCAAGTCTTGTCCTGCAGGCACAAACAACCATGTAACAATGTAGTAAGTTTTGTTTCTTTTCTGTCCTGGGTGCTCCTCTGGGACCTTCAACATCCTAGGAACATTTTGGGTCCAGTGGTCTGAGATCTTACCAGAGCTCCCAATCTCTTTCCTAAAATATAGTGTAAGTGTTAAGTGCCTACTCTAGGCAAAGTCTTTCACATATAATACCCCTACATTTTACAATATTTTGTATGGTCCTAGCATCTGCATTTTTCAGGTGAGGAAACTGAGACTCGGGTGTAAAGAAAACAACCAAAGATCATCCAGATGGGATTTAACCTGACTTGTTTGGATCCCAAGACCTCATCTCCTTGATACCATTTACAATTTCAAAACTGTGACTCTAAGTAGACAAGCTTACATTTTATCTGGCTCTGAACCTTATGCAAAGGGAAGCTGGTTCCAAGAACAAGAGAGGTAATGTCAGCATTCCTGGATGATGTGGGCCCCTGAGTCCAGCTCAGAAGGCTGGCACACATTTGTGCTGACACCCCACTGTGTCTTCTTGGTTTTAGTCCTACTCATCCTTGGGTTTATGTGCACTTGCTGAGTAGCCGGGAGATGATGGTCCTTACCTATGGAGCTACCACCCAGTCCTCTCTAGCATATTTCGGCTTTTCAGGCATAAGATGAGTCTGTTCTGATTAAGATGCCCAGTCATTTCATTATGCAAGACTCTGAAGCTTGGGATCAGTGTTAAAGCCAGTGTTCTCTAAGGATACACACACACACACACACACACACACACACACACACACACACTGCAGAGGTCAGGGGGTCTGTGGAGTTAGGATATATTTTTAACAGGCCTCTCTAGTTCCTAAAAGAATGAAAGTTCCTGGTCCACTGGCCTGAGAATGCTGAAGTCACTTCAGCCCCCACCCAACAAACATTAAAGACCTGGGAGGCCCAGGGTTCCCGGGGGCTACTGGTGTTAGGGAGAGGCTTGATGGGCCTTAGAGACAAACTGGATCTGTTGCTGCTTCCCAGCTTGTAAAAAAAAAAAAAAAAAAAAATCAAAATCCCATTTTTGATGTCTGACTGTGAGGCCCCATCCATCCCACCCCTTCTGCCCCATATCTGTGCAGGTGGGTGAGAATGCCTGGGCTCACCTTCCTTTAGCACTAGCAGGAATTGAAGCCACACAACACATAAACCTTTGCCCACACGCAGGAACCCTCACCCCATCCCCACACCATAGGCACCATGAAAGCCCAAGCCACATTTCAGATGTGCTTGGGAGCTTGCCCTGCTCTCCCTAGAAAACCTCATTACTTGAGCAATAAACCTTTTTAATACCCTCTTGGTGCATGGGTGGTGTCATCAGTCTTAACATTTGAACAAAATTTTGGGTGGGGGTACTTCCCGTCTCCATGGAGTGACTCAACAGAGCCTCTTGTTTTATCACTGAGGCCTGCACTGCTCTAACATGTCTAGAATTCCTTCTGATTTCTTTATTGGGCCCCTCCTCCTCCCTGCAAGGGAGCTCCCAGTGCAAGGCAGACCCTCATCACAATTGTAGGGCACATGAAACTTATTTTCTGGAATCCCAGGCCTGCCCTTTGTTTTTTTCCCCTTCAGGACATTCATCTTACATCCTCCAGCTGCTAAACCACCTAGCCTTCTGCCCAGCCTTCACACTCACCTCCCCTGAACCCCCGTATTAAAAATACACAAAAAAAGATCCAAAAAACTCCCTCCTACCAAGGCCTTAAATGACTGCTGAATCTTAATACATTGCTTTTGTGGGGAGAAGATCCTTAATAGTAAAAGAACTTAGTTGCTAATGGTAGCGTTTTAGGCTTCAGCAATAGGATAGGCATCTATGTAATTAGGGTCCTAACTCCCAAATACCTTCCCCTTCAACTCACCAGCTGCAATTATGCAATTAGGGCTTCACTCCTTTGGTTCAAAGCTTCATTCTGTTAAAAGGTAATTCTTCCTCCTGCTTTAGTAATTGATACTTAGTGGGCACACAATTATCACATCCTTTCCTGAGGACAGAATATTAGGGGGAAGGGATGGAGATTAAGAGGATATTTGGCAATCAAGGGAGCAGAAAACTTCCACTGGAGAAGGGTTGCAGGACCCAGCAGGAATAGCGAGAGAGTTGGAAATTCTGGTACATCCTCATTTCCAGGGATCTCAGACATGTCCAGTGATGCAAAGTACAATAGGAGCTTGACCTAGAGAATGTTAGTTATGCCAGTGCCCTTGAGGCCATCAGCCCCAACCTCACTCTTTCACAGATGAAGAGCTCAATGTTCCGAGAAGGCCTACGTAAGGTCACCAAGTTACAGCCAGGACCAGGGCTGGAAATCAGGTCTGCTGCCTCCAAGATGGCACCATCAGATGTGATGGCACCATCACAGTTCATCTGTGACAAACAATCAAGCATGATAATTGTGAGTTCCTTTGCTGTTACATTACTGGAACTTACCTTCATTCTGACACGCTTTTGTGAATGCAGGAGACATAGGTTTGGTTGCAGCTGCCATTCCCTAGATTTGACCTAACCTAACCCTGGACATGTCCATGGAGGTGTGGGTGCATATGCAAGTCACCTGCCATGTGTTAGGGGTTTGTGTGGGAACCTGTGTGCTCCCATGTTAGCATGTCAAGGAACGGGGGCCCCTTTATGATCCTATAATGAACTGCTTCTCCTTCAAATCTCTGCAATCCTAAATGCTGGTTGGATGTCTCATTCTTCTTAACCATGTAGACATGTTATGGGGGCCCAGGATCCCCACCCACTTTTGAGAAACTGCAGAGACTGTTTCAGCGAGAAGTCCTGCCCTTTCCAAGTAAGTCAGTTTCCAGAGGACTCCCGTGGCAGTGAGCACCTGCCTCCATACCCCAGGCCAGATCCCAGCAAAGGAAGATAGGCTATAGCTCTTTCAGATTTCTCTCTCAGTAACTGACGTAGTTTTCACCTCTTTTAAAATTCAACATATTGCTTCTTGCAAGACTCAGGCAGGAGTTCCAAGTCAAACAAGGGAGAGAGTGTGCTGTCCTCCCCACTGCTGTTTTTCTCTGTTTATTCTGACCCCTGCAGAGTGCCCTGGGGCCATGGCCAGAGCTGTCAATGACACAGCGCAGATGTGAGTGGTGGAGTCAAAGAAAGCCAGCAACCAAAGCATTCAGCCCACTGCTTCTGAAATACAATCAGCGTGCAAGTTCATACATACATGTGTAGATATGTGTTTGCTTTTCCTATGAAAACTTTAATTAGCAAGAAAATTGCAAGTGGCCATAATCCTCCAGCCTTAAAGGCAGCCTGCATGCTGGTGCTGGATTTTTCAAGTCAGTCGGCTTCCTTCATCAATGTGCTTCCCATTAGCCAGAGAGTTGCCCCGAAAGGCTGTCTTCTTTCACCTGCCTCCTCTGAGGGAGGTCTACAGTTGCCTTGTTGACATGGCAGTCACTAAAGAGAAGGAGACTCTGGCTATAGCCTTAGTCCAGGCAGCCCAAACAGGGAGGAAGAAACCCCGCTCCAGCCCCAGGTACCTGGAGATGTGAAATCTGGGTCGTGATGGCCATTCAGTAGACAGGCTTGCTGTGCAAGTCCAGAACTTCAGAACAGCAGTTGGCCTGCAGCCTCTGAGGTTCAGCAGGGACTCAGTATGATTTCTAAGGGTTTCCTATCCTCATCAGCTTCCCATATTCTGGCCTTCCTGTTGCTCTTGGGAGCCTCTAACCAGAAGAAGAGTGGAAGGGGGAGCGATCCAAAGATTATTTCTATCCCTAAGCACTCACCCCCACTGACTCACTCATCTCCTGCTGGGATTCTAAAGCCAGGATAAATGGGCTGGGGTAAGGTTTGACTTTTTAAGAAAACTTTTAGCAACTGCTGCCTGCTTCTTATTCAAATTTGGCTGATGATTATTGAATACTTACTATGGGCTAGGCATTGTGCTAAGTGCTTTCACATATCTAATCTCACACAATTCTTATAACAACCCTGAGAGGGAGGGATGAATATCCCCATTTTACAGATGGACAGATTGTAGAGGTAGAGAATGCTGGAAAATGAAACTGGAGAGCCACCAACACTTTGGAGACAGACCTGAGTTCCAGTCTCTACTTTGTCTTTTACTAACTGTGTGACATGGGAAAGTTACTCAATTTCTGAGCCTTGATGTCCGGATTGGCAAAATAGGCATTGACTTACAGGGCAGTGACAAACAAATGAATAATGCATGTGTAGTTGGCATGCTGCCTAGCATACAGTGGGCATGCAATAAATTAGGCAATGATGACTCTTGGAAAGATAGGTCTAGTAGACGTGTGTGGGGCAAAACTGGGGAGGCTGATGTTGGACATGGGAGTCAGGATAGAAAGCCATGGGTTTTATGTGACAGTCTCAGCTGAAGCCAGGTGGGGGTGGGTGGAGCAGGAATAGACAGATAGATCAGTAAAACAGAATGGAAAGCTCAGAAATAGATCCACCATAAAATGGAGCTTAGTTTATGATAAAGGAGGCGTTATAAATTAGTGGACAAACTGAACCATTCAATAAGTATGTTGGCTTCCTATGTGGAAAACAAAAACAAAAACATTAGATCCCTACCTCACACCACAATTAAAAATAAACTTCAGATGGCTTAAGGACCTAAATGCTCAAGAGAATGTTTTTATGGTATGGAGATAAGACAGTAATGTCAGAAATCATAAAGGAAAATGTTAAAATTATAAACTTCTGGAAAAGTAAAAAACAAATTAAAAAGGATTAATATTCAAAAAATATAAAGAATTTCTTTAAGTCATTATTTTAAAGGACAAAGATTCCAATAGAAAAATGAAGACTATAAGCCAACAATTCACAGAAGAACCCTGAATGTCCAATATACCTATGAAAAGATGTCTGGGCCTCAACAGTAAGTGAGAGTATTTGGTTTAAACAAGGAAATTCAATTGCACATTATTAGCTTGGTAAAAACAGAAAATCACAACAATACAAAGTATTGGTGAAAATATAGGGAAACAGGAATTCAGCAGGTAGGAAAAACCATTTTAGAGAACAATTTTGGTAACATCTAATAAAATTGCAAACACTTGTACCCATGACTGAACTCTCCTCTTCTAGGTTATATCTTAGGGAAATTCCTGTACATGTTTTATAAATACTGCTTATAGAAACAAAAAAAAAATGGAAACCACAAAATGCCCACAATTGAGGATATGAGTAAAACAAATAAGTCTGTATGATGAATTACTGTACAGCAACTAGAAGGCATGGAGCCAATCTACATATATCAATATAGCTAGATCTAGAATACACAATTTTGAGCAATAAAAGCAAGTTGCAGAATATTATGTATAGGATGATACATTTTTTGAAACAAATTTAAAAACATGGAAAAATGTTATATATTGTTTATCAATACATTCATGTGTGGTGAAAATATAAAGACATGAACTGGGACACATGGAAACCATCATAGGGTTGCTCTGGGGAGGGAGGGAGGGGAACAGGACTGGTGTGAGGACATGAGATATTTTAATTCTGTAATGTTTTATTTCTTTTTAAAAAGATCTGAAGTAAAAATTTACAAGTAAGCATGTGTTCATTTGTGGTGGCAGGCACATGGCTTCTTTCAGGGTGATTTTTCCTTTTAAAAATAAGCATACCTGGGGTCACTCTGTCTCACTCTCTTCTTCCAGAGCCTGGCCCTCCCTCCCTTCTCTTCATCAAGGAGTTAGAATCAAGAATGTCATCAATCATGGGAACAACTTCTTGCTGTTCTTGTAGGACCTTTTTATCTTGTCTCTGAGACAGTGTCTTTTCTTCCCCTGGCTTTATCAAGGAATTTAACCTTTCTAGCATTCGTCTAGAACTTGTAGTAAGCGTGATATTAAAAGCAAAGCATCCACTCCAGTGATCTTGCTGGGAAAAAATTACATGATTTCTAAAGTGCTGTGAGTCAAACTCTGAAATGAAAGCTAGAAGACTACTGCATCGGTATGGTAATATTCACCCCAGAAGGCTCAGACACGTACATAAAAAGACTATTCACAGTGGTGTAGGCAGAGTTGTGGGAATGCACCGGGATGGTGAGGCTCTGGGGACCAGCAACAGCGGAAGTCATTACTACCCCAACGCTAAAGGGAGGAGGAGAAAAACAGTGTAAAATTGTGGTCCAGTAAAAACGGAAACTCCGGAGGAGGGGATGACTGGTGGCAACTGGAGTCATGCAGGGCAGCACCTAAGACCAGTACATGACACCAAAGCAGGGAGAGGGTGGAAAATCGGTGAGAAGAAATACCGTGAGCTATCTTTCCTCCCAACTGCTAACCTCTTCTGGGTGCCTCCCGTTGGCTAAGTCCAACTGGAAGGCAAATACGAGGCATTCTGGGAGATGTAGTCCACAGGAGTCACCCCGCATCCCCAACCTCCTCTCTCCCTAGGAGGGCAGAGAACGAATCTGGCATAGGGGTGGGGGAAGATGGAGAAGCAGCAGCCTAAGAGCTAAAGGAATCCAAGTCCTGGCACTAAGCTAGTGATAGCCACATAATTGCGTTTGGAAGAGCAGAGGGAGAGAGGCGCATGCTGGGGCATGCTGCCCTTGGACAGAGGTCACTGTTAAGGAAATAGAAACCAAAGAAGAGAAATATGGCTTGGAATTGGGGCTCTTACTCAGCCTCCGGGGAAACAGACTGGCAGGCCTCCCGAGACCCAGTGTGAGAGGCAGAAGGAGAGGGACAGGGGACTTCAAGATAGGCCCAGAGGGAGTTGGCAGCCAGTGGCTATAAAGCACCATCTGCTTCTTCCAAGTGGGAATTCATAGGTAGCCACGGCTGCTGAGTGCACAGATGTGGAAGGAAGCGGGCGGCTGATGGAAAGCAGGCGAGTGGGAGTGAGAGGCGCTGTATGTGAGACCCAGCATCTGCCGGATCCTAACGCCAAGACGACCCTCCAGCCTGAGGCCTCATAGGAAACTGCTTGTCCCACTACCCAGGCTCCAGGCTGTCTGGAGATGCCTCCAGGAACCCCAGGCTCGCTGCCTCCCACAGTGGCCCTCCAGCAGACAGTGACACCCACCAACTCACTAAGATTTCTCTCAGCTCCGGGCTTCCCAGCTGAGGTCTGTTTGGCCTGACTGTGATAGAGAGAACAGCGCTGGGCAACAGCTCAGGCCAGGGCAGCATCTTGACCATCTGTACTCCCCTCCCATCCTGCCTGGCACTCTTGAGTGTCTGGTGGGGTATATGAACTTAGAGGCTCCATACTATAGCAATGGCCAGTGGCAGAAGAAGGGGTCCTCAGGCCCTCCTCTGGCTGTGAAATCTCCGCGGTGACATCACTTCCAACCTGAGACTGCTCAAGTCAGGGAGGGATGAGATGAGACCAGGAGGCTCTGCCTCCTAAATCTCAAAGAGGTGAATGTCACTCAGCCCCCCTTGGGGCCTCAAGTTCTAACCAAGCAGTACCATGGCTAACCAACTGCAACTAGACTGCATGTTCCTTGAGGACTGGAGCTGAAATTTGGCTTTTTTCTTTTTTCTTTTTTTCATTCCAACAGAACATTTCCCCTGCACATATCTGGTACTTAGTGATTGTTTAATTTAATCTGATCTAGCCCTTTCCTTTCAGAGACAAGGAAACCAAAGCCCCATGATGGTAGGCATGGTCCTTGGGGGAGCACAGTAAGGGCAGAGCCTGTACCGGAACCCGGGCCCCTTCTTCCTTGTCCATTGCTCTTTCTACTCCAGCAGCATGAGTCTCCTTGTTATTCTGCGAAGTGATTTTCTGGGGGTGCATTTCCACCAGGTGAAGGGCATAGCATTTAGCCTCATATGTTTCCTGACCACTGGCTCCCCACCAGAGATAGATGGACCTTCTCTGGCATTGAGCTGGGTGCCATGGAAAGCTCTGAACTTGATTTGTTATAGAAAAATGCATGCTGCTAAGTCGGTCTCCCCAGTGGACATTTTAGCTACATGACTCATGGGGTCTTCAAAGACCCTGCTCCATTTAAGGCTGATCTATTTGCAAGCATGTGTAGGCTTTGAGAATTTTACAGTGGTTTGTGAAGAGGGTGGAGTATACATTCAGAATGCATGAGCCTTTCCTGGACTGTAGATAACATGGTATGAGTGTGTGTGAGAGAGAGACTGATAATGATTGTGTCAAAGCTTTTTAGAAACAGATCACTAACTCTTGTCAGATCTGAAATGATTTTCTGCAAATGGGAATTTGCTGACCCAAATTAGACCTGCAGAATATCTATCCTTCTGGGTTGCTGAGGTGCCCAGCTGTGGGAGCAGACCCAGGGAAGAGGTGTGGCTAAGGAAGTGAAGGGAGCGGCCTCTTCTGCACAGCCCTGGGCTTAGCTGTGACTGTGTGATAGGAATTTAGGTGGAAGCATCATACTTTTGCCCCACTTCACCCCAGCTTCTAAGCCTGTGCTGCAGGAATTTGTTTGAGGTAAAATAAATGGATGCTCTCCTCCCATAAGCAGCCTTTGCCCTAGATCTGGGGAAGGATGGACATTCCTGGCAATCCACCTCGGGAATCAGCTAGACGCTGGGTGGATGCAGATTTGACTTCAGGGAAAAGTGTCCCCCCACAGTATCGCCCATCACCCTGGATCTTCTAAAGCGCAGTGGATTTGTCTTGACCTTGGGGAGGGTAGCTTTGACCAATAGAATAATAGAAGCAGGACCAGCAGAGCGGTCACAGCCCCCCAGCTCAACCTGTAAAGGGAGTGTGCAGACAGTGGCACGCCAGCACCCAGTGTCTCAAAAAAAAGTGTTGCAGCCATTCTTGAGCCCACTCTCTCTTACCCCTCACATCCAAGCCATCAATAAGTGCTGTCAGTGCTTGCTCCAGTAAAGATCCAAACCGGGCATTTCCCTTCTCCCCACTGAGCAAGCTTCACCCAAGCTCGTCTCTACATTCTCTCAAAGGGATCTCTTGACTATTAAAATGAGCCTAACTTCCGCTCTTCCACCCTCCTTTGCTCTCTTCTAGGTAGACTTCTTTGTTGGTTAACCGACCTTCCTTCTGGGAGGAAGGAACACTTTTGCACAATCCTCCCCAGAGGGACATTTGCCACCTGGAATCCAACCAAATGGAGTCTGCCAGGAGCTTGTGCAGCATCTGCAAAGCCAGTTCCAGTTGACAGAGGATTCAGGCTGGCAGTGAGGACTCAGCTGAGATCACCAAACCCTTGGGACTGGCTTGAGTTCAAAATGCTAGGTGCCCTGAGCCAAGAAGCTACAGAACCCCCTTGTGGCTCCCTTGTTCTGAAGCCACAAGGCCACATGTTGAAGGCCTGTCCCTGCAGCTCTCTCCAACCTCATCAGACCAGCAAAACCACCTTGTTCCTAGGTCCTTTCTAGAAGCTGGTGTGCCTGGGGTGAAAACATCCAGTGTCCCAATGAAATATATGCCATTTATACAAGGTACGCTGCTTTGTCGTTGTTAACACAGAGAGGGGACTGGAGGCAGGCATTTTGAACTCATGACTTCAAGGCAACCCAAACAGATGTTAAAGCCTGACCATCCTTTTTGTTAAGATCATAAATATAGCTCAATTTATTGTAATGCTCAGAGGTGTCAGGCACTATTCTGAGTACTTCATTAACCCTCTCAACAACCATGAAATTATTATTACCTGCATGCCACAGATGAGGAAACTGAGGCACAGAGAGGTTAAATAACCCACAGGTTTACAAAACTATCAAGTGCCAGAACAAACTACAAACCATCAGCCCAGCACCAGAGCCTATGCCCTTAACCACACCATAATATATATATATGGGGGTCATGCCTTGTTTTAAAAAGAAGCACTGCATTTTTTTTTCTGCAGCTACCACCTCTGGCACCGTGGGCAGGAGGCAAGGCCTGGTCTGCAGAGTGTGTGGGCCTTAAACTCCCAGCATGAAGCTCTTCAGCCTCCAAGGGCGCTGGCCACTTCTGAGCACTCATTAAAGTCAGGTGTAAGTTCTCTCTTGTCCAGTCTGGTTGGGAAGGGGGGTACTCAGTGTAATCTAATACCTTAGTTTATACATTCTGCAGGGTTTTGGGTCTACAGGAGTGTGAAAATAGCAGATTATCAGACTGACAAAATCCAATTTTGACCTTGTGATTTTGTGTCCTGTGGAGCTTGGGTGCTATAGATGTGGAAGGTTGAAGAGAGTGAACTGAACGTTTAGGGACACTCTGACACCCCTGGAAAATGTTTTTGCAATCCATGATCTTTATTTGTTTATGGATCATTTTGCATAGAAGTAGCTGAGAGCGTGTAATCACATAGCCTCAGCCCAACTGGCCTGTTAACAAAGCTATCTAATCACTGGCATGCCAAGAGAGCCACTAGCCTTGACTACTTTACTTTGACATTTAGTTAAACAGAGATGATGCCCTTATGTCTTCCAAAATGGCTGCATCGTAAAATATTAAAGTAATGAAAGTGTCTGTGAGTGAGAGCTCTCAAGGAAGGAGGAATATTCCTTGCAAGTACAAACAACGGCCAAATGTATCTGACAATGAATGCATCATTTACAGGCCAGCTTGTGGCATCATTAAAAATAGATCTTACTGTTTGTTGGGGGCTTGGGGAAATTAATGAAAAAAAAAAAAAGAAAGAAATTGGCTCAAAAAGACATGGTTGTCTTCGTAGCCTTGGAGAAAGGAATATGATCATTCAGGAAATATTACTGAGCTCCCACAGTATGACAGGCACTGGACTAGGCATGGAGACACAGAGGGAAGAAGGTCCCACCTTTGTGGAGCGCAAGTTTACAGGGTGGATGGGATGGGCAGGTCTGCAGGGAGTTACACACAGTGTGCAAATGGTGCAAGAGAGATAAGCACAGGGCAACGTGGGAGAGAGATACCAGGTGTCCCTCCCAGTTTTGGGGAGTCAGAATAGGCTTTTCTAATGTAATAATTTCTAATTCAAGATTTGAAGGACAAAATGGGGAGAAAAGGATGAAAGGGGAACCCCCAGGTATTTGCAAAGACCCCGAAGGTAAGTAAAAACCATACAGGGATACAGCAAAGAGGGGACAGAAGAGACCATATGTCCCAGTTTATGGTGGGCCCTCAAAGATGAGAGTCTTGGCAACTTCCAGCCAAGATAAAGAGAAAGGACACAAGGTACATTACAACGTCCCCAGCACTGTTTACCCTTCCCATGCCCCTGAAAACATGGCACATTCAGGGAGCTACAAGGTCCCCAGGACTGTTTACCCTTCCCATGCCACTGGAAACATGGCACATTCAGGGAGCTACAGGGTTTCAGAATGATTAGAGCAGAAAGGGCAAGACCAAGAAGTGGCAAGAGATGAGCCTCTGAGATTTCCCCAGAGATGAGAGTCTGGAGGGCCTCATGACTTATATCAAAGATTTGGGGTATGCGAGCCACTGAAAGATTCTAAGCAGATCAGATTAGAAAGATCCTCCTGGCTGCTCTATGGAGGCTGAATGGGAGAAGGAAGTCAAGATCAGAGGTAGGCAAACCCATTAGGAGACTATTGCAGTGAGGGAGATCACAGTGGCCTGATTCTGGTAGAAAGCATTCAAGAAAACACTCATTTATCCTTTTCTTTCTTTCTTTCTTTTTTTTTTTTTTGAGCCAGAGTCTGGCTCTGTTGCCCAGGTTGGAGTGCAATGGCTTGATCTCAGCTCACTGCAACCTCCGCCTCCCCGGTTCAAGTGATTCTCCCGCCTCAGCCTCCCAAGTAGCTGAGATTACAGGCGCCCACCAGTACACCAGGCTAATTTTTTTTTTTTTTTTTTTTTTTTTTTTTAGTTGAGATGGGTTTCACCATGTTAGTCAGGCTGGTCTCAAACTCTTGACCTCAGGTGATCCGCCCGCCTCGGCCTCCGAAAATGTTGGGATTACAGGCGTGAGCCACCGCGCCCGGCACTCATTTCTCCTTTTCATCACTTCCTCTTGGGTGACTCTGTCTTTTGGAGCTCTCTGAAGTCAAGATATTTGCTTTTGCTATTAATATTCAGCAGGAATAGCGGGATGGTGCCCAGTTCTTGCCCCTGGGAGCTCACATCTCTTCCCTAGAATGTCGTAACTCTGTTCTTCAGCACAGGAAGGAAATACCATTTCCCCAGCTCTTTCTTCGGAAAAGTCACTCTTGATTTGCTTCTGGGAGATGTTTGTCTCTGGACAGGGCTTGGATTCCATGAGCATGTGCGTGTGTGCGCTGCAGTCCAGCTCAGGGGTGGCTCTGCTTTTCTTGGTTTCCTGGATGCCGGCAAAGTTAAAACAGTGACGTTTCCTCTTGATGCTTATCTCCACAACACTTTCTCAAAATGTCTTGCCCATTAACTTTCTAACAGCACCATTTTTGGTGCCAAGCTTCTTGTTTGAAGGCTTGGCGCTTCACTGCAGCAAAAAACAATAGCATTTCTGCCTGTCACTCCCCCCTCATTCCCCTAAACCATGCCTACCTTTCCTCTGAGTCAACACACGAAGCTATGCACTTCTTGAGAAACACCCCTAAGCTTGAGCCTGCCCTGGGTCCCTGGAAGGTGGCTCATGGATCATCACTGTAATGCATTTTAAAAGAAGAGCCGAAAATGCAGGGAACACCATCCCTGGAAATAGATTCCTCAAAGAAGTCACAGGCACTGGGCAAGAACGACTGGAAGCCCTGATAGAACCCTACACATCTCAGAATCCTCCGTGGCTCCCCATTGCCCTCAGGATAAAGCACAAGCCTACTGGGCATCTGTGGTGTCTTTTTTTGGACAGC
Organism: Homo sapiens; assembly: GCF_000001405.40. Lineage (NCBI taxonomy): Eukaryota > Metazoa > Chordata > Mammalia > Primates > Hominidae > Homo > Homo sapiens. The sequence goes on along the minus strand of NC_000008.11, from coordinate 98,358,381 downwards.
AGGGTTCAGTTCTGTTCCTCCCTCTTGAAACTGCAGCATGTTTTTATTGGGTAACGGGCGTGTGATTGGACCTGCCATGGCTGCCTGACCCGGGGAAGAGCTCCCCCTGCTGGTGGGAAGTTCTGCTGCACCTTGGCCCCAATTGCCCGTGTACCTCACTTCACGCATTGTGTTCCTGGGGATTTGCACATTAAGCTGAATCAGCTGCTGAGTGTTCTTGGGGTGTGCACTTTTAAAAGGAAATCCGTAGCAAATTCTTGTGTGAGGCGAAAAATCCTTTTTGGAGCAAAACCTGATAGCATCTCTGCCCTTGGAATAATCACTGCCCTTCCCCATCCCCTCGCTTGTTGATGTTCTGAATGTTGGAGTTTATTGAAGGGGGTCTGTTGATGCTGGAGTTCAGGAAGAGGACCCTGGGCATGGGTCCTGGGGAAAGGCCACAGTAGCTGAAGCTGAGCCCCAGATGCTTGTACATCTGACATTTCCATGCTTTGCCGAGGCTCCTTATATCCTGAAGCTTGTCTCTTAAGGGGTGGATGTGTCTCAAAGTCTGATGAGGGGGTGTTGTTCACAGCTTCAAAGGCCCCCCACTGGCAGATTCAGCTGGACCCACTCACACATTTGGAAATGGGTCAACTCCTGTGGGCCTTGGCCAAATTATCAGGAGGAAGCAGAAAGGAGAAGGCAAAGAGAAACACGCCCTCCATTAGAAGGGTATCAACTATGTTACCCAAAGGGGTTGTGCCTATCACAATTAGAGTTGTTTTTCCTCCCTCCAGATGTTGTGTGTTACAGAGTCCTTTATTAGTAAGCACACACATGGCAGCCTCAGCCACATCCAGTGCCAGTGCCAGCCTTACACCTCCAACCATGGTGGCTGCAGTTAAGCATGAGGTACGGTGTGCTATGCACTGAGGTATGAATCCCGTGCTTCTGGGAGTACCATTCTGTGAAAATGAGACTCCCATTAGAGTCTGGACACTTGGCCCAAGAGAATCGGATTAAGCTTCAAGGCTTGATCTCTTTTGAGATTAGAATCCTTGCTGTGAGAACCCACCTTCAAGGCCAGCATCCTGGTTTTACCTGGAGACCCAGGCAGGTAAACCCTGGGTCATTTCCAGACTAGGCTCCTTAGGAGTCAAAGTCTGGAGACCCAATTTGCATCTCTATAGTTGATTGGAGTGCTGGATCCCTGCTAATCCAGTCAGCTAATAAGGCCAGAACCCACTGGACTTGAAAATTATGTTCATGGCATCTTAAGCTCAGGGCATGAAGGAAAACCCAGAATAAAAAGCACAAAGACTCTTTCCTTCTTCAATTCAGAGGGCAGACAGGCTACGTGCACTTGAAAATGGTTATAAACACCAGACCCACCAATTACAATTTAGGAGGTCTTATATGTAATCTGCCCAGTTCCAGATACTTTAATTCTATATCGCAGAGAAGTAAGTGCCAGCTGGCCACAGACCGACCACGCTCAGGGTTCAGTTCTAAACATCACTGTTTGGGAAAAGCACAATCTAAAACAGACAGCTCTGGATGTGTTTAGGTTTTGCTTTCTTTCCACTTTTAAATATTAAAAATTGACTCCAGCTGTGGGGTTGAAAGTAACGCCTAACCTATAAAAACATTGACAAATAAATCACAATGCAATTTGCCGCGCATTTTTGTGAGGTCTAAACACCAGTTCTTGAAAGGAATTTTCCATTATTGCATCTTGGGAAGATAACTTCTTCATGAAAAATTCATTTGACTTTTGTATTTCATAAAATCATCACATAGCATTCCCACATTTGGGATCTGCATGTACTGGAGCCCCCCTGGCTTTCGGCTTAGCTTTCCAGACTCCTCAGCCTGACTTCCATGAGTTTTGCAGGAAGGTGGGACAGCATTTGGATCCTTACCTGGTAGTTTAGAGCTAAGCTGCGCCCCCTACCCTGGCCTCTGTCCTTTTGCGAACTAAGCTGAGCGTCAGCTAAGAGACAGCTCTCTCTGAGTCTGGTGTGAGCACCAAACTCCCCTAACCAAACTCTGTCCATGTGTCCAGCACACCCCTGGGCACCACCCCTGTCCAAGCAAGAAAGAAATCTCCAACTTTATTGCTCCTTGATGCTTTCACTACTAGGAAACAGCACTTTCCTTTCTGAAGTAGGGACAAGGGATTCAAGGGGGACCCAGAACAGAGGAAGGAAAAAAAGTCTGTGTGACAGGCTTGGTTGTGAGTTAGAATCTTCAAGTGTCTTCTTCCAGCAATGCTGCTAACCCCAGCCCAATCTGCATGGTATCACCCATGGTAGGATAGGCATGCTGCAGTAACAAGCACTCACAAATCTCAGTGACATCTTTCTGCTTATATTCTGTCCATCACAAGCCCATTGCATTATAACATCTACATTAGGATCCAACTGATGGAGCAACCGCCATCTGAAACATTACCAATGATCACGGAAGAAGGAAAGAACCATCTTAGAAGCCCCTTCACCAGTAATTAAATGCCATAATGACCAGAACTGGTTACATAGCGCCATCCAACCTCAGGGGACCAGGAAATAAAATTCTACCCATCCAGAAAGCAGAGAGCTGGAAAGATTTGGTGATTGGCATTGATGGGTATTACATCCATCTTGTCTACCTACAATATCTGGTGGTCCTTCTGCAGTATCTATACTGGGCAGTGACCCTTCTGGGCCCTGGCCTCAGTAAGATCACAGCCTTGGGAGTATAGCTATGGGGACCAGGAAGCTAGTATGTATCAAGTGCAGTCAAGCTTATAGCAGATGCCCTCTTGGGGTGTCTGCCCAGTTCCTGCACTTCTTCTCTGAGTGCTACACCCAAACTTCTCATAGAGATGCCCCCAGCAGTTGCTATCATGTAGGTACTACACAGCCCTCCTCGACCCAGTTTATTGGATCAGAGGAATGTACTTAACTAAAGCAGAGCCAGTATCACTCTCAGAAATTTAGAAATGTGGTTCAGAAACAGCTAGTCTGTATGGTGCATGTCAGTTGGAGAGCTTGGGCAAAGCCATTTTCTGCCACATGCAAAGAAAGTTGTACAGCAGAGCAGGAAGAATGAGCCAGACATGCAGAGAGGAGTAGGTATAAGTAACCATGTGGAGAGAGAGAAAATTCCAGCCTCATCTTAGCACACAGACACGTAATACCAGAACAAAATTAACACTTTGTTGGCAAGGGAGAAGGAGTGCTGTACAGGCAAATAAAAGTGTCTACCACAGAGGTTAATTACCTAGGCCTAGGGCATTGAGAGTCTGGAAGATTCCTATTGAAATACTGACACTCTTGGCAGGTTGCGGTGGCTCATGCCTGTAATCCCAGCACTTTGGGAGGTTGATCCCAGCAGGCGGGTCACCTGAGGTTAGGAGTTCGGGACCAGCCTGACCAACATGGTGAAACCCCATTTCTACTAAAATACAAAAATTAGCCAGGCGTGGTTGCAGGCGACTGCAATCCCAGCTACTCGGGAGGCTGAGGCAGGAGAATCGCTTGAACCTGGCAGGCGGAGGTTGCATTGAGGCGAGATTGCACCACTGCACTCCAGCCTGGGTGACAGAGCCAGACTTCGTCTCAAAAAAGAAAAAAGAAATACTCACACTCCTGCAAAAGTAATACCTGCTGCCATTACTCACTATAGTGCTCTGTGTTTATCAGTTTAGGCAGCCATTTGATGATGTCCTTAGGGGAAAGAGCCCAGGATTTGCCTATTTTACCAGATTGGAATGTATGGGGGTTATAACAATGAGGAGAATAGTCAATTGTATATAACAGAAAACCTCCAAATAACTGTGGATTCTTTCTGTTTCACACAAATCTAGAGGTAGGTAGCCTGAGGCCAGCACAGCAAGTTGATGAAATCATCACCGACACTGTTTGTTCCCCTAGTTTTCTCTGCTCTGCCTTCCCTTTAAACGTCTCATTCTCATGTTCTAAGATGGCTGTAGGAGTCCACCATATTCTTGTTTCTGGAAGCTGGTGAAGGAAGGAGAGGAGGGTGTGTCCTCTTCTTTTAAGACTTCTCAGAAGTCTCATTGGCCAGAGCTTAGTCCTTGGATGAGGAAGGTAGAAAAATCTGCCCAAGAAGCCCTTCCTAAATGGTGCTTCCAGTAAAATTAGCTCCATTACCCTGGCTCCAACTAATTGGACCAGGACTTAGGACCTAAATCAAGACAACCATTGGTAGACCAGACTTGAGGAAAGTTTATCTTGAAAGTAAGTTGATTTGAAATTTCACCTGGTTGAGCTTTTCTTTCCAGTGGGGGCTTTCCATAAATGAATGGTGACATAAAGACCAGATCAGATCCTCTCTTTAGGACACCACACAAAGGGAAGGGGGGCACACAGGCTCAGGCCTGCCCCAAATGGTGCCAAGCTATTGCTCCACAGCTCTATGAGTTCTTTTTTTTAAAAAAATATATTACTAGAGTTGAGTCTTGTTATGTTGTCCAGGCTGGAGTGCAGTGGCAGTGGTCACTATTATTTCTGTCTGCCCAGAGAACAACAAAAGTATGTTTTTCCCATACCTCTCCTCCTGGTTCCTTTGGTCTCTATACCCATACCTATTATATCTACCTATACCTATATCTACTACATCTACCTATATTTGTTCATTCATTAGAAACTGCAAGTTGGTGATATCCTAATTTTCATTTATCAGTTGGGAAATGCTTTTATAGAGAGATTATTGCCTTCATCTGCTACATGTTGAATATCCCTCATCTGAAATGGTTAAGACCAGAAGGGTTTCAGATTTCAAAGTTTTTTGGATTTTGAAATATTTGCATATACATAATGAGATATCTTGGGAATAAGACCCAAGTCTAAACACAAAATTCACTTATGTTTCATATATACCTTACTATTATTATTTTTATTTAGAAACAGGGTCTCACTCTGTCACCCAGGCTGGAGTGCAGTGGTGCAATGACAGCTCACTGCAGCCTCGACATCCCTGGCTTAAGTGATCCTCCCGCCTCAGCCTCCCAAGTAGCTGGGACCACAGGCATGCACAACCACACCCAGATAATTTTTCTTTCTTTTTTGTTTTTGTTTTTTTGTAGAGATGGAGGTCTCCTTATGTTGCCCAGGTTGATCTTGTACTCCTGGGCTCAAGTGATCCTCCTGTCTCTGCCTACCAAATTGCTAGGATTACAGGCATGAGCCACCACACCCAACCTATGTTTCATATACACCTTATGCACATAATCTGAACGTAATTTTATATAACATTTTAAATAATTTTATGCATGAAACAAAATGTGTGTACATTGAATCATCAGAAAGCAAAGAATCACTATCTCAGCCATCCATATGGACAATCAGTGGTTGCTTGGCATCACCATCATTCCTGACTCTGAATGTATATGCTACCAATAAGCAATCATTTTCCCACACTTATTCATGCATAAATACTTAGCAAAAAGTATATCATTGACACAGTGAAAAAATATGTGTTCAGGGTAACTAAGCAGCACAGTAGCATCACCAGAATACAGGCATCAGCTATGAAACAGCAGTAACAACAAAGGTAGACTTCAGTCTCCACCTAAGATGCTGTATTTTGGTTAAAAGGTTACTGTACATTGTTTTTTTTTTCTTTTAGGTAAGAAGGAACATCAGAAGTAGCTGAGGGACCAGGATATAGGTCTGCTAGGGATGAGAAAACATTCTGCTGGATGACTTTTTAAAATGTTTCTTCGAGAGTCATCTGCCTCATTAATTACAGTTTTTGTCTTGCAAGTCTCTCTTTGATGTTACAAACTGCCTTTATTTCTTGTTCTGTTGTGAATGCATGCTGCTGTAGTCCCTCAATAAGCCCACCACACATTTTCAGCAAGTCATCCATAGGCATTTTTTCTGCAGTGTTAACAATGCCATCGTCATTCACTTGCATCATGTTGGAGCTCAGAAAGCTTTGGATTCTGGAGTATTTTGGATTTCAGATTTTCAGATTAGGGATGCTCAACCTGTATGTGTGCTCACAGGTACAGTTCATATGGGGAAAGCAGGATCAGTCAACAGCCCACCTCCTCTTTAGATGACTAATTCTTTCAAAAATTTTAAAGACCATTGTGAATTGTGGATTTAAACATGTGTAATGACTTTCATTCCCTTGAAATTATTGTTGTTGAAGCCAAAATGTTCCTATCTTTTGTTATGGGATTCTCTACAATTTGGCTGTTGAGGCCTTTTGTCAGAACTCCAGTAGTCTCTTTTTTTTTTTTTTTTTTTGAGACAGAGTCTTTCTCTGTCACCCAGGCTGGAGTGCAGTGGCGCGATCTCAGCTCACTACAAGCTCCATCTCCCGGATTCACACCATTCTCCTGCCTCAGCCTCCCAGGTAGCTGGGATCTGGCTAATTTTTGTATTTTTAGTAGAGACGGGGTTTAACCGTGTTAGCCAGGATGGTCTCGATCTCCTGACCTCATGATCCACCCACCATAGCCTCCCAAAGTGCTGGGATTACAGGCGTGAGGCACCACGCCCAGCCAAACCCCAGTAGTCTTTAATAGCTTCCTTGCTGACTGGTGTGACAAATTGTTCCTCTTGGACACTTTCTAACTTGGATTTGGAATTAGCCATTTCTCTAAGGAGATTTGCATCTTTTGAGTAAAAATTGGTATTTCAGAATCAGCCTGAATGCTAGGGATGTCCCTTGCTACTAGGTTGATCATTGTTTCTAGACCTTTTCAGTGAATGGAGGTGGGGGTTGCAGAGGGAATACATGTATATAGTCCCTCTGCAGCCCCCAGCTCTGTTATATAGCAGAGAAAGCATATTTGATGACAGAACTTTTATTAACCTCTTTCATCTATATATCCTTTCTTCCATGCCAAGAATCCTATTCTCAAGGACACAGAGGATGATAGAATTAGAATATCCTACAATTACTCATTTGTTTTATCCCATATTGCATACACAGCAGACTCAGAATAAAATACTAATCCTACCATCATTATTATGACCAAAAACATTTTAAAAGTGTTTTACATAAGATCTCTCGATCCACCCCACTTAAAAAAATAGTTGTACTATGTCTCCATTGTCAGGACATGGAGCCATTATACACTTTATCATTAGCACTCATTTAGTCTTAGTTTCACAAGTAACTGTGTATTTAATGCTCTACACGAATCTCTCTCTAGTTATTTTGGTTACCCAAGGTTTGTGCTCTAGAAGACTTCTTAGGAGGGACTTATGGAGCCAGTTTCCCTAAGTTGTTGATAAACAGTATGTCTGTACCCTTTATGTTTATGTTGAAAGTCAGTTTTGCTGAATATACAGTTTTGGGCTCACATTTTCTGTCTTGGATACCTTAAATATGTTATTTCATTTTCTTCTGGCAAAAAGTGTGATAATAATCTAATTTTCTTTCTTTTTCATGCCACGTACTCTTTTTTTCTAGATGCTCAAAGTATTTTTCTTTCTCTGTAAAGTCCTGCAATTTTATTAGAGTGTATCTTAAAGTTGGTCATTGATACAGTTGTGCTGTGTACCCACCCAAATCTCATTTTGAGTTGTAGCTCCCATAATTCCCACATGTTGTGGGAGGGACCCAGTGGGAGATAACTGAATCATGGGGGCAGTTTCCCCCATACTGTTCTCATGGTAGTGACTAAGTCTCACAAGATCTGATTATTTTATAAGGGGAAATCCCTTTCATTTGGCTCTCATTCTCTTATCTTGTCTACCATCACAAGATGTGCCTTTCACCTTCTGCCATGATTGTGAGGCCTCCTCATCCACGTGGAACTGTGAGTCCATTAAACCTCTTTCTTTTGTAAATTTCCCAGTCTCAGGTATGTCTTTATCAGCAGTGAAAAAATTGACTAATACAGTAAATTGGTACCAGTAGAGTGGGGCACTGCTGAAAAGATACCCGAAAATGTGGAAACAACTTTAGAAGTGGGTAACAGGCAGAGTTTGGAACAGTTTGGAGGGCTCAGGAGAAGACAGGAAAATGTGAGACAATTTGGAACTTCCCAGAGACTTTTTGAATGGCTTTGACCAAAATGCTGATAATGATACAGACAATGAAATTCAGGCTGAGATGGTCTCAGATGGAGATAAGGAACTTGTTGGGAACTGGAGCAAAGGTGACTCTTGTTATGTTTTAGCAAAGAGACTGGTGGCATTTTGCCCCTGCCCTAGAGATTTGTGGAACTTTGAACTTGAGAGAGATGATTTAGGGTATCTGGCAGAAGAAATTTCTAAGCAGCAAAGCATTCAAGAGGTGACTTGGGTGCTGTTAAAGGCATTCAGTTTTATAAGAGAAGCACAGCATAAAAGTTCGGAAAAATTGCAGCCTGACAATGCAATAGAAAAGAAAATCCCATTTTCTGAGGAGAAATTCAAGCTGGCTGCAGAAATTTGCATAAGTAACATGGAATCAAATGTCAACCACCAAGACAATGTGGAAAATGTCTCCAGGGCATGTCAGAGACCTTTGTGGCAGCCCCTCCCATCACAGGCCTGGAGGCCTAGGAGAAAAAAATGGTTTCATGGGTTGGGCCTAGGGTCCCTCTGCTGTGTGCAGTCTAGGGATTTGGTGCCCTGTGTCCCAGCTGCTCCAGCCATGACTAAAAAGGGCCAATGTACAACTCAGGCCATGGCTTCAGAGGGTGCAAGTCCCAAGCCTTGTGGTGTTGAGCCTGCAGGTACACAGAAGTCAAGAATTGAGGTTTGGGAACCTCAGCCTAGATTTCAGAGCATGTATGGAAATGCCTGGATGTCCAGATAGAAGTTTGCTGCTGGGGTGAGGTATTCATAGAGAACCTTTGCTAGGGCAGTGCAGAAAGGAAATGTGGAGTGGGTCCCCCATAGAGAGTCCCCACTGGGGTGCTGCCTAGTGGAGCTGGGAGAAGAGGGCCACCATCCTCCAGAGCCAGAATGGTAGATCCACCAACAGCTTACCCTGTGCACCTGGAAAAGCCATGCTCAACACCACCCTGTGAAAGCAGCTGGGAGGGAGGCCACACCTTGCAAAGCCACAGGGGCAGAGCTGCCGAAGACCATGGGAGCCCACCTCTTGCATCGGCATTACCTGGATATAAGACATGGAGTCAAAGAGTAGTTTCACTGCCCTACAAATCCTCTATACCTCTCCTTTTCATCTCTCCCTCTCCCAACCCCTGATGACCACTGATCTTTTTACCATCTCTGTAGTTCTGCCTTTTCTAGAATGTCATATAGTTGGAATCAAAAGTATGCAGCCTTTCAGACAGGCTTCTTATAGGAATACACATTTAAGTTCCCTCTATGTGTTTTCATGACTTAATAGCTCATTTCTCTTTAGCACCAAATAATATTCTATTGTCTGGATGTACCACCATTTATTTATCCATTCACCTACTGAAGGACATCATGGTTGCTTCCAAGTTTGGGCAATTATAAATAAAGCTGCTATAAACATCATGCACAGATTTTTGCATGAACATAAGTTTTCAACTTCTTTTGGTAAATACCAGGGAGCATTATTGCTGTATTGTTTGGTAAGAGTATGTTTAGTTTTGTAAGAAACTGCCAAAATACCTTCCAAAGTGACTGTACCATTTTACATTTCCACAGCAATGAATGAGAGTACTTGTTGCTCCACATCCTTGTCAGCATTTGGTGTTATCAGTGTCTTGAATTTTCAACATTCTAATCAATGTCTCATTGCTGTTTTAACTTGAAATTCCCTAATGACATATAATGTTGAACATCTTTTCATACACTTATTTGCCATCTGTATATTTTTGTTGAGATGCTTGTTCAGATCTGTTGCCCACTTTTAAATCAGGTTGTTTGTTTTCTTAATGTTCAGTTTTAAAATTCTTGGTGTATTTTGGATAACTGCCCTTTATTAAATGCGTCTTTTGCAAATATTTTCTCCCCATCTGTGGTTTGTCTTCTCATTCTCTTGACAATGTCTTTTGCAAAGCAGAAGTCTTTAATTTTAGTAAACACCAGTTTATCAATTCTTTGTTTCATGGATTGTGGTTCTGGTGTTGCATCTAAAAGTTATTGCCAAATCCCAGGTCATCTAGATTTTCTTTCTTTCTTTTTCTTTTATTAACTCTTCTAGTTTTATAGTTTTGGATTTTACATTTAAGCTTATGATCCATTTTGAGCTACTGTTTGTGAAGGATGTAAAGTCTTTGTCTAGTTCCATCTTTTTATATATGGATATCCAATTATTCCAGTATCATTTGTTGAAAAGACTGTCTTTTCCTCATTGCATTGCCTTTGCTCATTTGTCAAAGATTAGTTAACTATATTCATGAGGGTCTATTTATGAGCTCTCTATTCAATTCCATTGTTCTATTTGTCGATTCTCTCACCAATATCAGTCTTGATTATCGTAGATTTATAGTAAGTCTTGAAGTTAAGCAGTATCAGGTTTACTTTTTTCTTGTCCCTCAATATTGTGTTGGCTATTCTGGGTCTTTTGCCTCTCCATATAAACTTTAGAATCTCTGTTGATATTACAAAATATCTTGCAGGGACTTTTAATTTTTTTTGAATTGTGATGAATCTTTACAACAAGCTGGAAAGAACGAATATCTTGACAAGACTTTGTCTTTCTATCATCCTATTACCTTTAATCTATTTGTATCTTAACATTTAATGTATGTTTCCTATAGGCAACATATAGGTCAGTCTTGCTTTTTTATCCACTCTGACAATCTCTGCCTTTTAATTGAGATTGTTTCAACATTTATATTTAATGTATTGTTGATATGGGTAGACTTTAGTTCATCATTGTAATTTTTTTCTATTTGTCCCAGCTGTCCTTTGTTCCATTTTTCTCGATTTCTGCCTTTTTTGGATTAATACGCTGTGGTTTTTTTTGGTTTTTTTTGTTTTTTTTTGAGACGGAGTCTCGCTCTGTGGCCCAGGCGGGAGTGCAGTGGCGCAATCTTGGCTCACTGCAAGCTCTGCCTCCTGGGTTCACGCCATTCTCCTGCCTCAGCCTCCCGAGTAGCTGGGACTACAGGCGCCCGCCATCACGCCCGGCTAATTTTTTTGTATTTTTAGTAGAGACGGGGTTTCACCGTGTTAGGCAGGATGGTCTTGATCTCCTGACCTCGTGATCCGCCCGCCTCGGCCTCCCAAAGTGCTGGGATTACAAGCGTGAGCCACCGTGCCCGGCCAATACGCTGGTTTTTTAAAAAATATTTTTATCATCTTTTTCCTTGGTTTATTAGCTATAACTCTTTGTTTTGTTATTTAGTGGCTGCTATAGGGTTTATAATATACATCTCTAACATTTTACATTCTACCTTCAAGTGATATTATAGCATTTTTATGTATAGTATAAAATCCTTTCTTCCACTTCTCCTTTTATGGGCTTTGTGGTATTGTTAGCTATACATTTTGTTTTCACATATATTGTAAACCCTACAATACAATACATTATTATTATTTTTGCTTAAAAATATAATTATATTTTAAAGGCATTTAAATGATAAGGAAAAGTTTTATACACATATATATGTAGCTACCATTTCCAATGTTCTTTATTCTGTTGTGTAGACCCGTATCTATATGTGGTATCTTTTTTTTTTCTGCCTGAAACTTCCTATAACATTTCTTACAGTGTAGGCCTGCTGGAGATAAATTCTTTCAGATTTTTGTGTCTGAAGAAGTTTTTATTTCACTTTTGTTTTTGACAGATAGCTTTGCTGAGTATAGTATTCTAGATTGATACAACTGTCTCACTTGTATTTCTCCCAAGGAGAAATCTGCTGTTATCCTTATCTTTGTCCCTTTGAATGTTGTGGTCTTTTATCTCTGGATGATTTTATGATTTCTCTTTATCAATGGTTTTTGACACATTTTATACTGATGTGCTTTTATGAAATTTTATTTTCATATGCTTTTCTTCATGTTTCTTTTACTTGGTGTTCATTGAGCTTCTTGGATTTATGAGTTTATAGTATTCATTAAATTTGAAAAAAAAATTTGGACATTATTTCCTCAAATATTTTTTCAAGTCTCCTACTCCCCCTCCTCTCCTTTGGTGCTCCAATGACAGTTATATTAGGCTGTTGGAGTTGTCCCACCACTGATGCTCTGTTAACATTTTTTTTTTTTTTTTTGAGACGGAGTCTTGCTCTGTCACCCAGGCCGAAGTGCAATGGCGTGATCTCAGCTCAGTGCAACATCTGCCTCCCAGGTTCAAGCAATTCTCCCTCCTCAGCCTCCTGAGTAGCTGGGATTACAGGCACCCAAGATCATGCCTGGCTAATTTTTGTATTTTTGTGGAGATGGGGTTTCACCATGTTGGCCAGGCTGGTCTTGAACTCCTCACCTCAGGTGATTAGCCCACCTTGGCCTCCCAAAGTGCTGGGATTACAGGTGTGAGCACCCACCATGCCCGGACAGCTCTGTTAACTTTTGAAACTATTTCTTCTCTCTGCGTTTCATTTTAGGTAGTTTCTATACCTCGATCTTCAAGTCCAATGAATCTTTTCTCTCCTGAAATGCCTAGTCTGCCATCAGTTCCATCCAGTGTATTTTAATCTCAGGCATTGTAGTTTTCATCTCTAGAAATTCAATTTGGATCTTTTATATTTTCCACATTTCTATTTAACTTTTTGAAATATAGAAGAACTCAAAATAAAAACTATTTTGGTGTCCTGTTCTGCTAATTCCAACATCTGTGTCAGTCTGGGGATGGTTTCTACTGATTAATTATTTTCCTCATTATAGGTTGTGTTTTCCTGCCTCTTTCCATGCCTGGTTCAGAACAGACACTATTTCCAGTCCTATGTGAACATCAGATACTGTTCCCTCTAATATTTTCAGACGATTCTTCCTCCAGCCTTTAGGTGGCTCTTTTTTGGACCGCCTTTCCCTAGATGACATCACTCCAATTTCTTCCAAATCCTGTATCTGGTGTCCAATATTTTGAAAGGGTCTCTTCCTCACTGGCAAAGCCTGAGGCTTACCAAAAGCAGAAAAGGGGAGTAAAAAGTGTGACTCCTACTAAGATGAAATGGAGAAAAGCACTCAATAGTTACCTGATGCCTTCAGTGTGTTACATGCAAACGAGTGGTTTTGGTATTTGGGAAAGGCAGGTTAAAGAGGCTGCTTTATTTATTTCTTCTCAATGAATATGGGATCATCTTTCCATGATTAAAGTCAAGAGGACCTGCAGTATTTGGGACATACATTGCTAGATTAAGCATACATAGATCTCAAACCACTTCAGGCTCAGTAGATTGCAATCTTTTGTTTTGTTTTAAGCTAAAATGGCCTATTTCCACATTCTCAGAGACACCTAGGATTTTCAGCTATAACATTCTGTGCTTCTAAGGGTCTCAAAATATTTGATAGATGTTTTATTTTATACCTCCTTTATAACCTTGGAGATAGAATTCAAGCTTTCACCTGCCTTGCAACATTACTATAGGTGATGGGATTAGCACCACAAGGTGAGAATTTGGAGAGTCCCATATTTTCTTTTTTTTTTTTTTTTTTTTTTTTTTGAGACGGAGTCTCGCTCTGTCGCCCAGGCTGGAGTGCAGTGGCGGGATCTCGGCTCACTGCAAGCTCCGCCTCCCGGGTTCACGCCATTCTCCTGCCTCAGCCTCCCAAGTAGCTGGGACTACAGGCGCCCGCCACTACGCCCGGCTAATTTTTTGTATTTTTAGTAGAGACGGGGTTTCACCGTTTTAGCCGGGATGGTCTCGATCTCCTGACCTCGTGATCCGCCCGCCTCGGCTTCCCAAAGTGCTGGGATTACAGGCGTGAGCCACCGCGCCCGGCCGAGGGTCCCATATTTTCTACTCATGGCTCCTGTGCTCCAGCCATGTATTGCCTTTTCCATCTGAGTTTGCCCAACCCACTCTAAAAAATAAACCCAGGCCATTTGCCAAGGGGATTAAAAGGCACTGGGCAGCAAGGATGCCTAAACCATGCAGAATGTATTGTCCCCTCCTTCTCCTTCCCAGGCTCTTAGGCTTTCCTGGCAGCCTGACTTTGTGGAGATTCTCAGAGTTTTGCTATAGGTAAATGTTTGTATTTCTTTTGCATTGCAGATACAGGGAGCCAAGGATGGAAGGATTCCAGGTGAGGAGGACTGCAGCATTGAAAAACATGGTAGAATTTAGGTAAAATTTATCTTCAGATGAAAACAGTACCTTCCTAAGGACTTGTCAGATGATAGTTTGCAAAACAATTATGTTTTCTTCAGTGGCCTGGGGCAGTATCCACATGTGGTTTTTATGGTTCTGGAGTTCCACATGGCCCAGTCTCTTTCCAAAATCACATTCAAATAAATGCACTTCAGAAACTAAAAGTAATTTTAGTAACCATCCTTTCATTGTATCTCTTAAATATGGGGAATCCTGTGTATAATCCTAGGCAACATGGTGTGTAATAAATAATATAATAATGATAATAAATTTTGACTCCTTTTAAATTCTCTCATACTCCAAAGCTGCCCTCTCAATCTACACCTCTCAATCTGCTCTAAAACTTTCCCTGACATTCATTGTGAGGGTCTTTCCTCATCCATGATTCTCTCCACTATCACTATTTTCTACCTTGCTACCGCAGCAGAGAATGCCACAGGAGTTACCACACCTCCCAGGCTGCACTAGGAAAGCTGGGAGACCTTGAGGCTTCATACTTCCTTTGCTCTCCACAGAGCGAAGCTGGGAGGACCTCTGGGAATTGTATTTTTCCCTTGCTCTGAGTGCTTTTCTTGCAAGTCAGTGCAAGAAAGAATTACTAATAATTAAAGCTTTTCTCCCTTATATATTTAATCAATAATGGAAAATGCATTGGAGAAAGCTTCCAAGTGAACCCCTGGGGTCAGCAATAGTGATAAGAAACGGCCTAAGAGGCTGGGTGGGATCATTAATTGCCAGCCCAGTGGGTGGCCAGAGTTTCCAAAAGGCAGATCTCTAAGGGAAGACTTGGGGGATGGCTCTGGTCAAGGCAGAAGTAGAAATGTGTGGTCCAGACTCCCTGGCACCCCTTTAGGAAAATTCAGGCTTGCTTGTAGGTCTCTTACAAATGCTTCAGTGGCACCTGGAGTGGTTCGGACCTAGGGGACAGACAGGACATGTTGATGAGGCATTACACAGTGGCTAGGGATGGCCAGATGCTTACAGGTGGGCTGAGGATAGGAGCTTGGAGATCAGAGAGAGGCAATGTGGATCAGGGAAGCCGACTGTCAGCAATGGGGGCAACTAGTAAGTGGTCATTGTCTATAAATCTAGAAGGTGGCACTGGGGGACTAAGGTCCCAGTAGCTGGGACTTAAAGGCAACAGTGGAAAGATCAGGGTGAATATTTTGTCCTAGAGGAATGGAGATCCTGGTCGTGAGCGGCACCTGATGAAGAGGAATTAGATAAGGATGCAGTTATCAGAAATGAGACCTAAATCAAGGTGACCAGCCACGGGGAACAAGACAAAGCCTTATTGTTAGACTCAAGAGATAAGATCAGTCCTGGACTATCAGAAAACTCAGGCAAATGAGCCCTTGAAGTACAAAGTATAAGCACCCAAGGTGCCTTTTAGGAGAGGTTGCTGGACACTGGTTAGAGCATGGGGTAAATGAGAATCCTGGCTCTTTGACCTCCCCTCCACCTGTGAAACGTTACCTAATCTCTCCCAGTCCAGTTTCCTTATCTCTTAAAGGGTGTCAGTAATTCCTACCTACGGAGTAGTTATAGACATTCTGATACTCGGTAATGCAGAATGGGGTTGGAAAACCTGTCAGCTCTTAATACTACGCTTGATACTACCAAGTGGGATTTCATTCTCCAGAGCACTTTATCCTACTGAGCTGGCCTTGATGCTACAGAGAAGGGTCGTAAAACACATCGGCTCCTCTCCTCCTCCTCCCACACCGCCACTGTCATATCATGTCTCATCTACCCATTCAGATCAGGAATGGCCCCAGAGCCTGGGTGTGGATTCTGCAGATGAGTGTTGGGGACATGCTGGCATGACATGCACACACATGTACAAACACGATGGCCCCAAATTACTCAAATTTGTTTGTCAGTCAGTCGTTTGGCACTGGAAATCCCTGTCCATAAAAGCGATATTATGAACAATGGTTTGGTTGCCAGACTGGCCCACAGTGCCTTTCTTGCTCAGGGTAAAGAGGGTAAGCATAGCATCACATGAGGTGGGGACTCCATCTGCATTCTTGCTTTTAGAGCCAACATTTAGAGGGAGGACTTGATACAGGGAAGTTGTGGGAATCCACCCGGAGCTAAGGGGAGCTCTAAAAGCCACACAAAAGCTCTCCCAGGCCCACACCTCTCTTGGTTCCATACTGTGACCAGCTCCTGGTGAGCTGCAATAAGACTCCCAAAGTGGAAGCCCAGATTTTCCAGGATTGAGAGTGGCGGATAAGGGAGTGTCTGAACCTTCCTTGCTGGTATCCATTATTCTCTCTCTTCTCCACTGCTCCTGCAGAAGCTGCTTCAGTGGGTGAGAGCATCTGTTCCTGCCATTTGCCAGCTGTTGTAAGAGAATTAAAAGTCTCGTCTGAGGCTATGATAACAATTTAATGATGAGCCTGTGAATTAGGGCATAACAGCAGAATTGCCGCTTCATTTTCGGGCTTAGATTAGTGGAGCTGACTTTATCCTGCCTGACCACGCAATGAGCCATACAATGCTCCTCTGTGGATGAGGCAGGTGAAATTCTCCAGGAGGGGGGCAGGAGGAGGAAAAGCAATATCAAACTTGATCAGGTGATACTGAACCAGAGGAGAGGTAACAGAATCTGATGCTCAGATGAAATGGGATCTGCAGCAATATCCAACTCATCACGAGTTGTTGGAGAAAGAAGAGGTTTAAATTAATGGATTTTTTAGACAACTGAAAGCAAATGCTTTTTCCCAAAAATGGAAACTTCTAAAAGCGCATTCATCATTGTTCCATGCTGTAATGGAGTTGTATCCTGAGGAGCTTTTGAGGCATGTAAGGCTATTTGCCCTGGCACTAGATGACCCCCTCCTAATATGTTTTTCTATTTGGGGACTGTTCTCTCTCACTCTTTCGCTGTCTTTTGCTGCCAGCTACCACT
Organism: Homo sapiens; assembly: GCF_000001405.40. Taxonomy (NCBI): domain Eukaryota; kingdom Metazoa; phylum Chordata; class Mammalia; order Primates; family Hominidae; genus Homo; species Homo sapiens. Next base: position 98,341,327 of record NC_000008.11, on the reverse strand, counting down.
TCTCAGTGTGTCATCTCTCAGCATTTCCTCACTCTGCTTGCTTGTCTTTTTAACTCTGCAGGAACTGAAGGTTACCAGGGAAAACCAGAAAATCAACCTGCTAGAGCATAACCTTACATCTCACTGGATTCTAAGGCAATTGAGTTGGATTAAGGTGGATCTTCACCTTTATTTCCCCTATATTTATTTATTTCCCCTCTATTTGCTATCACTGCCACCCATATTCTCAAAACACACAGACACACACACACACACACACACACACACACACATTCATTGAAGACCAAGGCCCTGACTCATATCCTTTTTCTGCATCTCTAAACCTGCCATTACTGCCTTTAGATCTAATCCACCAGGGTTCCTACCCTGGGCCCCTTTTTTAGAGGACCCTGCTCTCTAAGAGACAAGAAATCTAAGGGGCCAAGGGAAGAGTCTCACAGACAGCCCATGCCCCCTCTTTCAAGACTATGTTCTGGATACCTAGGACCTTCAAAGTGCCTGCCCATATGGCCCTGAGCCCACTTCCAGGGCCTCCTCCATGGGTCTGTCCTCCAGAGGGTGAGCAGCGCTACTGGTGTGTGCACTCCTAGAGGCATCCAAGTAGCTACTGGTTGGGAAGGTGTGAGTGGAGCTTGGATGTTCAAGCCCATCCCACCTGCCCTGTCCTCCTTGTTCCACATCTCAGAATAGATGGGGGTGGGTGTGGGAAAAGAAGGCAGGCACCTCCATTTGAACTCTTGCAGAGGCCACACCAATCTTAGGGGTGGACTGAATCTCCATTCAATTCTGGGACATGTCAATGCCTCCGAGGATGGTCCATTCAACACACTACCAGCCTTATGAGTTCTTGACTTGCTCAATTCTAAGCACTTTCACCTGCACTCCAGATCTTAGCATTGCACTCCAGAACTTCACAAGTAGTCCTGAATTCACTGGTATTAAGTATATCAAATATAATTTTCCGACTCAGATCATTCCCCTTCCAGCATCTGTCATGTTAGAGACACTAACTTAGGAATCTAGGCCTCTCTTCCTTTCAAAATCTGGACCCTCCCTCTTTTTCCCTCCCATCCCTGTAGCTCTACCCTTTGGGGACACCAGCTGCTCCTTCTGTGATATCCAACTTCACCTCTTTGATGAGCTTAGAGACCTTGAAACCACAAAGGCCTCTATAAGGAATATCTGTAAGATAAGGAATATCTGTAAGATAGCTTCTCTTCTCTACCTAAAATGACACAAAAATCAGAGAAAGAGAGAGCAGCATAAAGGTAAGGAAGAAATCCTTTTCACATCTCCACAGATCTTTCAAAGGCCACCCAACCACCTGTGGGCTCTCCCTTGTTCAGAGGGTTTCCACTTGTGGTTCAGTCTATTTGGACATCCTGCTCCATTTCTCAGCTCTGCACCACCCACCTTTCATTACTTAGAGCAAGCCTCTGCGACCTCTCTTCTTGAGTGTCATGGCAGTGCCTGATCTGACCTTTGCTCTTTAAGCCCATGCTTCCTGCTGCACAAGACACAAATCGTGTTGCCTCATCCTCTCGCTTAAACCCTTTCTGTGCCCTCCCCATGCAGAAGAGGGCCCCCACTCCCTGGTAGGGGTGTCAGGTCATCCATGACCTGGCCTTTCCATGTCTCCAGCTTCATCTTCCATCATTCCCAGCCCCTGCAACATCAAATCATACATGATGGTCCTCCCATACCAATCATGCCAATAAATGCTTTCGTAACTTTGTTCATGCTATTCCTCTGCCTGGACTGTCCTTGCCACCATCCCACCCCTTCAGTTCCCACCCCTTCACATGCCTACTGTCCCTTGACATAGCTCAAGTATTATACCTTCCAACCCTGCTCTCACCTCCTTGCAAAGGCTATGCTGGTGCCCCTCTACTGGGCTCCCACAGAGCTGTTTAAGCCCCTCTGTCTTAGAATGTCCCATATTGCACTGAAATTATCCACTGAAGTATTTTTATGTGCTTTTAAGTGCCTTGAGAGTCCCCACTGCACAAAGCACTCAATATATGTCTGCTGAACCAATCTGAACTGAGAAAAGCAGGTGTATTTCTGTGATACTTATTTCCTTACTAATGACTCACTCAAGTAAAGATACTCATCTAGAGGTCTATTTGCTTGTTTCTGGGTTTTTCTATGGCTGCTGCTTCTATGGCTGAAGTCTAAATGCTAGTTGATCCATCTCAATCAGTTAATCATTATGCATTTATTGAGTATCTACTATGTGCTGAGCATTGTGAACAATTACAATCAGAAGTACAAAACATAGTCCTTGCCTTTAAGGAGATTGTAACTTTGACAATTTTCCTGGAAATTAAAAATAATATAATTTGCAACAGATCATTTTTAAAAGGAAGGACATAAAAATTTCTTTTCCTTTTTACTATATAAAAATGTCTGATTATCAGCTCACCCAAGGTTCCCAACCACAGGGGTCTAGGTTTTGTTCAGCAGCCATGGTCTGCTTGAGAGGCCTGAGAAAAATCAAATAAAGACAAAGTATTGTAGGGAACTGTATATTTTTGGGCAATAAAAAGGCTCTAGAAGTTAGAAAGCAACTACAGACCAAAGCGGGGAAAGGTGAGGACCTGTTTTTTAGTGTTTTGTTTTTTTTTTTAATTTGGATAAAAAACTGGAGTGACCTCCTGGATTATGTGGAACAAGTTTGCTTCCATAGCAGCAAGTTTTGTAGCCCTATGTCATTTGTTCTTAAACAGGGGTGATTTTGTCCCCCAGGGGATATTTGGCAATGCCTGGAGATGTTTTTGGCTGTCACAATCTGGGAGGGGGCATCTGTCCAACGGATGGAGGCCAGGGATGCCGCTAAACATCCTACAATGACCAGGACAGCCCCCATGACAAAGAATCCTTCAGCCCAAAATGCCAATAGGGCCAGTGTTGAGAAACCCTGCCCTGTGTCACAGGATGGGACTGACACTAGCTGCATTCCAGCATCCCACAAAAATAACCAAATGCAATAATGGCTCTTGACAGTCACAAGCTTAACCCCTGGGTGCCTCTGACTCATGCATAAGGACGAAGCTGTGACTTTAACAGAGGCCGGAACAGAGCACTCTTGGATGATTTTTATGCTATAATTAGTTTTAAAATATTCTTACCTTTCTCTCCCTTCCTTGCTCCCAGCTGCATTTCTTTATTTTAAAAGAAGGAAGTTAAATAAACAAGAACAACTCCCAAAAGATCCTTTATTTTTATCATTGGGGTTTTTCCCCTTTTTTCTTTGCCCATGAGGTAAAACACAAAATAATGGAGAAAGAACATCATCAAGGCTGCTGCCAAGATTAGTGGTGGCTCCTGGAGCCTTGCTTAGGCGACCTACTCAGAGAGTCAAACACCTCAAACACAGATGCAGTGCACAGATGGAATATGATCATCATAATTTGTTCATTGTGCTTTCCCCCCAGGGGTATTTCTGGGTTATTTATTTATTTAAACACAGTGGTATATGTTTGAAGTAAGAATATCCCAATCCATATTGTTCTCTTTTCCCCTGTGAGGGTCATGTTTCTTCTGTCAATAACACAGGCTCTGTTTTCCTTGAGCCCCAAATTACACTTCCTCATAAGAAATGAAAATGCCGCAATTTCCTTGAGGTCTTTATTCCACATGATTCTGCTAATGACTAGGGTAAAATTGAGAAGTTCAGGAAAAGGAAATCTCTCCTTCCATCAAAGTGGGTAAACAAACTAAGGGAAAACAAGAAGCTAAATTATGTAGAGGGTTTAAAACATGTCCCATAAATCTGGAGGCTAGCCGAGACCCCCAATGGGACCTCCTTGCCTGTCCACCCAAATAGCCCCACAAGCTACACTCAGCACCTGTTACATGGGCCCAGAAATGTGTGTGTGTGTGTGTGTGTGTGTGTGTGTGTGTGTGTGTGTGTGTGGTGAGGGGATACTGCAGATCAGAGATCAGGAAAATGGTCAAAGGGTTTTGTCAGCATTGCCACGATGACAAAACCTTTTATCTTGGCCACAGCTGACAAAACCCTTTCACCAGCTTGCTGTGGATTTTGTTTCCCAGCATTGGAAAGATGTAGTGCAAATGCTATCAAGCCTCAGTAGTATCATCTCACCTTGTGTCTCCTTCCCCTGCAGGCTTATCTGTACCCATCTGCTTGGGATATTTCACATCAGCACACTAGTTCACATCTCTAAGCCCTTGTGTATAATGTCCCATCAGTCTGAAACACTTTCTATATCTGTCCATCTGGGAGAATGCCTATTGACCTTCAAAAGCTTGCTAAGACAACACTTCTATGAACAATTTCCTAATTTACAATACCCTCCCCTTCCCCCACACACATTTCTGTGTCCATTTAACAGGTGTTATTGGTGCCTCACTCATATCCCCTGGGACTATCCCAGAAACCATCTGAAGACCAAGTGAGCAATTCCTGTCCCTGTCTATGGCTTCATTTCTCAAGCATTTCTGTCTTGACTTGAGGGCTTTCTCTGACCACAGGAGCATGTCATCTCTACATGGGTTAGGCAAAAGTGCCAGGGAGTTAATGTCTCAGAAGCAACTTTTAACCAGTGAGGGACAGGAATTCTTTGATAAACACCCCAGCTTCCTTGCTCCACAATGGGACAATTCCAAAGGCTGCCCTCCACGTGTCTCAGAGGGCTGTCAGTGGGACTGAGCCCCAGTTGCCCACAGTGTTCACCTACTGATCAATACACTCCCGATTGGCTTCTGCTTCCTCACTGTTTCACTTTCTCACTCCCTCATTGTGCTTCCTTGGATCACCTCTCAAATAAATGAATGGCATCCACATCCCTATTTCAGGGTCTACTTTTGGGGGAAATATGTACAAACATCCATGATCTTTTCATCGCTCTGTGTTCTATCTGCTTCTGTGTGTCTAGGATACCTCCTTTGAGGATAGGCACTATTTGTTACTCATTTTTATTTATCACCAGTGCCTAAAACACAGTGGACTCTCTGTAAATGCTTATTGAAGTGAACCATAGGGGAGACTGAGAAACATAGGGGACCATCCGCAGAAGACCTGTAGGGGTGAACCATTGAGCACAGGGATGAAGAGGAGAAAGAAGTTATTTACAGAAACTGTTGTGAGGGAAAACCGGATTAATTAATGGGGATTGAATAACTCTCAGAAACAGCAATTAGAAAATGCATCTGCAGAGGGGAATTTGTCAAAGCAGACAATAATGTGATAAATGAGTGAAAGGTGGACTGCGGAGTGGGATAGTGTCCACACTGGGATTTCAGTGCCTAAGGAGAGGGGATTTCCAGCTGAACCAAAGATGTGGACTGGACTAAACAGAGTCAGGGTGAAGGGGTGACTTGGCTTCTTCTGAGGACAAAACTCCTTGGGATGGTTGAGCCCCAGATTGATGTATCAAATGACACCAAGGTTTAGCCACTCAAGGCTTGCCACCTACTTGCATATACTTACTGCTTAGCACTGAATGTTAACATGGTGGGGGAAAACCCACTATTATTTGCTGTCTAAATAGCTAAGCATATGCTGGGCTGCAGACCCATTGTGAAGGAGTCAGTGGAGACAAGATAGGGGAGAAAGACTATGCTTTGAGACAATGTGCCGCACGTTCCCCTAGGGAGGAAGCAGACAGCCCCAGGAGCAGAAGGCTGGGTGTCTTTCTGGATATCGTACATTGTTTCATCGCAATGCTACATCTTTCCTAATTTTTTCTCTTTGCATCCTTCAGTTTCTTCCATTTGTGATGATGTAATCCTAATGAAAAGCCTCAGCTGATGTGAATGGACAGGTGATGTGAAACACAGTATTCAATTCCACAAATGTTTATTGACAGCCTACTAGGGCCAGGCCCTGCACCAAAGACTAAGCTTGAAGTGGGTAAACATAGAATCCTTGCCACTATTTTGTAGAGCCATATTTGTAATCCTGCTAAATATACTATCTATCTATCTATCTATCTATCTATCTATCTATCTATCTATCTAATAGCACATTTTCCAGACGAGAAGGGCACTGTTAATTCCACAGAGGGGACGGGACAAGGACAGCTTTAGAGGCAGAATGAGGTTGGAGCCAACTTTTGAAGCAAAGCAGAAATTTCTTCAGGAAGTGAAGACAGAGCAGGCATTCCAGATACTCATTCATTTGTTCATTTGGTCACTTTCTTTACTGGACATTTATTGAGTTTGCTATGGTGTGGCAGGTATTGGGGCAACAATAGTGAATAACAGTCCTGCCATTTAGGGAATGCAGAGTCCAGTGTTAGAAGCTGGCAAGAGCCAGGCCATGACCACACAGTGGGAGAAGAGCAACAATGAGTAGCTGGCATGATGTGTGTGGCCCTCTTTATGGCCCCGCATGCTTCCAGCCTGGAAAACATTTGTAGGGGTGAGTCAAGGATGGTGTCCTAAGGGAGATGACATCCCAGCTGAGAACTAAAGGTTGAGTAGGCATTGTCCATGTGAGACTAAAGCAGAATATTCTAGGCAAAAGGGCCTTTTCATGCAAAGGCTGAAGAATGAAGAGGCCCATTTAGGAGGATAGTGAGAGATGAGGCTGGAGAGGTAAGCTGGGACGAGGTCATGAGGGCCGTTTGAAGGAATCTGGACTTTATTCTTATGGCAAGGGGAAATTATTAGAAGCCTTAAGCATGGACATGCCATGTTCAGGCTTGCATTTTAGAAAGATCATTCTGGCTACTGAGTAGAGGATGGTTTGCAGGGGAGAAGGAAGACCAGTTCAAAGGTGGCGGCAGTAATTCAGGTGAGAAATGATGAGGGCCTAGGAATGGGTGGTAACAGTAGGCAGGGATGGAGAGAAATGACCCAAGTAGCACCTGCACATGCCCATAAGCACCAAAGAATGCAGTGGAGCTGAGAGATCCCACGTAAGGTGGTCATAGCCCAGAGTAGAGAGCAGAAATGGATGGGAACCGAGGCTGGAGCCAAATGTTGGGACCTCTAATGCTACACTAAGAAGTTTGGAATTCACTCCAGAGGCAACAGTAAGCCATTGAAGGCTTGAAGGAAAAGAAGATTATAATTCTGATATCCCAAAAGGGTAGATTCGCAACAGAAGAAACAGTTGCCATTTTGGTTAATGTAACAGTCTAGGTGCAAAACTTGAGCCAAGTTGTTGACTCTCTCAGCCTATCAGATGATATCTCTACCTCAACTGTAATGTGGACATAGTAGTCTTTAAAATGGGTAAAATGGGTAAAAATCTATTTTATAAGACTAAAGAGGATTATGAAGGTTCATGAGTTAATATGTAAAATGATTAGGATCATGTCTGATACATAGTCTATTAATCAGAGTTCTCTGGAGAAACAGAACCAACAGGCTATGTCTATATATGGTTTTGGCTCTATGGAGGCTGAAAACTCTCAAGAGGGACCATCTGCACACTGGAGACCTGGGAAAGTTGGTGGTGTCATTCGAAGGCCTGAAAGCTGGAGGGCAGGTGGTGTAGTTTCCAGTCCAGACCTGAAGGCCTGAGAACCAAGAGCGCTATGTCCCAGCTCAAGCAGCCCGGCCAAGAGCATATTTGATCTTCCTCCTTTTTGTTCTATTCAGTCCCTCAACAGATGAGATGTGACCCACCCACATTAAGGAGGGCCATCTGCTTTACCAATTCAAATGTTCATCTTTCCGCAAATACTCCCTAGATAGATACACCCTGGAATGATGTTTAACTGTGCCCCAGTCTGAGCATCCTGTGGCCCAGTCAAGTTGATGCATTAAATTAACCTTCACACATAGTAAACATTTGGTGTTAGCTTTATTTGTTTACTAATTGTCATGAGAATTAAATTACATGGTGTATATAAAATTCTCAGAAGTGATGGTCCATACACATTAATCAATAAATAATAAGTATTGCTATTAGTTTTTTTATTTTGTTATTAGTGCTGAGGTTATGAAGTTGGGCTATGACCCTGGAGAGCCAAGAGGAGTGAATCACGTCAGCAATGTCATGCTGAATATAAATCTTGATTTAAAAACACTCCCCAAAAATAAAAGAGAGAGAAGGGCTCTCTTTTCATTATATCAGGGCAGTTGGATGTAAGAAAGCTGGCGAATTTATTCTGAAATATTATGATAAGATTAAGAAAAATGGGCATATGGTGAGAATTATTTGTTAGGTTTCAAACATCTCAAATTCCTATATTTGAGTATCCTAAAAAAAATTGTATGCACAGACTGTATTGTCAGTACAAATATTTGCAAAAGTGAGTTACTTCATTCCAGACTAGATTCTTTTTGTTATATGAAAGTTTCAGAGCTTGCCCTTTCTAGGTCAGTGAGACATAAAATTGGCTGATTTTTTTTTTCCTTTACCTACACACAGAAGGGTGTTTACCCTAAAAATCAAACAAAGCAGAAAATGTGCAGTATTTGAAATCTTTGGCTCCACACAGGGAGAGCCTCTGACAGCAGCTCTGCAGCTGGCCTTAGGAATTGCCACCATGCTGTGGAAGTCTGCACCTTCCAGAGTGATGCAAGGACTGTGACCCAGGTTTTGGCATATTCCTCACCAAAGACCGTGTTAGAGAGACGAGCCAGGGTAAGCTCTCATCTCCTGCACAAAATATGCAAACACACAAGAATGAGACCTTCTCTTGCATTGTGTCAGAACAGCAGGAATTTTTACAAGACAATTTTGAAGGCTATAGCTGGGCACAGTGTTGAAAACCCCCCACAGGACCGATTGCAGAGTGAACACCCTGATCAAGATGGTGTCTTAAACTCCATGAACTTCCCCTGTGGGTAACAAAGCAATAAGTAATACTTGTGCAACCCTGTGAAATTATTTTCCTTTCTACGCTCCCTGGTTACTCATGTTCTCTGTACACTCGAGAACAAAATGGTGACCATTAGGCTGTGTTTACTCAGCAAGTGCTGGTGTCCTTAGGAGCCTTTTTAGCCCAATAGTCTGTGATTTTGAGAGCTGGCTCCAAACTGGCCCCAGGAAGGATCTTATTACTTTTCCAAAACACTGGAAATCATCATTTGGACACAAAAGTTAGAAGCTGCCTCAATCATCCAGTTAAAAGCAAACAGCTATGTGGTTAGGAAAGAGGTTGATTTCCCATTGCTTCCTCTGTATTGTGGTCTGTACAAGAACTTGGTACCACCTAAATCTATTGAGATCCACGCTGAATAAATAGGATGAGTTTTTAAATATGTCAATGTTTTGACCCTAGACTTGTCAATGCAATATCAACCTCACATAACTTGATACTAAGATTATCTGGGGCCAGGTGCGGTGGCTCACGCCTGTAATCCCAGCACTTTGGAAGGCCAAGGCAGGAGGATCCCTTGAGCCCAGTAGTTCAAGACCAGCCTGGGCAACACAGTGAGACCCTGTCTCAATAATAAATAGATAGACAGATGATAGATAGATAGATAGGTAGATAGATAGATAATCTGGGTATATGCACTCTTGTTCCCTCCGCCCCCCGCTTTCTCTTTCTCTTCTGTTTTGGAAATGATGGTTTTGAATTTAAATGAGATAGAGGAAAGATGAGTGAGAACAAGACATTTGGAGTACCCACAACCAACGTGAAGTTTCTGAGTTCATATTCCCTCTTCATGCCCCATTCAGATTGATTCATGAGCACACAGAAGCCTGCTGACCATATCCACAGTGCATCTAAAACCACATTTGAATGGCATTTCTTGCTGTGGTTTTGTTTGTCTGTTTGAGACAGGGTCTTGCTCTGTCATTTAAGTTGGAGTGCAGTGGCACAATCACAGCTCACTGCAACCTCGAACTCCTGGACTCAAGAAATCCTCCTGCCCTAGCCTCCCAAAGAAGTAGCTAGGACTACAAGTGCATGCGTCACCATGCCCAGCTAATTTTTGCATTTTTTGTAGAGACAGGTCTCACCATGTTGCCCAGGCTGATCTTGAACTCCTGGCCTCAAGTAATCCACCTGCCTAAGCCTCCCAAAGCACTGGGATTACAGGGTGAGCCATTGCATCTGGCCTGTTCCAATTTCTTTACATTTTGTTTCCTCAGTGATTTATGGACTGAGCCTCTCAGGGTGGCTTACAGGATTCAAGAGAAAGCAAATCTATGATTTAGTTAAGATATTGATTCTGTAGAGTAAATCAGACTGGCAATAAAAGAGAGAAAAAAATGTAGGATGTTGTTGGTTGGTGAGGAGGAGTTGTGCTGTTGGACTTTATTGTGAGGATTCCATTCAAACGTACTCCAGTGCACTGGCAGTGAGTTTTGTGTCAATTCTATTATCCCTCATCATGTAATTGTGGATAAGTAATTTAAATGGAAACATCTTGGGCTGGACAGAGAATGGTTTTTGGAGTCAGACAGATCTGAGTTTAAATCCTGGCTCTCCTACTTAAATAGAGAGTGATCTTGGGCAGGTTAATTACCCTCTCTGAGCCAGTTTCCTCATCAGTCAAATGGAGAGGGTAATCTTACCTCATACATTTTATGAAGGATAAAAGAGATGATGTATGTGAAATGCCTTTCACTTCCTCCTGTTTTCTTTTTCCAGCTTTGAAAAATCAATTATACCTACCAACTATTTGTCCAACAGCCTCTTGGGAAGATTAGTTATTACCTAGAAACCAGCTTTAGTGAGTAAAATAAATTAGTTCACAAAATCATGGCGATTAAAAATTAAGTAGTGCAAATGCCCAGGGTCCTGAGGAGTGGGTGACAGTCCCTGTATTTTGTGAAATGCATTTTGATAGGGAAAGGTTTGAGGACAAGTAAGATGTGTTTAAGAGTGATTTTTGTAGCACTTGCTTTCAGGTACTAGGTCAAATTTTCTGATTTCTAAGGCTTCATGATTATACGTGAGAGCAGATATTCAAATACAGTAACTTTGGGGAACTGTGTCATAAAACACATATGTTACCAAATTAAAATTTCTTATTTGGCATTATTCCATAGAGAATCCTTAATTATTTGGTTCAATGATCTCTGTGTACCAAAGAAACAATATGTGTGCATGTGCATTTATGGAGAGAGAGAGCTCTGTTTGTAGTGAATTTCACAAATGCCTTAAAATTAGATAAACTTTAAAAAAAATCCAAGTTACCTTTTCACAGACACAATTACAGGTGTACAAATGTTTTAGTAGAGTCCAAGAAATTTTGCAGTACTTTTCTTTCTCTTTTCATCAAGGACCAAGACTATAACAATTTTTCTTCTACTGAAGATTAATATTTCAAAGGATTTCTCTTCAAGGGTAAAGCTCACAGAAATATCAACTTCTAGGATAAAAGAGGATTCTTTTATTCCGAGGATAAAATGTGCATTCTTCATTATGCAGCAGGAAGCCTAGCTGCCTGGCAATGCTGTCCCCAGGGCCATGCCCAGGATAATCTCCACAGTGAGACTGTAGAATGTGAAGTTCCAACATGGCTCTTGTTTATGCAAAATTTATTTTTCCTGAAAACTAGCAAAGTGCCAGGAACTTTGAAGATTTATAGAGTTTATAGTTCTCAAAATGCACATATACTTCACAATTACAGGCATACTATTAAATAACATTTTAGATCTTGTCCTTACTACTTCTTAGAAAGCTCCCGGATTTATCCTTTCAACGAATGGATCAGTTGTTGCATAAAACTAACTTAAAATGCAAAATGTTTCCAAGTTTACTAAGACCCTTAATTTTTAAGAGCACTACATCACTTTGTTAACCAAAGAGAAAATTCTAGAAGGCTTGAGAACTCAGTGCTAATAAGTTTAAATCCTTCCTATTGTCAAAAAGTGGCACACACCAGACTTTTATACTTCAAACACATTAAACTTTTTTTGTCTCATCTTCTTATTGTTTCAGTAGGTATACATCCTAGCACATATCCAGTAAAAGTTATCTTCGTTAATAAAAATTCCACTTATCTAGCTGAAAAGTCCCTTGGGTGAAAGGCCAAACCCAATAAGATATTTCCATAATGGAAAAACAAGGCCAATAGGATCAGCAGGTCACAGAATTCGTGGTCTTAGACTTGACCTGCTGAAGCTCTACTCACGTCAGTGTTCCTCAACATGCTTTAGCTCCACCACCAAGCATCTTTTTCAGAATACGACATTCTTGCTTTCAAAGCCTCAATGCTGAGATTTATTGGGGACTTGGGAGTTTGCATCTCACTGAAGGGGGGCCTCTATCATAATATAACAGTGCTGAGGAATGGGATTTATCATCCCCTAGAGAGCCTTAATTATTTGGCTACAACATCATTTTTATTAACTGGAATGAAAACTCTGGATGTTTTTGAGAACTCAATAGTAATCATGTAGGATATACTGACATCTGGTGGCATTGATTAAGCAAATCTTACAAATTAATAAGCAGTATTATAATTAAAATCATTTACTGAGTTGTTTTTAAATATTTGTAAATCTTTTGGAGTTTTTCTAATTTCTATTTGAAAAGACTTTCATTTTCCCCTTATACTATTTAACAGCTAGCCTAGTCCATTCATGTAAGCATTCGGTAAAAAGTTCTATTTTAACTCAAGAGTAATTAATCCTAGATTAATAACAATAGCTACAAACTATTGACTAACTTAGGGCTCCTGTTTTAATAACATGGTCTAAACAATAATCAATTTTTCTGATTTTTAAAGAATTTGTTTTGTTTTCAAGGAACACTTTAACATGGAATAAATGTGATTCTTCTAGTTTCCTGCTTAAAAGCCAAGAGTGGAGAGCTGCCTACAATAAAAATGGGGTGTGGTGTGTACAATTTCATGCTACTAAATCATTTGACTTTTCAAAAATACATCTAATCAAATCTAGGAGAGAATTACCACTGCCTTCTTATTAGCATGACTCCAGAGTTGTCCATCAAGAGAAGTAAAACAATAGTTTCCACCCTGCTTTTCAGAGTGAAAAATGAAGACAGATTTTTTTACTTGTCCAAAGTCAGTGTCAAGTCCATGAATAGAATGCGGGAGTTGCTAAATCCTGGTTCTTGCCACCTTTTGATGTGTGTTTCCATTTAAGATGAGTGACATGTAGTGAGTTGTCATAGTTTTAAATAGATCTCTGTAAGGTCTGGCTTTTGCATCAAATTCTGGACTAAAATCATGTTTAAATTTTGCTTCCTCTCATCTTTTCCTGGTTTTGATTATTTTTTAAGAGTAGTTGATGGTCTCATGACACGAGCCTTCTCTTTTGTGTTTTGTGTTTCGTGTTTTGAATTTTATGTGAAATTGTGGGTTTGATCTTTGACCCCTGTTTACTCTAATACTGATTTGCCACTAATTTGATAGCAAGCCATAGGGATCTACTGTAAACATGCTGCTCACTTTACATAGCTCTGTTTGACTCTTAAGTGAAGAAATATGTGTGTGGAATATAATTGAGAGGCTCTTGCAGGAGTAATAAAAACCACATAAGTTTTCGACTTCCCAGGTAGCACTCAGATTAATATAATCAGTTTCTGTGATGGAAGGACCTAGCAAATTGAGAGGAAGTCATCAATGTAAACAGGTATAACCTAGCATTTAGTTTTAAGTTGGTCAATAAACTCATCCACAAACATAGAATAAAGGTATAGACCACGCAGCCCTGCCTAAGCTGCCTGGGGCTCTGAACTCAGAACTCTGATTACAGGTGTGGCCAGCATGGGAGGCGAGATCAGGCCTGAATCATTTCATGCCCTAATCCTCGAGGGTCAGGGCAACTGGAAAGGAAATCACAACACAGAGATGTGGTGGGGAGGGAAGGGGAAACATTGGCTGAGTGAGGGTGCAAAAAGAGGGCATCAGGTGGGCTTAGTCAAACCTGCACTGCAAGAGGCACCCAACCTGTGAGGTGATGCATCCCTGAATTTATTTCCCATTGACCAGACCTTCCAAAGGCAACTATGTTTAGTCCATTTTTTTTCTTTTCTTTTTTTTTTTTTTTTGAGTTGTAGTTTTGTTCTTGTTGCCCAGGCTGGAGTGCAATGGCGTGATCTCGGCTCACTGCAACCTCTGCCTCACGGGTTCAAGCGATTCTTCTGCCTTCGCCTCCCAAGTAGCTGGGATTACAGGTGCCCACTACCAAGCCTGGCTAATTTTTTGCATTTTTAGTAGAGACAGTGCTTCACCAGCTTGTCCAGGCTGATCTCAAACTCTTGACCTCAGGTGATACACCCGCCTCAGCCTCCCAAAGTGCTGGGATTACAGGCATGAGCCACCCACCTGAGCAACTGTGTTTAGTTCTTAATCCCTCAGCTGAAGAAATGAGAAGATCTTGGAGACTCTCCAAGGCAGGGTTTGCCTTGTCGCAGATGCACCTTTGGGCACAGGCCAGGGAAGTATAGAGCAGTGCTAGCCTTAGGAAGAGAGGATATGGCAAGACCCATGTTTTGAGAGGAAAACACTGTCTTTCTCTTTCTCCCCATTAGGCCAAATGCCTGGGACTTGCTGGCCTGAGAATGAAAAGGTACAAAAGGATTCTCTTGTCAATGTATATTCCAAGTCTTAATTTCTTGTGGGTGGGTTTATGTTATGCCCAGTTTAAGAGCAGTCAGCCTTCATGATTCTGGGCTTCAGCTAAACATGGAGCATCAGTTGTTGCCCTTGGAATACTTCGATTCAATAGAAAAGAATTTGCTATTAAAAACACATTTGTGGTATTCAACTGGTCTCTCTTTTTCAGTTTCATCTCATTTCTCTTAATCATATTCAGAGATTGCATGAGAATGAAATCATTTGTTTGTCCAACAAATGATTATTGAGGCCCTGCTTTCTTTATGCACTATGCAAGGTATCAAAGGAGAAAAGACATATAGAGTACTTAGGTACTCCCTCAAAGAGCGTGCATTTCTGTTGGAGACATGGAACATACACACATGCAAAGTTCAAAAGCAATTCAAGAGTCTCACTGTGCAATACAAATATCCAGCAGACAGGAGATGCTGCAAAGTGGATAGGACTCTGAGGAAAAGTAGTGGGGTCAATAAAAAAGAGTTCAGAGGAGAAGACGCACACTGAAGACTGGAGTTCAGGAAAGGTTTGCTGGTAGAGATAGCAATTGAACTAGAAGGGTGGCATTCCATGTAGAGAAGGGGAGACATATTTTGAGAACAAATCTAACTTAGAGGAAAAAGACTCAGGGACATGTCGTATGGTGCAGGAGACACAAGTTCCAGCCCTGACTCAGTGGCTTGCTGCTGCATGACCTTTAACCAGTCTGTTTCATTGGCTGTAACTGAGCTTATGTGTCTATAAAATGGGAACACTAATGCCTTCCCTGACTTGCATGAGCCGTACTGTAAAGATCAGATGAGATAATAGGCATGAAAATGCTTTGTGATACCAGCATAAGACACAGATTAAAGAATGCCTGAAATGCCAGTCTGGGTTTGACTTTAATCCTTTAAGTAATAAGAAGTCGCTGAAGATTTTTGAAGGAGGGAGTGAATGACATGATGAACAAGGTGTAAGGAGCCGAATTCCTCTCTCCAACTCCCTCCTGTAGCCTGGCAATCAGTCTCTCTTTTCTGCTGACAATTGCTTGTGATGTCAATTCAACATCTTCTGTAGACGCTGGGAAGAAAATCCATCCCAGCCCTGAAGAAGAGCTGTGCACGCCTTGAAGTAATCATGCTATGTAAATCAAAGGCCTTGCTACAGCTCAGTCCTCCCATTCACTTAAGCATATCTATTGTTCCTGGAACTTCTTCCAATTTATTCACATTTAAAGATGCCTCATACTGTGTACAGAGCATTCTTGTACTGTATCACCAGAAAGCATCCTTGTTTTATGATGTGCTGTCTTTGGCTAGGCAGCCTTAAAAATCATTAGCCCCCTCCCCGTTTTGCTGCTTTGCTGAATTCAAACACACTTCCAAGCCCCTATAATCTTTTAAATATTATCCTAACCTTTTGAAGTGAGTATGTTTCTGAATATATTTACTTTTTCTTATATTTGAATTTTACTTTAATGACTGAGCTACTAAATTTACAATATTACAGATACTACAGAGCTTAGTTTAGTGATGAATCATTTTGCTGCAACAAGTTGGAAAACCATTAAATGTTCAAAACCTCCACTGAATGCAGTTATTTTTTTTTAAAAAAGAAAACATATCCAGCTTAGTTTTTTTTCCTCGTTTGAAGCAATTGAAAGGTTTAAAGAAAATTTAAAGGCAGTGTCTACTGTCCTTTTTAACCCCATAAGTGTTTCTAAGTTTTTTTAGTTCCTATTTGTCTAGGCCAATGAATGAATGAATGAATTGAAACAACTGGGTCTGGAACAATGTATTTATATTATTCATCTAGTTCTGGGGCCAGCAAACTTTTCCATAAAGGGTAGGACAGTAAATAGTCTCAGGTTTGTGGTCATATGATCTTTGTCCCAACGATTGACTCTGCCATTGCAGCATGAAGGCAGCCATAGACAATTCAGAAATGATGGGTGAGGATATTCCAGTCAAATGTTATTTACAAAAATAAGCAGTGCTGTGAGAGTGTTTGGCTCTTGGGTTGGTCTAGTTACTTGTTTTCAAATGTTGATGTGCATCAGAATTACCTGGGTAACTTGTGAGAAAAAAAAAAAAACTCAATCCCCAGATTCTGATGTCACGGATTTGAATTGGGGCTGGGGCTGGGGCTCCCCAGATGATTCTGATGGAACATAATTTGAGAACCTCTGTTCTTTTTCCTCAAGAAATGCAGCTCTGAAGTCTTAATTTAGCTGCCAACATTTTGATAAGGGACTCATATAAGGCAGGTTTAGGCAAGAGAATCAAAGCTGGACCAGTGAAGATGAGCATATTTTAAATGGAAAAAATAAAGCAATTTTTGCATTTATACAAATTTCAGAGCCCAGTAATTTTACTCTATTATTCTACCTAGCATTAATTTTTGTAGTCTAAATGGTGATATTTAAATAAATCATAAAACTATAGCAATAGCCAAATAATATTTTGGATTTTAATGTGTAAATTGAATTTAAATAATCTCAATTGATTTTAAAGGATTTATTAGCCTTCCAACCTGTAAAATAGTTTACTACTACTATTATTAAAATTACCATAACCCCAAAAAATTACTTAATAATAAGAGCTTTACAGCCCATAAAATCCTCCCATTGTTTGAGCATCACATCAGTTGATACTTTATAAATCTGGAATGAGACTTTTTCCAAAAGCTTGTTGAAAGCTACTCAGCAAAGCAATGAAAAAATAGAAAATATTTTTTTCCATATAGAAATTGAGAGGAGCATGGGTCCCGCCCTGTACAAAAGCATTTCTCATACAAAGAAAAGACACTCAAATTATAAACAGATGGACAATCACATGGCAATCAATTAAAATATATCAGGTGAGGTCTGGTTCCAAATTTGAATTCCAGTTTTGTTGGCTAACCCCACAGTTTCCTTAACAGTGAGATGAGCTGCTACGTGGAACTGTAAGCTTCGGTCCTCTCTCTGTCCTCCTCTTCCTGTATGGCAGGGACACAGACTGCTGCATAAGCAGAGAACTTGCCATCTAAGGAGACTTACATTAGTCCCGAGCCCATCTGCCAGCTGGTGGTGATGGATGGAAGAGTGAACTACCGCCCTTCTTGGCTAGTGGATAAGTTTCCATTTGTTGCTCCTTTGTGATTCAACTCAAAGCTAATAATTTTTTATTATTGTCCTGCTTTTCTCTTAGCAATATGCTGCCTGCCTGGCATACGGTACAAATGCAGCCTAGGTTAAAAAAAAATCGGAGCTCAATTCTTGAATTTTAACAGTGGACTGATGAATATATATGTACTTCATATAAACTGCCTCATTTATCTGAACTTCAAATTTTGATAAATGGGAAAAATAACATTTTTTAATTTATTAATTACAGGACAATAAACAGGTTAATCTTGGCTGGAAGGCATTTGGCCACTAGAACAGAGGAAATTCAATAATCTGATATTTTAAATTGTTTTTGTAAGTGATACAAAGTGGTTTTAAATATGTGGTTAATGATGCAAGACTTTAATGCCTGTATAATTAAGAAATGATTTTTATATTTGCATTTGGCAAATACAAACTAACTTATGAATGCATACTTAATAACTTAATAACATAGTAATGATCCTTGTATGTGTCTAAATCCTCTTAAGACCCAGAGCCCCACCTCCCAGTGAAGACATTTAGTACTTTCTGGTTTTTATTTTGAAAAGCTGCTAATCCTCAGCTTGTCCTCACTAATGTGAGTACTGGTGATCTCACCGGTTTCATTAGAAGCAGAGTGAACAACACCAGGACCATTTCTGAAGCCACTGATAATGGCTAACAAAAAAATTCTCGGCAATGAATGAGTCTCTGTCACACACCAAAGCTATTGATCCCATTCCAATATACAGTCAATAAAGCCCATTGTATTCTGGAACTGATTCTTGGAGGTAAAACTTGTAACTGTATTTTCCCAAAAGAGTGGAATAAAATGCCTTTATGTTTGCTTGATTTAATTTTTTTCCCAAAAGAACCAGCATCATGACCCAAGAATGTTGGTTTACTACCAAACTGATATTTTATCTTTAAAGTCACGATACTCTAAAACAGTTATATTCCTCCAGATTGTATTCCCTCAGTGTCTCGCTTCATTTTGAAATCAATCCCTGTACTTCTCTCCTATTGCAATCCAGGAAGATACACATTCATATCACATCTAATATATACCTCCCAAATCGCCATGTATGACTTTCACTTTTGTTCTCTAAATTAAATAATGAACTGCTCATTTTTATTCAATATCTCCTACTTATAAAGTGAGGGAATTTTAACATGGTTGCTCAACTTTCTACATAAAGTGCTACTAACTTCCTTAAGAATAACCCAAGGAACATCTGTTGAAAACTTTCAGAGTACATTTCTAAAATGAAAGTGAATAAAGTAAAATAAAGAACAACCTATTCATCCTACAGGAAGACTTTTTACATAAAAGTATGCTTTGTTCCTTCTTTTTCTTCTTACATCAAACATCATACCATATATATATACCATAGTATATCAACATCTCAAATAAATATCTCAACATCTCAAATAAGCAAGAAAACAGTTCAAAAACAAGGAAAAAGGGAACAAAGATTCTTTTTCAGGGGAATTTATGTCTTTGATTCTTTTTTCTCCAGATGAGGAATCATCGGTTTTTAAATCATGTATGCACCCTCCACTATCGTACCTGCCTAAATCCTATTAATCCTTCTATACCCTACTTGAGTTCTATCCACTTGATAGTGTTCTCTAATTTCCTCAAAACAGACACTTATGCTCTTTCTGACCTGATATAATTCTTGCAGTATATTTCACCAGATTAGACTTCCAGTGTGCTCTAGTGGTTTCATATGTGTATTTTGTGGCTTGCCTAAAGTCATATAGCTAGTAAGCACTTATGAGGAAATGAAAATCCATGACTGCTGGCCCCAAATTCTATGATGTTTCTTTTCACATCATGCATCCCTGAACACTGTTGTCTGTTACTCTTTGCTCAGAAGATGAGAGTTGTCCTTTCCCTAAAGGACTATAACTTCGTATAATATTTCACGTGCTACCAAATTACTTTGCCTCTGCAAGTTATATTTTTCTAAGTGGTTCTCCTGCTATTTGGATTTCTCCTTCTGTCTCCTTCATGGGCTCCTCGTCCTCTTACTGCTCTTTGGGCTTTGAAGTCTCCCAAATGTAGCCTTAGTTACCTTTTTATTTCATGTGCTCTAAATCAGTGGCTTCATTTATATCCAAGAGTTTAACTCATGTCCTGCATGCTCTCAGCTTCCACTACAATATATTCTGGTGCCTGGTGAATATCTCCAATATGTTTTAGAAAATGAACTCATCATTTTTCCTGCATGACCTCCTCTTCCTAGCTTATCAATTTCAGCCACAATACATTCTCAGTCATCTTTTTTAACTTCTGCATCGCCAATCCAATCACTAGCTAATTCTTATGGATCTGTCCCCTCTTTTCCATTCCCACTGGCTTCTTCCTAATTAGGGACTCTTCAGCTCTTTTCTGAACATCTCACTTTCAACTGCCTCCCTCTGCCATTCCTTCCTACACATCTCTTGAAGCCAGGGCAGTAAGTGAGGCCAAAGCAAAGGAGGCAGGACCAGGCAGGTACTTTGACCTTAAACACAGGGGTGATGTGGTTTGGATGTGTCCTCACCCAAATCTCATCTTGAATTGTAGTTCCCACAATTCCTACGTGTTATGGGAGGGACCCAGTGGGAGATCACTGAATCATGGGGGCAGGGCTTTCCCATGACATTCTCATAATAGTGAATAAGTCTCATGAGATCTGATGGTTTTTTAAAGGGAAGTTTTCCTGCACAAACTCTTCTCTTGACTGCCACCACGTGAGACATCCTTTCACCTTCTGCCATGATTGTGAGACCTCTCAAGCCACATGGAACTGTAAGTCTATTAAACCTCTCTTTCTTTTGTAAATTGCCCAGTCTTGAGTATGTCTTTATCAGCAGCATGAAAAAGGAATAATACAGTAAGTTGGTACTGGGAGTGGGGTGCTACTGAAAAGATACCCAAAAACGTGGAAGTGACTTTGGAACTGGGTAACAGGCAGAGAGGTTGGAACAGTTTGGAGGGCTCAGAAGATAGGAAAATGTGGGAAAGTTTGGAACTTCCTAGAGAATTGTTGAATGGCTTTACCCAAAATGCTGATAGCAATACGGGACAATACAGTCCAGGCTGAGGTAGTCTTAGATAGAAATGAGGAACTTGTTGGGAACTGGAGCAAAGGTGACTCTTGCTATGTTTTAGCAAAGAGACTGGTGGCATTTTGCCCCTGCCCTAGGGATTTGTGAAACTTTGAACTTGATAGAGGTGATTTAGGGTATCTGGCAGAAGAAATTTCTAAGCAGCAAAGCATTCAAGAGGTGACTTGGGTGCTGTTAAAGGCATTCAGTTTTATAAGGGAAGCAGAACATAAAAGTTCAAAAAATTTGCAGCTTGATAATGCAATAGAAAAGGAAATCCCATTTTCTGAGGAGAAATTCAAGCTGGCTGCTGAAATTTGCACAGTAACAAGGAGCCAAATGTTAATCCCCAAGACAGTGGGGAAATGTCTATAGGGCATGTCAGAGGTCTTCACGGCAGCCCCTCCCATCACAGGCCTGGAGGCCTAGAAGGGAAAAATGGTTTCATGATCTGGGCCCAGGGTCCTTGTGCTATTTGCAACCTAGGGACTTGGTGACCTGCATCCCAGCCGCTCCAGCCATGGCTAAAAGGGGCCAACATAGAGCTTGGGCTGTAGCTTCAGAGGGCAGAAGCCCCAAGCCTTGGCAGCTTCCATGTGGTGTTGAGCCTGTGAGTGCACAGAAGTCAAGAACTGAGGTTTGGGAACCTCCACCTAGATTTCAGAGGATGTATGGAAATGCTTGGATGCCCAGGCAGAAGTTTGCTACAGGGGTGGGGCCCTCATGGAGAACCTCTGCTAGGGCAGTGAAGAAGGGAAATATGGGATCGGAGCCCTGATACAGAGTCCTCACTGGTGGACCACGTAGTGGAGCTGTGAGAAGAAGGCCACCGTCCTCTAGACCCCAGAATGGTAGATCCACTGACAGCTTGTACTGTGCACCTGGAAAAGCCATAGACACTCAATGCTAGCCCATGAAAGCAGCTGGGAGGGAGGCTGTACCCTGAAAAGCCACAGGGGTGGAGCTGCCCAAGACCATGGGAACCCACCTTTTGCATCAGCATGACCTGCATGTGAGACATGGAGTCAAATGAGATTTGGCACTTTAAGATTTGACTGCCCTGCTGGATTTTGGACTTGCATGGGGCCTGTAGCCCCTTTGTTGTGGCCAATTTCTGCCATTCGGAATGGCTATATTTACCCAATGCCTGTACACCCATTGTATCTAGGAAGTAACTAACTTGCTTTTGATTTTACAGGTTCATAGGCAGAAGGGACTTACCTTGACCCAGATGAGACTTTAGACTGTGTACTTTTGAGTTAATGCTGAAATGAGTTAAGACTTTGGGGGACTGTTGGGAAGGCATGATTGGTTTTGAAATGTGAGGATATGAGACTTGGGAGGGGCCGCAGTGAAATGATATGGTTTGGCTGTGTCCCCACCCAAATCTCATCTTGAATTGTAGCTCCCACAATTCCTATGTGTTGCGGGAGGGACCTGGTGGGAGGTAATTGACTCATGGGGGTGGAGCTTTCCCATGCTATTCTTGTGATAGTGAATAAGGCTCACGAGATCTGATGGTTTTATAACAGGGAAGTTTCCCTGTACAAGCTCATCTCTTGTCTGCCACCATGTGAGACGTGCCTTTCACCTTCTGCCATGATTGTGAGGCCTCCCCAGCCACATGGAACTGTAATTCCATTACACTTCTTCTTTTGTAAATTGCCCAGTCTCGGATATGTCTTTATCAGCAGTGTGAAAACGAACTAATACAAGGGGGTGCAAGGATCAAGGCTTTTTTTAAAAAGAGATTGAAAAAAAAATAGTAGGAGAGATGGGGGGTGTGGAGAGAGAGAAGGGGAGAGAGACAGAGATCCTGAGAGCCAACTAAGAGAAGCAGGGAGTGATCAAACACTCAAGAGGGAAAAGAAGACATGCATTTATCTCAGATATTCTATTTTCTTACTGCCTCTCTGCTAATATTATCACCAACAAAAAGTAATACTTAACTTTAAAGCAGGAAACCAAAATTGACACTCATTTTATTCTGATTTTTACAATTAGTTGGATCTGAGTAATGATTCTCAAAGGATTGGCAGAGTAGGAAATTAGGGCAGTATCAAATAGAACTCATGGATGGAGATGGAGGCCATTATCCTCAGCAAACTAACACAGGAACAGAAAACCAAACACTGCATGTTCTCATTTATGAGTGTGAGGTGAACAATGAGACCACACGGACACAGGGAGGGGAACAACACACACTGGGGCCTGGGAGAGGGGGATTAAAAAAAATTAAAAGAAAAAAACAAATAGGATATAAACCTAGATCCTGAAAAAGTACTAAGGTGGTTTTTGTTTGTTTGTTTGTTTGTTTTGTTTTGTTTTGTTTGTTTTTAAATGAGAGTAATAATAACTATGGTACCAGCCTCAACACAGCCTCCTTAGTAAGGGTTGATTGTGTATATTTATCCAACAATGCTGAAGAAAAAGTGTCAGGTTTTAAAAACCCCGGGTAAACATGTAGACTTTCTAGAGAAAATAAAATCAAATATGTATTTCACATAATAATATACACATTACATTCTTGAAACTAAGTATTTCTCATTTGACCCACACCCTAAAATCATTTGAAAATGAATCAAGAAATGGCGGAATGGGCAACTGTTAAAGAGTCCTGGTTACCTCTGGTTTTAAACCAAAGGTAATCAGCCCTTAGGAGGTTTATAGTAAGCTTATCAAACCGTGGCCTGCGGGCCACATGCAGCCCAGGATGGCTTTGAATGCAGCACCTCACAAATTGGTAAACTTTCTTAAAACATTACGAGATTTTTTTTAAGCTCATTGGCTATCATTAGTGCTAGTGTATTTTTTGTGTGGCCCAAGACAATTCTTAATGTGTCTCAGGGAAGCCAAAAGATTGGACACCCATGGTTTATACATTACAAAATGAAAGCATCTTTATTTAGAGCAAGTTTTTTTTCTTTTTTTCTTTTTTTTTCTTTTTTCCTCTTTTTTTTTTTTTTTTTTTTTACCATCTGTGGTTTCCAACCCATTGGTGAATTATGAAATCAATTTAGTGGGTCATGACAAATTTTTGTTAAATGAAATAGAATAAAAATTTTTTAAATGTTAGCATGTATTACAAATTTTAAGGGTATTATTTCATGAAACTTTTATTTCAGTAAATATATCTGTATGTGTATACTGCCTTAATGTAAGAAATGTTTCTTCTTGTGTATTACAAACCAAATGAGAAACTGATTTAAGGCAGTATAACAGGCTTCCTGCTGCTTAAAATTAAAAAGCCAAACATTTCATCAAATTAGACTGTCTTACGTTGTTCTACCTGTAGCTGAAATCACTTCTTTAAAAGGATACCCTGTGTATTAGTCCGTTTTCACACTGCTATAAGGAACTGCCTGAGACTGGGTAATTTATGAAGGAAAGAAAAAGGAAAGACTCACAGTTCAGCATGACTGAGGAGACCTCAGGAAACTTACAATCACGGTGGAAGGCAAAGGGGAAGCAAGGCACCTTCTGCACAAGACAGCAGGAAGGAAAAAGAATGCAGGAAGAACTACCACACATACAAAACCATCAGATCTCATGAGAACTCACTATCACAAGAGCAGCATGGAGGAAACTGCCCACATGATTCAATTACCTCCATCTGGTCTTTCCCTTGACCAGATGGTCAAGATGGTAGGGATTATAGGAATTACGGGGATTACAATTCAAGATGAGTTTGAGTGGGGACACAGCCAAACCATATCACCCTGCCTCTCTCCGCTGCCCTACCTTCAGGGCATTTCTTATGCCAGTGATTCTCAAAGTGTCCATGGATCCTTGGACATCCCTAAGACCTTTTCAAGGGAGTCAACAGGTTCAATACTATTTTCATTATAAGGTGGGGCTATTATTTGCTTTTTCACTGTGCTGACACTAGCATTGGTAAAGCAATGGCAAAATGAGTAAAACTGCTGGGTAAAATGGGTAGAACTCATCATTCCTGAGGCAGTGGCACCAAATTGTACTGGCAGTCTGTGAATTGTCACTGCCACGTGTTCACAGATTTTTCTTAAAGCACTGATTCATTTAACAATGACCTTGATAAAGCTGTGAAAAGTATTCATTGTATTAAATGTTGGCGCTTGTGCACATACCGTTTTAATATTCTGTGTGAGGAAATGAGTTCTCATAAATACTTTGATGCATACCGATTACAATGGTTGACTCAAGTAAAATCATGTGTGTGATTATTTGAGTTGTGAGCTGAACTAGTTGCTTTTTAATGGAATTCCATTTTTACTCGAAAACAAACTATGGTAATTCAGATGTGAGGATTTGGCAGACATTTTCCCTAAAATGAACAAAATGAGACTATCACTTCAAGCAAAACAACTGAAAGTACTTATTGCCAATAATAAAATTCCAGCTTTCAAGCAAAAATGAGAACTTCTAAAAAAGTTGACAGCATACCAATATTTAAAGGATTTATGATAAAATCCGTGGTGATATTATCATAGTGATTATTTGATACCATATAATGAAATGTGTCAACATCAAGAAGACCTGCATTACTCAGGGAATCAGTGTTTTCCAAATGACCTATGCATAATGCCAATACATGAGAGACCAACGGATTTTAATGCAATGAAGGACAAAAAGTCATTGATACGGTTTCAGAATCTACCAATTCTACCAGATTTAGGAGATCATCCTTGAAGAAACTATCACTTGTTGAGTGTTGATGTCAAATCTAAAAGAAATATCCACAATTATCTAAAAAGGGTGTTAAAGTACTCTTCTCTTTTCCAGTTACAGGTTTGTGTGAGGCCCAACTTTCTTCATCTACTTCAACCAAAACAATGTATCATCTCAGACTGGGTGCAGAAGCAGCTATGGAACCACAGCTGTTTTCTATTAAGCCAGACATTAAAGCAACTTATAAAAATGTGAAACGATGCCACTCTTCTCACTAATATTTTCATTGAAAGTATCTTATTTATATTATTATATAAAGGGCTTATTTTAATAAAGAAATAAATTCTTAAAATCTTTCTTAACTTTAATTTCTAGTACAATAAACATTAGCTATTAATATAACCCATGTAAACAAAAGCTCTTTGGAGTCCTCAATAATTTTTAAAGAGTATTCATGGGTCCTGAGACCAAAATGTTTGAAAATCATTTCCTTGACCTTGGTTTGATTCCTTTCTAAAAAATCACCAAATCTAAAAATATGAACTACATAGTTGAACCTGTAAGTCAACAATCAATTGTACTGTTTAAGAAAATCTTACTAACAGGTATGGATTGGGGATTTTTTTGAAGCCTCTCTGGGTTAAAAAAAAATGAATTTCTTAACTAAAGACTATTTAACGCATATGTCATATAGTAGGCAAGAATGACCCAGGGCCCAAAAAGGACCCTCAGTGTTTTCTCCCCTGCTGATCTTGATTTTAAAATGTTCAGTTTTAGTTACTATACTGTCAAGATGGATGTAATGTACAAACGTAACCTTTATTCATCAATAGAGAACACAATTCTAATCTGACACTTCAAATATGTCATCCAGCCTGAGAAGTGTAACACACATGATGCAAAATGCCTACCATCAAGAGCTGTTCTTGAAATGTCAGTGCACAAGCCCATGCACCCATGCCCCCAGAACATTCCGGAGCAGGCATCATCCTGCAGTGAAGGCCGTATGAAAGCAACATGACTTAATTACATTCATCACACTGAAAATCAAATTCTATGCCAATGATACATGGCACTTGGAGCTTATTTTACAAACATTAACTAATTAATCTGTGAAACATCCCTGAGAGGCAAGACATAATGATATACGAGCTGACAACCTAATTATGTCTAATTATTCCTATTTCCCCCTTCCAAGGGTTTTTTATTGCTAGTTCAGAGAAGTGGGCCTGCTATGTTCTTAGTATTCCATCCAGAATTCTCTTGCTACGAGAGAATTCTCTAGCATTCACCTTTCTTTGTGGAACAGATCAACCTGTACCATTTTTCACTGGAATCGTTTATAGAAGCTTGAAAGCACCCAAACTTTAATTTAGTGCTGAACTCACAATTCTGCCTCTTAAACTACATTCTTTGCTCCTTTTTCACCTCCAAATAATTTTGATTATTATCCTCAATTGCTTTGACCAATTTTGCTCTGCTGTCCTCTTTTCTTTCTATAGTTTCTTTCTGCTGGAAACATACTCACAGGCACAGGCCCTATTATCCATGCAGTTCGTTTTCCCCAAATTTTGTAATCGGAAGGTCAAAGTTGCCTTCTCTGTGCCTTTGTCCCTGTTGTCTCCCTCTTTTGAGACCTTGTTAGCTTTCCTCAGGCTCCCTGCATTCCCTCATTTCTCATTCCATTTAAAATTCAGACAATTTTGTTTCATCTGAGAATTCCACTTTGGCTTCTAAATTTTCTCCTCAGCAGCAAGGTGGGCCTTGAAAGTGAAAGGCCCCTATGTTTAAAAACATTGCTAGGCCGGACACAGTGGCTCACACCTGTAATCCCAGCACTTTGGGAGGCTGAGGCAGATGGATCATCTGAGATCAGGAGATTGAGACCAGCCTGGGCAACATGGTGAAACCCCGTCTCTACTAAAAATACAAAAATTAGCCAGGTACAATGGCACGTGTCTGTAATCCCAGCTACTCGGGAGGCTGAGACAGGAGAATCTCTTGAGCCCAGGAGGTGGAGGTTGCAGTGAGCTGAGATTGCGTCATTGCACTCCAGCCTGGGCGACAGAGTGAGACTCTGTCTCAAACAAAACAAAACAAAAAAAACAACAACAACACTGCTAGAAGATGTATTGTTAAAAGGGATGTCACCATTTATGGAAAAAAAGATATAATTATGTTTTAAAATGCATCAATTATATCAGGCATTAAAAATAAGTAACAATTCTTATAAGAACCATATTAGAATTATCCAAAGAAACAGAACCAATAGGATGTGTGTACACACACACACACACAGAGAGAGAGAGAGAGAGAAGGAGGGTGATTTTAGGGAATTGGATCATGTGACTGTGGGCCTGTTAAGTCCAAAATTTGCAGGGCAAGCTGAAATTCTGGCCAGAGCTGATGTTGCAGTCTTGGGTTTGAAGGCAGAATGAGGCAGAATGCCCTCCTGCTGGGGGAAACCTCAATCTTTGCTCTTAAGGCCTTCAACTGATGGGATATGGCCTACCCACATTATGGAGGGTAATTTGCTTCACTCAAAGTCTACTGATTGAAATGTTAATCCATTCTAAAAAAATTAAATAAATACCTTCACAGCAATGTCTAGGCTGGTATTTGACAAACAACTGGGCACCATAGCCTAGACAAGCTGACACATAAAATTGGCCATCACAAGAGCCTACCTTGTTTGAGAAAGTATTTAAGGTGACTATTTTCTCATTGCTGTAATCCTGCCAGCTAACAAAGTGCCTCCTTTGCTAGTGTTCACTTACTCTTCATTCAGTGGCAAAGTCAATGAATGTGTGTTATGCTTATGTTTCCAATAAGTTGTAAGCTTGAGGAACAATGTTTCTCTTGCATTTCCTGTAGCGATTGCAATTACATAACTCACATTTTCTGGGACAGGAGTGTTTTCAGGTGCTCTGTTTACTGTCACATCATGTGTCCTGATTTTTAATTTTAGGAAACATGGTCACCATACTTCTAACATGTAATTGCATGCTGGACATCGTCAGTAAATTTCAATAAATACTTACTGCTTGAAATGGAATTTCCAGCCAGTGGACATTTTGTTTAAAATATGACAAAATACAACTGGGGGAAATTATCATTTCTCTTCTCATTTATTCCTGAGACATACAATGCAATCTGGTTCTTGTGTTTTAAATTTTCCATGTCCAGTTTTCAGGGTGTGGTTATAATGAATTGCCAAACCAATATGAAGTAAGATATTCAGTAATCAAGGACAAGTTCAAACAATGTTGAACTTTTTTTTAGGGTGAGTGAATGTGCAGGTAATGTATCCGGGGAAGGGCTTGTATATAAAAGGAGGGACACAATTAGACAAATAAAAATACCTGTTTATGGTTTCTCTATGCAGATAATAAAACTTTATGACTCCAGGAGGAAGGCGGATGAACTTTATTGTACATAAGAAAATGGCAGAATCTAAGCATAAATACAACATTAAGAATTTTTTTCCAATAAAAATTACTTGGGGCTTTTCTGGACTGCTGAAATTATTTTTCTACTGTATAATCTGATGCGATTTTTTAAGCTGCTGGTTTGTTCCAAACTGATATCTCAAAGGAGTACAAATTATAGCGCTTGGAATTTAGATAGGCCTGGTGAAAATTTAAAGCTATTATAGAAAACTGAATGATGAATTATCTTCAGGGAAGCCAGAAAGTGCCTGAACCAAAAGCCTTCAGATACTCAGTCAAAAAATTAGCAAGATTTAGTGACAACTTGGCTACATGGAATGAAGATATGAGAGAGACGAAAGATGTTTTAGTCTAGGTAGGAGACTGGAACTATGCTTATCTTATTATTAGAGACAGAGAGATTAGGACAGATAACCAGTTTGGAATATTTAGTAGTGGAGTGAAGGTGCTGAGTGATTTTGAACATGTGTCGGAGTGAAACATGGAGATGCTCCATACACAGCTGGAAGTGCAGAATATGAATGCAGGTGAGAAATCAGAACCAGAGCTGCGTTCCCAGAACCTTTATTACAGAATTTAAATGAAGCCTAAACTATTGACTGTGATTATCGCTTTTCACCCCTATGTCTCCCCTAAGCCACAGATTTCCTCTTCCTGGACTCCAGCTAGATGGAGTGATTGGCAGGCCCCCTACTTGATCTTTGCCCTTCTGGAACATGTGCACACTCTATCCTCACCTGGAATTCTCTCTCTTTTCCCATCCCACACCTCACAACCCACACCCCAACTTCCACTCAGGTCTCACTTTAGATGTGGCTTCTCTGAGTGCCTCCTTATACACACACATGCATGCATGTGCACAAACACATATCTATGTGCAAGTGCACACACACACTCCTCCTGGGTTAGGTTAGTTACCTTCCTATGAGGTTCCAGAACCCGTAGGATTTATTTCCCCCATTACTCTATGTTATAAAATTCTGCTCACTCTTCCTCCCAACCAACTTGAGTTTGAGGTTCCCCAGGGCAGGGATTACATCCTTCCTGCTCGTTATTGTATTTTTAACTCCATAACACACAGTAGACACTCAACAAATTCAATGAATAAATGAATTATCAGAGAGGACTGAATACAGGCAAGATTACAGTGGATGAAGCTCTACAAAAGCATGTGGGGAAAAGAGAAGGGTGATAGTTGCCTGCCTCAAATGACAAGCCTGGAAGTGCTTGGAAATGTTAATTACCTGTTGTGTGTATTACCTTATGGAATGAATGAAGAGGTTATGGTGTTGCATTCTGATGTGGTTTTTCTGGTGAGATGTGTAAAGTAAGGCACACCCATGTGTATGGGTGGTAGGCATGTCTTCCAAGAAGCTGGAAGCCATTCTGCAGAGCAGTCACCTGGGAAAGAAGGGTGTTCTCAGACAGGAAGTGAGCTGAAGGGTGGCTTGGGTGGGTGAAAGGACAGGCTTGATCTTGCTCTCTTGGTCTGGAGCTGTGCTTTCCAATAGAGCAGCCACTAGACACATGTGGCTATTGAGCACTTGAAATGTGCTGATCTGGATTGAGATGTGCTCCAAGTATGATATACACACTAGATTTCAAAATGAGTACAAAAAATATAAGGTATTTTATTAATAGTTTTTATATCGATTACATGTTGAAATGATATTCTGGGTATGGTGGGTTAAATAAAATCCAACATTGAAATTAATTTCACCTGTTTCTTTTTGCCTTCTTAACGTGGCTACTAAAACATTTAAAATTCTATATATGGCTTGAGTTACATTTCTATTGGACAACGCTGGTCTAGACTTAAGAGGAGATTTGGACATTTCTGAATGTCCTCCTGGGTGTGAGACAGAGCAGAGACTCTTCTTAGGGGACTGCCACCCTGCCCCAAGCATGGAAATAAAGGAAAATCTGGAGTTCCTTCAAGGGAAATTCCAAACACCTAGCCAGCCCTGAGATGTAAATAAGCAACCTGATAAGCAAGAGGGTAATAATTGCTGAAAACAATAGCAAAGGAAGTTAGAGCCACAAGATGTTCGGTTCCCTATAGAAACTAAAGACAGGTCGGGCATGGTGGCTCATGCCTGTAATCCTAACACTTTGGGAGGCTAAGGCAGGAGGATCCCTTGAGCTCAAGAGTTCAAGACCAGCCTGGGCAACATAGGGAGACCTTGTCTCTAAAAAAGAAGAACTAAAGATAACATCTTCACATATGTCCCTGAGTTGTTTTTCAGAAACTCACACCCCCCACCAAATGGAAAATGTCGTTCACTGGCACATAGACCTCAGGTAAGGGAGAAGTGAGGACTCAGTGCCATTCTTTGTTCTAAATTTCTTCCTGAGGGGACTTGAAGAGTCACATGCAGAGGCCAGACCTCAACATTCCTTTCTGCTGACCCCAAGTTTTTAGACAAAGCTTTGCTTCCTTAACCGGAGAATCTTTGAATCCCCCAATGACCGGTAAGCCCCTGCTTCAAGATATCCTATCTTTTTAGGCCAAACCAATCTCTAACCTCCATGTGCTGATTTATGATTTCACTTCTGCTTTCCTGAAGTGTACCCCTGCCTTTAAAAACCTTTGCCTGTAAGTCAGCAGGCAGTCTTAAGCACAAGCTGCCCAATTCTTATTCCTTGGTGTCCTGTAAATAAATGCCCTCCTTTCCCTCACTGCAAACCTCGGTGAGGGTGTTTGTCTTTAGTGTGCAGGGTGAGCGGACCCAGGTTTGGCTCAGTAACAGGTGGAGCTATTAAGGCAGCAATGGAACAAATCTGAAAACCTGAAACGTAAGCATATCTTGTAAAGGTAGAATGATTTATGAGCATCTCTGTCTTGTTTGCACCATTGTAAAGGATTTCTTCCTAGTGCTCTATGTGCTGGACACTGTGCTAGGTGTTGGGGCTACAGGATAAACCAGGCAAAGGTGGTCCTGCCCTCCTCAAGCTTGCTCTCTAGCTACGTGATTCAGTCTCTCCCTTCATCAGGAGAGTTTCTGCTACTGCTGTCTTTGGAGGAGAATGGATAGGGAAGCATGACATTTGATATTTATTTGTTTTTCATCATGACTAAATGTATTGAATGTTTACTCTGTATCAGGCACTTTTAATTCCTTGTCTCCTGGAATCCTCATTAATCAATCACCCTACAAAGCAGGAACTATTATTATTCCTGTAAAAAGGAGTAAACTGAGGATTGGGAAGTAAAATAAGTTGCCCAAAGCCAAACAGATGGTCAGAAACAGAGCCCGAATTGAAACCCAGATCTGCCTGAATGCAGTGTTCCACAGCTAACCACTATACACATACTACACTGGCTAACTTTCTTTTTTTAGAGAGAGAGGGCAGGGGCGGTGTGGGGGGGGATGGCACGGGTCTCTCACTTTGTTGCCTAGGCTGGTCTTGAACTCCTGGCTTCAAGAGATCCTCCTGCCTTAGCCTTCCAAAGTGCTGGGATTACAGGCGTGAGCCACTGCACCTGGCCTGTTGCTATTTTACAACTGAGGAAACTGAATCCCAGAAAAGTGAAATAACCCAGCCAAGATCATGGAGCTACTAAACTGTGGCAACATTATTTGAATCTTAGTCCTCTTACATGTAAAGTTCTTTAAATATTCCATCTCTCTAAAGTTCCCATAAAAATATATATGTTGGTGGCACTGCCTGTAACCCCAGCACTTTGGGAGGCCGAAGCGGGCAGATCACTTGAGGCCAGGAGTTTGAGACCTGCCTGGCCAACATGGCAAAACCCCATCTCCATAAAAATGCACACACACAATAATAGCCAGGTGTGGTGGCGTGCTTATAATCTCAGCTACTTGGGAAGGTGAGGCATGAGAATCATTTGAACCTGGGAGGCGGAGGCTGCAGTGAGCCGAGATTGCACCACTGCACTTCAGCCTGGGCAACAGAACAAGATGCTGTCTCAAAAAAATAAAAATTAAAATTAAAAAAGGTATATTTTAAACGTGTGGAAGATAAAAGCTAGCCTTCTTAGCTTGGTGTGTTGGTGAACACCTGTAGTCCCCTGTAGTCCCAGCTACTCGAGAGACTGAAGTGGGACGATCACGTGAGCCCAGGAGGCCGAGGTTGCAGTGAGCCGTAATTGTGCCGCTATACTCCAGCCTGGGGCACAGAGCAAGCCCCTGTCTCAAAGAAAAGGAGAGGATCCAGTTTCAGCTTTCTACATATGGCTGAAACTGGATCCCTTCCTTACACCTTATACAAAAATCAATTCAAGATGGATTAAAGATTTAAACATTAGACCTAAAACCATAAAAACCCTAGAAGAAAACCTAGGCATTACCATTCGGGACATAGGCATGGGCAAGGACTTCATGTCCAAAACACCAAAAGCAATGGCAACAAAAGACAAAATTGACAAATGGGATCTAATTAAACTAAAGAGCTTCTGCACAGCAAAAGAAACTACCATCAGAGCGGACAGGCAACCTACAAAATGGGAGAAAATTTTCACAACCTACTCATCTGACAAAGGGCTAATATCCAGAATCTACAATGAACTCAAACAAATTTACAAGAAAAAAACAAACAACCCCATCAAAAAGTGGGCAAAGGACATGAACAGACACTTCTCAAAAGAAGACATTTATGCAGCCAAAAAACACATGAAAAAATGCTCATCATCACTGGCCATCAGGGAAATGCAAATCAAAACCACAATGAGATACCATTTCACACCAGTTAGAATGGCAATCATTAAAAAGTCAGGAAACAACAGGTGCTGGAGAGGATGTGGAGAAATAGGAACACTTTTACACTGTTGGTGGGACTGTAGACTAGTTCAACCATTGTGGAAGTCGGTGTGGCGATTCCTCAGGGATCTAGAACTAGAAATACCATTTGACCCAGCCATCCCATTACTGGGTATATACCCAAAGGACTATAAATCATGCTGTTATAAAGACACATGCACACGTATGTTTATTGCGGCATTATTCACAATAGCAAAGACTTGGAACCAACCCAAATGTCCAACAATGATAGACTGGATTAAGAAAACGTGGCACATATACACCATGGAATACTATGCAGCCATAAAAAATGATGAGTTCATGTCCTTTGTAGGGACATGGATGAAATTGGAAATCATCATTCTCAGTAAACTATCACAAGAACAAAAAACCAAACACTGCATATTCTCACTCATAGGTGGGAATTGAACAATGAGATCACATGGACACAGGAAGGGGAATATCACACTCTGGGGACTGTGGTGGGGTGGGGGGATGGGGGAGGGATAGCATTGGGAGATATACCTAATGCTAGATGATGAGTTAGTGGGTGCAGCGCACCAGCATGGCACATGTATACATATGTAACTAACCTGCACAATGTGCACATGTACCCTAAAACTTAAAGTATAATAAATAAATAAATAAATACATAAATAAATAAAAGGAGAGGAGAGGAGAGGGGAGAGGGGAAAAGGGAGAGCGCAGAGGAGAGGAAGAAAGAGAGAAAGAGAGAGGGAGGGGGAGGGAAGAGGAGAATGAGAGAGGAAGGAAGGAAGGAAGAAAGGAAGGAGAGAAAGAAAGAAGGAGAAAAAAGAAGGAAAAATTGGGGGGGGAAAACTAACCCTCTTTGACTAGCGACTACCAGATATCCCAAGATGTTGTAGGAAGACGGATTAGTACCTTCTAGAGCCATTCTCTCTTCCCCTAAGTAGCCAGGGGTTAAAAAAAAAAAAAATCTGCTATAATGTGAAGAAGATAAAAGTTCTAGACTCATACTTCAGAGTTGGAAACATTTGGAATGATATAGTCCAAGCCTCTCATTTCACAGATGAGGCCCAGGGAGATACAGGAACTTGCCCAAGGTCACCCAGCTAGTTGGTGGCAGAACCAGACCTGGAGCACGTGCTGCTTTGCACAGTGTATGCCTCTCTTCATAACCCTCCCTGCCCCCAGGAGCACCCAAATGAGGGCCTTGGGGAATTTCAGGGCGGTGTGTGTGTTTGGGGGGGAATTGCTAGGGGGTGCCCTATTGGTTGACAGGAGGCAAAGCTTACTCTGCCTCATTACACATGTAGTTTTCATCACAACCCCAAGGCACTCGTGAAGAACCCAGAGAGGCCACAGCACACAGCAGGGCCCTGCAGAGAGAACTACTGGAGTAGTCCCTGCTTTCCTTATCGTCTAAGACACACCAGTGCTGTGGATCCAGATAACAGGACAAATAGTATAAAAACAAGATTCGCTCAGAACCTGGAAACAAGTGGAGGGTTTCGCTTTCCTTGCTTTTCTTCCCTTTAAGCACATGCAAGTCCAGGAGAACAGCTTTTTAGAGGAAGCCTGTATAACTCGGCAGAGCAGCTGTGGGGCTTGACTGGCAAGACAGGTTTAGGAAGCCGTGTTTGGGAGGAGACGCCTGCAGGAGACGCAGATGACACTCCATGCTGATCCTGGAAATTTCACACACAGTAAAAAATTCTAATTAGCAATCTGGGCCAAAAGCTGTTTCTGGGAGTTGCTCTCCAGGCATCAAGCTGTTCCATGGCACGGGTGCCCACCCAGCCATGACTCGCTGTCCCTGCACACACATTTGCACTTCCCACTTCCCTCTGGGTGTTCTATATTCCTGCCATACTCTCTCCTTGTCACACTTGCGTCAGCCACACTCTTTTCTCAGGCCCTGCTCAAGAACCTCGACCTCCTTGAAGCTTTTCCAGACCCTGTCCAGCCCGAAAATCACTCCTTTTTTTGGAATCCAAGATTCATATCCTCCTGTATTTAGCACTTAGTTATCGAGTTCCTAGTTGATTTATACTTATTTATCTTTTTATGTATGTTCTGTCTCTTAAACTGGAATTAAGCCACTTACAGCAAGGGACAGATCCATTTTCCTCCATGAATTCCAAATTCCTTCTTGGTACAGAGCCACGTGAGTGCAGGCACTCCATACACTTTGGATGTTGATTATGACAGTGACAATGATGATGATAATGGTGATGGAGGAGAATGAGGAGAGAAGAAAGAGAGAAAATAAATTTGTCCTAAGGGACAAATTGAATGACTATTGAGATCAAACTCCAGGCAAAGAAAAATCTGAGAAATGCTCAAATTTATGTCTGTGACACTTCTACTTGCCACGTTTGTCACGTCTGGTTTCACAGGCCATTGCATCAGTGCTAAATGCAAAGCTGGATTGTCTCTTTCATTCCTTTCCTTGAGGACCCCACTGTGATGGTGACTTTCATGTGTCCACTTGACCGGGCCACAGGGTACCCAGACATTTGGCCAAACATTATTTGGGATGTGGCTGTGCGGGAGTTTCTGGAGGAGCTTCATAGCTGAATTGGTAGACTGAGTACAGCAGACTATGCTCCCTAATGTGGGTGGGTCTCATCAGTTGACTGAAGACCTGAATAGAACAAAAAGACTGAGTCAGAGGGAACCCCTGCTGCCTGATGGCTTGAGCTGGAACATGGGTCATTTCCTGCCTTTGAAATCTAACTGAAAAATCAGCTCTTCTTGGGACTCAGGCCTGCCCACTTTTGGGCTGGAACCTACCCCACTGACTCTCCTGGTTCTCAGGCCTTCAGACTCAGACTGAAACTGCACCATTGGCTCTTTAGGGTGTTCAGTTTGCCAACTATAGATCTTGGGACTTCACCTTCATAATCATGTGAGCCAATTCCTCATCATAAGTCTGTGTGCGTGTGCATGTGTGTATGCCTATCTCCTATTAGCTCTGTTTCTCTGAAGAGCCCTGATTAGTATACGCTTCTACCTGGACATCTTCATTGAGCAGCAGAAGTCTTGGCTCCACCACAAACCAGCAGTGAACATTAGGTAAATAATTTAGTTTCTCTAAGCTGAGGTGTTTGCTTTTGCTTTTTAAAAATGCAAATTTTCACCAGGCATGGTGGCTCATGCCTATAATCCAAGCATTTTGGGAGGCCAAGGCGGGTGGATCACTTGAGGCCTGGAGTTCAAGACCAACCTGGCCAACATAGCACATAGCAAAACCCCATCTCCACTAAAAATTAAAAAAAAAAAAAAATTAGCTGGGTGTGGTGGTGCCTGTAATCCCAGCTACTTGGGAGGCTGAAGCATGAGAATCGTTTGAATCTGGGAGGCGGAGGTTGCAGTGAGCCAAGATTTTGCCACTGCACTCCAGCCTGGGAAACAGAGTGAGACTCTGAAAAAGAATTTTTAATTCAAATTTTAATGAAGAGAGGTTGGTTAATAGGTACAAACATACAATTAGGTAGAAGAAATTAGTTCTAACATTGGACAGCAGAGTAGGGTGACTATAGTTAACAACAATGTATTGTATATTTCAAAATAGCTAGAAGAGAAGAGTTTAAATGTTCCCAATACATAGAAATGATCAAAAAATCAGGGTGATGGATACCGTAAATGCCCTGACCTGATCATTTCACATTCTATGCATGTAACAAAATATCACATGTACCTCATAAATATATACAAATATTATGTATCAATTAAAAATAAATAAAAATACAAGACATAAAAATGCTTTCTAAAAACACAAATGTTCTGCTTACTTTACAGAGCTTTTGAAAGAATCAAATGAAATAATAGAGGTGACAGTATTTGTAAACTATGAACTGGAAGGGAAAGATAATACTATGATGTGGCTGACTACTTCTTTTTTTTTTTTTTTTTTTTTTTTTTGAGACAGGGTCTTGCTCTGTTGCCCAGGCCGGAGTGCAGTGGCATGATCATGGCTCACTGCAGCCTCAACCTCCCAGCCTCCAGTCATCTTCCTCTCAGACTCCCAGGTAGCTGGGACCACAGGCACATGCCACCACACCCAGCTAATTTCTCTTATTTTGTAGAGACGAGGTCTCACTATGCTACCCAAGCTGGTCTCCAAACTCCTGGGCTCAAGCAATCCTCTGACCTTGGCCTCCCAAAGTGCTGGAATTACAGGCATGAGCCACTAAGCCTAGCCAGTAACTACCTCTTGACCTCTGACCTGTGGCCATTTGTCTACCTCTATATTTCTCACTCCAGGGGATTTTTCATTTACCAATTACATCTAAGATCTGTTGTGTCATCACCCCAAATTAAATATTTTATTTCTAAAATTAAGGTTTTTATCTCATTCCCCTCAATATTTCTCCAATTCACAAGCAGCCTTCACAGTAACAAACCTATTATGTAGTAAGATTTGAGGGGCAATTTTGCCCTTCCCACCTCCATCTATCCAAATTCTTACCATGACTGATATACTCCTTTGGGTTAAGATCTTGTGTTGCCAGGAGAGTCCATTTAGAAAGCAAATAGACACAGAAGATCTATTATGTCCATATCTTGGCATGGATTCATTCTTAGACTACTCTTTGAAAGTAGAGAGCAAAGGAATGCGAAGTGAGACGGTATGATTTTAGACAAGGCAGGGGAAGAGATGCTGTCTGTGGAGGACTGGCCTGGATGGGACACAGCCTTGGGAAGCCCTGCATAGCCAGAAGTCAGTAAATGCAGGTGGGATGGGGTATGGAGGGAGGACAGGAGTTGCGGAGGGTTATGGAAAAAGGCTTCACAATAAGTCAAGGAAAGGTCAGTCTTAAAGCAGGGTGGGCACTAGATTAACATTTTGTCCATTGAATACTTTTGTTTAGGGCTGGATCTGTTCTTGTTTCTCCAGGCCTGAGACCAGATATTCTTATCAGCTCTCTCCTCCCTTGGCCTATTCTACCTCCCTCAAATCATCTCTCACTGCTGTTTTTAAATTCCACGTTGCTTGGATCCTGCCTTTGCGTCTGGTTCCCAAAGATGCAATTCTGCCTCAGGCCCTGAGGGTCACACCAGGACTGTGCAGCCTTGGTACTCCCCTTAATGGGTTTCCCCCACTCTGAGCATTGTCTCCCTTGAGTATGGACTGATCCCAACATCCCTTTCCCAGAAGCCTCCTATGGCTTCAAAGTGATAAAACTCCTGGCTCTCCCCTGATTCCTAACCTCTTCCTTATCTAAGGTTATTTACAGTAATAACTGACATTCCTATGGTGAATTAGAGTTTTGTGAAATTTTATAGTTAACTATGATCTGACTGTCACCCCAACACTCTACTGAAACTCTCAGGAAAAGATCACCAGTGACCACCTATTATTGTCAAAGCCAATAAACACATTTCATTTACTGTCTCAGTACCCTTTCTGCAGCTGACAGCTTTATTCAACACACCTTCATTTTTGTAGTTCTCTCCTGTCCAGGTTTCTACAGCACTGCTCTATGCTGGTCTTCCACAATGTTGGCAATTGCTTTTATCTGCTCAGCATCCCTTTTCCTCACCTTGATAATGCCCCATCACCTTGAATAGAGTGGGTGTATGATCCAGGTGGGCCAATCATACCACCAAATCCTGTCCTCAGCGATTGGTGCAGGAAT
The DNA here is from genome assembly GCF_000001405.40 of Homo sapiens. Taxonomy (NCBI): domain Eukaryota; kingdom Metazoa; phylum Chordata; class Mammalia; order Primates; family Hominidae; genus Homo; species Homo sapiens. The sequence goes on along the minus strand of NC_000008.11, from coordinate 98,302,170 downwards.
GGGTCACATGTCACAAAGCAGACCAGTCAGAGATTTTTTTCCCTGAACTTTCTAACTGAAGCTGGTTGGGAATACCCTTAATCAATTGGTTTTGCTGCTTAATACATACCTTCAAAATCTCAGTGGTTTTTAACAATCTAAATTTATTTTCTTGCCCAAGAGTCTACAGGTCAGATATGGCTCCATTGAAGACAGCCAGGATTGGCTTTAGGTCCACTTCACAGGTTTCTTTTTCCTCCCTGGACCAGTGGCTATTTGGAGTTATCTTTTCAGAGAGGAGCACAGGAATGCCTCTAAAAACCTTGGCCTGGAATTGTCACCCTCACTCCATCTACGTTTCTATTGGCCAAAGCAAATCATGTGCCCAAGCCCACCATCAATGGGAAGATGCCTCTGTGGGAGAAATTGTAGTCACTGAGCAATGGGTGGGGATGTACAAGGCAAATATTCCTGTGTCGGGGGCATGAAGAACTGTGTAGTCCAATCTGCCACACTCCCCCTTTCCTTTGTCACTCTAAGGATGGCATCAGGAGCCCCTGTGGCCATAATCTCACCATGTGAAGCTGATCTGAGGATGAAGCCCAGATGGCACAATCAGGTTCCCAGATCCAGTAGTCCAGCTCCACCCCTGCCTTCCCAGGTTGTAGTTAGGAATTAATGTATTTCCCTTTGAACTGGGATCCTGTCTCGAATTCTGAGAACCCTAAAAATCCATGCTCTTACCTCTTAGGCAGTTTTTGTTGGCCTTGTGTTCTGTACTCTATCTGGAACAGGGGTCAGCAAATTGTGGCCTATGGGGCGAATCCAGTGAGCATGCTGTTTTTGTAAATAAAGTTTTATTGGAACACAGCCACATCCATTTATACACATGTTGTCTGTGGCTGCTTTCACGCTGCAATGGCAGAGTTGAGTAGTTGTGACAGAGACCATATGGTCCACAAAACCTAAAATATTTACTATCTGGCCATTTACAGAAAAAGTGTGCTGAACACTGCTCTAAAAGATATTGGCTACTTGCTAGCCATGGCCAGTCTCATCCACCTGTATGCTGGTGAGTCCCAGATCTATTTCCCTGGCCCTGACCTCACCAGCGCACCTTAGAATAAATTCTGTACACCCTTTCCTGCTTGAATATTATACAAGTTCCTCAAATTCAATGAGTCTTGAAACCAAACTCCGGTTCCCCTACACTGGTTCCTCTTTCCTATTCCCCACATCAGTGAATGGTGCTGCCTTTTTACTTAATAGCCCCAACTACAACAATCTTAGACTCTCCCTTCTCCCACCTTTCCCTGCCCCATCAGCAGGTCATGCCAATTTTACTTCTAAACGTTTCTTAATCCCTCTCCTTCTCCCCAGCCTTTCTCATATATCCTCATTTGAGCCATAGCAGTCCCTAACTTGTCTCCTATCTTGTGTTTCTCCCCTTAAACCACACCCAGCCACACCTGTGCCTCCAACAAGGGAGATTTTACAGCTCTAAGCTTGCCCTGCTGCCCTCTTATCTTAAGTTACTCAGTGGTTCCCCGTTAAGAGTCAAGACTGACCTTGATCATCCAACACACAAAGCCCTCAATTTCCTGGCCCTGTCAGCCTCTCTATCCTTATGTTAGTGTATCACCTAAGGGTAATGTGGAATTGCTTCATGTGGATACATACATACTCTGCTGTCTTTGCCTGTGTTCTGCCTGCTGCAAGCCCTGTTCACCCTTGACCTCCCTTCTTCATGTGGCTAACTCATCTCAGGGCTCTCAATAGTCATCACCTCTTCTAGTTAGCCCTCCCAGGCTGCACCTGCCTGCCCAACCTGAGCTGGCTGCTTCTTCTTTCTTTCCTCCCACCCTTGTGCTGAAGTTAACTTGTAACATTGAGCCTACCTATTGGCATGTTTGCCTGCTCACAGCCAGTTAAGCTCCTCATGCCTTATCCAATTTCATGTCCTGGGCTCCTGGCACAAACTTAAGTATTTGGTGAACTGAGCTGAAATACAGCTCACATTACTTAATGTTCAAAAAAGCCTTTAAGATAAATATTATCATTCCCACTTCATGAATTAGGAAACTTAATCTCAGAGAATTCGCCCAAAGTCATACAGCTGATAAAGGTCAGAAGACCACACTTTAATCCAGGTCTACCAATCTTGAACTTTTCAAACCTCTAACCACAAAACCTCGGTTTTTTTCTGGATGGGTCTTTTTGTGTTAGTTGTAAAATATATTATGGTTATAAAAAAGCACACTTGACATAAGTGTATACCTTTAAGAATAATAATAGTACAAATGCCCATATAACACATAACCCAATTTAGAAAATAGAACGTTGCCAAACCTTTCAACCACTATCAGAATTTTTGTGTTTATCATTTTTTGCCCCTTCCTTCCTTCCTTCCTCTCTCTCTTTTTCTTTCTTTCTTTTTCAGACAGGGTGTCACTCTGTACCCCAGGACAGAATGCAGTGGAGCCATCACGGCTCACTGTACCTATACAGATCTCACCATGTTGCCCAGGCTCGTCTTGAACTCCTGAGCTCAAATGATCAGCTCGCCTCCGCTTCCTAAAATGCTGGGATTACAGGCATGAGCCACAGCACCTGGTCTATCCTTTGCTTTTCATTAGGTCTTCCCACATATAGATAGATGTACTTCTAAACAATATATTGTCTAATTTTGCATGCTTTTGAATAATACTGAATATAATCTTCTATGGATTTGCTATTATTATGTTTGTGGGATTCATCCATGTTGCTGTGGCTGTTAGGTGGTTGTCATTCAGGTAATTTCATTGCTGTGTTCCATTATATAAATGTATCAAAATTCATTTGCCCACTATTCCTGCTAATGGACATTTGAGCTGCTTCCAGTTTTTTGTTTGTTTGTTTGTTTGTTTGTTTGTTTGTTTTGCTGTTACAAAGAGTGCTGTTATTCTTATACATCTCTTCTGCTGTCCAGGTACGGAAGTTTCTCTGGGGTATGTACATAAGAGTGAAATTCACATGTACATCTTCATCTTTACCAAATACTGTCAAACTCTTTCCAGTGTCAATAGCATCAGCACTAAATAAGAGTTTCTTTTGCTCCACATCCTTATCAACACTTGGTATGCAAATTAAAAATTTTTTTTTTTGCCAACCAGCAGGTGTAAAATGGTTCTCATTGGAGATATTATTTTGTATTTTTCTGATTACTGGTGAAATGGAAGTATTTTATATGTTTATTAGCCATTTATAGTTTTTCTTATGAAGACCACCTGTTTATATTTTTGCCCATTTTTCTACCAGTTGTCTGACTTTTTCTTATTGACCTGAAGGAGTTATTTATATATTCTGGATGTGAATCCTTGGTCAGTCACATGTATGAGAAATAAAAGTTCTGAGTTTGACTTTTGTTTTGTTTTGTTTTGTTTTGTTTTTTGTGGCAGGGTCTCACTCTATTGCCCAGGCTGGAGTGTAGTAGCATGATCACAGCTCAGGGCAGCCTTGACCTCCCGGGCTCAGGTGATCCTCCTGCCTCAGCCTCCCCAAGTAGCTGAGACTACAGGCATGCGCCACCATGCCTGGCTAGTATTTTTGTATTAAGATTCTCAGTTTCTGACTTATCTTTTTACACTTTATGGTGCCTATTGATGTATAAAAGTTCTTAGTTTGGCTGGGCATGGTGGCTCATGCCTGTAAACCCGCACTTTGGGAGGCCAAGTAGGCAGATTGCTTGAGCCCAGGAGTTTGAGACCAGCCTGGGCAACATGGTGAAACCCCATTTCTACAAAAAAACCCAAAAATTAGCTGGGCGTCATGGTGTGAGCCTGTAGTCCCAGCTACTCATGAGGCTGAGGTGGGAGGATGGATTGAGCCTGGGAGATCAAGACTTCGTCCTGCCAAAATTGTACCACTGCACTCCAGCCTGGGCAACAGAGCAAGACCCTGTCTCGAAAAAAAAAAAAGTTCTTAGTTTTATTGTAATTGCACTTATGAATCTTTGTCTATGTGGATTGTATTTTTTAATTTGTTTAAGGGATGCTTCCCTATTGTAAGGTTATAGCCGGCACCTATTGAGTACTTTCTATGTTTCGGGTACTCCTTATCATCTCCCTTTTACAGGTGATAAAGACAAGGCTCAGAGAAATTGAGCAACTAGATGAGGTCATACAGCAAATAAGCAGTGGAGTCAGGATTTGAACCCAGACAGTCTGCCTTGTGTTTGCACTTTAACAATTGCCAAACTGTTGTTTATAGAGATGATGTCATATGTTATTCTATAAGATTCAAAGTTTCGCCTCTCTCATCAAAGTCTCTAATCTGGACTTGGCTTATGATGTGAGATACCTGAATTAATCCATACCCTTCTCTACTTTGGCCCCTTAAAAGCTCCTAACTTGAGTAATGCTTATTGTAACACAACTAGTATTGACTGAATTGTGCTAGAGATGAATTTTAAAAAAAACATTTTATTCATGGGAACAATCAACAATGCGGACTACTAGAGAGGGGAGGGAAGGAGGAGGGCACAGGTGGAAAAACTACCTACTGGTACTATGCTCACTACTTGGTTGCAAGAAACCCATGTAACAAACCTGCACATGTACCCCTGTATCTAAAAAAAAAGTTGAGAGAAAAAAAAAAGCTGTTTTGTTAATGCTGCCAGTGACTGATCCCAGGCAAGGTAGGCAAAATCTAACCCTGCTCTCTAAGTAAATGATTTGGCACCAGAGTAGAGTTCTTCAAATTAACTGAGGAAGACAGACTTCCACGTTTCAGCCCTTTTTTTAGCTTTTGGCATCCCGTAAAGTGAACAGGATATCCCCTGAAGAAATCCCACGAGAGGTAGAGGCCGTCACAAAGTACGGAACAATCTCCACAGCTCTGCCTACACTGCTGGGACCAAAATAGTTCACATGGCATTCCTGCCGCCTCCTTGTGAACTGTGTGGGAAGGAACGCTGGTCACGAATTCTTCGTTTCAACCACCCACACACACTAGGACAGCAGCAACAGCAGTGACATCTTGGAATCTAGAGAACACCACGTGGTAGGCTGTACATCAAATCTTCTCTGCATCATGTACCATCTTCCTCCAAAATTAGAGGTTTTAAACAAATGTAAAGAAATTGAAAATGTTTTTTTAAATTAAGAAATAAAATGGGAACAAGTTGAGTATAGCAGAGTATCAACTAAAGGGAAAAAAATCAAGCTTTTAAAGAATTAAACTTAGTTTTATTCAGAAGTCTCACTGAATTGTTTGAGGCCAGGAGTTCTAGACCAGCCTGGGAAACATAATGAGACCCCATCTCTACAAAAAATTAAAAAAAAAAAAAAATTGTCTGGGCGTGGTGACTCACGCCTGTAATCCCAGCACTTTGGGAGGCTGAGGTGGGTGGATCATGAGGTCAGGAGATCGAGACCATCCTGGCTAACACGATGAAACCCAGACTCTACTAAAAATACAAAAAATTAGCTGGGCGTGGTGGCGGGCATCTGTAGTCCCAGCTACTCAGGAGGCTGAGGCAGGAGAATGGCGTGAACTCGGGAGGCGGAGCTTGCAGTGAGCCGAGATTGTGCCACTGCACTCCAGCCTGGGTGACAGAGCAAGACTCTGTCTCAAAAAAAAAAAAAGTGTGGACTTCATTATGGCAATAGGGAGGCTTCAAGGCATTTTAAACCAGAAAGTAACACAATCCATTTAGTATTTTGCTTGTTAGCAACTGTACAACTACTTACAATCTGGCTGATAGAAAAATACTAGAGTGGTTGTACCAGGGTTGACTGGTTCCCCTCCCCCATAACCCCATGGCATTCCCACTCATCCTGGTTGGTAGAGCTTACCTCTCACTAGGTTGGAAATACCCAAGAATCACTTTCCCAGCCTCCCTTGCTGGTAGAACATGGGCATGTGACCCAGTCCCAGCCAATGGGATCTGAGGTGAAAGGATGCCAGGAGGATTCTGGAAAAGGCTTTCCTCCCTCAATGGACAAGACCAGTACCTCAGGGATAGCAGAGCAGAAAGGTGGAAGTGACGACATAATAGAACCACATAGAGACACATTCCTCTGGAGATAGCAGATAATTATTGTTTAAGCCACTTTTATTTGGATACTCTGTTACTTGCACCCTAAAGCATGTGAAGAGAAAGAAGCATTAATGAAGTCACCAATATCAATGAATGTGATGTTATAGAAAACTTATCAGACAAGGCATGGCAGCTCACACCTGTAATCCCACCACTTTGGGAGGCCGAGGTGGGACAACTGTTTGAGGCCAGGAGTTCTAGACCAGCCTAGGAAAAATTGCGAGACCCTGTCCCTACAAAAAAATAGAAAAATATTAGCCAGGGCCAGGTGTGGTGGCTCACACCTGTAATCCCAGCACTTTGGGAGGCCAAGACAGGGGGATCACTGGAGGTTAGGAGCTTGAGGCCAGCCTGACCAACACCGTGAAACCCTGTCTCTACTAAAAATACAAAAATTAGCCGGGCTTGGTGGTGTGCACGTGTAGTCCCAGCTACTCAGGAGGCTGAGGCAGGAGCATTGTTTGAACCCAGGAGGCAGAGGTTGCAGTGAGCTGAGATTGTGCCACTGCACTGCAGCCTGGGCAAGAGAGAGAGACTCTATCTAAAAAAAAAAAAAATTAGCTGGGCATGGTGGCATGCACCTGTATGTAGTCCCAGGTGGGAGGATCACTTGGGCCCAGGAATATGAGGCTAAAGTGAGTCAAGATCACACCACTGCACTCCAGCCTGGGCAACAGAGCAAGACCCTGTCTCAAAAAATAAAATAAAATGTAATATAACAAATAGAGACCTTTTTCCTTCAGATATTTATTTGAAGTAAATCAGCCTCTTAAAATTGGGAATAGTTACCTACAATTGTTAGCTGTTCACTGAACATCTCGAGTGCTTAAGCAAGAAACTACACAATTTCTGAGACGACATGTCTTGTTTTTTCTGTATGTGAAATGACTTTTTCTCACTCTTTTCTCTCATTTGCACATTTCCCCTAAGAAACACTGAAAACTGTCCCTGCTCCCTTCTAGGCAGCAATTCTCTTTTCTTGAAGGTCTCTCTTTCATGAACTCATGGAAGTCAAAGCACATTATCTAAGAAAAACCTCAGCATTGTGTAAACAAAAGAAGGCAACTATCAGCCTTCAGGCAACAGTATAGAATCATGGTTTTTTTAAAGTGAGAAATACCCTACAGATCATTTGTGGTCACACATTAGAATTTGAATACAGGTAAAACCAGAACATCTCGTTAGAGTTCTTAAGATTAATAACAACATTTATCTTTCATCCTAAATTCATATATACAGTAGCTGGCAACTTTTCAGCAACTCCACCTGATCCCATCTGAAGCAAACCCAATCCAGTCATCGCACACTGGGGTCCTATGGCTACCACATTCCTCATTCAAGGAATATTTACTAAGGATCTATCAAGCACTGGCACTGAGATTCAATCGCTCGGATCTTTTTTTCTCATATTGCTTACAATATTTCTGGGAACTCATGACTTTTTCATATGCAATCAATTTTTAAAATATCGGTGAGAAACACTACATATGTGATAGAGGACTGGAATTGCCAGGTAGAGATGGGAGATGATAGCTGCTTTGGGTTAGTCAGTGTCTCCTCCTCTTCCATTGACTTGGACAAATGTTTACAACGGAGATGATCTGATTCTGGCCCCGACAGGCGCGGGGACCCGTTGCGGACGGCCGCGGGGATTGCCCCCTTGGGCAGTGCGGCCCCGAGGATGCAGACACTGGCCCAGCGGAAGGAGGGCGCGGTGCGAGCTGGACGGCCCCGGGAGGCCGCAGACCGCCGGGCTCCCCGAGGACACCTCGCACCGGAGGAGGAGAGGAGGCAGCGCCCGGCCAGGCTGGGAGCACCTACGGCCGCGCGGGGGCGGGAGCCAGGTGGCCTCGGCGCGCCCGCCTCGCCCGGGCACCGAGCAGGAAGTGGCTGCGGCGCGGCCTCCTCGCGGTGCAACAGGGCGGGGAGGCGGCCGCAGCCCGAGCCGGAGCCCGAGCGCCGGGAGCGAGACCTCATGGCAGCGGTGGCGCCCGCGGGCCCCGGGGACTCCGCCTCGGCCGCCCTGGACGAGCTGTCACTGAATTTCACGTACGGGGCACCAGGCGCCGGCAACGGCTCCCTCTCGGGCGACTGGTACCGCAGGAACCAGGTAAGGGCCGCCCCGCAGCCACCGCAGCCCGGTGGGGACGCGGCCAGGGCGGCTGGCTCCGGGCGCCTCTGCGCCTCGGCCGCTTTCCTGCCAGCTCTCAGGAAGACACCCGGCCTCTCCGAGTGGGAAGAGGTGACATGCAATGTTTCCCGCATTGACCTAAGTCCGCCTCATCCGGAAGCGCGGGGGTCCGCCCAGTCTTCCTCTCCCGGGCACCCGGCACTGGGAGTGGGCGCCCAGGTCTTCGGCCTTGACCTCAGCCACCCGTTCCTGGGACCTCCGGGTCCCGATCCCGCCTCCCCAGCCTGCGTCCGCCCTCTTCTCCCGGAAGGAATCTAGGAGTGTGGGGGCAATTCACTCATTTTCACCCCAGGATCCTTTTACAGTTAAAAGAAAAGAAAAAAGTGACACCCTGTTATCAGAAGCAGAAAACTCATTAAGGGCAGCCTAATGTCACCTCGCGCAGATGCCCTGCGTGTGTCCCTGGTATCTCAACACAGCTCTTCCATTTCCGTGCGAGGAACACATTTTCTCAGGTTGCATTTGCAGGACTCTCATTCTTTCCCACCGGCCCTTTGGGAAAACTTTGTTAACTTAAACAACGCCAGTTTACACTGGAAATATACATTTAACAAAATCAAAGGGACTTGGAGCCGCCCATTTATTTTTGGCTTGGTTTAAGATGAGGAAGTGTTCTGGCCAGCCCTTCCTCTAGCAGCGTTCATATTGCAACTAAGTTTTATCACGGTGGATTCCAGGCTTCCTCCTGTTTTCATTAAATGTGTTACTTTGTTCTTGTTCTTTAACAAAACCATGGATACTTTTATTTTTGCAACAATATAATCAGAAAATATTTGTTGCTGTTGTCCTAAATCGGAGAGTTTAACCAATTATCAAAGATCTGGATTCCTTTTATGCCTGAAGTGTTCTAAATATTAATTTCTGAATGCAGAAGAGAATATATTTGTATAAAGAATAAGTAAGATAAATAAGCATGTTCACTTTATTAGTTTTCAAGAGGGGAGAGTATTGCTTTAAGTCATTTCATCATAAAAGATATAAAAATAGGAAAAATGAGGGTACTCAGAGCCTCTTGATCAATGTTTGTAATCCAACCCCATTTCTCCTTTCTTCTACCCACAGGAATTACAAAGAAAAGCATCATTTTTATGGGAACTTGAATCTATCTATTATATTATTCTTTTATTAGAAGTATTCCCAATATAAGTTTAAGAATGAGTTATCTATCCCCTCTTGATTAAAAAAAAAAAAAAAATAGAGGGTTAGCAGATGTGATCATCCAAAAACAGGACATTGTTTTCACAGTGGAAACCTCTGTAGTCATTAGTTTTCTTTGACATTTCCTGGAATTCTTGATTGTCTTGGCTGTCTGATATCCAAACACAGATTATCATGTGACATAAATGTGAGGCAAATAAATACTGTTTGCAAGGCTTAATTTGCCTTTGACAGTGTGTATTTGTACAGGTTAGAAAGGATGTATCCAGAATGTGCTAATTGAAATTACTGAGCTGACATCTAAACTTTGCTGGTTTGAGATAAAACTGTATCAAGTTTTGCCATTATTGTGCAAATTTAGGCCCTCTTATAAGATGGTGGTATTTTATCTTTTCAGTAATTGCATTTGTGTTAAGCAAAAGTAAAAATTAATTTTTAAAAAGTTTACTCGAGAAGCATTTTATTGAGTGCCTCTGGTGTTGTCCAGGCCAGTAAAAATAAAATTGAGTCTAATTTTTCTTGTCTTTTTTGACACTGAATAGAAATGGCTGAAAATGGGTGTGGATACAGAAAAACAAAGTGTGAGATATAAATGTGTCACTCCCACAATCAAAATGAATGTTGGTTGCTAACTAGCCACAGCTTAATGATGCTTATTTGCTTGCCTCCATTGGTTTTATCACAACTAAAATATTTGCACAGTGTGTGTTGGCTGATAGCCTAGTTCTCTGTCCCTTTATCCCTTCCAAAGTGATTATCATCAAATCTGATCAATTAACCTTACTACATAGAAAAAGACAAACTTCCCTGGAATGCTTTCATGTAATACATGTTTAACAGTGGCCACTTAGAATCAATGTTGTCTAAGACAAAGGTGTGAGTGCTTCTGGAGGAAGAAACCTCAAAGCAACTCAAAAGTAGTAGTTCAGTGGGGGAAGATGTCTTAGGAGCAGGGAAGTGAAGTCTTTGCCCTTTGCACTACTCAGACGCTGTGTGCTTGGTGAAAAGCCTGGCCTATAGAAGTATAGAAGTGATGGAGTTGTGACAGGTAAACAAAAGGCACTTTATGTTTGATCCACAAGTTTTCAGTAGAGAAGGATAATGTTCCCAAGATGTTTATTGAGCTCCATGCTATGTACAAAGCACTACAGGGATATTCAATATAGTGCAAAACCCAAACTCTTCCTTCTGTGAATATTATTAGGTGTTTGGGAAAATGAGCTATGTAGGTAATGCCAAAACAAGGCAGTATGTTGTAAGTGTCATGTGAGTGATATAAAGTCCCATGGAAATTCAGAGCAAAGGGGCATTTGGCTGGGCCATCAGGGATGTTTTGTGGAGAGGTGGTATTTGAGCTGGATGGTTAATGATGGACAGGGTTTCATTGATAGGCATGCACAGTGTAGGGCACTGCAGGAAAGGAAAAAGCTTAGGGACCCAGAAGCAGCCCTCATGGCCAGGACTGGTGCCTTTCTGAATATTTTCCTTCCTAGAGTACAATTCAACTATCATTCTGGTTGCGGTGGAAGATGGAGACTGACTATAAGGTAGAAATATGGTTTGGGGTCTTGGATATAGTCATGGGTTGCTTTGAAGGACTGGTGACAAAGTTTGGACTTTACCTTGCAGACAGTGGGGAGCCATTGAAGATTTTTTTGAGCAGGAGTGCAGGAATCAAAGCAAATTAAATTTAAAAAAATTTAAATTAAGGCTAGCAGGATTCAGTTTTCAAACTGGCCAGCTGTGGACTAAATCCAGCCTACAGATACATCTTGTTTGACCAGCAGAGAGGCTTCAAAGTCTTCAATACATTGCCAACACTTAAAAATGAGAAGATTAAATATAAAATTTCAAGTTTCCATCATCTTTTTAAATATTAGGAGTTCCAGCAATGCCGGGCCTTTTCCCCCGCATGATCACTGAGCTGGATCTCATGTTTAAAGCAAGCTGTGCTCCCCGCTGCAGCTCTCTTGGTTCTCTTTTCTTTTACCTACTGACCCCCATATGCATTTTTAAAGATTTTTTAATTTTTATGGATACATAATACTTGTACATATTTATGCGGTCCATGTGAAATTTCAAAACATAGGCATTTAATTTGCAACCAGTGCTAGAGTCTGTCACCTCTGCTGTTAACTAGCATACTTGGACAAGTCACTTAATTCCTCTGGATGTCAGTTTCCTTATTGGTAAAAATTAAAGTTGGACCAAAAGATCTCCAGCTTCCCTCATGCTATGTGGTTGAATAAATAAGAGCCAAACCAGCGAAGTTTGTAGAGAGAATGGACAGAAGAGGGAAAATGTGGGAAATAATGAGAAGGAGGATTTTGTTGTTGGTTCTTTAAGTTTATGCATATTGTTAAATGTCTAAATTCACAAGGACATAGTCAGAAAGGTTTATTCTGCATAGGGTGAGATGAAACTTCAGGATTTTTTATGCCCTTTCTTTGAACTTTTGATTTTCAATGGCTTGGATTTTAAAGTCAACATATTTAAGGGAAAATTGATACAACTTGGCAGGGAGGAGGACAGTGAGGAGACTGACATTTGTTATGCATTTACTATGTGACACTTTATAGCTGTTATCTCATTTGAGCCCCCCTCAACCTCAAAAGGTATGTGTTATCCTCACTGCTCATGTAAGGACACTTGTGTTAAATATCTTGCCCCAAGATCTTACAGCAAGTGGGTTTAACTGCAAAACTACTTTTATTCCATGCCTGAAGGCCATTGCTAGAAACTAAGGCTTGAAAACAATGTGGTAAGAGTCCATGCGAGGGGAAAATGATTAAGGCTTCTGTCTTGCTGGACTTGAGAAAAATCATGCTGAGTTTTATATTACCCTTTTATTAATTTTGCTTTGCTACCATCTATCTCTTTTCTACTAGTAGCTGCATATGACTATCCCTTAAAGAAAGAATAGTGCAAAACTTTCAAATAATCAAAGGGCTGAGTAGAGGTTGCTTGCTGGTCCTTTCCATTTCCTTCCTAAGAAAAATCCTTTTTCTATTTTGTTTTGTTTATACTTGATTTTGTTCCCTTCCTTATGTATCCAATGTGACATTTTTTCCTTTATCAGATTTTCTAGGAGATGTATGTATAAGGCAGCAAGAAGCCAAGCATGGTAGCTCGTGCCTGTAGTCCCAGCTACTCAGGAGGCTGAGACAGGAGGATCTCTTGAGCCCAAGAGTTCAAGACCAGCCTGGGCAACATAGAACGATGCTGTCCCTTAAAAAGAAAAAAAAAAAAGCAAGAAGAAGGAAGAGGGAGGAAGAAAGAGATTAAGAGATTACCTCAAAGCAACTGTTCAAAACTTTTGTAAATCAATAAATAAGTCCCCGGGGCCCTTGTTAGAGGAACTGAGTTTTAATATACTTGTATATGTGGCAGACTAGATATTTCCATTTAAATCTACCTGATACCCTCCTTATGGCTTGAGTCATGCTACATAGTTATAATATTCGCATTGATGCAATCAGCTGAATCCAGGCTATGGGAAACTGCCAGATTACAGCATACATGGCCTGGTTTCTTAAAAAATCATTTATATGAGGAAAAAAAGGGGAAAAATGGATAGTTGGATGACCTATAGATTAAAATAGACCTAAAAGACACAGCAGAAAAAGACACCATTTACTATAGTATTTAGGGTTTCTTAAAAAATCATTTTTATGAGGAAAAAAGTGGAAAAAATGGATAGTTGGATGACCTATAGATTAAAATAGACCTAAAAGACACAGCAGAAAAAGACACCATTTACTATAGTATTTGGGAGCACACACTTGGGTGATAAAGCTATAAGGAAAAGCAAGAAAGTGATTGCCACAAAGTCAGGCCAGCGATTCCTCTGGGGAAGAGAGAGGGTTGTGATGGGAGGAGGGAAAGGGAGGGTTTGTGTGGGGACCCAATTTCTATTCTTGATCTGGATATTTCCCGTATGACAATTTATTGTAGTAATTTACTCATCAAAATAATTATCTTCACAGTTGTCTATGTAATACCACAATGAGATACCATCTCACACCAGTTAGAATGGCAATCATTAAAAAGTCAGGAAACAACAGGTGCTGGAGAGGATGTGGAGAAATAGGAACACTTTTACACTGTTGGTGGGACTGTAAACTAGTTCAACCATTGTGGAAGTCAGTGTGGCGATTCCTCAGGGATCTAGAACTGGAAATACCATTTGACCCAGCCATCCCATTACTGGGTATATACCCAAAGGACTATAAATCATGCTGCTATAAAGACACATGCACACGTATGTTTATTGCAGCATTATTCACGATAGCAAAGACTTGGAACCAACCCAAATGTCCAACAATGATAGACTGGATTAAGAAAATGTGGCATATATACACCATGGAATACTATGCAGCCATAAAAAATGATGAGTTCATGTCCTTTGTAGGGACATGGATGAAATTGGAAATCATCATTCTCAGTAAACTATCGCAAGAACAAAAAACCAAACACCACATATTCTCACTCATAGGTGGGAATTGAACAATGAGATCACATGGACACAGGAAAGGGAATATCACACTCTGGGGACTGTTGTGGGGTGGGGGGAGGGGAGAAGGATAGCATTGGGAGATATACCTAATGCTAGATGACGAGTTAGTGGGTGCAGTGCACCAGCATGGCACATGTATACATATGTAACTAACCTGCACAATGTGCACATGTACCCTAAAACTTAAAGTATAATAATTAAAAAATATATATGTATAAAATAAAAAATAATACTAGCATTGCTATGACTATTCAACTTGCATGCTTCACCTAGGTAGCATGGGAAATGGTATGTCATATTCATTTTGTTAGCTTATGAGAATTAAACAATTTCTTTTTCCAGTGTTGATGATTGTTCACACTGACATTTGATAACTTACCTTGGAAAGGCTGGCATTCCCCAAAGCTATCCTTTTTGTTCCTGTATTGTGCTGTTATAAAAGCTTCAGCTCTTTACTGGATGTGTTGCCAAGTTTCTCAATTTCTCCATTTCTCGGCTTTCTCTATATAAATGGAAATAATAATAATACATATGTACCTTATAGAGTTGTTGTAGGCACAAAATAAGATAATGCATGTCAAATAGTTAGCAAAATGCCAGACACATAGCAAGTACCCAATAAACACTAGCTATTATTACATTGCAATCAACCTATATTATAGGACATGTCATAAAAATATATATCTAATAATCAGTAATTTTTGGACTCAGCTCATTGCAAATGGAAATAAGAAAAATTATGTCAGTTATTTAATGTAACTTTGCTTTCTTTAAACCATAACCACTATTTCTCTGCATCTAGTGCCTTCCTCACGCTCTTTGATGTTTGCCTCCCTTTCAGTCACATTTCAGAACACTTCCTAATGAGAGTCATTTTCTAATTGGAGCACTTGATATCTCGAAGTACTAAGGCAGAGATTCTTCCCATGTCTTCAGCCACTTTCCAGACTTCTAGGTTAGAAAGGTGGTGCGTGTAGCACTGGGAACAGCTGATAGAGGTGTTTGGTGGCAATAGTGTCATCATATTTCATAGACCCTGACTGTAGTTTAACCAACCAGTAGGACCACCACCCCAGCCTAGGAAAGCTCATTTAGTGTTAACATAAGACTTTGTGCCATTTATTTTAGCTTGTTTTTTTTTCCTGAAAGACCGATATTCCTCTATTCCATTTATAACTTCTGTTAACTACCCCCTTCCCCATCCTATGTTCCAATAGACTTACATTTTACATAAAGTCAAATCTCTTCACCCAGTCTGTCATGGCCCACCAAAGCGTCCTAATTGCATGAGGCCTGACAGATAGCACTCTACTGCCCCTCCATATAGCTCTCAGGATGTACACACTACACATTTGCCTCACCATGTCACTTTCCCAGCCCTTGGTCAGTCTCAACGTGTTTGTTTGTTTTTGGTTTTTTTTTTTTTTTTTTTTTTGACAGAGTCTCACTCTGTCACTCAGGCTGGAGTGCAGTTGCAGTTGTATGATCTCAGCTCGCTGCAACCTCTGCCTCCTGGGTTCAAGTGATTCTCCTGCCGCAGCCTCCTGAGTAGCTGGGACTACAGGCGTGTACCACCACGCCCAGATAATTTTTGTATTTTTAGTAGAGACAGGGTTTCACCATGTTGGCCAGGCTGGTCTCAAACTCCTGACCTCAGGTGATCCACCTGTCTCGGACTCCCAAAGTGCTGGGATTACAGGTATGAGCCACCATGCCTAGCCTCAACAAGGTATCTTGCCATCTTTGGCACATATCAGGAGGTGCTGACTGATCCCTAATGTAAATATGGGCTAACATATATTTAGTTATGAGCTCCATGCCTCACTGAAGATTGCATTTGCCCCAACATGACTTCTTCAGAGACCCACCCTGAGCTTGGCAGGTCATACCAGGTCTGCATAAAATGAGTGTCTGGCTGCTTGCCTGTGGCCTCAGCACTGGTTCCCTAAATCAGCTTAGTCTTTTTTGAGCTGCTATAATAGTATACCACAGACTGGGTAATTGATAAACAATAGAAGTTTATTTGGCTCATGGTTCTGGAGGCTGAGAAGTCCAAGGTCCAGGGGCTGCATCTGGTAAGGGCCTTCTTGCTGTGTCATAACATGAGGGAAGGCATCACATGGTGAAAGAATGTGCAAGAGAAAGCAAGAGAGGGCCAAAGTTGCTTTTATAAGAAACCTACTCCAGAAACAAAGACATTAATCCGCTCATGAAGGCACAGCCCTCATGACCTCATCACCTCATAAAGGTCACACCTTCAATACTGTTGCATTGGAGATTAAGTTTCCAACACATGAACTTTGGGGGACACATTTAAACCATTTCATCACTTGACCCCACTTCACCTTCTTTGCAACTCTCAAATTGTTTCCTCCTTCAGGAACTTGGACTATTGACCTGATTTCTTTAGCTTGCAAGAGGAGTCAGTCTCTCTTCTGGTCTTTGAATTCGGCTTCCCTACCATGAATGCTTTGTAAGTTAAGAGGCTTTAGGTTGCAAGTTACAAAAAAAAAAGAAAGAAAGAAACTAACTTTAACTGACTTAAATAAGAAAAGAAAGTAATCCATTTGGATGATGTAAAAGGCCAGAAGAACTCTAGGTTCAGTCAAGCCTCCATCCAGGGGGGCTTTAAAAATATGGTGAATGCTCAGTTCCTCACTCTCATTTTCAACTTTTGTTCTTCAGGGTTGTTGGTTCCACTTTTAGCAGGCTCGCCCCTCTAGGGTACATACTTCCTTTCACCCCCCTGGAAGAAAGAGCTTGACTTTCTCAACCACTAGTGAAAAAACATGGGCTTTAGTCTGATTGGATGATGTTAAGACCATGTCCTGTCTCATACCAGTCGCCAAGGCTGGAGTTACCAGGCTTAGTGTTCCCAAAGCACATGGGCACCCTTGAGAAGGACTGGACACCCACCTGAAATAGGAGTCCTGTAAACAAGAGAAAGGGCACTGTATGCCCCAACAGCAATGTCCCCACAGGTGGGCTCAAGTCCTCCTCCTATGGATTTTTGTCTTCATGGGACACCCTTGGGCTAACACCACTCCCAGCTCACCCAGGACCTTTCATTTCTGTGTCCTGGCTCACATGAGCGGCTCCCCAGAATAACCCACTTACTCTGCCTTGTCTTTGTTGGTGGGACCTGAACAGTACTCTCCTTAGAAGCTTAGATTATAGGTTTAATTTCTGAAATATTTTCAAAAGCATCATCCCTAAGCAGTGACTATTTCCAAGTTCTAAATATATCTCTCCTTACCCCCAAGGAATTCTAGAAAGGCCTCTACTTATTCTTACTGATAGAAAAATTAAAGGGAATAAATGGCAAAGGTAGTGTCCTCTGCTTGGTCTCTATCTTGCTTCTTGCTTGGCAATTTCTCATCAACAAACACCTCTTCAGTAGGTAGGACAAGTTTAGTGCATTTAGCTGACTTAGGTTATGGTGTGAAAATATAATGCTGTATAGAGTCCTAGGGGTCATGTTAGCATTGTGAATATCTCATTCAAGTTTGAGGTGAATCCTGTGAATTCTGGGGGTCTTTATTTCCTCTTCAGCCTCTGGACTTGCAGGGCTCTGATCGTTCCAGGGCTGTTTTGGGGCTGTCTGCATTGTGTTCCCTCTTATCACAGCCCACATTAGGCTGGGTCAGTGAATCAATGAGGGTCCAAAATGTAACCAACATTCCATTCAAGAAAAACCGTAAGCAGAGAGGCCTTCTCTATAAGGCAGTGTTACCAAAGAGTCAGAAAACATGGACTATGACCTCAAAAAGTAGCTGTATTTTTTGTAATATACATTGTGTGTGTATGTGTGTGTGTGTGTGTGTGTGTGAGAGAGAGAGAGAGAGAGAATGCCTTAGAAATACTTGAAAAACATTTGAAAGAGTGGTTAGAAGTCACCTTCCTTATATAACCTGGTGAGCTATTTACATTAAACTTCCAGAACTAACATGGTACTGTTTTGTGATTGTGAACAAGAGAGCCAAAGCAGAAGAGGAAACATTGTGATATACATTTGGATATGGCCGCTGGAGTCACAATGGTAGAGAAATGGGCAGTTTGACCCAAATGACAATTGCCATCAGTGAATCGTGTGGGTGTCATATGAGCATTGACCATGAGCTGTGTTGGGACCTGGCTGCTATGCCAGTAGGATGTGAGGCTTTTGCCAGGAATAGTGGGCTTGGGGATGAGGAAATTAGCCTGGCTGTGAGGATTGGCCCTTTAGAGGTTGTGAAGAGCCCAAGTCACAATGTCTAAGGGGTATAGCACACTTGAACTTGATTGTCTGCCTCGATTTCAGAAAGGTCTAATCTGGTGGGTGGTGAGGGCCTCAGGAGTCTCTGGCAGAGATCAGTGAGTGAGTGGCAACATCATCACAATCCCTCCCCATATCAAGGCAGAAACTCACCCAGTGGCTGATACTTGATATAGGCTGTAGAGTTTAGTCTTTGGGGAAAGATGCTGACAAAATACTGTTGGAGTTCAAGGCAGGCATTGCTCCCAAATAGAGTATGCACTCCGGAAACCCAGGCAGGTGTGGGGTAGAGCATTGCAGCTGACAGAGCTCACAGCATCCAGCTTTTGCAGAGGAAGCCTTGTTCCAAACCTGGGCTGGGCCTGCAAAAGGTGGCCTGCAATCCTGCTTCTTTGGAAACAAAGGATTATGGGTTGTTAAAACTATTATAATAAACATGTTCTTGTAAAACATGAAAATTATAAGGCCCTATATTGACCTGGACATAGACAGTGGCATTCTTTGTGTTCAGCATGTCTGTTTTTGTTTCAAAAATTTCCTCCCCAATATTATACAGGATTAAGCTGTTTTGTAATAGAACCAAGTTTAAGACTTCCTTAACTGGAATCTCACCTTTTCTTGACTATTGTTGCTCTCCATTTGACAAAGTGTTAAAAGCCCTCAAAGGGTGTGTTATTAAATGTATTGCTTTTTCCATAAATTTGCTCTGCTGAGACTTACATTTCTCAGAAATGAAAAAACCTGGTGGCTTCTTAGTAAAACTCAGGCTTATTCTTAATGAAATTTTGTTTTTAAAAACAAAGAATGTACAATTATATAAATAAATGTGTTCCCTAGTAAAAGACAAATGTAATCGTTCTTAATTGCATGGGAAGGCAATATGTTGGGGTTTTCTGCCTAGGCTTTAAGGTTGATTAAAAATTGGCATGAAACAGCTTGTAGAATAGCAATGATGTACTGTGTTATGTAACCCTGAGCCTTTATGTTGGCTTTTAAATAACCCGATTTGGATCTGGTGTTGTACAGCTTTCTCAGGATAGGGACACAACAACCCAATAGCATACAATAACCAAGATAACAAATTAAAAATCTGCTCCTGACTGAAAATTTTTCTTTCTTCTTTTTCACATATAGGATTATAGTTTTAACTCGGTTTGTGTTAGTATTGCAGACAACTCAATTATCTACAAGAACAAAGGAGATTAGTGGTAAAAATAGCACAACCCACCCAGTAATCTAAAAAGCATTACCGTAGTTCAGATTGTCTCCAATGTTTGCTGCTATGAATATTGTTTCTTTTTTCTTTTCTTTTTTGTTTTTAGAGACAGGGTCTCACTCTGTTGCCCAGGCTGGATGCAGTGGTACAATCATAGCTCACTGCAGCCTCAAACTGCTGGGCTGAAGTGATCTTCCCACCTCAGTCTCCTGAGTAGCCGGGACTACAGGTGCGTGCCACCACGCCCAGCTGGTATTGTTTCTTTAGGACCCTGTTTTAATTAACTATCCTCATTGCCCCTACTTCTTGTCTGAACTCCTAGATCTATCTCCTGCTTGGTCTTCCTGTTCCCTGGTCTCCTTGCCAGTCCATCCTCCACACTGCAGCTAGGATGAGTCTTCCAAAAGCCAAACCTGGACTTATCCTTCTCTAGTTTGTATCTTTGTGTTCTTTGAGTTCTTTGTGTCTTAGCACCGCCTACGGATCCGTGGCACAGAACATCTCCTGCTTGCCTCTCCAGACCAGCTATACTGCAGTCCTCTGCTTTCAGGCCTGCAGGGCCCCTTGTTTGCTGCACCTTGGGCCCCTGTACTTGCCCTGCCCTTTGCCGGAATGCACTCACCCTGGTGAGATATCACCCTGCGAGGCTTCCCTAACTCCATCCCTGGAGTAGGCTGAACAAAGATCCCCCAGCAAAAGATATCTGCATCTAGATCCCAAAGTCTTCTTTGAATGTTACCTTGCCTGGCAGAAAGAGGGCTTTGCAGATGTGATTCAAGTAAGGATCTTGAGATGGAGAGAGTGTCCTGGCTCACCCAGGTGGGCCTAAATGCCATCACAGGTATCCTCCTGACTCTTTGATTTCAGCCCAATAAAGTTGAATTTGGACTTCTAGCCTCCAGAACTGTGAGAGAATAAATTGTGTTATGTTAAGCCACCATGTTTTGTGGTAATTTGGTACAACGGCCACAGCAAACAAGTACAGTCCCTACCCTAGACAGATTTGTACTCTGTCTTCTCTATTCCCTGGGGTTTTGCGGAGCACACCTCTATTAGAGATTGAACAGGCTGTGCTCTGCTTGTTAGTGGTTGCTTTCTCTACTTCTTCTCAGCTTCCCTTTTAAAATTTTTTAATTTTTAATTTTTGTGGGTGCCTATTAGGTACACATATTTATGGGGTACATGAGATATCTTGATACAGGCATGCAATGTTTAATAATCACGTCATGGAGAATGGGGAATCCATCCCCTCAAGCTTTTATAATTGCGTTACAAACAATCCAATTATACTCTTAGTTATTTTTAAAGGCACATTTAAGTTATTATTGGCTGTAGTCACCCTGTTGTGCTATCAAATAGTTGATCTTACTCATTCTTCCTGTTTTTTGTACCCATTAACCATCCCCACCTCACCGCCCCCTACCCCAGTACCCTTCCCAGCATCTGGTAACATCCTTCTACTCCTTCTGAGCTTCTTGGGGGTACTTTGCATCCTTGATTCCTGACATAGGACCTAACATTTAGCAGTTGCTGAATGAATACCAAATGGATGCATGACTGAATGGATAACATCCTGATGTGAGCTTGCTGAAGTTGTCTGTCCCCTACATCTCTCCTCTTCTCTCTAATCACTTTCATTTCATGTCCTTTCCCTCTACATAGTGTGTTTTTCTCAAGCAGTGCCTACATGCGGTCTTCAGTTGCGCAATGGTTTTATTTTTCTCCTTAACATCTTTTCTTGGTTCTGCCAGCTTCCTTTTCATTTCTTCTCTTGTTATCATCTCCTCTTAACTCTATTTTTAAATAAATCCATCTTCTCCTTAATTTCACTGAGCCTGCAAAGGAGGGTGTATTTAAAATTTTTTAGCTTGGAAAATTTTAAACCTATAGAAAAGTAAAAAAGAGTAGTACAATAAATACCATATGTCCCTCACCTGGAGATTCACCAATTGTTAACATTGTGAAATATTTGTTTCTCTCGCTTTCTCTCTCTCTCTCTCTCTCTCTCTCTCTCTATATATATATATATATATATATATAGTAATGGACTATTTGAAAGTCAGAGGCACATGTTATAAATCTTTACCCCTAAATGCTTAAAGATGTATCTCTAAGAGTTTGGATGTCTTCTTGTCCTGTCCTAACTGTCCTGGAGAGATATCATGTGCCTACCTGTCTACTGGGTACAAATGCAAAACAACTCCAGCTCATTCCTAAGAGTTCACCATGAAATGGGGTGAGCTGAACACCCATGTCTCAGACACGTCCCCTGGTGTGTACAGGCCATTACAGTCATTTCTGCAGTAATTAGTTGACCTAAATCACTCAATCTGTACTATTGCTGATACAAGACACTAGATCTCATTTCCAGTTCATGCATGTTTTATTGCCAGGAACAAGAGATAGCATTATTCCAGTTGTGAGTTGCATACAAAGCGTTATTCCAGTTGTGGGTTGCATACAACCATTACTGTGTTCAAAACGAGCTCAGAATCTGTGGTGCTTTTCTGCCATGTACTAGCTCCACTGGGATCTGATTTTGAATTTATGGTTTGAAGACAGAGCCAGGAATATGGTTGAGTTCAAAGCCAGAGCTGGGACAGATCACCAATTCCACACACCCCTGTATTACCATATCCTGTCTCCATACGGCCAAATCACTGCTTTCGCTCCACAATGGATTACAGGTCAATAACACAGTACTACAGGTCAATTTGAAATATCTAAAGATCATTCTGGCTAATAAAAGTAGGATAGAAAATTGTTATTCCAAATACAATTAAAATATCTGAATACTTATCAATGCTGCTATTTTGAACCTCATTCTATATAAATTGTATGCTGTGGCTGCCACCACGTATTTGCCAAGACATCCTGGAAAAGCCAGAAATTACGCTGCAGTGGTGACAACAGTGAGCACTGCAGACATTAATTAAAGACATCTTCCTGTGTTTTGGCCTCTACTTATAACTACATTATTAAGATGTGGAACAACCTTTCCTCCTAACTATTGTCATTGCTTTATTTCATTTGTATTGAGAAAAAGAAACAAATTCTGCTAATTAAAAAATTGTGGTACATTGACATTGACTAGCCAAAAAGTTATCTATTGCATTCTGCAGATAAATAGTGATTCAGACTTGACCTGGGTGCCTTGGGCTCAAAATTTGGCTGCTATCTAGCTGTGTGACTTTGCATAAGACACTTTCCTTCTCTGGCTCTGTTCTCTTCCCTGACCAGTGAAAGGACAGGGAAGTGGGGGAGTAGAAGAAAGAGAAAACAAGAGAAAGAGAGAGATGTTTAAACTTCCATTAATTCTAAAATGTTAGAAAAAGAGATAATGTGCTGAATAAGTAATGATGTAAACTAGACATTTTTAATCTAATGTAATGGGAAGTTTCTAAGGGCCTGCTCAATGTATGCAAATGATACTTCTGATTGCAGGAATTTGTAGTCATTAAAGTACATTTACCAGAGCTTGTAATTGGAAGCAGTATTTAGTAATGGTTACCTCAAGTTACTGTATGTCTTTGAAGGTAATCAAACCACCATCTTTTAAAAGCATTGCAAATTTGAAGTTTTCCTCCCCAGTAATTAGGGGAGTTAATGAGGATTTACTGTGTTACTACCATTCAAAGAAATGTATTAAATAAATTTAATAAGCATGCAATCAACCTTGAATAATTAGACAAAATTTCAGAAAAAATATAGAATAAGATGTATCAGTTTATACAGAGGATTATCAGGAAACTTTCTGACAGCTGCTTTATACCAATATGTTTCTTGCTTTTTTTAGTATAATTCAAATTCACTAGATTTTAAAAGTCAGCAAGTAGCTTTTTACTACACTTTTAATTGTTGAAATCTGAACTCTGGGACAAATTTTGCTCTCACAGAAACTGTGTGTTTGGTATATTCAAACCTCGGTTATTATAAAATAGTTACTCACTGAGATCCTTCTAGTGCCAAAGGTCAAAATGTCCTATTTCTAGACAGTTTATATTTGATCCGATAGTTTAGTTCAAATGGTATTTAATAAACAATGTCTCTGTGCCAGGTCTATACTAGTCATTAGGGTTTAAAAGATGAGTTGGTGTGTAAGTCACAGCTCTGCCTTCAAGGAGCTTATAGTCTAGTGGAGAAATGGCCTTGTAAAAATTAATTGCAGTATTGTATAATACATGTCCTGATAGAAATATGTAAGACTCAATTCAGAAGAGGGAAGTCAGGAAAGGTAAACTGGAAGATGGATCTAAGGAAATTATGCAGAATTCAGTACAAAGGGATAAAGAGTTAGAAAATATAGAAGAGATCTTAGGAAACAAGGGGTTAGAATGAAAAGACCTAATGTATAAGAGGAGTTCCATATGGAGAAGAAAGAGAGAACAAAGGGTAGATGACATTTAAAGGGATAATGGTGGAGAGCTTAACAGAATTAGTGAAGACATGAATCCTCAAATTGAGGAAGCATGAGTCCCAAACAAAACCTAAATCACATATACAGAAACTGTAGTAAAATTGCAAAAACAAAACAAACAAACAAACAAACAAAAAACCATGATAAAGAAAATCTTAAAAGCATTCTGAGAAAAATAACAGATTGCCTACAAAGGAGCAACAATTAGACTAACAACCTACTTATCAACAACAACAATAAGGGCCAGAAGTCAACAGAATAATAACATCAAAGTGCTGAGTAAAATTACTGTCAGCCTATACTTCTCTACTCAAGAGGAAAGATGAAGATATTTGCAGAGTGACAGAGAGTTTGCAATTCAAAGAATTTTATTGAAAGAGCTACTAAAGTTTTCTTCAGGAAGAAGGACACTGAAGCCAGAAGAAAAAAAATAAGATGCAAGAACATAATATCCAAAACATGAAAACAACCCAAATATCTATCAACGGATGAATGGATAAATAAAATGTAGTATGTTCTTGCAATGGAATATTACATAGCCATAAAAAGAAATAGTACATGCTCTAGAGGTGATACATACTGGTACATGCTACAATGTGATGAGTCTTGAAAACATTATGCTAAGTAAAAGAAACCAGGCATAAAAGGCCACATACTATATGAGTCCATTTATATAAAATGTCCAGAATAGGCAAATTCATACAGACAGAATGTAAATTGATGGCTGCCATGGACTGTGGGGAGGAGGGAATGGGAAATGACTGCTAATGGCTATGGAGTTTCTTTTTGAGGTGATGAAAATATTCTTTTTTGGTTTTTTTTTGAGACAGATTCTCACTCTGTCGCCCAGGCTGGAGTGCAATGGTGCGACCCCAGCTCACTGCAACCTCTGCTTCCCAGGTTCAAGCGATTCTCCCATCTCAGCCTCCCAACTAGCTGGGACTATAGACATGTGCCACCATGCCCAGCTAATTTTTTGTATTTTTTATTAATAGTAGAGACAGAGTTTCATCATGTTGGCCAGGCTGGTCTGGAACTCCTGACCTCAAGTGATCCACCCACCACAGCCTCCCAAAGTCCTGCAATTACAGGCTTGAGCCACTGTGTCCGCCCAGGTGATGAAAATATTCTGAAATTAGATCGCGGTGATGGCTGCACAACTGTATGAGTATATTAAAAACTATTGAGTTGTACACTTTAAGAGGCTGAACATTGTGGAATGTAAATTATATCTCAATAGAGCTGTTATTTAAAATAAGAACAGTGGTGAGCAAGAAATGGGTAAACATGGGCTGGGTATACTGGCTCACGCCTGTAATCCCAGCACTTTGGGAGGCCAAGGCGAGCAGATCACTTCAGGTCAGGAGTTCAAGACCAGCCTGGCCAACAGGGTGAAACCCCGTCTCTACTAAGAATACAAAAATTAGCCGAGCATGGTGGCATGCACTAGTTCCAGCTACTCAGGAGGCTAAGGCAGGAGAATTGGTTGAGCCTGGGAGGTGGAGGTTGCAGTGAGCCAAGATCGCGCAACTGCACTTCAGCCTGGGCAACAGAGTGAGACTGTCTCAAAAAAAAAAGAAAAAAGAAAAGAAAAAAAAAAGAAAGAAAGAAATGGGTAAACATGGATAAGTAAGGCAAGCATTGACTGTATGGAACAATAATAATGACCAGGAACTCTTATTCATTGCTAGTGGGAATGCAGGTATAGCCACTTTGGAAGACAGTTTGGCAGTTTCTTACAAAACTAAACATTCTCTTACCAGACAATTCAGCAACCTTGGTATTTACCCACAGGCACTGAAAACGTATGTCTGCACAAAAGCCTGCACATGGATGTTTATAGCAGCTTTATTCATAATTACCAAAATTTGGAAGCAACCAAGGTGTCCTTCAGTAGCTGAATAGATAAACTGTGGTACATCCAGATAATGGAATATTATCAAGCCATGAAAAGACATAGAAGAAGTTGAAATGCATATTACTAAGCAAAAAAAGTGAATCTGAAAAGGCTACATACTATATGATTCCAACTATATAATATTTTAGAAAAGACAAAACTATAGAGACAGTAAAAAGATCAGTGGTTGCTAGGGGTTGTGGGTAGGAAGGGATGAATAGGCAAGCACAGAGGATTTTTAGGGCAGTGAAACTATTCTGTATGATATTATAATGGTGGATACATGTCATTGTACATTTACCAAAACCAATAGAGCATGAAAAACTAACAGTGAACCCTAATGTAAACTATGAACTTTGGGTGATGATGATGTTTCAATGTAGGCTCATGAAATGTAACAAATGTATTACTCTTGATTCATGAGAATGGGAAAGGCTGTGCATGTGTGGCAGCAGGGAGAAAATAGGAAATCTGTACCTTCCTCTCAATTTTGCTGTGAACCTAAAACTGCTCTAAAAAATAATACTGGTTAAAAAATAATGATAATCATGACTAGTTTGAGGATATAAATACAAGGTAGAACTGATACACTAGTCAGCAACATATGAGATAGGACAGAAGAAAGATTGTAGTTAAAACAAATGGAAGCTTTTATAATGCTCAGGAGGCTGGAAATATTGATTAACTTTACAATTTATGTCAAGAATGCAGATAAATTAGTGGAGAAACTGGATCACTCATATATTGCTGATGGGAAAGTAAAATTGTACAACTCTGAAAAATAGTTTGGCAGTTCCTTTCAAAACTAAAAATGGACTTACCACACAAACCAGCAATTACACTTTCGGGCATTTATCCCAGAAAATGAAGATTTATTTTCATGTAGAATTTGTACACGAATGTTCATAGAAGCTTTGTTCAAAACAGCCCCAAACTGGAAACTACTCAAAAGTCATTCAATGAGTGAATAATTAAACAAACTGTGGCATATCCATACCATGGAATACTACTCAGCAATGAGAAGGAATGACCCAACAGCTTAGATGAGACTCAGGGAAATTATGCTTAGTGAAAAAAGGCAACTTCAAAAGTACACATACTTCTAGATTCTAGGTATGTAACAATATTTTTGAAATAACATAGAAATGGAGAATGGATTGGATTGTGGTTGGTAGGGGTTAGGAATGGTGAGGGAAAGAGGATATATCTATAACGGGGTAATACAAGGGAGTCTTATGGTGATGGTACAGATGCATATTGTGATTGTGGCAGTGGTTACACACACACACACAAATGGGTTCATATATAATTGGTGAAATCTAAATAAGGTATTTACCAATGCCAGTTTCTTGGTTTTGATATTTTACTGTAGTTGTGTAAGATGTTAACATTTAGGGAGGGCAGTTAGAGGAAATATGCCTGGGAACCCCCTATACATTTATTTGCAACCTACTATGAATCCATAATTATTTCAAAATTAAAGGTTTAAAAAAATAGCAGTACTTACTAAAATAATAGAAATAAGATGTATAACTTCCTAACCAGAAGAGTGAGAGCAGAGGGAGGGATAAAGAACACTCAACCAATTCTAACAGGATATAGGAAAGAAGAAATTGGGATGCAAAGGAAAACCAAGATAACTACAAATACAGACACACACAAAAGATAGTAGAAATAAATGAAACTATGTTGACAATCACAATAAGTGTAAATGGACTAAGTTTCCCATTTGACAGAAAATTTCAGTTTAAAAAATCTAGTTATTTTCTATATATAAGAGATCCAACTAAAATGTAATGACAAAGAAATGTTGAAAGTAAAGTGATGGAGGAAGAGGAAATATCAAAAGAGTGATTATATTATATTAATATCAGATAAAATAGACTTTAAAACAAAAACATTATTGAGATTAAAGAGTCATACTGATAAAAGGAACAATTAACTGAGGAGATAAAATAATCCTGAACTTGTACATACCTAACAGTATAGCCTTAAAATATGTAATTCAAAATTCAGCAGATTTAAAAGGAAAAAAAGTCTAAAGCCATATTTGTGGTAGATTTTTAATATATCTCACTTGGCAACTGATAGACAAAGCAGTCCAAAATTTAGTAAGATTGTTGAAGATTTGAGCAATGTATTAATGGAGATAGATGGGATGGATGGGTGGATGGATAGATAGATAGATAGAGAGATAGATAGATAGATAGATGATAGAATATGTAGAATATATATATAATGTTAACAACTAAATACTTTCTTTTCAAGCATACATGGAAACTTATAAAACTTGATCACATGCTACCTGGTCACAAGACAAATTTCTGTTTATACCATGTATTAGGTCATAAAGCAAATGTTGATTCACACACAGCACATTTCTGACCCAAACTCAATAAATTAGAAATAATTTAATAAAATTAGAAATAATTAAAGTGGCAACCAACTTCATTTGGTTGATAACCAACTACCTCATTCACTTAGAAACTTTTTCAGAAAACATACTTTTGAATAATATGGAGGCTCAGATGAAAATCATGAGATAATTAGAAACTATTTAGAACTAAATGACAATGACTATGTACGTCCAAACTACACATGAAGCTGAGACAGACAGTGTACTTAGAGGGAAATGTATAGTGGTACTTTCATATATTATTAGATAAGAAGAAAGGGAAAAAGCTAATGAGTTAAGAGTCCAAATGAACAAGATGAAAACGGAAAAATTGAGTTAACAAAATAAAGATAATAAAAATCTAAGGAAGAAATATATTTATTAAATATATCAACCTCAGAAAATTACGTATCTCTGAGAGGGAGAAGAGACTGAAATAGCAATAGCTACATTTGTAGTATCTTGTTTCTTTGGACAAATATCTCTATCTACCTATAGTGTTTTTTAAAGTATTCTATTTTCAGTAACAACTTTATTGAAATGTAATTCACATACCATAAAATTCACTCATTTAAAGTGTACAATCTTTCGGTTTTTAGTATATCACAAAGTTATGCAACTATCACCACAATTAATTTTAGAACATTTTATCACCTCAAAAAGAAACCCCCTCACCCTTTAGCTGTCATCCCCAAGCCCCTCATTCATCCCAGCCCTAAGAAAACCCCTGATTTATTTTCTGTCTCTACAGATTTGTTATTCTGGACATTT
This sequence comes from Homo sapiens, assembly GCF_000001405.40. Classification (NCBI taxonomy): domain Eukaryota; kingdom Metazoa; phylum Chordata; class Mammalia; order Primates; family Hominidae; genus Homo; species Homo sapiens. The sequence goes on along the minus strand of NC_000008.11, from coordinate 98,273,296 downwards.
AATATTAATAGAATCATATAATTTGTGATCTTTTGTTACTGAATTCTTCCACTTAGCATAAACTTTTCAAAGTTCATCTAGGTTGTAGCATGTACCAGTACTTCACTCCCTTTTATGGCTGAATAATCTTCCATTATATAAAATGTATCACATTTGTTTATTCATTCATCAGCCAATAGACATTTGGTCATTTCCACTTTGGGGCACTAGGAATAACGGTGCTATGGATATTTGTGTACAAGTTTTTATGTGAACATATGCTTTATTTCTCTTGGATCATTTCTTCTCTGTAATGATAACCTTTTTATGGACACTTTCAATCCTTTGTTTATCCCAAATATCACTGTGGAGTTTTGTAGTGGTAGTTAATATCACAATGATATTGAGCATTATTGAAATATTCCTGGAAAAAATAAGCATTTCCTTGGTTTTCAGACATCATAAGTTTATGACTCTATTTCAAGTGGTTTTTTGATTCTATAGAATTGTGTAAAATAGCACACAGTTATAAAAAATTAGCCAGGCATTGTGCCACGCGTCTGTAGTCACAGTTACTCGGGAGCCTGAGACAGGAGAATTGTTTGAACCCGGGAGGTGGAGATTGCAGTGAGCCAAGATTGTGCCACTGCACTCCAACCTGGGCGACAGAGTGAGACTCTGTCTCAAAAAAAAAAAAAAAAGATAGCACACACTATGATGCTTTTTCTAAACTGGTGTTAAGAACAAACGCATTAATTGTATTGAAACTGTTTCTTAATACACTACATTAACCAGTAATAATATTTTAAATAATAGGCCATTTCTAATAGTCTAAAATATTTATGCATTTTATCAAATGAAATTAAACAAGTTAACTGGTATTCAATAAATCTCCCTTCCTTTTTCCACACCTCAGTCTATGATTATACATTTAACCACAATTTTTCGCAGCACAGTCTTATCCAGTTCCATTATTGGGGATGCAAAGATGAGTAAGGAATGAAAACAGGACAAAACCTCCGCTCTTGATGATCTTCATTTAGCCAGAGAGAAGTAAGAAAAGAGTTAACATCAATCATGAGGTCCTGGAAGGAAGATAAGCTCTGAAGTCAAATAGACCTGGGATCCACCAGTAATGATGGAAATTTAGAAGGTAACTTAAACCTCTCAGGTTCAGTTTCCTCATCTATAGGAAGCGAATACAAATCATTACAAATACTAGCAAACTGAATCCAGCAGCACACCATAAAATTAATTCACCATGATCAAATGGGCTTTATTCCTGGGGTGCAAATTTGGTTCAACATACTCAAATCAGTAAATGTGATTCACCACATAAGCAGCATTAAAAACAAAACAGACATGATCATCTCAATAGACGTAGAATAAGCTTTTGATAAAATTTAACATCATTTCATGACAAAAAAAAAAAACTCTCAACAAACTAGGCACCAAAGGAACATACCTCAAAATAATAAGAGCCATCTATGACAAATCCACAGCCAATATCATGCTAAATGGGCAAAAACTGGAAGCATTCCCCTTAAGAACTGGAACAAGACAGAAATGCCCACTCTAACCACTCCTATTCAACATAAAAGTCCTATCCACAGCAATCAGGCAAGAGAAAGAAATAAAGGGCATCCAAATAGGAAAAGAGGAAGTTAAATTATCTCTCTTCACTGACGATATGACTCTATACTTAGAAAACCCTAACAACTCTGCCAAAAGGCTCCTTGACCTGATAAATGACTTCAGTAGAGTTTCCAGATACAAAATTCACAAAAAATCATAGCATTTCTATGCACCAACAATGTTCAAGCTAAGAGCCAAATCAGGAACACAATCTCATTTACAATAACCACACACAAAAATAAAATACCTAGGAATACATCTAACTAAGGAGATGAAAGATCTCTACAAGGAGAACTACAAAATACTGCTGAAAGAAATCAGAGATGACCCAAATAAATGGAAAAATATTCCATGTTCATGGATTGGAAGAATCAACATCGTTGAAATGTCTATCCTGGCCAAAGCAATCTATAGATTCTATACTATTCCTATCAAATTACCAATGTCATTTTCCACAGAATTAGAAGAAACTGTTCTAAAATTTATATGGTACCAAAAAAGAGCCTGAATAGCCAAAGCAATCTTAAGCAAAAAGAACAAAGCCAGAAGCATCACCTTACCCAACTTCAAACTATACTAGAAGGCTATAATAACAAAAACAGCATGATACTGGTACAAAAATAGACATATAGACCAATGGAACATAATAGAGAGCCCAGAAATAAAGCAGCTTACCTACAACCAACTGATCTTTGACAAAGTCGACAAAAGCAATGGAGAAAGGACTTCCTATTCAATAAATGGTTCTGGAAAAACTGGCTAACCAAATGCAGAAGAATAAAACTGCACCTCTCCCTCTCACCATATAAACAAATTACCTCAAGATGGATTAAATATTTAAATGTAAGACCTCTCAAACTATAAAAAGCATGAGAAGAAAACCTAGGAAATACCCTTCTGGAAATTGGCCTAGGCAAAGAATTTTGACTGAGTCCTCAACAGCAATTGCAACAAAAATAAAAATTGACAGATGGGACCTAATTAAGCTAAAGAGCTTCTGCACACCCAAAGAGACTATCAACAGAATAAAAAACCTATAGAAAGAAAAAAATACTTGCAAACTATGCATCTGACAAAGATGTATTAGTCTAGAGATTTTGAACTAATATCCAAAATCTATAAGGAACGTATACAAATCAACAAGCAAAAACCAAATAATCCCATTGAAAAGTGAGCAAAGAATATAACAGACACTTCTCAAAAGACATTCAAGTGGCTAACAAACACGGAAAAAATGCTGAACATCACTAATCATCAGGGAAATGCAAATGAAAACCACAATGAGATACCATCTCATACCAGTCAGAATGGCTATTATTAAAAAGTAAAAAAACAACAGATGCTGGTGAGGCTGTGGAGAAAAATAAACACTTATGTATGGTTAGTGGGGATGTAAATTGTTCAGCCCCTGTGGAAAGCAGTTTGGAGATTTCTCAAAAAACTAAAACTAGAACTACCATTTCACCCAGCAATCCCATTACTGGGTATATACCCAAAGGAAAATAAATTGTTCTACCAAAAAGATGCATGCACTCACATGTTCATTGCAGCACTATTCACAATAGCAAAGACATGGAGTCAATCTAGGTGCCCATCAACAGTAGACTGGATAAAGAAAATATGGTGCATACACCATAGAATATTATGCAGCCATAAAAAAAGAATGAAATCATGTCCTTTGCAGCAGAATGGATTCAGCTGGATACTGTTATCCTAAGCAAATTAACACAGAAACAGAAAACCAAATACTGCATGTTCTCACTTATAAGTGGAAGCTAAAATCTTGTGTATACATGGACATATAGTTGGGAACAATAGACACTGGGAACTCTGGAGGAGGGAGGGGGCAAGAGTTAAAAAAACTGCCTATTGAGTACTATATTCACTGTCTAGACGACAGGATCAATACGAGCCCAAATCTCAGCATCTTGCGAACATACCCTTCTAACAAATCTGCACATGTACCCCCTGAATCTAAAAGAAAAATGGAAATAAATAAATAAAGCTACAGTAACCAACAACAGCAACAAAAACAATAACCAAAAATAACAATAATCTACTTTACCTGTACTCCAGAAATGGAACATCTAAGCCTGGATGACAGCGCATCTGTTTATGGCATGGTTTACTTAATATTTTAAACCCGCCATTGAGACCTACTGCTCAGAAAAAGACATTCCTCTGAAAATATTACTGCTCATTGACAATGCATCTGGTCACCCAAGAGCTCTTATGGAGATGTACAAGGAGATGAATGTTGTTTTCATGCCCACTAACACAACATCCATTCTGCAGCCTATGGATCAATGAGTAGTTTTGACTTTCAAGTCATATTAGTTAAAAAATACATTTTGTAAGACTATAGCTGCCATAAATAGTGATTCCTCTGATGGATCTAGCCAAAATAAATTCTGGAAAGGGTTCACCATTCCATATGCCTTTAAGAACATTTGTAATTCATGGGAGGAAGTCAAAATATCCACCCTCACAGGAATTTGGAAGAAGTTGATTCCAACCCTCGTGGTTGACTTGGAAGGGTTCAAGACTTAGTGTAGGAAGTAACTGCAGATGTGGTGGAAATAGCAGGAGAACTAGAAGTGGACCCTGAAGATGTCATTGAATTGCTGCCATCTCATGATCAAACTTGAATGGAGGAGGAGTTGCTTTTTATCGATGAGCAAAGAAAGGGGTTTCTTAAGATGGAATCTTCTTCTTGTGAAGATGCTGGGAATATTGTAGAAATGACTCAGTGTAGGTTCAGATGATAATTAGCATTTTTGGTAATAAAATATTTTTTAATTAAAGTATGTCTAACATTTTTAAACATAATGCTATTGCAGTATGTTTATTAAGTGTAGGTTACACTATACTTAATAAACTACAGTGTAGTGTAAACACGACTTTTGTATGCACTGGGAAACCAAAGACTTTGTGTGACTCACTTTATTGTGGTGGTCTGGAACCAAACCTGCAATATCTCTGAGGTAAGCCTGTATAATTTTGCTCATTCCTACTTTATTTTGTGGGGTTTTTTTCTTTCTTCTTGTTTTTTTTTTTTTTCTTTGAGACAGTCTTGCTCTGTTGCCCAGGCTGGAGTGCAGTGGTGCAATTTTGGCTCACTGCAACCTCCACCTCTCGGGTTCAAGCAATTCTCCTGCCTCAGCCTCCCAAGTAGCTGGGATTAAAGACATGCACCACCATACCCAGCTAATTTTTATATATTTAGTAGAGATGGGGTTTCACCATGTTGGCCAGGCTTGTCTTGAACCCCTGACCTCAAGTGATCTGCCCACCTCAGCCTCCCAAAATGCCGGGATGACAGGCATGAGCCACCGCACCCTGCCTTGACCCTACTTTGAACTCGTGGTAATTATTGGACCTGCCACCAGACATTGTTTCTATTGTGTTAGTAAAGACACACATATATTACCAAAAAAAATGCATCATAAGTATTCAAGGAGAAATAGTATAGGGTATCCTTTGATAGATGAGAAGGGCTAGGAAAGACTCAACTAAGGTGATATCTACCTTCAGCATTCTTTATGAAAAGAAATTATTTGTATTCAATTATCTCTGCCCACTTGTTTCTGCTCACTAATTTAAAAACATGTGATTCACTCAGGTACAGTTTATGGTTGCTCTACCTCTGTTAATTATTGTATAATATTCAGAACTAGACTCGGACTGAAGAAAGGACAATCTTCTTTTCGTGGTTTCTTAGGACGTGAAGTTGAACTCCCACATGATTTTGACAACTATTATTTAATTGTGGGGAATGTGTATATGGCTAATTTTAAATCTCTAAATTTTTGCCTCATGTAGGTTCCAGGGGGTGGGGAACAAACTTCAAAGTTAATTCTAACTTCAGGAACTATAAAGTAAGTTTTATATTCAGGTCACTTTGAAATATGAGTAAATTTTATAATAACCCATAAGCTTATGGGGAAATGGTAAGAAAGGAAATATTATAAGGTGAGCTCTTTTAACCTTATAATGATGGCTTAAAAAGTTAAAATAATAAAATAGTATGATTGGCATTACTGATTAGAAAATATAGAATATTGGCCAGGTGCAGTGGCTCATGCCTATAATCCTAACACTTTAGGAGGCTGAGGCAGGAAGATCACTGGAGCCCAGGTGTTTGAGACCAGCCTGGGAAACATAATGAGACCCCATCTCTACAAAAATAGAAAAATTAGGTGGGTGTGGTAGCACACCTGTAGTCCCAGCTACTTGGGAAGATGAGGTGGAAGATTGCTTGAACCCAGAAGGTCAAAGCTGCAGTGAGCTGTCATCATACCACTGAACCCCACCTTGGGCAACAAAGTGAGACCCTGTTTCAAAAAAAAAAAAAAGGAAAATAGAATATCCCCTCTAGTTGTACCTACATCTGTAAGTCAAGTCGTTTTCTGAGAAAAATAAATAAAATGCTACATATTTTTATTTCTGGTTCTACAGCATTAAAAAAATTATAATTGGTAGTTTCTACCATCCCTCTATTAAGAAAACCAAAATATCACCTACATCTTACAAATATTTTCCATATTCATTGGATTTGGAAGACATTATTGAAAACAAAATGAATGTTGCAATAACATATCATAAAGTTGGTGCATACACCCTGAGGCAAAAAAAATGGGGAATAAAGAAACAGCAAAACCTTCATTTACTATGTCTGCCAAACAACAGGTTGGCAGTTTTTTTTTTTTAAAGGAACCATTTATATGATTGCTTTGTCATTTTAGATACAGATAAACAAAATAAAGCTTTATTATTACCTCTTAGTATCACCTTAGCCTATCACTTTGGATTACTAGCATGTTGCATCATAGTTTCATAAGCGGACCTCATTCATTTAGGTCTCCAAACTCCTTATGGTATTGTTTTCTTTCTTTATTTTTTTTTTAGCATTTACATGATTTTATTTCATTTCAAAATAAAATTGGTGTTTTTGCTCGCATGTGTAATGGTGAATTTCTGATCCTTTCAGAATTTTCAAGTGAATTCTGGCCCTCTTTGATCAGCCCATCCGCTTGAGGTCCATTTATTCTCTTACTGGGCACATTGTTGGATCACAGGATTTAGACATGGCCTTCACAATCTTTGAATGGCTTTTTTTTTTTTTTTTTGGAGACAGAGTCTTGCTCTGTTGCCCAGGCTGGAGTGCAGTGGTATGATCTCGGCTCCCGAGTAGCTGGGATTGCAGGTGCACGCTGCTATGCCTGGCTAATTTTTTATATTTTAGTAGAGACAGGGTTTCACTGTGTTGCCCAGGCTAGCCTCAAACTCCTGAGCTCAGGCAATCCGCCCATCTCAGCCTCCCAAAGTGCTAAGATTACAGGTGTGAGCCACTGCGTCCAGCCTAATATAACTTTTTTTTTTCATTTTCTTTTTTTTTTTATTATACTTTAAGTTTTAGGGTACATGTGCACATTGTGCAGGTTAGTTACATATGTATACATGTGCCATGCTGGTGCACTGCACCCACTAAGTTGCCATCTAGCATTAGGCATATCTCCCAATGCTATCCCTCCCCCCTCCCCCCACCCCACAACAGTCCCCAGAGTGTGATATTCCCCTTCCTGTGTCCATGTGATCTCATTGTTCAATTCCCACCTATGAGTGAGAATATGCGGTGTTTGGTTTTTTGTTCTTGCGATAGTTTACTGAGAATGATGTTTTCCAATTTCATCCATGTCCCTACAAAGGATATGAACTCATCATTTTTTATGGCTGCATAGTATTCCATGGTGTATATGTGCCACATTTTCTTAATCCAGTCTATCATTGTTGGACATTTGGGTTGATTCCAAGTCTTTGCTATCGTGAATAATGCCGCAATAAACATACGTGTGCATGTGTCTTTATAGCAGCATGATTTATAGTCCTTTGGGTATATACCCAGTAATGGGATGGCTGGGTCAAATGGTATTTCCAGTTCTAGATCCCTGAGGAATCGCCACACTGACTTCCACAATGGTTGAACTAGTTTACAGTCCCACCAACAGTGTAAAAGTGTTCCTATTTCTCTACATCCTCTCCAGCACCTGTTGTTTCCTGACTTTTTAATGATTGCCATTCTAACTGGTGTGAGATGGTATCTCATTGTGGTTTTGATTTGCATTTCTCTGATGGCCAGTGATGATGAGCATTTTTTCATGTGTTTTTTGGCTACACAAATGTCTTCTTTTGAGAAGTGTCTGTTCATGTCCTTCGCCCACTTTTTGATGGGGTTGTTTGTTTTTTTCTTGTAAATTTGTTTGAGTTCATTGTAGATTCTGGATATTAGCCCTTTGTCAGATGAGTAGGTTGCGAAAATTTTCTCCCATTCTGTAGGTTGCCTGTTCACTCTGATGGTAGTTTCTTTTGCTGTGCAGAAGCTCTTTAGTTTAATTAGATCCTATTTGTCAATTTTGGCTTTTGTTGCCATTGCTTTTGGTGTTTTAGACCTGAAGTCCTTGCCCATGCCTATGTCCTGAATGGTAATGCCTAGGTTTTCTTCTAGGGTTTTTATGGTTTTAGGTCTAACGTTTAAGTCTTTAATCCATCTTGAATTGATTTTTGTATAAGGTGTAAGGAAGGGATCCAGTTTCAGCTTTCTACATATGGCTAGCCAGTTTTCCCAGCACCATTTATTAAATAGGGAATCCTTTCCCCATTGCTTGTTTTTCTCAGGTTTGTCAAAGATCAGATAGTTGTAGATATGTGGCGTTATTTCTGAGGGCTCTGTTCTGTTCCATTGATCTATATCTCTGTTTTGGTACCAGTACCATGCTGTTTTGGTTACTGTAGCCTGGTAGTATAGTTTGAAGTCAGGTAGTGTGATGCCTCCAGCTTTGTTCTTTTGGCTTAGGATTGACTTGGCAATGCAGGCTCCTTTTTGGTTCCATATGAACTTTAAAGTAGTTTTTTCCAATTCTATGAAGAAAGGCATTGGTAGCTTGATGGGGATGGCATTGAATCTGTAAATTACCTTGGGCAGTATGGCCATTTTCACGATATTGATTCTTCCTACCCATGAGCATGGAATGTTCTTCCATTTGTTTGTATCCTCTTTTATTTCCTTGAGCAGGGGTTTGTAGTTCTCCTTGAAGAGGTCCTTCACATCCCTTGTAAGTTGGATTCCTAGGTATTTTATTCTCTTTGAAGCAATTGTGAATGGGAGTTCACTCATGATTTGGCTCTCTGTTTGTCTATTGCTGGTGTATAAGAATGCTTGTGATTTTTGTACATTGATTTTGTATCCTGAGACTTTGCTGAAGTTGCTTATCAGCTTAAGGAGATTTTGGGCTGAGACAATGGGGTTTTCTAGATATACAATCATGTCGTCTGCAAACAGGGACAATTTGACTTCCTCTTTTCCTAATTGAATACCCTTTATTTCCTTCTCCTGCCTAATTGCCCTGGCCAGAACTTCCAACACTATGTTGAATAGGAGTGGTGAGAGAGGGCATCCCTGTCTTGTGCCAGTTTTCAAAGGGAATGCTTCCAGTTTTTGCCCATTCAGTATGATATTGGCTGTGGGTTTGTCATAGATAGCTCTTATTATTTTGACATACATCCCATCAATACCTAATTTATTGAGAGTTTTTAGCATAAGGGTTGTTGAATTTTGTCAAAGGCTTTTTCTGCATCTGTTGAGATAATCATGTGGTTTTTGTCTTTGGCTCTGTTTATATGCTGGATTACATTTATTGATTTGCGTATATTGAACCAGCCTTGCATCCCAGGGATGAAGCCCACTTGATCATGGTGGATAAGCTTTTTGATGTGCTGCTGGATTCATTTTGCCAGTATTTTATTGAGGATTTTTGCATCAATGTTCATCAAGGATATTGGTCTAAAATTCTCTTTTTTTTGTTGTGTCTCTGCCTGGCTTTGGTATCAGAATGATGCTGGCCTCATAAAATGAGTTAGGGAGGATTCCCTCTTTTTCTATTGATTGGAATAGTTTCAGAAGGAATGGTACCAGTTCCTCCTTGTACCTCTGGTAGAATTCAGCTGTGAATCCATCTGGTCCTGGACTCTTTTTGGTTGGTAAACTATTGATTATTGCCACAATTTCAGATCCTGTTATTGGTCTATTCAGAGATTCAACTTCTTCCTGGTTTAGTCTTGGGAGAGTGTATGTGTCGAGGAATTTATCAATTTCTTCTAGATTTTCTAGTTTATTTGCATAGAGGTGTTTGTAGTATTCTCTGATGGTAGTTTGTATTTCTGTGGGATCGGTGGTGATATCCCCTTTATCATTTTTTATTGCATCTATTAGATTCTTCTCTCTTTTTTTCTTTATTAGTCTTGCTAGCGGTCTATCAATTTTGTTGATCCTTTCAAAAAACCAGCTCCTGGATTCATTAATTTTTTGAAGGGTCTTTTGTGTCTCTATTTCCTTCAGTTCTGCTCTGATTTTAGTTATTTCTTGCCTTCTGCTAGCTTTTGAATGTGTTTGCTCTTGCTTTTCTAGTTCTTTTAATTGTGATGTTAGGGTGTCAATTTTGGATCTTTCCTGCTTTCTCTTGTGGGCATTTAGTGCTATAAATTTCCCTCTACACACTGCTTTGAATGCGTCCCAGAGATTCTGGTATGTTGTGTCTTTGTTCTCGTTGGTTTCAAAGAACATCTTTATTTCTGCCTGCATTTCGTTATGTACCCAGTAGTCATTCAGGAGCAGGTTGTTCAGTTTCCATGTAGTTGAGCGGTTTTGAGTGAGATTCTTAATCCTGAGTTCTAGTTTGATTGCACTGTGGTCTGAGAGATAGTTTGTTATAATTTCTGTTCTTTCACATTTGCTGAGGAGAGCTTTACTTCCAAGTATGTGGTCAATTTTGGAACAGGTGTGGTGCGGTGCTGAAAAAAATGTATATTCTGTTGATTTGGGGTGGAGAGTTCTGTAGATGTCTATTAGGTCTGCTTGGTGCAGAGCTGAGTTCAATTCCTGGGTATCCTTGTTGACTTTCTGTCTCGTTGATCTGTCTAATGTTGACAGTGGGTGTTAAAGTCTCCCATTATTAATGTGTGGGAGTCTAAGTCTCTTTGTAGGTCACTCAGGACTTGCTTTATGAATCTGGGTGCTCCTGTATTGGGTGCATATATATTTAGGATAGTTAGCTCTTCTTGTTGAATTGATCCCTTTACCATTATGTAATGGCCTTCTTTGTCTCTTTTGATCTTTGTTGGTTTAATGTCTGTTTTATCAGAGACTAGGATTGCACCCCCTGCCTTTTTTTGTTTTCCATTTGCTTGGTAGATCTTCCTCCATCCTTTTATTTTGAGCCTATGTGTGTCTCTGCACGTGAGATGGGTTTCCTGAATACAGCACACTGATGGGTCTTGACTCTTTATCCAATTTGCCAGTCTGTGTCTTTTAATTGGAGCATTTAGTCCATTTACATTTAAAGTTAATACTGTTATGTGTGAATTTGATCCTGTCGTTATGATGTTAGCTGGTTATTTTGCTCGTTAGTTGATGCAGTTTCTTCCTAGTCTTGATGGTCTTTACATTTTGGCATGATTTTGCAGCGGCTGGTACCGGTTGTTCCTTTCCATGTTTAGCGCTTCCTTCAGGAGCTCTTTTAGGGCAGGCCTGGTGGTGACAAAATCTCTCAGCATTTGCTTGTCTGTAAAGTATTTTATTTCTCCTTCGCTTATGAAGCTTAGTTTGGCTGGATATGAAATTCTGGGTTGAAAATTCTTTTCTTTAAGAATGTTGAATATTGGCCCCCACTCTCCTCTGGCTTGTAGGGTTTCTGCCGAGAGATCCGCTGTTAGTCTGATGGGCTTCCCTTTGAGGGTAACCCGACCTTTCTCTCTGGCTGCCCTTAACATTTTTTCCTTCATTTCAACTTTGGTGAATCTGACAATTATGTTTCTTGGAGTTGCTCTTCTCGAGGAGTATCTTTGTGGTGTTCTCTGTATTTCCTGAATCTGAACGTTGGCCTGCCTTGCTAGGTTGGGGAAGTTCTCCTGGATAATATCCTGCAGAGTGTTTTCCAACTTGGTTCCATTCTCCCCATCACTTTCAGGTACACCAATCAGACGTAGATTTGGTCTTTTCACATAGTCCCATATTTCTTGGAGGCTTTGCTCATTTCTTTTTATTCTTTTTTCTCTAAACTTCCCTTCTCGCTTCATTTCATTCATTTCATCTTCCATTGCTGATACCCTTTCTTCCAGTTGATCGCATCGGCTCCTGAGGCTTCTGCATTCTTCACGTAGTTCTCGAGCCTTGTTTTTCAGCTCCATCAGCTCCTTTAAGCACTTCTCTGTATTGGTTATTCTAGTTATACATTCTTCTAAATTTTTTTCAAAGTTTTCAACTTCTTTGCCTTTGGTTTGAATGTCCTCCCGTAGCTCAGAGTAATTTGATCGTCTGAAGCCTTCTTCTCTCAGCTCGTCAAAGTCATTCTCCATCCAGCTTTGTTCCGTTGCTGGTGAGGAACTGCGTTCCTTTGGAGGAGGAGAGGCACTCTGCTTTTTAGAGTTTCCAGTTTTTCTGTTCTGTTTTTTCCCCATCTTTGTGGTTTTATCTACTTTTGGTCTCTGATGATGGTGATGTACAGATGGGTTTTTGGTGTGGATGTCCTTTCTGTTTGTTAGTTTTCCTTCTAACAGACAGGACCCTCAGCTGCAGGTCTGTTGGAATACCCTGCCGTGTGAGGTGTCAGTGTGCCCTGCTGGTGGGTGCCTCCCAGTTAGGCTGCTCAGGGGTCAGGGGTCAGGGACCCACTTGAGGAGGCAGTCTGCCCGTTCTCAGATCTCCAGCTGCGTGCTGGGAGAACCACTGCTCTCTTCAAAGCTGTCAGACAGGGACATTTAAGTCTGCAGAGGTTACTGCTGTCTTTTTGTTTGTCTGTGCCCTGCCCCCAGAGGTGGAGCCTACAGAGGCAGGCAGGCATCCTTGTGCTGTGGTGGGCTCCGCCCAGTTGGAGCTTCCCGGCTGCTTTGTTTACCTAATCAAGCCTGGGCAATGGCGGGCACCCCTCCCCCAGCCTCGCTGCCGCCTTGCAGTTTGATCTCAGACTGCTGTGCTAGCAATCAGCGAGACTCCGTGGGCGTAGGACCCTCCGAGCCAGGTGCAGGATATAATCTCGTGGTGCGCCGTTTTTTAAGCCCGTCGGAAAAGCGCAGTATTCGGGTTGGAGTGACCCGATTTTCCAGGTGCCGTCCGTCACCCCTTTCTTTGACTCGGAAAGGGAACTCCCTGACCCCTTGCGCTTCCCAAGTGAGGCAATGCCTCGCCCTGCTTCGGCTCGCACACGGTGCGCGCACCCACTGAGCTGCGCCCACTGTCTGGCACTCCCTAGTGAGATGAACCCGGTACCTCAGATGGAAATGCAGAAATCACCGTCTTCTGCGTCGCTCACACTGGGAGCTGTAGACCGGAGCTGTTCCTATTCGGCCATCTTGGTATTGTTTTCATCTTACAATTGAGAAAACTGAGAGTCAAAGAAGATAATGGCTTTGCAGGGGTCACTTATAGTGAATACCTGTCAGGGACAGGTCTCCTGACTTTTGGAACAGCGCCTTTTGGTCTGACTTTTACAATAGCTTGCTGCCTCTATGCCATGGTAACCCTCAGCAAAATATCTCACCTTTTTTTGTACCCCCTTCTTCTCACTGTAAGTGATCCACAGTATCCGCACTCCACTCTCTCACCTTCTTAGTCAACCTTAGTCTATTATTTCTTGTTGTGTAATAAATCATCCTAAAGTTTTGTGGTTTAAAATTACAACCATCAATGAGTGCTTTGGAATCAATTCGTCAGCTGGGGGTTCATTGATATGGGTCAGACTTGGCTGAGTCCACCTGGGTTCATTCATGCCTCTGCAGCCAGCTGGTATGTCAGCTGGGGGCTGGGTGCTCTAGGGATGGCCCCCCTCTGGGGTTGGACATTGACTATTGATTAAGGCCATAGACACAAGCACAGCAGGGTTGTGTGTGTCCCCATCTGTCATCACCCAGCAGGCTAGCCTGGGCTTGTTCTCAAAATATTTCATAACCAGAGGCGTGCAATACTTTTTGAGGCCTAGTCTTGGAACTAGCGTACTTTCGCTGCATTTGTAGCCTGAATTCAAGGGATAGGGAAATAGACTGTTTTTCCTAACAGGTGGAGGTACAAGACTACCTGGCCAAGGGCACGGATATAGGGAGGAGTAAGGAATTGTGTCCATTTTTGCAATCTGCCATACTCTGATTACTTTCAAATAACTTGTCTGATACATTAAGATATTAATAATGTAATAGTTTATACCTTTCCAGGAATACCTGCTTTGGGCAAAAATAAACCTGTGAGAAGAATATTTAAAGGAGGCCGGGTGCGGTGGCTCACGCCTGTAATCCCAGCACTTTGGGAGGCCGAGACGGGCGGATCACGAGGTCAGGAGATCGAGACCATCCTGGCTAACACGGTGAAACCCCGTCTCTACTAAAAATACAAAAATTAGCCGGGCATGGTGGCGCGCGCCTGTAGTCCCAGCTACACGGGAGGCTGAGGCAGGAGAATGGCGTGAACCCGGGAGGCGGAGCTTGCAGTGAGTCGAGATCGCGCCACTGCACTCCAGCCTGGGCGACAGAGCGAAACTCCGTCTCAAAAAAAAAAAAAAAAAAAAAAAAGGAATATTTAAAGGAACAGCAGCATAATGCTGTCTTGATGAAAAATTATGTATTTTTTTATTTTGTGGCCTGTGTATTTGGTGTCATAGCCAAGAAATTATTGCCAAATCCTGCCACCATTTTTTTTAATACGCAGACTGTTAAAAGAAAAACTTCAGCTGAATTGAATTTAAAGGCGCTTAATTAAGTAACGAATGATTCAGGAGTCGGGCAGCCCCCAGAATCACAGCAGATTCAAAGAATCTCCAGGGATGCCTTGTGGTCAGAACAAATTTATAGACAAAAAAAAAAGGGAAGTGGCATATAGAAATCAGAGGTGAGATAGAGAAATAGCTGAATTGGTTACAGATTGTCATTTACCTTATTTGAACACAGTTTGAACACTCAGAAGCATATGACTGGTTGAAGTATGGCTTCTGGTATTGGCCAAGACTCACCTATTTTTACAGGCACATACTCCTAAGTTCGGGTTTCAGTCTTGTTACCCACTAAGTTGGGTTACAGTTCATCCACAAGGACTCAAATGTAGAAGTACGGAGTCCTTCTCAGGCCATATTTAGTTGGCTTTAACACTGTTGACCCTGGGCCAGGGATCTATTCTGCAGCAGGTGAGTTTTTCCTTACTTCTCCAAGTCAAAGCACACTCTGACTTACTTCACCACCAATTTTGTATTGTTATAAAATATAAGTAATATAAAATTTTGCCATTTGTAAGTGTACACTTCTGTGGCACTAAGCACATTGTCATTGATGTACAGCTGTCATCATATCCACCTCCAGAATTTTTTCATCTATCCCAGCTTTATACCCATTAAACACAAACTCCCCATTCTTCCCTCCCCCAACTCTGGCAACCACCATTCTACTTTCTATCTTCATGAATTTGACTATCTGAGATACCTCATGTAAGTGGAATCACACAAGATTTGTTCTTTTGTGATTGGCTGATTTCACTTAGCATTATGTCTTCAAGGTTGTAGACAAAAGTAGTCAAACTCTGTAAAATATTTGAGGAGATTTATTCTGAGCCAAATATGAGTGACCAATGGCCTATGGCACAGCTCCAGGAGATTATGAGAACATGTGCCCAAGTGGTCAGGCCACAGTTTGGTTTTATACATTTTAGGGAGATATAAGACATCAATCAATACACATAAGATGTGCATTGGTTCCGTCTAGAAAGGCGGAACAACTGGAAGTGGGGGCTTCCAGGTCATGGGTGAATTCAAGCTTTTCTGATTGGCAATTGGTTGAAAGAGTTATTATCTAAAGACCTGGAATCAATAGAAGGGGAATATCTGGGTTGTGGAGACCATGGTTCTATTATGCAGATGAAGCCTCTGGGTAGCAGGCTTCAGAGCTCTCATCAGACCTAAAAAGGTGCCTGAGTCTTAGTAAATTCTCTCCTGGATCAGGGAAAAGACCTGGAAAAGGATGGAGATTCTCTACAGAACATTGATTTTCCCCATAAGAGACAGCTTTGCAGGGCCATTTCAAAATATGTCAAAGAAATAGGCCGGGTGTGGTGGCTCACACCCGTAATCCCGGCACTTAGGTAGGTCAAGGCGGGCAGATCATGAGGTCAAGAGATCGAGACCATCCTGGCCAACATGGTGAAACCCTGTCTCTACTAAAAATACAAAAATTAGCCGCTGAGATCATGCCACTGTATTCCAGCCTGGTGACAGAGCGAGACTCCATCTCAAAAAAAAAAAAAAAAAAAGAAAGAAAGAAAAAAATATATAGGGGTAAAATACTTTGATTCCTTTCAGGGCCTGCTATCTGTCATGTGATGCTATACTAGAGTCAGGCTGGAATTTGGTGTCTTATTGCTATAAAAAGTCTGTTTTGTCAGTCTTCAGATCTTTGTTTTAATGTTAATGCTGGTCAGCTGTGCCCTAATTCTAAAGGAAGGAGGGTATAATGAGGTATGTCCCAACCCCCACTTCCCATCATGGCCTAAATTAGTTTTTCAGGTTAACTTTGGAATGCCTTTGGCCTAGGGGAGGGTCCACCAGTCAGTTGAGGGGCTTAGAATTTTATTTTTGGTTTATAAGGTTCATCCATGTTGTAGTGTATATTGAAATTTCCTTCCTTTTTAAGGCTGAATAATATTCCATTATATATATGTACTCTATGTTGTTTATGCATTCATCCATTGAGGGACACAGGTTTTTTCCACCTTTTGGCTATTATGAATAATGCTGCTATTATTGAATATAAGTGTACAAATATCTGTTCAAATCCCTGTTTTGAGTTCTTTTGGATATGTACCAAAAAGTGGAATTGCTAGACCATATGGTAATCCTGTGTTTAATTTTGAGGAATCTCCACGCCATTTTCCACAGTGGCTGCAGCATTTTACATTCCCACCAGCAATGCACAAGTGTTCCAGTTTCTCCCCATCTTTGCTAACACTTCTTTTCTCTTTTTTTTTTTAATTATAGCCATCCTACTGGATGTGAAGTAGTGACTCACTGTGGTTTTGATTTGCATTTTCCTAATGATTAGTGATGCTGAGAATCTTTTCATGTGTTTATTGGCCATTTGTGTGTCTTCTTGGAGAAACAGCTATTCAAGTCCTTTGCCCATTTTTTAATCAGGATGTTTTTGTTGTTGAATTGTAGGCATTCTTTAAATATTCTGGATCTCAATCCAGATATATGATTTGCAAATATTTTCTCTCATTCCATGGGTTGCCTTTCACTCTGTTGATAGTGTGTGTTGATGCAAAAAGTTGTTAATCTCAGCCAGGCATGGTGGCTCATGCCTGTAATCCCAGCACTTTGGGAGCTGAGGCAGGCAGATCACTTGAAGTCAGGAATTCGAGACCAGCCTGACCAACATGGCGAAATGCCGTCTCTACTAAAAATACAAAAATTTGCTGGGTGTGGTGGTGCACGCCTGTGGTTCCAGCTACTGGGGAGGCTGAGGCACGAGAATCGCTTGAACCTCTACCTCTAGGAGGCAGAGACTGCAGTGAGCCGAGGTCATGCCACTGCACTCTGGCCTGGGTGACAGAGCGAGATTCTGTCTCAAAAAAAAAAAATAAGTTTTTAATCTTGATGAAGTACAATTTATCTATTTTTTTCAATGCCTATGCTTTGGTGTCATATCCAAGAAATTATTGCCAAATCCTGCCACCAATTTTTGAATACCCAGCCTGAAGCCATTTAAACTGCTCAGTGAATGACTTAAAGAATTTTAAAGTAAGTTATTTCTATTCAACAATGTACTTTTATAATTATGGGAGATGTTAATAAATATCCATTCATGGCCAAATTTTTTTCTCAGTCTTCATTTTCCTGATTAATGCCAAGTACATTAGATGTAAATAGCAAGCATGGAAATAGTACATTGCATTGTGCCTCAATTGTTTCCCCATGAGGGATAGTGATCAAAATTATTACCAAGTGCCTCTATTAGGAAAAGAAAATTCTTAACTGATTAAAGAATATGGATATTATATATCAACTATATAATGAGTTTTCCACTTTTTACTTCATTTAAAAAATACTAAATTTCATTTCTAAATACTAAATTTCATGCTATACTTGAGTCAGGCTGGAATTTGGTGTCTTATTGCTACAAAAATCACATATAATAAAGCTCTAAAACTTCAAAGACATTTTGCATTCTGAAAAGGGTTCTTTGTGGTTGCAATGCTCATTTGAAATTCAAATAACTTCTTGGAATTTGAAGCTAGCTAGAAGTTATGTGCTGTAGAATAAGAGGGAGATGATCCTTTGTATCATTGCTAATTTACACTAATAGCAGATATTATACTTTTGGACCTAGATGGGAGCAACAAATGCATCTTTTGAAATCGTTAAATAATACATGAGCTATCTATGATAAACATCTTGGGCAACGTGTAAGAACTTACCTTTTAACATCTATAGTTCTTGTGTTACACGATTATATATTTTTTCAAGCAGGTGTTTATTAAATCTTCAATTTTATATAGCAGTAGATGATGCAGAAGACCCAATAGAAAGAAGCAGAAGACCCAATAGAAAGAAGCATAAGACTTGGTTCTTTTCCCTCAGAGAATTTGAGCAAACATGATAATATAAAAGAGTAAATAAGGGAGGCTTACCACTTAGAATCTGAGAAAGTCAAGGTGGGCCAAGGTGGTCTGAGGAGGTCTCAAGGAGATGTACCTCTGCAGGCCAGGAGGGCGAGGTTTGGTTGGAGTGAGTGAGAGGCATACCTGCATGACCTAGGAGAGCAGTGGCATGAGAAAGTGTCACATCTGGCTAGAGGATGGCGCGTGCCACATACCTGAGATAGAGGAAGCACATTAAAAGTAAGTCATGGACAGAGGCCTGGGTGAGGACTAATTGTGGTGAGCTGGTATAGCAGTTTATTGTTTGATATAGTAGACTGCAGAGAATCATTTTAGGTTTTTGACCAGGGGAGTAGTAGGAAAATTTAGCCCATCTCCAGTGGAGATCATAGAACCTTAGAAGTAAGGGATTTCTGGAAACATCTTATCCAATATCCCATTTTTACTTAGGCCAGAGAAGTGAAATAACTTGCTCAAAAGGTCACCCAGTTAGAAAAGAGCAAATCTGTGTCTCAGATTTATCCTTTACCTTGTAGTCCGATGATCTTTCTTTCATATCACAGTCCTCCAAAAGATATTAGAGAAAAGAAAATAAAAAGAAAGGATACGTAAGAAGCAGCATCTTGATTGGAAAAACCCGAATAACTATTTAACTATTTTATTTATTTTAGTAAATGAGGCAGAAAAATATCTAGAGAATTCATAAAGGACCAAGTGATTTCTTAAAAATAGTGTTCGAAAAAAGTGAAAAACTAATTCTAATTAAATCCTATTAATATCCCAAACCTACCCTGGGAAATGGGTGCTAGGCTAAAGCTGAATTACTGAACAAATGAATGAACACCTAAATTTGTCTTTTTTCTTCCAGTAAATATCTTACAAGTATTATTTAAGGAAAACATTTTCTTTTACAGATTCACCTTTTTGGAGTTTTGCTGGCTATTTTAGGAAACTTGGTGATCAGTATTTCTCTAAATATTCAGGTAAGAAAAAAGCTTATTTTTCTAACACTATAGATTGATCCAGGGACACATTATGACTCTCATGGGCATTGGGCACTTTTGTCTTTGTGGCTCTTTTCTCCATAAAAATTATAAAAAATATATATTTTATGACCTCATTGGTATAAACACAAATATAATTCAGGCTGGAGTGCATTCATTTTTCCTCTTCTTCTTCTGATTTTAAAAGAAATTAATTTTGCAGGATGGAGTGGTCTCTGACAGTATTGTAGACCCTAGGTAAGGGGCCGACGGTGTCTAATGGATAAATAGCACTGGTTTGATTTGCAGTACTTTGATTTCTTCCATAGCCTTTACCCCAGATGGGATTCGGACACTTTTTAGAAGCAGTTCATGAAAGTACAGATTATAGGGTTTTTTTCCCCTTTCTTTAAAATACTGTTAAATATGCCACTATAGACTAATGGTCTTGAGGAAAGAATGTAGAATACAAAATAGGAACTATAACTGAACATGAATTAGAAACATGAATAAATCGCTGATTTGCTAAACTGCAAACTGAATGAAATATGAATTTTTAACCAAATCATGAATTAAATAAAAAATTTTAAATCATTTCATGAATCACTTTTAAATAGAATCAAATTAGTGCAGTCTTTAAAACGATTTGAATCAAAATAAACCTGAGCATCAAAATATCTCCCAGGATGTTATATGGTAATTCCCTCTTATCCTCAGGGAATGCATTGCAAGACTCCCAGTGGATGTCTGAAACGAGAGCTAATACTGAACCCTATTCAGTATATACTATGTTTTTCCTATACATACATACCTATGATCACATTTAATTTATAACTTAGGCACAGTAAAAGATTAACAACAATAACTAATAATAAAATAGAACAAGTAAGTAAAATAAGGGTTACTTGAACACAAGCACTGTGCTACTGCAACAGCTGATCTGATAACCGAGAGGGCCACTGAATGACCAAGGGACAGGGAGCATCTGCAGCATGGATACGTTGGACAAAAGGAGGATTCACATACCAAGCAGGACAGCAAGAGATTTCATCCTGCTACTCAGAAAAGCATGCAATTTAAAATGTATGAAATGTTTATTTCTGGAATTTTCCATCTAATATTTTCTGACCATGGGTAATTGAAACCACGGAAAATGAATCCGTGGATCGGGGGGTAACTACTATATTTGTTTATACAAATCTTTGCTAGAAAATGACCTAATATAATTTTCAATAATTCCCCAAAAATGTATTCGTTCTTAAAAAAAAATACAAAAATAAATTAGCGTTCTTATAAAAAGAATTAAAGGAATACAAAAGAAAAAAAGTGGCATTCCCCTCATAGCTCAGAATGTTTTCTTATTTGTCTTCTGATTTACTTTCAGAAATATTCTCACCTTCAGCTGGCACAACAAGAGCACCCAAGGCCATACTTCAAGAGTGTGCTGTGGTGGGGTGGTGTCCTGCTGATGGCCGTGGGAGAGACGGGGAACTTTGCAGCCTATGGATTTGCTCCCATTACTCTGATCGCTCCGTTAGGCTGTGTGTCTGTTACAGGTAAGCCATTCTGTATTTTGACAAATAGAAACTTAAAGAGCAGAATAATCGGAGAAAAACACACAACTGAAACAACAAATGCACCAAAGAAGAAAGTCTATTGCCTGGTTTCTTATCACGTTAACATGGAACAATTATTCTGCTAATTTCAGCGATCCATTGTCATGCTGTCACATTAACCATGAAGAAACTTGCATTTTGTGACTCTAACACCTATGTGTGAAAGCCTGATGCCTGAGTCTTAATAAATTAACGGTGACAGAAGATGTTATACTGTGCTTGTAATCATTAATGAGTTACCTAAAAGCATTTGTAATGCAATGTTTTATTCATATGTTAAACTGATAATGCCTGTAGTTAGAGTCTTTGATGCCTGGTCTTGACTTCATAGTTTAGTATCTCTTTGACATTAAGAATTAAATATTGGTTAGTCTACATTACTATAAGAATGTGTAATTTTACAGTAATGTCACAAATATCTACTTTGAAATTTTATGTAATTTACTAAATACATTTAGAAAAGAAAAAATGAGATGTGAAAGACTGAAAAAAATGAGCAAAAATCATTGCTAAAAAGGAGAACAAATTCTCTAAGCCCTGTTAAAATCAATAAAATCTTTTTGGTTTTACTCTTTATCTGCTGCTATGGAAACAGAATGTTTCTAAATTTGCGTGAATTTAGAACTTCATTGAAAGAGAAACAAATTGATAGTCATTAGCTGTTAACAACTAGATCAAGCATATCACATGTTTACATATCCCAATTTAAATGTTCCTCCTAAACAACTATATGATATTCTTAAAGAAAACATCATTTAAACTGAAACGATGTAGATTCGAAGAGAATTTTATTTTGTAAGTCATTTATCTCAATCATTTAAAATATTTTATTTAAAATACTTTAATGAGGTCTAATAGAATATTTAGCAAAAAACACTTACTTTGCTTTCTAGAAATTGCCTACTTAAAAGAGCCATCCTGTTACTACTCCGAAGAGGCACACAATTTATGTAATCATTTACTGTTTTTAACATTCCAATAGAATAAGCAAATTGGGTAAACCTCACTTTCTATTTAGTAAACCACTAACATGTACATAGACATTTTAGACGTTTTATGTTTTCAAAATCTGGGAAATAACAGATAAAAGATCTAGTTATATGATGAACTTGGGATCCCTCCAGACTCCTGCTGTCTTGAAAATGTTGTTTTATTCTCCATAATGACAGTGTATGTCATGCTGATCTTTAGTTTTTTTCCTTACTTTATGCCGTTTCCATGAAATAGCCAGAGAAAAATGTGTCCAGGCATATTAGATAGATAACTGGGGAAGGCTGGTGGTGAGTGCACCATATCGTATTGAAATTCTCCATTTATCTCATGTGTCCTGGTCCTGGGAAGCCTTTTGCGGGAGTGGGATATAAGAAAAAGGGTGCTACCTCAGGTGGTTCAAACAAAGGGGAAATATTGTAAAGATCAGAGATTTCACAGAAATGCGATATAGCCAGACCTCATGGGGCCTGAAGTGAGAATGGGGCAGTTTTCAGCACTTCAGGGTCAGCAGTGGCACCCTTCCTAGACCTTCAGTGAAGCTGCCTGTGAGTCTGCCCACCTTGGCAAGACTTGATCCAAGCTCTCATCGAAACCTGAAAGCTGAAGCTTTCCAATCTTCCACTCAGAAAGAATGTCCTATTCTCCCCAAGTCCTCTGTGAGCTGGTCCACCCACCTTAAAACTCTGAGCCCACTGCCTTGACAGATGGGCTTTTTCTTCATGCTACAGATTATTTTTCTTTGTGTGCTGTTAGCCCCAATTAATGTTTCAGCTTCAGAACATTTTTAGCTACCTCCCTCTCTGTCCATCTGAAGTGATTCAAAGATGTGAACTTACAGCCTCAAACACAACTCATTTCCTACTTTACAATCTTTGCACACAGTAATGTATGTTCATAAATAGTATTCCCACGGCAGTCCTGAGCTGGATTTAAGTCATTGTAAAGCTTTGTGGGTGGGTGAGGGACTGCTGGTGATGGAGGATTTTCCCTAGAACAAACCCCTGCTACCCTGAGATTCTTTATAAAGACTCTAGAAACTCTAGAGAATTTGAAGGAAAAGGGAAAGTATAAACCAGATGTCTCTTATGTCTGTGTCTACAGATGAAGCAGAAAATCCACACTTTCCTATGTTATAACTTTTTTTCTGTATCATTTATTGGGAGCTTTAAGAAATCAAATCTCCCGTTGAATTTTAATAAAAAATAAAACCTATTGCAGTGTTGCTTGGGAAATTGCATATTCTTTTCTGATTTTTCTTCTATCTTTTGTTGCTTTTCTAAGAGTAGGAGACAGAGAGAGAGAGAGACTATTAAAATCCAGAACACTTACAATAGTTTTAGTCCTTAAGTCCAAGTGTGTTAAGTCCCTTAAGTCTTTCATCTTCCTCCCTCTCCTTAGACAGTCTGGTTCACACCAACACATTGCGCTCCATTTTTCCTTTCCAGAAGCAGGGAGAGACTGTGCGGGTAAACATGTGGACTAGTTTTACTACACTGATGATTGCTAATATACCAGACTTGCTATTTTGTCTCACATAATCAAAATTTCTGCTCCTTTTGTGTACTTTGAGTATAATATATATTTGTATACTTTGAGTGTAATATATTCGATTATATATTATATATAATTATATTAAATATATGATATTTAATATATTTGTATTAAATAATGTAAATATAATTTTATTGATTATGTTTAATATATTTAATATAATTATATTGATTATCTTTAATATATATTTAATATATTAATTATATTTAATATAATTATATTAAATTGTATTATGTTATACATTTAATATATATTAAATATAGTTACATATTAATAGATAATATATTAATTGAATATGTGTTCAATTAAAGTATACATGTCATATGATTGACATGTATATACGTATGACATATATGACATGTATGTCATATATGACATATGTCTGACATATACTAGTCATATATAGGACTCATTTGTAAGAAGCACCACAGTTAGCAATATAGGCATTTCAACTTGCCCTCTACCCATGTTTTCCTTTCTTGAAGCATCTTTCTTCTGTGCTTTCTTTCCCTCTCTCTGTGTGTCCTGCTGTTCCTCACTGACGTGCTCAGCTTCAGGCAGCATTTGTCCAACATTAGTTTTACAGGTAGATTCATAGGTGTTCTAAGAAACAAAGAATTCCATAATCAAACAGGATTCTGCAATTTGGGGTTTTAAAGGCGACACAGGTTTCATTAGTGTAGAGCTTCTTGGGGCCCTAAAACAGGCCTATGCACACTATGAATCTTTGAGGGGCAGATGCAGTACGCCAGGTCTCCAAAACATACTGAACACATCTGAGATTCCCTTGATTGTATCTCAAGGGACAGCAGTTCTGCAGAAAACCCTTTAGGGAATTCTTAAGGCAAAGCTCACAGGCAGTCACATTGTGCTAGAGACTCAGCCTAAATAACCCGTCTATGCTTCACTGTGAAGACGGCACAATGGGGAAAGATCTCAGTGCACAGGGATGCCCAGGCCTGGGTCCAGCTTTTTGAGAGAGTCAGAACCTTTGTATCCTTGTGTCATCTTTTAATTTTACTTTATTTTTCTCACTGGAAGTCTTTCTCAATGAATAATACGTCCAAAATCTATTCTGACTAAAATGCTAGTTTTACTAGCAGTGTGGTTAATTCTAGATGTGGATTAGTGTTTCCATTAATTCACAAAGCTTAATTAATGATTTTCAATTTCACCTAGAGGCTAGGTTCAATACTCGTCCAAATAAACCAGGGCAGCAGAAAGGTCAAGAGCTCTAGGGCCACACCGCCAGGGTTCAAATATCAGTTCTGCCATTGGCAAGCTCTGTGACCTTAGGCAAATTATTAAAACCAATTTATGCCTCAGATCCCTAGCCTGTAAAGTGGGAATGAAAGTAGTTCCCATATGAGAGGTCATTGTGCAGAAGAACTGAGTAAACTCAAACATCTAAGGACAGTGTTGGTATTGGTTAGATAGTATTTGACATAATGACAACACTGGCTATTGTCACTATGATTTGTAATTATTATCGTGTAGATAAATAAAATACCTTATTCTTTATAATGGAGCATACTTCCATGCCTCCAAAGATGGCTGATGGTTAAATTCTCTAAAATGGAGAAACCAATTCAAGAAAGGCTTTTTATTGTTCTCATCTATGCAGTGGCTAAATTTACAGAGAGCAATAAAGTAGGATCCTCACAGCTCATTTTTCATCTAATTAAGTAGCAATTACCCTTCAACTCCTTCACATATTCCCTACCAAAACACGGTGGAAAATAGAAGAATTTCCAAATAACCTACCAACACGAAATACATTTTAAAAACCAATACAGGAGTTTGTCAGAGGAAATGCTTAGCAAGCTAGATGTATATACGGTTTTCCATCTTCTTGCTCTGGCTTCAAAGCACTTGTGTTCTCTTGTTCATTAACTACAGAGAGGCCGAATGGCAGATTCCTTTCAGATCAACTGTGATTTGAGGATACGTTTTCTGGGAAACTATTAATATACCAGAAATCCAGTACAAAGAAATAGGTTAGATATTCTGTGGAGTTTGTAATAAAATTTCAAACTGCTGCTAATCCTTCTTGTCTCAGGTAAACCCTTGCTCAAGAGGCCTTCCCTGGCTTTCAGACTAAGGTAATTAAACAGACTTACTCTCTGCTCTCTTCACACCCTACGCAGGCCCTCCTCTCATCTGTGTGGTGCCGTTTTGTGAATTAGAAAAAGGGAGCCCTTTCTCAAAATACTTTATTTCTGTCTGTCTGCAAATGATTGTAATACATTAATTTTGTTAGAGCAGGACAATCTGGGACCATCTGTCAGAGAATTGTGCTGAGAAATACACAAATCAACAAGGTGTGAGATGCGGGTGGTGCCACCTCAGATGTGGAGACTCTCTGCATTGCAAAACTTACACAGCCCGCCCAACCACACACAGCAACCCTGCCCTACACTTCCCCTTTGGCACCTCTCAGCATGCGCACAATGACCTGTTTCATGTCCTTCCTCACCATTTAACTGAGACCCAGGGGACTGGTGACTGACTGTGTGTCTCGTTGCTTGACATTTGCCCTTCCTGGGAGAGCACAGCACGGGGAAATCACAAAATGCAGCCTGCAGAATTGGTTCAAATTTGAATTTTGACAAAACAAGGATAGGATGTTCCGTTCTAGGGTGTTGGAAGAGATAAATACTTGCTTAAAAGATTTCAATTCCTAATGAAGCACGGTGGTTAAACAGTTCATTGCAAGAGACTCATGAATATTCATGCTTGTGAACACTCATAGGTCTATAAGCCTGTCCTTTGGGGATTGAGTTCAGTTATTTGTGCATCTCCAAAGCGTGGGCTTACATTTAATGTTTTCCTTTTTCTGTTTATCCCCATGACTGTGATCTATGCTATGCCTAAACATTTAGAGATGATTAAAAACAATGAAGTTATCAACAATCCAAAGAATTGAAGCCACATGGAATTAAATAGCTTCATGGCAGACTTCTCTCAGTATAAAATTAACTTGTCTATGGGGCGGCAAGGAAGTGGGATATGGAGGGAGATCATTGCAGGGGCAAGGAGGGAGGGAGGGAGAAATAGAATGTGATGGAAGCACCGGTGACATTTTTCAGTTCTATGCCTCTGAGTATATTGATTAAAAGTAACTAGAAAAGAGTGCAAGAACATATCAGCTTTTTCCAAGTTAAATTCGGGCAATACTTTAGACAAAGTAATAAAGGTAAGAAACTAATATTGAATGAGCATCCACTATGCCAGGTATGAGACACATAAACTCATTACCTCAATCATTGCCCAGCTGAATGGAAATGAGTAATAAATAGATTGACTTTGGGATAAATTATATTAAATTAAGCACTTGAAATTTTGTATGGAAAGATAATAGCAGCAAGATCTCCATGGCCCTAGAGTAAGTTCCTAAGAGAAGTAGTCGCACTGTTACTGAGCTAATTTGTATTAAGGTTGGAGAGCTAACTGCACTGAGAAAATGAGGAGAGCATGAGTCTGATAAGTCTTTTCCATCTCTAATTTTCCCCAATATGCTGGTTTTTGCTCAAATCAAAATTCATGATGTGGAATACATGTTGTTTTGTGTATTTCTGTGGTGCTGTTATGAAGCCCTAAACTGAAATGTATCTGTAATCCATTAGACGACGGTCATAGCAGAGCCAGGAAGCCCTGGTGAGGCCTTTTGGAATTCCAAAGAAATCATGTCAAGGAGAAACTTTGGTCTCCAAGATTTTTATTAGAAACAAATGAAAGGAAACATAAACAGACCAATGAGCAAGTGACCCATAGCGTTACACAAACCTAGATGCTGCGAATTCTCTTTGTCCCTTAGAGCAGTGTGCTTACTGCCAGCCTGGATGAGGTCACCGGAACTCTAAAACCTCACAGGATGCCTGTGATAGTGTCACTTCACACGGACATTGATTTTAATGTTCAAGATATGCAGAAAATATCACTTTTCTTAGTGGCTTGATGAGTTATCTGCTTTTGCGTGTTTGTCCAAAAACCAGCCTACATAAAATGTGTGAAATAAAACTCTGAAGTTTTAATCTATGTCTGCTCATATACGCTCAGCAGAAAGCATTCCTGAAGCCTAAACACTTTATTTGAAACATCTTTTCCACTCATCCTTATTTTTTCAGCATGCCACAAGAGTATTTCTAGAGAGGCTGCTAATGATGAAGTAACACACAATTAAATTTGTAATACAGAATTAATCTAGTCAGTGGTAGTATTTTTACTTTTTTGGAGTCTTTTCAACTTTAACATTAACGCATGCCAAGAAAAATGTAGAAAAGAAAGGATTATTGTTCTTAATCCAGGTAAGTTCCCTCGTTTGAAATTATGCAAATTGTCTCTGAACGACAGTTCCTTCATTATCTTCAGTAAATGACAATAGCAATTTTTTTAATCAACATGAATTACTTGACACTTTTCTTCCTGCCAACATGAATGGTAGAACTTTTCCCGCTGTAAGATGACATTTTTCAAACTGACATATCCTCAGATATTCAAATCTTAATTCCATGGAATACATTGTAATTGACATACCTCTTTTCCTAAAGTTCTACAACTAACGGGGAATGATAATTATGTAGTAGTACCTCAATATGGTTAGAGTTGACTCTGCCTGTGAGCACGCTCGATGTGTCCACGTGTTTGGAGCTTGATTGTGACTGACATGAAAGTGTTTTTGTGGTTTGCTTTTTAGCAGTACAATAAAGTTGCCATTATAAGTGGTCAGAAACCACAAGCCAGATATTTACATGTGAGGTTCTGTTTGTAGCATTATTATGTAAATATGTTCTTTTCATGTCATGGGTTATTTTCTTTTTATAAGAGAGAGTTTTCCTTAGTGTTTTATCTTCTATTTTCCTATATTATAAATATACATCCTGGTTTCTCTTTATATCACAGAGATGACGTAATAAATTGAATGTCCAGGAAATGAAAATGGATGAAATTTTTATTTGTAGGCTAGATTAGAGTTCACAAACTTGCCTGTAGACCAGAGTTGGCCCATGTTTTGACTGGCTCAAACAATGCTTTTAAAGAATACTAATTAATTTCCTATGGGTAAAAATTGGACAATAACACACACACAAAACTGAATTTTTGGCTAAAGAATCAGATTTGGTAGTGCTGGATTTGCAGTTGGCTAAGGCTGATTCAGGAGTGCCACCTTTCACTGATCTTGAATAGTTCACCACGGCCCCACAGCCCATCACCACCATGGCCAGCACCCCCCATCACCACAGCCCACCCTCTCATCACCACAGCCCACCCTCTCATCACCACAGCGCACCCCCCTTATCACAGCCCACCCTCTCATCATCACAGCCCACCCCCCTTATCACAGCCTACCCGCTCATCACCACAACCCACCCCCTCATCATTACAGCCTACCCCCATCACCACGCCCACCTCCCTCATCACCACAGCCCACCCCCTCATCATTGCAGACTACCCCTCATCACCACGCCCACCCTCTCATCATTACAGACTACCCCTCATCACCACGCCCACCCTCTCATCATTACAGACTACCCCTCATCACCACGCCCACCCTCTCATCATTACAGACTACCTCTCATCACCACGCCCACCGTCTTCATCACCAGAGCCCATCCCCCTTATTACTGTGGCCCACACCCCCCTCATTTTTTTTTTTGTCTTCAGAGGATTACCTTAAAGGCCCTTATAGGCATTTGAGTTTGTAACCTGTCAACCAAACGTTCTTTTTCTCCCCAGCTGAATCAGATAAGAATATCATATCCATAATCACATTTGAGTAAAGTATAATTAATTGATTGTCTTAGCTTTGGGTTAGATTTGTCTTTAAGAAGTGATAATAAAGGGTAAAAAAACAGAAAGAAATAAACAAAGTGAACAAAATCATTTAAAAATAGCCATGCCCTAAACATTGAAACAGTTATTGAACAGTCTTATGTACCATTAAGCTTTTAATAAAAAATTATTATTTTAGGGGAAGAGAGTTTAAATAAAAAGCACACATATGTCTTAATGTTACAAATTTAAAAAGGGAATGCCCATTTACCTCTTATTCTACAGACACAGGGTTCTAAACTGACATGTAAAAATCTGCCCTTGAGCTAAATTGCTAACAGAGAAGTTTGGTATTTAACTTCTCATTTATTAATCCACATTAGTAGCTATTACAGAAGAACCTCAAACCAAGTATTTACAACTTTTCTGAATACTCATGCATCAGGTTAATTTATGGTTGGCTTTTTCTCTCTTGTGGCCTGCTATGGGTCTTAGAGCATCAAGTAACTCTTCCATAATAAGAGCTGGTCTTGGACCGAGTCTCATAAACTGAAGGATTTCAGAGAGTAGGTGAATGAAGGACAAACCGAGGGTTGATTCCTAAGTAAATCAAGAAGCACGAGGAAGTGCAACACCAAGACACATACCTCGCTCTGGGACTGGCACCCTCCCCCACATCTAGACATGGTTTGGAAGGCACCGGAAACTTGCTTGGCCTTTATTTTATCTATTTTCATCTGGAAACCTGAATCCAAATGCCCAAGTGTACGTTTCCTTATATGAACCTTGAACAGAATGAATCTCCATTTTGATTGCCAACCTAAGTGACACTTAATAGCCAAAAGAACAGATGACTCACCAATAGGAGTCAGTCCACAGTCAGCAGTCAGCAATTGCTGCTGAAAAGCTTCCTTAAAGCATTAGAGCTTCAAGGGCAACTGGATGCATTAAATACATTAGACTGCTCCATGGAGGTACCATTTTGCACCAAAGGAAACACTAGAAGAAGGTTGCATGTCCTTTCCCCTTACGGATAGTATTCCTGCTGTCTTCCTCCGCCCTGCCCCCCATGACTCCTACAGAACCACCCTTTGGGTTTTGGCATGTTATCTTTTCAAACTTTTTTATTTTTTAACGTAATTTTTAAAATTGTTTTAATTGACAAATAATTTTATATGTTTATGGGGTACAGTGTGGTGTTTTGATAGTTGTATATGCTGTAGAAACATTACATCAGGCTAATTAACATATTTATCATCTCATCGACTTCTCATTTTGTATGGTTAAGAATATTTAGGCAAAAGACCGGGCGCGGTGGCTCACTCCTGTAATCGTAGCACTTTGCGAGGCCAAGGCGGGAGGATCACGAGGTTAGGAGCTCAGAACCAGCCTGGCCAATATAGTGAAACCCCATCTCTACTAAAAATACAAAAATTAGCCGGGCATAGTGGTGGGCTCCTATAGCCCCAGCTACTCAGGAGGCTGAGGCAGGAGAATCGCTCGAACTTGGGAAGCGGAAGTTGCAGTGAGCTGAGATCGCCAATGCACTCCAGCCTGGGTGACAGAGCCAGGCTCAGTTAAAAAAAAAAAAAAAAAAATCTGTCAGGTGCAGTGGCTTTTGCCTGTAATCTCAGCACTTTGGAAGGCCAAAGTAGGAGAATCAATTGAGCCCAGACGTTTGAGACCAGCCTGGGCAACATAGTGAGACTCTGTCTCTACAAAAAAAATTAAAAACTAGCCAGGCGTGTTAGTACACGGTATTGCCTATAGTCCCAGCTCCTTGGGAGGCTGAGGTGGGAGAATCACGTGAGCTCAGGAGGTCGAGGCTGCAGCGAGCCATGGTTGCGCCACTGCACTCCAGCCTGGGCAACAGAAGGAGACCCTGTCTCAAAAAAAAGAACTTTTAAAATCTACTCTTTTAGGAATTTTGAAATATGTATCACTATTAACTGGGTCACCATGCTGTGCAATAGATCGCTAAAACTTATTCCTCCTGTCTAAAGGAAATTTGATAAATTGGTATATTATCAATGGTACATTACCTTTTGCCTTTTATGCCATGGTATACCAATGGTGTATTACCTTTCACCTTTTATTTTTTTAATGCATTATGGCCATTGTGGTCTAGTGCCTGACTCTGGAGTCACTGTGTGACATTGTGTAATAAACTTAAACTCTCCAAGCCTCAGCTTTTTTATCTGTAAAATGAGTATAACAATGCCAACTATCTCATTGAGACGCTGGGAGGATAGAAAGAGTTAATTATTCCGTGTCAAACCCTTAATAAGTAGAATATTCAGCCACCCTTATTGTGTATATATTTTCCTGTCATAATCATTGTATAAATATAATTTTCTACCTCTTTTAACATAATAGCATAAAATTATCAATATCACTGTGTAATTTTCCATAATAATTTCTATTAGCTGCATAATATCCTACTGATTATTGCTGAACGTTTAGATTATTCCAGTTTTCCACTATGAAAAATAATTTTGCAATTGACACCTTTAGGCTTGAGACTCTCCATTTTTTGGAATACTTCCTTAGGACAGATTCACAGATGCAGAATTACTAGATCAAAGAATTTGAATAGTTTGATGCTGTTGATAGATATTGTAAAATCACTCATCAGAAAGTTTCTATCAATTTACAGTGACTCTAGCAATGTGAGGGAGTACTGACTTTACTTCTTCCTTGTCAATACTCAGCCTTAAAATTGTGTGTGGAAAAGAGCACCTGGCTCTAAATTATCTTTATTACTGATGATTTGGACTTTCCCCTATGTGTTTGTCTACTCTCATTTGTGAATTACTTGTGTTCCTGCCCATTCATTTATCCACTGGGGTTGTGTTTCTTTGCATACTGGTGGGTATACCTGTTCACACATATCATCACTAAGTAAAGAAAAGATGCTGTGTCAAATCTTGGTGTTTTCAGTTATACCTACACACATAGACCATGGTCATCTTGGAAAACAGAGGACCTGTCTCTTTTCCCTCAAATACTCAAAGCCACCTGGGAAAACACAAAGAGCACAGCTTGGTCCATGCACTCTTATTTCTAGTAACTGACTGTTTATAAAATGTTCAAGCAAGGAGAATAATTAGAAAGGACGAAGCACAAATGCTTCCTTTCACCGGTTGAGGAAATAAAACCGAGGCTAGCACATTAACATGTGCTGTATTCCATAGCTGGTTCTGGACAGAGCAACACTCAAACCCAGGTGTTCTACATCCCAGCCCAGCACCCGGCCACCTAGGCAGTATTGTGGAACTTCAGTTCTTCAACAGGACCTTCTTCTTTTCACCTGGAGTGATACTCTGAGTAACAAAACAGTAGGGAAGTCTTTTTGGCTAATTCCTGTCCATATTCCACTTCCCAGCATTCTCATGAATCAGCCTTAGCCTTTCCAATAGAGCATTTCCTTAAGAATAATGAAGTAAGGATGAGTTGAAGACAGCTCAGCTCAGATTAGACCCCCTTTTGCAAATTTTATATATCGGCCCCAAGATAAGATGATTCTTGGACAACTGCAATAGCACCATCCGCCATCACTTGTTGATAAGCTTGTAGGGAAAGGGTGTCACATTTTATAAACATCTCCCACCTGCCAAGAATAACAGTTCACTGACTATGGGCAGTGAGTTTTGGCTGGGAAAATAGCCTGTCTGAATCAGGGACATTTTATTAACCTGCTAGGACTATTGTGTGCTTAGGAGAGCCCGCATCTTCCTCCTGGTTTTTCTTACATCAGTTTTCCCCCCGAAAAAGTACTTTTTAATAAAGCACCAAGATCAGTGAGCACTCTCTGTAGACCCATGTCTTCTGAAGGCCAGAGGGAAAAGCATTCATGAGTCTCTGCCCAAACATGTCTCAAACCAAAAATGCACACACAATTGATTGCTTAAGTAAATATCCAGTCATAACTATGGTTTAACCATAACTAGTACAAATCTGTTTAATTTACAGCTATGTTCTGTTTTCATGCTTTTTAAGTGATTAATCTTGAAATGCTCTATTTTTGAATATTAAATTTTACTATAGGAATAAAAGTATAATAGATTTTCCCCTTTTCTAGGTGTTCATTAGGCAATGGTTATTGTGATAGCAACTACTAGAAAGTGTTGGGCTTGATAGACCTCTGATTACAAACATATATGCGAGTACTTCAGTTGATGTTTTTCTCATTTGAAAAACTTACTACTCTACTTAAAAGTCATGTTATTAGCTGTTGCTCAATACTGCCTTTTTGCTCAACACAGCTCTCATTTTAGCATATTTGCAAGATAAATGAGTTGAAAGTAAATGTATCTTAATAGAATGTTCTTTTTTTCTTGCCTTTTTTACTAGATAAATAAAACTAAAAAATCTTGTTCTATTACCTAAAAATTTTGTAGAAAATCTCAAGTTCTCTTAAAACAGAAAAAAAATGTTATTGGCTGAATGTGGAAGTGCATTAGACTTCTATTAT
Organism: Homo sapiens; assembly: GCF_000001405.40. Taxonomy (NCBI): domain Eukaryota; kingdom Metazoa; phylum Chordata; class Mammalia; order Primates; family Hominidae; genus Homo; species Homo sapiens. The sequence continues at coordinate 98,239,612 of NC_000008.11, read as the reverse complement.
CTTTCAGAAAGGAAGAGTAGCATATTTATGTTTCATAAAATTCTGACAATTGTTTTATAGCAATTGATATAATTTGATACAAGTAGTGTATTTCCAGTTTTTTGTTACCAATCATGTCCTTTTTGCTTTTAGCAATGAAATTATTTCCCATATAACATTTTCCCCTCCTCCTTCTGAAAGTAAATGTATTTATGAAACTGTGGCTTGGCAACAAGAAAAGTAAAATGATGTGTTTTCTTACTTCAAGGGAGCCAATGGGGTATAGTGTACTAGAAAGAGCTCTGGACTGAGAGCAAGGAAATATGAGTGCCAGTTCCAGCTCTGCTGTAATGTAAATGTGTTTTAAATGGATGGATCAGTGAATAGACAAACAAATTCTTTGGACCTCAGTTTCCCAATTATCAAGTTTAGAACCTGGAGTAGATTATGTCTATGTCTCCTACTACCTTAAAATCTCATTCCATGTAAGCAATGTTTCCCTTCTTACTATAATCCTTTGTAGTGAAATGGTCATTTCAAGGATTGTTATAATGGAACACATTTGGTATGTGTTAATGTAGCGACACTTCACCTATTTTTTATTGCTAATCGATCTCCTACTTAGAAACATCCCTTACTTAATTACACAGGAAGTCTGTGATTGGAGGGTGGGGTAGGGGTTTGGGTTTTTAATACCTTTTCTCATGCTCTACCATGGGAAATTAGTTTCCCTGGATTATTTTGGCCCAAATCTGAAATAGAAAATTTGCATACATTTTCATACCTATCCCAAATTCATTTCTTACTTTAATGAGCCATGTAGTCATGCATTAGTTTATCTACAGAAAACCTTGCTTTAATGTTTTAAAACCAAAACACTCAAACTCATGCTTGATGAGCATTTCCCATGCCTGGTTTACCCTGTGTGAAACTTCCATTCCTGTAAGTAACCTGCCCGGGAAAAGTTTTGAAGGACAAAGATCAACCAGAATGAGAAAAAGCTAAGTTGAGGAAAAAAAAAAAAAGGAAACAAATAGCATCTCATCTTATCCTGCATGAGGGTTTCTGGTGTGGACTTATTTTGTTTTCAATAAATTGCCGGAACATCAGATATAGTCACATTCAAATTTAACCACAGCATCTGTTTAATGGATTATTATACCAACATTAAAATTATGTCTATGAAGAATTCTTGATGACATGGCAAATTGTAATGTGTTAACTGAGGAAACTGAGAAAGGAAATTTGATATTAAAGTTTGATCTCAACTGAAGGGAAATAAAAACACCAATATATTAACTGCAATTTTCTTTACAGGATGATATTATTTTATGATAACTTTTCTTTCCTGTACTTTTACTTTTAAAAAACAACCAGCAAATAGTTTTTGTTAAAAATTTACAGCATATATTATGTTGCATATCTTTTTGTATTATTGCAATTTTGGATTTTCCCATGCCTATACTCATAAATGACCCCATAACAGGGACAACTCAGAGAGGTTCAGTTTAACCCTGGTACCTGAGGCGACAGTAGCAGACGATGGCTCGACTGTGAGGGAGAGAGTCCAGTAGTGTCACTAATGGGAAAGAGAACAACTGCAAGGCTGAGATCCCATACTCTTTCATTTCATTCAATGAGCATTTATTGAACACCTTTTATGTGCTAGATACAGCTACTCACTGGAGATCTTAGAAGAATAAAAAGACATATCTCAGATTAAAAGGAACTGATGGTCTTTCGGGGAAGACAGGCAAATAAATCTTAGGTGTAGTGAAAAAGCTATACACAGGGGTAATCAGAGCATAAGGGTGGCGGGATCAGCTCAGCCCAGGGGAATCCAGAGGTGACACTTGAGTCTAGAGCTGGTCACAAGGACAGGGCAGAGCTGGACATGTAAAAGCCATTAAGCATGAAACTGCATGGTGGATTCTGGGAATTATAATTACTTCAGTAAAGGTGGGCTACAGATTATCAAATAAAGACAAATGTGGTGACCAAAGCATCAGAAGCAAAATCATAGCTCTTTGAGTGTTCTGCTTGGTAGTGTGGCCTTTGTCCTGTAGACCAGCCACTTAGGGGTTTGAAAGCAGTGGATTTACATTAGATTTGCATTTTAGAGCGATTACTCTGGTGGTGGTATGGGGAAAGGGGAAAAGGGGGAAATGGGAGGTCAGAGGGAAGCTAAAGGTCTAAGCCAGAGAAGCTGCCCTGAGCTTGGGATAGGGCTGGTGATCACAGGAATGAAGAGTTGGGAACAGACCTAACAAAGAGTGAAATAAGGCTGGTTGCGGTGGATTACGCCTGTAATCCCAATACTTTGGGAGGTCGAGGCAGGAGGATCACTTGAGCCCAGGAGTTTGACACCAGCCTGGGCAACATAGTGAGACCCCATTTCTAAAAATAAAAAAATTTTTAATTAGCTGGGAGTGGTGGCATGAGCCTGTGGTCCCAGCTACTCGAGAGGATCACTTGAGCCTAGGAGTCCAATGTTGCAGTGAGTTATGATCTTGCCACTGCACTCCAGCCTGGGCAACAGCGCAAAACCCTGTCTCAAAAAAAAGAAAAAAATAGAGTGGACTATAGATTTAGACCCAGTGACCTGTTGGATGTGGATCGTCAAATAGAAGAGAAATAGGAGCAGTCCTGGGATTCTGGTGTTAAGTAGATACAGGAATTGTCGGAACAGGAATTATAGGAGGAGATGCTGGGAAATCATGAGTTTCAGTTTAGCACATATTTAAAGTTCTTCCTGTCCTTTTTTTTTTTTTTTTTTTTTTTTGAGACAGGATCTCCTTCTGTCACTGAGGCTTCAGTGCAGTGGTGCCATCATGGCTCACTGCAGCCTCAACCTCCCAGGCTCAAGAAATCCACCCACCTCAGCCTCCCCAGTAGCTGGGACTACAGGCCCACGCCACCATGCCCCACTAATTTTTTGTATTTTAAGTAGAGATGGGGTGTTTCACTATGTTGCCCAGGCTTATCTTGAACTCCTGGACTCAAACTCCTCCCAAAGTGCTGAGGCTTACAGGCATGATCCACTGCACCCTGCCCCATCCTTCTTTCTTTCCTTCCTATCTCTTCCTGTCTTTCTAATCCTTCCTGCTCTTTCTGCCCCTTCCTGCTCTTTCTGCCTTTCTTCTTTCTTTCATTTGTTCTGTCTTTTAGCAAACTTTTATTAAGCCTTCACTATATACAAGACACTGTCTCAGCCACATCCATTGTAAACCACACCAATTTCCACATATCCTCAGCCACAGGGGGAAGAAAGGCCTTTTTATAGCCACAACTGCTGAATGTCTCTGATCAGGACATAGCTCATCAGGCATAAGGCACAAATTGCTTAACTTCTTTCAAATGGCATTGCGTAATAGACACTTTTATATTGGAACTACCACTAATGGCCATTTTCTTTATAGGTAGTGCCATTATTTCTGTTACATTTCTGAAAGACAATTTGAGAGCCTCAGACTTACTCGGTAAGTAATTATTTAATTCATGTAATTGTAGCATTGCTTGATCAGGAAATAAATAATACAATCCATAAAAAATATGTGCGATAAAAACTGGAAACAAATTACTGAAATGGGTGTAAGTCTCATTTAGAGTCAGGCATTATTCTGTCTTGGAGCTGCCATCTCTTCTCGCATAAAATACTTCCATTTCTATTGTGACTACTGCTAAATGTGATCAATTTTTGCTATAGCAAATTATTAATTAATAATTATAATGAATTATTATAAAATAATTTATGATTATAATATTAATCAGTTGAAGGGATTATATTATTATAATGCACTGAATTATAATTTCATAACATTTTATTATTATAATAACCCATTAAAATACAAATACTTTAGGCACTTTAAATAAAACAATGCCTCCCTTCTTCCAGGGAGATCATATTTTTTTTAAAATTTGAGCTCTAAATGTGACACTAGTGTTGGTATGTTGAGCATTTGTATATTTTATAATGGGTTATTATAATAATATTAATGTTATAAAATTTTATGAACACCATAAAATTCAATGAAAACATTTGTGTTACCTAATAGACTATTACACTCCAAAGGATATATTTGTTATATTGTTACACGAAAGTATTGCATAAAAATGAAAACCACAAAAAATTTGATGCATCAACTAACTAAAATTTATATTTGGCTTTTCCCAAAAGTAGCACAGACCATTGTTCTTAAATATTTTATTTGGAAATACAGTTATTAATGGAAAATGACAGTAGCCTTCCTGGCTGTAAGAAACATTTCTGATGTATGGCAAAGCCATCACTTATGTGTTGAATTTTCCAGCTATTGTTGGACATATCATTGGTGAGAAGAATTATAGAGATTCATATTTTCTTCCGTGACAAAATCCTGTTTGAATTGCTGCTGACATATGATAATGAATACAAATACTTTAGGCACTTTAAATAAAACAATGCCTACCCTCTTCCAGGGAGATCATATTTTTTTTAAATTTTGAGCTCTAAATGTGACACCAGTGTTGGTATGTTGAGCATTTGTTTTCCCTGATCATGTTTCCCTTGAGCGTAATGTCTTGAAAATGTTTTCTCTTTTTCTTTTCCTCCTTGGTTTGATTCTGCTAGCAGAGTTTTTAGTCAACATTGTCAAATTTTTCATGGTTAAATGTTTTTCTAAATGCATTCATATGTGGATTCTATCTCTTCCAACATATTATTTTTCTATACCCTTTTTTATATATTGTGGTTTGTAGAATCATTTGGGGAAGTTGTATGGACTCAGAAATAAGAATGGCCAATGCCTGATGCAGTGGCTGATGCCTATAATCCCAGCACTTTGGGAGGCCGAGGCAGACGGATTGCTTGAGTCCAGGAGTTCGAGATCAGCTTGGGCAACATGGCAAAACCCCGTCTCTACTGAAAAAAAAAAAAAAAAATAGACAGGTGTGGTGTCATGCACTTGTAGTCCCAGCTACTTGGGAGGCTGAGGCAGGAGGATCACCTGAGCCTGGGAGGACGAGGCTGCAGTGAACCAAGATTGCACCACTGCACTCCAGCCTGGGCAACCGGAGTGAGACTCTATCTCAAAAAGAAAAAAAAATGACCAATACCTGAGTTTTATAAACTAAAAATTAGGTCCTAGATATATTATTTTTCTCATTTATCAAGTGGCTTAAGGGAACTTTAAATCCTTTTATCTAATATCTGTCACCTTTTATAGTTAATGATTGAATAATGATCAAATTAATCTAAGGTATTTAATGAGAGAATGCAGATATAAAGGGGGATTTGCTGACTAATCTTGAATATTAGTGATAAATGATAATTAAGACAGAATCCCCGTCCACAAGTAATTTATAGTCCATGATAATATAGATTCATAAATAGGTTTTTTTTTAAGTAGAAAAGAATATGTGCCATAATGTCATGAGTCTTTAGTTTAGAAGTGTTTCTGAATCAGCATTGCTGACATTTGGGGCCAGATCATTCTTCATTGTAGGGGCTGCCCTGTGCACTGTAGGATCATTAAGATCCCTCCTGACCTTTACCCACTAGATCCCTCTAACATCCTCCCACTCAGTTATGACAACCAAAAATGTCTCCAAACATTCCAAAATGTCTCCTAGGGGACAAAATTACTCAGGTTTAGCCCTGTTCTTCTCTAGCTGAGAAGATCAGAGAGAATTTTTTACAGCAGAGATAACATTTGAATTGGTTCTGACAGCTGGGCAGGACAGGCATAGGCTACATCCAATAATTTGGAGGAGGACATACAGAGGGAATAACATGAGAAATGTTAACAAAGATACAAAAAGGTAAAGTAAGTTTCTATTTCATACTGCACCTTAACTCCTGCCTGTAAGGCTTAGGAAAAAATAAATGCAAGTTGTAACTATGGAAAGGAAGAAATAAAAATATCAATATGTACAGTTTATTTTCTTATATACTTAGAGAACGCATGATCAACCAAACATTACCAGAAGCAATAAACCAGCTCTCAACATTAAAGGATCTAAATTAAACTGACTCTCATAACTTCAGATCTGGATTCAACTCTGGCTATCAACTGTACAGGCAACCTAGTATTACTTAACTTCTCTAAGCCTCACTTTTCTGGCAAATATGTAAGACAGTTTTGAAGATCACATTAAATAATTCATATATAAGTACTTTGAAAAATGCAAAGCTTTGTCAATATAATTGTCATAATTTCTATTACCACCTTCATTGCTGAGAGATTCCTAAGAGGTAATACTAAAAATGTAATATAAGGAAGGGGAAAACACACACACACACACACACACACACATCAAGAAAACAAACTAACAAAATAAAACCTTTAATTAATTATTTGGGATTCTTTGCTAATTCCTCACCTTTTTTTTTTCTTTTGAGATGGAGTCTCGCTCTGTTGCCCAGGCTGGAGTGTAGTAGCGTGATCTCAGCTTACTGCAACCTCCACCTCCTAGGTTCAAGCAATTCTCCTGCCTCAGCCTCCCAAGTAGCTGGGATTACAGGCATACACCACCACGCCCAGCTAAATTTTGTATTTTTAGTAGAGACAGGGCTTCACCATGTTGTCTAGGCTTGTCTCTAACTCCTGAGCTCATGATCCACGCACCTCTGCCTCCCAAAGTGCTGGGATTACAGGCATGAGCTATCACGCCTGGCCTAATTCCTCATCTTTTAAAAGCAGCTAAAATTTATTAAACATTTACTCTTGCCAAATACTATGTTAAGTGTTTTGCATGGATTATCTCATTTGAATGTAGGAACAATCCATTTACAGAAGCAAAATCTGATACTTAGCAAGGTTAAGTAACCTGCCCAAGGTCATATAACTAGTACATGATAGACCAGTATCCTAACAATGGCAATCTGGTATAGCTATAGTATAAAGTTAGGGTGAGTCTTTAGTATCAGAAAGCTATTATGTAACCTTATATAACCTTTCTCTTTTTTCTTTTTTAAGACCACACTAGAGGAACCTTATGTAACCTTTGCCAAGTTATATAAATAAGCTTTTTAAGCCTCAATTTTCTAATCTTTAAAATAAAGATAATATTACATACCTCACAGGATTAAATGAGTTCATATATGTAAAACTCTAACAACAGGGCCTATCACATAATGTGTTCAATAATATTAGCTATAATTGTCATTATTACTACTACCACCATCACCCACCACTGTACTCTACTAATTAATCAGAGGAAACCTAGATTAGGACATTTTTGCAAACTTTAGTAATCCAGGTAACCTTTCCCACAACTCTGATTGGGTGCTCTGTTTTGTTTTTTCCTACCTAACTTAATGCTTTTGGAGTAGGGCTATGTAACTCATAAGTCACATTTATTTCATACCATAATTAAACGTGACCAATTTTTGCCTTTAATCTAGTGTCATAGGAATGAAAAAAGGATTTAGTCACCTATTCTATACCCTTGCCTCCAACAAGCGATATCCTAAGATTATCATCATCTGAGATGTCGTAACCCACTTCATATTTACGGAAGTCCAAGGAAGGACTTTTCCCCAACCCCTCTCAGAAATGTGTCAAGTCACATGTATTTTCTTTGAGCCTTTGTTGCCGTTGCCTTGAGAAAATGTAGCTTTTTCTGCTAAAAGCAAAAAAAAAATTTTTTAAAAAAAGCATCTTTTTCTTTATAGGGACTAAAACCAAACAGGTAAAAGAGTAGTTAGTGGTGTTTTTTAAAGATTAACATATGAACATGCTAAAAATTAAATTATCAAAATGTGTAAAGGAAAATCATTTATTTTTCTCTGTTTCAAGCAAATGAAAGTTTGTTTTTCATGATGGAACAAATGAAGATTTGGGGACCATGTGGAAACAAGCTGAACTAATTTATTGCCAAATGTTACTCTGTGACTGTGAAGCTTTTCATCACTAGTCTCAAAAAATGACCTCACAAAGCTATTTCTGAAAGCAATCGCCAGGTTATTAAGTCAATGACAGGTTTGGACTGTGCTCTGATTCTTAGTGGATTAATTATTTTAATGATTATTTTTCCTTTTAAAAAAAGCACCAGATTTCTCTCCCCTTCAATCGGCTGAAAACTATAGGATTTTCTTCTCTCTTCTCCCTTAGACGTCAAAAGCACCAAATCATCTGTGAGATCCTAGTTGATTTAAGACCAGATAGAGTCATCATGGAAATAAAAATGACAGTCAGCCTAAATAGAATATCAGGAGATTAACAGTGAGAGGAGGGCCATTTCCTTCCTTCCATTTCCCACACCAGAAGTCAGCTTGATTTGGAGCCAATGTCTAGAATACTAAACTAGCTAAATGACCCATCGTCTCTGGTTGAGAAGACAGATTGACTGTTTTGGTTGCAGAGCTGCCTCAAGAATGGGAGCCTTTCTGATGGAAGGTCTGGGACTACTTGAATTCACCACATCACCGAGATTTTCAATCGAGGGGTCCTTCAAGGTTTAGCTACCATAAGCCTGAGGAATCCAGAGAGACTGTACTTATGGGAGGGTATTTCCAAATGGTTTGATGTTAAGGAGTCCAATTTATTCTTTGACTCCTGTTATCCCACAAAAGCAATAACTGGACTCCCACTGACCAGGAGACATACTGCAGGGACCAAAGGGATTAGACTGCAATCTTTCCCTTGCAGTCAGGTTAGCTGAATAAGAAAAACTCTTAAGGCTCCTAAAAGTCAGGTCAGACCAGATTCCAGAAGTCAGCAAATGGGCACTTAATATTAAGTAGCATCCAGCTGGAAAGTGGACAAAATTCAAGATTTCAGGTTTTAGTTCGGGGAGAGAGGAGCTTGGGAACCAGGATATCTGTTGTGGAAGAACTGTGCAAGTACATCTTAGATTCCAAGACTCCGCCAGCTAGAGGTGCCAGTGAACAGAAGCTTCAGAAGGAGCCTGATTCTGGGGTGTTTTCCTCCAACCACATTTTTGGTGCACAGGTATCTATAGAAGACTTTTGCAACAGAACACTAGTAGCCTCCTGAAACAAAGGCATGCTCACAGCTGGATCCAGTTAAATATCAAGTATTTCCCAAAATATAAAATATTCCCCCAAAACACTACTTCAGTGCAATATAAATGGTCAAATATGTTTAGAAAATATGACAACCATATCCTCCTCTGGGAGATTTACGGTGAATGCTAATACATTAAGATCTGAGAGGTTTTCCAGTAAAAGAATGATTTAAGTTTGTTTAATTCACCTCTGCTCAAATACATTTGCCTTGGGACCTTTTTTGGTGGAGCATCTACCTTATGAAACTGGTTCCAGGGAACACCAGTTTGAGAGTGCTCTTCTAAAGGAAACTTAAGGCCAGAAAAATAACCTGAGACCAGTCAAGGACCCCAGGGTCCTCTGCCAGGAACAATCAATTCCTTTAATCCCCAATGAGGATGCTGCATATGGCCTCAGGTTGTGCTCTGTACAGCTCCTAGGGGTGCCACTCATATAGACTTCAATGTAAGTGACAGCCCTGAGCTGTCCATTCAGTGGCCTTAATTCTTAATGCAAATAAGAGGCTGTGGAGTATAATAGTTAAGAAAATAGACTACCTAGGTTCCAATCCCAGCTCTCCTCTTCTTAGCTGGAAAATCCCAGGCAAAATAGTTATTTCTTCTGTGACTCAATTTCCTCACTTGTCAAATGTAGATGGTAACAATTTAAGAGTATACATTATATAGTATTCATATTATATGTCATATACTATACAACTTATGTGTAGTATAAGTTGTAACAGTGTAATAACACAAAGGTAAATCATTTTCACAGATTTGTTGTGAGGATTAAATTAGTTATGTATAAAGCATTTAGAACTGTGCTTACAAGTATTAGTTATTACTATTATAGTTATCATCATCATCATATTTTAGCATGATGCTGATTATACCATAACTCTCATGTCAGCCATACATGTCTATGAACTCAATAATTTTAAGAACATCACCTAAAAAAAATTATTACTGGCTGGGCATAGTGGCTCACACGTGTAATTCCAGCACTTTAGGAGGCCAAGGTGGGAGGTTCACTTGAGACCAGGAGTTCGAGACCAGCCTGGACAACATGGCCAGACCCTATCTCTGCAAAAATTAAAATTAAAAAATTAGCCAGTCATGGTGGCACATGCCTGTAGTTCCAGCTACTCAGGAGGCCAAGATGAAATGATCACTTGAGCCCAGGAATTCGAGGCTGCAGTGAGCTATGATTGCATCACTGTACTCCAGCATGGGTAACAGAGTGAGACTGTGTCTCTATTTAAAACAAAAAAGATTACATTCCCTTGGCATATGCTCTCCCAGTATAACTAGTGTATCTATTATAAAAGGCAGGGATTTGCTTGTTTACCTGTTTTGCACAAATATCAAGTTTATAGGGAGAGGTTTTATTTAATATTTGTGTATGTTATCAAGCTAAATCTAAGATTCCCACCAGACGATTATAGACTTCTAAGTGACTTGAGTTGTATTTGATAAGAAAAATGTATTTGCTGCAGGTTTGGGCATGAGGGCAGAGGATGGCATCCCATGCCTGCATTGTGGGTAGCATCTAGCATCTAGACATTGGCTCTTACCTGCAGCTTACCCACAGCTGTCTGGCTGCTGTTTTATGTCCCCTCCAATATCCAGATCTTGGGACTCTATGCACTAGTTTCCTGAGGCTAGCTGTGGGTAGAAAACATAGGACTGCTATTTTTTCCTTCTTCTTTGTTATGTCTGTTAGTTATGCCATGTCCTTCTTTCTGTTTTCTTTGAAAACCAACAGCAAGAAGTCTTTGCTAGGCATTGAGAAAACACCAGCCAATTCCTTCCTGCTCATTCCTTCCATTCTCAAATTGGGTTATCTCCTTAGAGACAGCCCCAGTGATGGTCCCTGATCATCCCAAGGCTATAATATCAGAGACATCATTTTGGACTAATTTTTAAGCTTAACTCAGATGGCCATTGGCTCATGGCATGCCTGCATCCTGAGATGCATCCTGAGATGGATCTATCCAGGGTCTGCTGTCATGTCAGGCCTCTCAGTGGGCTTTGAAGCGTATTCAGTTCCTTAGACTGGCCTCTTGCAGAGCCAAGTTCCTGGGATTTTGCAAGTATGATGACTTAATTTGTACCTAGAGATGAGGAAACTGAGTCTGGAGTAAATAACTTGCCTAAGCTCTTCCAGGTAGCAAGTAGCAGTGAAATGTGAATTTTGTGGGGGCAGTTTCAGCTTGGATTAGGCTTCTGGGATCCAAGTCTTGACCTAAAATGCAACATTTCTGCGGGTGAGGAACATGTTGGTGATACCCTGCTTCCTTTTGGATCTTACATGACCAGACAAAGGAAGTGGAGCAAGATGGCTGAATAGAAGCCTCTACCAATCGTCCTCCCTGCAGGAACAGCAAATTTTACAAGTATCTACACACGAAAAAAGCACCTTCGTAAGAACCAAAACTCAGGTGAGCAATCACAGTACCTGGTGTTAACTTCATATTGCTGAAAGAGGCACTGAAGAGGGTAGGAAGGATGGTCTTGAATCACCAACACCACCTCTCCCACATCCTCCAGCAGTGGCCAAGTGGCACAGAGAATCTGCACACTCGGGGAAGAAGAACACAGTGATTACTTTGCACTGGAACTCAATGCTGCCAACACTGCGTAGAGCTCAGCTGATGGCCACAGAGGGAGCATTTAGACCAGCTCTATCCAGAGAGGAATCAACCACCCCAGAGGTGTGAACTTGAGTTTTGGCAAGCCTTGCCACTGTGGGCTAAAAGGCTCTGGGGTCCTAAATAAACTTGAAAGGCTCTCTAGGCCACAAGAACTGCAACTCCTAGGCAAGTCCTGGTGCTGTGCTAGGATTAGAACCAGTGGACTTGAGGGGCATGCGATCCAGTGAGACACCAGCTGGGCAGCCAAGGGAGTGCAGGCGCCACTCCTCCCGCAGCCCCTGGCAGCTCAGCTCACAGCTCTGGGAGAGCCTCCTTTCTTCCACTTGAGGAGAGGAGAGAGAATAAAGAGGACTTTGTCTTGCAACTTGGATACCAGTTCAGCCACAATAGGATAGGGCATCAGGCAGAGTCCTGAGGCCCCCATTCCAGGCCGTAGCTCCTGGATGACATTTCTCGACACACCCTGGGCCAGAAAGGAAGCCACTGCCTTGAAGGGAAGGACCTAGTCCTGGCAGGATTCATCACCTGCTGACTAAAGAGTATTTGGGCCCTGAATAATCAGCAGTGATAGCCACAGTACTCACTGTGAGCCTTGGGTGAGACTCAGAGATGTATTAGCTTCAGGTGTGGCCCAGCATATTCACAGCTGTGGTGGCTATGGGGAGGGACTCCTTTTGCTTAAGAAAAGGAGATGAATGAATAAAAATGATTTTGTCTTGCAGCTTAGGTACCAGCTTGGCCACAGTGGGGTAGAGGACCAAGAGGGCTCTTGGGGTCCCTGATTCCAGGTCTTGACTCTTAGATGGCATTTCTAGACTTCCCTTGAACCACAGGAGAGCCCACTTCCCTGAAGGGTAGTGGCAGGTCTGGCAGCATTCACCATCAGCTGACTGAAGAGCCTTTGGGCCTTATGTCACCATTGGCAGTACCCTGGCAGTACCTGAGGGTGGTGGACAGAGGAAAGACTCCTCTGCCTGGGGAAAGGGGAGGGACAAGTAGAAAAGACTTTGTCTTGTGGTTTTGGTGTCAGCCTAGCTGCAGTAGAATAGAACACCAGGTAAATTTCTAAGGTTTCTGACTCCAGGCCTGGCTCCTGGACAGCATCTCTGGACCCACCCAGGGCCTAGGGGAACTTGTCACCCTGAAGGGAAGGACACAAACCTGGCTGGGCTTTGCCACCTGCTGATTATAGAGCCCTAGGGCCTTGAGCGAACATAGGCAGTAGCCAGGCAGTGGATACAGCAGGCCTTGAGCAAGACCCAGTGCTGTGCTGGCTTCAGGTCTGACCCAGTGCAGTCCCAGTGGGAGTGGCCACAGGGGTGCTTGTGTCATTCCACCCCTCGCCCCCAACTCCAGGCAATTCAGGACAGAGAGAGAGAGAGAGAAAGAGAGGGAGAGAGAGAGAGACTGTTTGTTTGGGAGAAAGTAAGAGAAGAGAACAAGAGTCTCTGCCTGTTAATCCAGGTAATTTACCCAGATCTTATCCAAGACCACCAACATAGTACCTCTACAAATCTGCAAGAACTACAGCATTACTGGGCTTGGAATGCCCCCTCATGTAGATATGGCCACAGTGACCAAAAACTTAGATCACAATACCCAAGTTCCCTAAAATACCCAGAAAGCCTTCCAAAGAAGGATGGGTACAAACAAGCCCTGACTGCAAAGACTACAATAAATATCTAACTCCTCAATGCCCAGACACTAACAAACATTCACAAGCATCAAGACCATCCAGGAAAACATGACCTCACCAAACAAACTAAATAAGTCACCAGGGGCCAATCCTGGAGAGGCAAGGTTATGTAACCTTTCAGACAGAGAATTCAAATAGCTGTTTCGAGGAAACTCAAATAAATGCAAGATAACCCAGAGAAGGAATTCAGAATACTATCAAATAAATTTAACAAAGAAATTGAAATAATTCAAAAGAATCAAGCAGAAATTCTGGAGTTGAAAAATGCAACGGACATACCAAAGAATGCATCAGAGTCTCTTAACAGCAGAAATGATCAAGCAGAAGAAAGAATTAGCGAGCTTGAAAACAGGCTATTTGAAAATACAGTCAGAGGAGACAAAAAAAGAATAAAAAGGAATGGAACACGCTTACAAGATCTAGGAAATAGCCTCAAAAGAACAAATCTAAGAGTTATTGGCCTTAAAGAGGAGGTAGAGGGAGAGATAGGATTAGAAAGTTTATACAAAGAGATAATAACAGAGAACTTCTCAAACCTAGAGAAAGACATCAATATTCATGTACAAGAAGGTACAAGAAGGTTCATGTACAGAACACCGAGCAGATTTAACCCAAAGAAGCTACCCCGAGGCATTTAATCATCACATTCCCAAAGGTCAAGGATAAAGAAAGAATCCTAAAAGCAGCAAGAGAAAAGAAACAAATAACATACAAAAGAGCTCCGATACATCTGGCAGCAGATTTTTCAGAGGATCTTACATGTCCAGATTACTCCTTTCGGCAAATGGGCCAGCAGAAGGTAAACTAACAAGTTTCCTAAGTCAGAAATCTGTCTTTCAAAAGAAGGAATATATGTGGCTTTACCGAAATAAAAATGGGGGCAGGAACTGACGTTTCATACCACTTTTAGAAAAAGGTGGAATATAAATAAGTTTAAAAGGAATTTATTTAAGGAAGTGCAAATGACTAACACTTCTAAACACTTATGAAAAATGTGCATACAACTCATAAAGGGGACAGTAAATCACATAAATATAAATGACACCAAATAAACAAGCATGCAACTGGTGGCAGCTACCCAGAACTGCCTTTGTAATTATTGCAGATAGCTGAAATAAAAATTATTAAGAAGAAAGAATGTGTGACCTGCTGAACTGCCATAGTTACGTAGCAGATGCACAGTGATGTGAGGCCCAGATGAAATAATATATGTGAAAGGGACTTAGAAAGTATAATTGCAGCCGGGCACGGTGGCTCACTCCTGTAATCCCAGAACTTTGAGTGGCAGAGGCGGGCAGATCACCTGATGTCAAGAGTTCGAGACCACCCTGGCCACCATGGTGAAACCCTATCTCTACTAAAAATACAAAAATTAGCTGGGCGTGGTGGCACGTGCTTGTAGTCCCAGCTACTCGGGAGGCTAAGAGGAGGATCACTTGAACCCAGGAGACGGAGGTTGCAGTAAGCTGAGTTTGCACCACTGCACTCCAGCCTGGGTGACAGAGCAAGACTCTGTTTCAACAAAAAAAAAAAAAAAAAAGAAAAGAAAGAAAGAAAGTATAACTGCAAAAGCATCAGCCATTTTATATTTTTAAAAAGTTTTGAAATGCAGTGAAATATACCCTGTAAATATATACACCTCCTACGTACCCACAAAAATTACAAAATTTAGAAAGAAACGCAACGAAGATATACATTGATAGGGACAGTCATGGAAGGCAAATGCAGACGTGGATGTGAAGTAGGGAGGGATATGTCAGGATGTGAAACAGGGACAATATTGGAAACTGGTTCAGTAAACAGTACTACCTCCATGAGGTAGAATACCAGTAGATTTAAAAAGAATGAAGCCACCCTGCATTTACTGATGTGAAATGTCCTCCAAAATGTTCTAAGCAGAAAAAAAAAGCAAGATACAAAAAAGTTTATATAATACGCAATTATTTATGTAAAAAAAAACCTCATGTACACTTATACACACATGCATAAAACATCTCTGAAAAGAAAACCCCAGGAACTAGTGGTAGTAGTTAACTTTGAGGAGGAAAACTAGTGAACCACCAGGGTACATGAGATTTAACTTTCCACCAATCACCCTTGTGTATTGTTGGAATTTTGCCATATACATGTGTTGCCTACTCAAAACTAAATTTAAATACAAGAAAGTTAATAGAACTGGATACTATTAGAAGAGATAAAGGAGTGTCTGGCAGAGGAGCTTGATATAACTAGAAATCTGGATTTCACAAAAGAAACAGAAGTATCTGAGACATCTTAAAGTAATATGCTACTTTACCATACCAAGTTTAGAAAACAGTTTTTTTGAATCTCTTCCTCCTAGGAACCTGCTTTTGAACAATTATGTAATTTTTTTTCCAAAGAAAAGACATGACTGACCAATAATTTTCTCCCAAGTTCTTATATATGGTTTTATTATTTAGTGTTTAATAATGTATACTGTTTTTTGTTTTTAAAGTTCTTATTAGAAATAGCTTTAAAGATTGCATATAATCTGTCTTCACAAAGTATTACAGAATAAATTGTTACATTATAGGAAACTTCCTTGTAGCTCTACGATACCCTGAATTGCTGTTGTCTAGCTTTTGCGAAAAATCAAATGCTATTTGCTTCCAGGAACTAGAGTTCAAAACCTAAGTCATTTGCATACGAGGAACAGGAAATTGGTGCCTTCAAATTGTGAGACTTTGTAGACAAACCAAATTGTTTCAGGTTGGAGTCTATGTTGGTTATAAATTATATCCACAATAGCACTGACCTCAGAGATGAAGCAAGTTGAAGCAAGTTTTCAAGTGTGCTATCTAAAATATGCTACTTATACCACGGGTGTTTTGTCAGACTGCTAATTATATATAAATAAGCAGTTTTCAACATTATTTGGAAGGGCAAGTCCTCCCTTCACCCCTTCTTCGGTGGCCTCACCCCCTAATCCCCCTACACACATTCCCTTCTGTCATTTTAAGTAATGCTAAACCGATGGCAGTAACACATTCCTTACATAGGTTTATGACGTGGTTTCTATTTTATTTTTATTTTACTAAGCTAACCTTGGAATTCTATATTCTAGATTGGATTAATTAAACTCCTACAGCAAAGCCAGCATTCACCTTTGTTATTGCTGCTAAAAGGACTCCAATAAATGGCAGTGATTAAAGATGCTCATTACCAGAGTTTCAAATTGTTAAATCACCTGAGGGTGCTTCAAAGCCCCAGGGATGAGTGAGTGTAGAGCAGATCATCATGTGATAGTTTCCCTGTCCTCTGGACTGTGCCATCTAGATCTAGACAGATCTAGATGTGTCTAGATCCATCATGCACTTACTGACCCATGAGGAAACAGTCAGCTTAGGAGGTGTTTTCACGTCTTCGTAGCACATATTCTGATCTTCCCAATCATTGGGGAAAGTTTCCCTGAAGATGCTGGGATTTATCCAGAACAATAGAGAAAAATTGGAAGTTATGTCCTGCCCCATCCATCCCCCGGCTCTATTCCCCTGTAAAGGGAATGCCTTCAGGTGAATGTGGACGCTATCCAAGGATGGTTTGATGAAACGGAGTATAATAGGGAGGGGCGATTGGCACTTTTACAAGTAATGCGCAGTCTCTAGGCAATGTCTGCGTCAACAAAAGCTTTAGGTTGGTTTCAATTTGGTTTTTCTTTTCAATTTTATTTAAAGGTACGACACTGGCATTTGCAGGAACATATTTACTGGTGAACTTTGCTCCAAATATAACTCAGGCAATCTCAGCAAGAACAGTACAGTATTACCTTGTCGGATGGCAGTTCCTGATCTATGTGGTAAGAATTCTAAATATTTTACTATCCCCGAAGCTATATTATCCAGACCACTGGTCCATGCAGATATTAGAGAACATAATCTTTTCCTTACCAGCACTAATATCTTATTAAAATCTAAATGTATTTGACCAATACCAAAGTATTTGAAATACTAAGTCAGCAACAGAAGCACCCTTAGTTTCCCAGGTATCCTTTCCTGGAACAATTTCCACATCGATTAATCCACCAAGTTCCAGAGCAATACGTTTTAGGAAAACTCAGAGTAAAAAAAAACATTCCCTTCCAAGTTGAAGGGACAATACTTAAGGACACATTTTGCTTTACTGAACTTTATTCAAAATAGGGGTTCTCTTCAAAAAAGTCCTTGTTTTTTATGGCTACATAGTATTCCATGGTGTATATGTGTCACATTTTCTTTATCCAATCTATCATTGATGGACATTTGGGTTGGTTGCAAGTCTTTGCTATTGTGAACAGTGCCACAATAAACATATGTGTGCATGTGTCTTTATAGTAGAATGATTTATAATCCTTTGGGTATATACCCAGTAATGGGATTGCTGGGTCAAATGGTATTTCTAGTTCTAGATCCTTGAGGAATCGCCACACTGTCTTCCACAACGGTTGAACTAATTTACAGTCCCACCAACAGTGTTCCTGTTTCTCCACATCCTCTCCAGCATTTGTTGTTTCCTGACTTTTTAATGATCGCCATTCTAACTGGCGTGAGATGGTATCTCACTGTGGTTTTGATTTGCATTTCTCTAATGACCAGTGATGATAAGCATGAGGGATAGCATTAGGAGAAATACCTAATGTAGGTGACAGGTTGATGGGTACAGCAAATCACCATGGCACATGTATACCTATGTAACAAAACCGTACATTCTGCACATGTATCCCAGAACTTAAAGTATAATAATTTAAAAAAAAACTTGATAGATGTAGACAAACTGCCCTCCAAAATTTCCATATTCATTTACATTCCCATTAGTACTCTCAACCAATATAAAATATTTAAACTTGTATATTTTTCTCTTTTATTATATTTTAAATTTTATATCTTTAATTTTTCCAGTGAAAAAGATTAAAGTGATTTATTTAAAAAAAAAAAAGTCCTTGTTGAGATCAATGCCACAGACTGTCTGAGAGGAGCACACAACAGTACTACAATGCCAAGAGATGTATAAAAGAATGAAATGAGGCTGGGCACGGTGGCTCACGCCCGTAATCCCAGCACTTTGGGAGGCCGAGGCGGGCAGATCACTTGAGGTCAGGAGTTTGAAACCAGCCTGGCCAACATGGTGAAACCCCATCTCTACTAAAAATACAAAAATTACCCAGGAGTGGAAGTACACACCTGTAAACCCAGCTACTCGGGAGGCTGAGGCAGGAGAATCACTTGGACCTGGGAGGCAGAGGCTACCGTGAGCCAAGATTGTGCCATTGCACTCCAGTCTGGGCGACAAGAGCAAAACTCTGTCAAAAAAAAAAAAAAAAAAAAAAAAAAAAAAGAATGAAATGAACTGATAGAGAAATATGAAGGTGTTAACTGGGTTATCTTGTTTGATGCAGTGGCTGTATCTGTAGGTATAAAAAAGAATATGATCGAAAGGGCTGATATGCAACTTGTCACAGAAGTTAGTATAGATTGGGGAATAATAATATTCTAGGAAGGGTATGTAATAAGAAGAAAACTGGGATAGTCTAGCTGAGTATTTAACCAAGAACCGGTTTGGTAAAATGGTTGCGAAATCAATAAAAAGAATTAGGCTGGGCGTGGTGGTGTACATCTGTTACCCAACACTTCAGGAAGCCAAGGTGGGAGAATCACTCGAGCCCAGGAGTTTGAGACCAGTCTGGCAACATGACAAGACCTCAACTCTACAAATAATTTTAAAAATTAGCCAGGCATGGTAGTATGCACCTGCAGTCCCAGCTACTTGGGAGGTTGAGATGAGAGGATCTTGAGCCCAGGAGGTCAAGGTTGCAGTGAGCCATGATTGCAGCTCTGCACTCCAACCTGGGTGACAGAGTGAGACCCTGTCTCAAGACAAAAAAAAAAAAAAATCAAAGCACACAGAATTATACATTTTTAGAATTAGAAATGACCTCAAAAGCTAACTGGTCTAGCCTTCTGCCATTAAAACAGGTAAAATAGTATGATCCTACTTTATATGCCTAGTATTGAAAAGTGTGACATTGGCATTTACAGGGACATGTCTACTGAGGAAATTTTGCTCTAAGTACAGGACCGAAGCAGTTCCTAGTGTATATGACAAGAATTCTATATATCCTGCCATTTCTGATATGTATTCTGACCACTAGAACACAAATACTTACAGATCTTTTTACTTTCATTTCCTTTGTTTCCTTTTCTACTCCTTTCTCTTGCCCTACAAAGATACTTAGGTTTCTCTGTTTAAAAAAAAAAAAATTCTCATACACTACACACCCCTTTAATAAACTGTCCAATATCCCTCCTGCCATTTATACCAAGAATGTCTTCAAATAGTCTACTCTTGCTGGCCCTGTCCACTTCCTTAGCTCCCACTAACTCTTCACTCATTCCAATCTGTGGATGGGGCTGTGGGTCAAAGGAGGTAGGGGACTTTGCTAGCAGAGGGAACAGCAGACAGATAGAACAGCACTGCGTTATGTGGCTGGAGGGGGCTCACCGGTCAGATTTGTTTATTAGGAGGAGCTTGTACACACAGTGTTGATGATGAACAGCAGGGGAGGCAGCCTTGTTAAGAGGTTGCAGACACAGTCCAAGCAAGAGATGATGGAAGCCTGAATTAATGCAACAGGAATGGGAACGTAGAAAAGGACCAAGTTCTAGAGTATTTACATTCCCAACAGGAAGGGGGCTAGGAGTGACGAATGAGGGTGTAGGAGAAGTCTGGGGAAGTAAATTCCTCTCCATGAATTGCCAAAGGAATTGCTTTTTTTGGTCCTGATTCTTCTTGAACCTTATGCAGCATTTACTCCCTGGCCCATCATCTTCTGGAACCTCTGTCCTCCTTGCTTCCTCCAAATGTTTTCCCTGTCTCTCTTCTTCCTCTCTGACTAATCCATGCCAGGCTCTTGAGCACTTCCTCTTCCTCTGCCTTGCTTCTATTGATGCTGCACACTCTTCCAACGTCTTCTAAAAGAATCCCGTTGCCCATCCACCAGCATCCTTTTGAAATACTTCCTAATCCAGATCTACCTCTCCTTCCCAGGCCCCTCCTGAGCTCCAGATCTATATTCTTATCTGTCCACTTATTACTCAACCCTGGATGTCCCACAGTCTCCTTAAATGTAACATATCAAAAACCAAACTATCTTCTCCCCCAAACTCTCTCTTCTCTTCCATGTCAGCCTCCCATACTGGAAACCTAAACTACACATGACTTCTCCTTCACCCTCATTCCTCACTCCTACCCCTGATCCTGTTGGAAATGTAAAGTCTCTTGAACTTGACCCCCTTTTCACATTCCCATTCCTGTTGCATTAATTCAGGCTTCCACCATCTCTTGTTTGGACTGTGTCAGCAGCCTCTTAATAAGGCTGCCTCCCCCTGCTGTTCGTCATCAACACTGGTACAAGCTCCTCCTAATAAACAAACCTGACCAGTGAGCCCCCTCCAGCCACATAACGCAGTGCTGTTGTACCTGTCTGCCTCCCCTACCTCCTTTGACCCACAACCCCATCTCCTTATGACCCCTGAAAACTCACCCTCATGGG
The DNA here is from genome assembly GCF_000001405.40 of Homo sapiens. Taxonomy (NCBI): domain Eukaryota; kingdom Metazoa; phylum Chordata; class Mammalia; order Primates; family Hominidae; genus Homo; species Homo sapiens. The sequence continues at coordinate 98,218,749 of NC_000008.11, read as the reverse complement.
CATGGCTCAGATTGGACCTCTTTATCTATTTACCTGCCTGTCTTATTCCAGAAGACCCTGCACTTCTTCAGGATATGAACTTGTATTGGTTGCTCAATGTATCACTCAGGCCATCAGTCATAGTGCCCTGCCTATTTAAATCCCTGATCCTCATATGTTATGGTCCTGAAATTCATTTTCATAGGCCTTATTTCTACCCTAGTGCTGTCACTTCCTAGCTCTTCCCCTCACCACTGCCCTCCTTCAGGCTTTAAGATTGGGCTTCCCAACTCAGATTGCCTGTCTCGGGTCTGTCATACTTTGTGCCAACCCCTCTGCCCCATTTATCTTCCTACTTTTATGCCACACTCAGTTCTTTAATTATCACAGCTTTCATCAGTCCGTGATAAGCACTAGAAGGAGTTCTAATCTCTGTGATTTAGTTCTGTTTTTTATACTTTACAGAAAATTTCATGATAGTCCAGACTTGAAGCCTTACCAACAAATTATTACTCTTTGCCTGCAGGCAAAATAAATTCTTCATCTAGTTAAGAAAAGGGTCACATAGCCTGAAACGAGAAAATTAATGGCGTGAGTTAAATCCTTTGTATATTAAAGATGCATCAAGACTTACTTCCTGGAATAAACAGCATTGTTTAATGATGATCTATCTTGTATTGCTTTAACACCAGAGAAAACATTTGAAGAGATCCAAACTACTTTTTATTAAGCTGTGTATTTCCACAAAAAGTACTGAGATTAATTGCAGTTTGCCATTTTTCCAAAATCAACTCTTAAAATAAATTTATTCGTTCATTTATTCACGTATCCATTAAGTGGTGGTTAGACACCAAATTTAGAGAAAGGAATTCCCGTAGCAGGAATTTTACAGTTCTGGGAGAAACCCATATATCTGAAAAATCATATTAAGATAAAGAAAGTATATTTGAAAGTAAATGCCACAGAGAAAAATGTAAATAATTTCAGGTATTTATAACATAGCATAAAATAAACCTTTAATAAAGTCACTTTTGAATAATACTGTTGGCATTAGACTCTAAGGAGAATAGATCTATATTATATTCATTTGTAATCTAATTCGTTATATAATTGCATCTCTAAAGACTCTAGAAGTGATGAATTTTATACTAAGATTGTGAGCTGAAATTTGGTTTGAATCTGTTAAACATCTAAGTAATATTTAATCCTCAGATGTGGCAAATTCTGTGCTTTTCTGCAAGCCCTGGCTGCAAAGATAATAATTACAGTAATTAAGACTATTCTTTGACATATCATTCATCTAACTCTATGTATTATACCAAGTATAAATAAGAGCACCTGAATTGGCTTTCGGGACTGATCAAATAACTTCTAAAATATGTATAAGCCTGAATACATTTTATATTTCTCACAAAAGGAATCATAATAGTGCGGCACCCACTGGCTCACATCAACCCCTTGTCTTGTGTGTTTGCGTGCCCCAGACAGATGTCTGTTTTTCCTTCAAGATTTACATTAAATGGAAGCCTCACAGAGACAAGGCTCAGGAGCTTTTCCTCTGATCTGGTACAGAAAAGAAAGGAAGGAAGATTTGAGAAGCCCAGTGTATACCAGCCAGAGAAGAATAAAGTGCACTCACTAAAACAGCCTTTCCCAGCCTGTCTGCTGCAGATGGGCAATCCCCATCCTTGCCAAAATGCAAAGAGGAGTGGAGTTTTCAAGGTCAAACTAGGTGAGAAAGATTCTGCATAACATGGCCTGTCTGAGAAATTCATCATCTCTGTTAGCATGTTAAAAGCTATAAGTCCTGTAAGAATGAGAAAGATTTGATTTTGTTAATCCTACATGCCCAGGCTTATTTGACCATGAGGCCCTTTTCTTGGAAGGACCTTTTGTTGAGTAATACCTATGAGCAAACGTGTTCTGCAAAAACCATGTTAGAAAATGCAGCCCTGATTCTCAATTACTTCATGTTCTTTGGCAGGCTTGGTCATGGCTATTTTGCTCACCCAGATTTTCCAAAAGATTATTCAAATGGAACCTCTTTTGTGAACATAAAATCCTTCACAAAATAATCTGCACATTGCTCATTTTCTCTCAGACAAAAAAATTAAATCAGCAGATGCTGGGGCCAAGCCTGTCATTTGGTGTCATTCTGTACCCTAAACCGGATTATTAAGTCAGCCTTTCTGGCAAAGCTGCAACAAAACCCACCATCAGGTATTAGAAACCTAAGGGAGAAAACTGTATGTTTTTATAGGACATCAATATCTATGGCATGATGTTATTTGCTTTATTGTCTGAATGCAAATAGCACTTGTGTGTCCACACAAGGGTCCACTTCTTCGGTAGCAGAGTGGCTGAGCCCTATGTCTAGCTCAGACTACATTCTGTTCTTTACCTGCATACTGGCCGTATACATGGGCCACTGTTATCCTCTGCATCTGATAGATGGGGAAGTTGAGGCTGGAGAAGGCCCAGGAACTTGTTTAAGGTCACGTAAGTACTAAGTGATAAAGCCAGAATTCAAAACCAGTTTGTTCACTTCTGGGGTGCACAGGCCAATACACCTCACTCAATGCCTCTCTGCAGAATTAATAAACTGACTACCAAGGATCAGATCTTTGTCCAAACATGGCCTTAGAGAGAACCTTTGCAGAGCTCATTTGTTTTAGACAGAGAAGCCATATGCTATGGCCATAGGCTATGCATTTGAGAACTTAGTGAGGGAAGATGAGGTCAAATCGGGCTCAGATATTGGTACTGGCAGTGGGGCATCCAGTGCTAAAATTTTGTCTATCTCTTTTGCCACACACCCCTTCAGCTGCCAGTGCTCTTTGTATTAGGTTGATGCAAAATTAATTGAGGTTTTTCCCACTGAAAGTAACTACTTTGACAAATTGAAAATTGTCTACTTTTGTCTATTTTTCCTTCAAGGCTTACATCAAATGGAAACCTCACAGGTACAAGGCCCAGGAACTTTTCCTCTGATCTGGTACAGAAAACAAAGGAAGGAAGAATTGCACCAACCCACCAACCTAATACAAAACCCCTTTGCTGTGTAAAGTAACATCATCACAGCTTCTAGAGATTAGACCAGGGACTTCTATGGGGGCCATTATGCTGCCTATCAGAGCTGCATCATTTAGCCCCTCTGAGCCTCAGTTTCCTCACCTGTAAACTGATGATAGCACCTACCTCCTAAATGGTTGTGAGGATTCAACGAATTCGTAACAGGAAGCTCTGAGAACAGTGCACAGGGTATGGGGGACACACAGTAAGTGCTGTTACTTTTTCTAACCTGTGAGATTGCAATCAATAATGCAGCCTCTTCCTGGGGCACCGCAACCTGCAGAAATCACAGCTTCTTTAATATTGATGTTTTCAGGGAGAAAAAAAATGTTGCTAGAAAAAAATCAGCATTAATTCATACTGCTTTAATATTTTATTCCTAGGAGCAGTGTGACTTCTTGCCACAAGGCAGAACCAGGGCAACTATAGTTATTCTGTGAATAATGGGAACTCATGTTTTATTTATCTGAAGCCACAGAGATGGAATTTAACCACACATGAAAAAAGTCATACATGGTTTCTAGAACTGATAACAAATACCTGCAAAAATTAATAATCAGCATGAGAATCGATTTACCTAATAGGCTCTGTGTGTTAACACAGGAAGAGCTTTCTTTTCTCCAGCAACAAATACAGCGGCCCAAACGCTGCTGTGAATTGTCTATAATTGTCTCATGCGAGAAATGGAAGCCTGTGGTTGAGGGGAGACTGGGCCCAGAGGGATATTTCTGTTAACAATTGGTGAAATGGACAGAAATTAGGACACCCAATGTTTTGATGGCTGTTTTAGGGAAGGCAAAGAGATACGAGTTTAATAGCTTTTGTAGCACTACTCAATTAAATCAAAGGTCTGGCAAATAAGTCCCATAAGAAACAGTTAAAATAATTGGTTTAATTTACCCGGAGAAGAAAAGACAAAGGGATGAGTTCATCTTCCATATTAGATGAAAAGGTTTTTAAATGAGGAAGATAAGGGCCTGCTGTTTCCCATGCCCACAAAGGATTAGAGAAAAAAACAAACCCACAAGCAAACCCTTGAATGGAAACAAATTTAAGTTGATTTAGAGAGGGCGTTGTAGGTAGAATGCATTCCTCAAAAGAGTGAGGTCCCTAACTCCTGTGGTTAAAAAAAAAAGAAAAAAAATTAGTGATGGTACTGTCTGCTGTTAGATAAGTAAACATTCATACTTACAAATTCAGCCCAAGAATACCATCTCGTCAAAAATAATAGCCTGGGCCGGGTGCGGTGGCTCATGCCTGTAATCCCAGCACTTTGGGAGGCCGAGGCAGGTGGATCACTTGAGGTCAGGAGTTCAAGACCAACATGGCCAACATGGCAAAACCCTGTCTCTACTAAAAATACAAAAATTAGCCGGGCGTGGTGGCGGGCACCCATAATCCCAGCTACTTGGAAGTTTGAGGCAAGAGAATCACTTGAACCCAAGAGGGAGAGGTTTAAGTGATCTGAGGTTGTGC